>NC_000019.10:47865874-48490874 GCF_000001405.40 Homo sapiens | reverse complement strand
TTTTACCTTCTGTGGGGATTACCCCCACCCCCGACTCTTGCCCATCTTTGTCCCATCTCTGGGCTCAGACTCCGGCCTGGCACTTGCCGGATCCTGATCCCACCTCCGTTTGGGGAACACGGTGCTCAGGGGCAGACAAGGAGAGAGAAACCCAGAGTGCTCAAAGCCGGTTGGTGTGAACCAGAGCAGGGAGGACACAGCTGGGGGTTAGAGAGCAGTCACAGCGGCACCGCTGCTCTCGCGTGGACCCTGCAGTGCCTCACCACAGTTTAACCCATTTAATGTTCATTGCGATCCCATGGGGTGGATTCTAGCCTCGTCCTCATTTTTTTTTTTTTTTTTTTTTTTTTGAGACGGAGTCTCGCTCTGTCGCCCAGGCTGGAGGGAGTGGTGGAATCTACGCTCAGTGCAACCTCTGCCTCCTGGGTTCAAACGATTCTCGTGTCTCAGCCGCCCAAGTAGCTGGGTTCACAGGAGTGCACCACCACGCCCAGCTACTTTTTTTGTATTTTTACTACAGACAGGGTTTCACCATGTTGGCCAGGCTGGTCTCCAACTCCTGACCTGGAATGATCCACCCACCTCGGCCTCCCAAAGTGCTGGGATTACAGGCGTGAGCCACCGGGCCTGGCCAGTCTGGTCCCAATTTTACAAAAGAGAACACTGAGGCACGGAGAGAAGTGAGGAGCTGGGATTCAAACCCACAGTTGCGCGGCCTCTGAGTCTGTGCCCTCTCCAGTAGTGAACATTGGTCAGGTTTCTTTCCTGGCGTTTCACATGCGCCATATCGCTAATCCTCGTGGCCACCTTGGGAGAGGGGTCATGCCGCCCCTAGTTTCCAACTTTTAGCGATGCTAAGGCCACTCTGGGAGAGCAGGGCACACGGGCAGGTCCCAGCGCAGGACTGGAACGGGACTGGGCTCTCTGCTGCCCTCTGCTGCCGAGCCAGGGAACACCCCCAGGACCCAGGGCTTGTGCCCAGCTCGGCAGGACAGGTGGTGCTCCCCGGTATCAGAGCTAAGGTAGAAGACGCCACTGGAGGGTTTCACTCCTACTTCCCCAATCTTGCCTGAGTCCAGATATTGTCCCTGCCATTTCTTAGCTGTGTGACCTGGGGCAAGTCGCTTTCCCTCTCTGTGCTTCAGTTCCCTCATCTGTAGAGTGGGAATGATAACAGGATCTAACTCATGAGATTGCTGAGGGAATTAAATGGCTTAATCCTCCCGAGTATGCAGCACAGCGCCTGTGCAGCAGCAGTCTCTAACCATTAGCTATTATTATTATTTAGTTAGTTAGTATTTTTGAGACGGAGTTTTGCTCGTCGCCCAAGCCGAAGTGCAATGGTGTGATCTCGGCTCATTGCAACCTCCACCTCCCGGGTTCAAGCGATTCTCCTGCCTCAGCCTCCTGAGTAGCTGGAATTACAGGCACCCACCACCACACCTGGCTAACTTTTGTATTTTTAGTAGAGACGGGGTTTCACCATGTTGGACAGGCTGGTCTTGAACTCCAGACCTCAGGCGATCTGCCCGCCTTGGCCTCCCAGCTGGGATTACAGGCATGAGCCACCATGCCCGGCCCCATTAGCTATTATTATTATTATTAGCTATTACTGCACTTAATTAAGTCAATGTTTTCTGATCATCTTCTGCGTGCAGGCGCCATGCTGGGCACAGGGGATTCAATGTGGAGCAAGACGGGTGAGCCTGCCTGGCCCTCCCCGCAGACACTGACCACACACTGCTATGACAAATGAAGAACTGCAAACTCAGGCTTGCAGAGAAAGCAGATGACAAGAGGAAAGGGCTTTGTTTTCCCCTTAGAAGTGTCATTTAAGGCCAGGCACAGTGGCTTACGCCTGTAAGCCCAGCACTTTGGGAGGCCAAGGCAGGCAGATCACCTGAGGTCAGGAGTTCAAGACCAGCCTGACCAACATGGAGAAACCCTGTCTCTACTAAAAGTACAAAATTAGTTGGGTATGGTGGCGCATGCCTGTAATCCCAGCTACTTGGGAGGGTGAGGCAGGAGAATCGCTTAAACCTGGGAGGTGGAGGTTGCGGTGAGCCGAGATCAAGCCATTGCACTCCAGCCTGGGCAACAAGAGCAAAACTCCATCTCAAAAAAAAAAAAAAAAAAGTGTAATTTAACTGGGAACTGGAAGGGTTGGTTGTCATTAACTAGGTGAAGGGGAAGGGGATGGCGTGCTGGCAGAGGGGACAGCTTGCACACAGGGCCTGAGGCAGGAGAGAGCTTGGCCCGCTCAAGGAACAGAAGGACACTGGTGTGGCTTCAGGGTTACTTAGAGTGCATGGAGGGCTGAGGAGAGATGGCAGGGGGTGCACTGAGGAGCTGGGACTTTGTCCTGGGGGTGCCAGGGAGCCACGGACGACTATAAGCAAGGGAGGGAAGTCAATGTTGGGTGTAGGAAGACTGCTCTGGGGTCTCTTGGGGGCAGAAGGGCAAGAGTGGGAGCTGGGAGGCTGGGGAAAGGCTGAGGAGAGGATAGTGAGCCAGGGCTGTGGGAATGGAGAGGTTGGACAGGGCAGAGAGTCAAGGGCAGGTGGGACAGGTCTGGGGGCTGACTCTTCCTTCACTTGGCTGCATCCTCAGGCTTCACTCTGAATGTCACTTTCTCCCTTAGGCCATCATCGCAGGGCCTCTGTGAGGACAGGGTGGGGGTGCATTCCAGGGTATGGGGACACTGCCAAGTGGTGAGTCAGGGCTGAGCTGGCAGGGCTGGCAAGCGAGAATGGCTTCACCTTTAATCACCAGGAGAGGAGACGGAGGGTGCAATTGTGCCAAACCCCAAATCCTTTCGCTCAGTTGACAAATATTCCTGCGGCAGCGTGGGCTGCGAGCTGCTGAGCCTGTCTGGCTCCCAAGACCATGGTGTGGGGGCCTGAGGCGGGTCCTCTCCTCTGCCCTGCTCAATGTGGCTCTGTCCACTTAGCAAACATTTACTGGGTACCAAGAGATGCCACATACCCCAAAGTCTCCATGAAGCATGAAGGTCATGCTTCCCATTAAAAGAGCGAAACTCAAGCTCAGGGACTGGGAGTGAGGGCAGTGACTTGACCCAGGCCTCCCAGGTACAAAGTACAGGGTGGAGCATGAGGGAGCCTGATATGAGGCCCCCAACGAGAACCTGCACCTCCTGGACCTTAGCTTTCTGGTCTGTACAATGGATGGGGCTTTCATTCTGCTCGCCCAGGGAAGTCAGAGCTAGAGTCATAGGAAAGTTTGGTCGGAGTTCCTGGGGAGAGCTCTTTCCACAGGGAAAAGGTGTGCTTTGTGCCAGACGGGATGCTGGGGACACAGCAGTGACCGCAGCTCCTGTCATCATTGAGCTTACATTTTATAGGAACAAGCAGACAGGAAGCTTTTCCACAAGGACAGGGTAGGCCAGGCATGGTGGCTCACACCTGTAATTCCAGCACTTTGTGAGACCAAGGCGGGCAGATCATTTGAGGTCAGGAGTTCGAGACCAGCCGGCCAACATGGTGAAACCCCGTCTGTATGAAAAATACAAAAATTAGCCAGGTGGGCTGGGCGCGTGGCTCACACTTGTAATCCCAGTACTTTGGGAGGCCGAGGCAGGTGGATCACAAGGTCAGGAGTTCGAGACCAGCTTGGCCAATATGGTGAAACCCCATCTCTCCTAAAAATACAAAAATTAGCTGGGTGTGGTGGCACACCTCTGTAATCTCAGCTACTTGGGAGGCTGAGGCAGGAGAATTGCTTGAACCTGGGAGGTGGAGGTTGCATTGAGCCAAGATCGTGCCACTGTACTCCAGCCTGGGCGACAGAATAAGACTCTGTCTTAAAAAAAAAAAAAAAAAAAAATAGCCGGGTGTGGTGGCAGGCACCTGCAATCCCAGCTACTCAGGAAGCTGAAGCAGGAGAATTGCTTGAATCCAGGAGGCGAAGGTTTCAGCAAGTCAAGATTGCGCCACTGCATGCCAGCCTGGGCAACAGAGTGAGACTCCATCTCAAAACAAACAAGCAAAACCCCCCCAAAAAACAAACAAGGACAGGTTCGGCCGGGCTCAGTGGCTCACGCCTGTAATCCTAGCACTTTGGGAGGCTGAGGTGGGTGGATCACGAGGTTGGGAGATTGAGACCATCCTGGCTAACACAGTAAAAACCCGTCTCTACTAAAACTACAAAAAATTAGCCGGGCGTAGTCGTGGGCACCTGTAGTCCCAGCTACTCGGGAAGCTGAGGCAGGAGAATGGCGTGAACCCAGGAGGCAGAGTTTGCAGTGAGCTGAGATCATGCCACTGCACTCCAGTCTGGGCAACAGAGCAAGACTCCATCTCAAAACAAAGCAGCAACAACAACAACAAAACCAAGGACAGGGTCATCCCAGAGTGACAAATGCAAACCAGTCAGAGGGAAATGAGTGAGAAAGATGAGCGTGCAGGGGTGACTGCTTGATTCAGTATGGTTGGGGAAGGACTCTGTGGAGGGGACGTTGCAGGTGGGGCCTGAGTCACGTAGGAAGAATGTTCCAAAAGGCCGGGCGCGGTGGCTCACGCCTGTAATCCCAGCACTTTGGGAGGCCGAGGCGGGTGGATCACGAGGTCAGGAGGTCGAGACCATCCCGGCTAAAACGGTGAAACCCCGTCTCTACTAAAAATACAAAAAATTAGCCGGGCGTAGTGGCGGGCGCCTGTAGTCCCAGCTACTTGGGAGGCTGAGGCAGGAGAATGGCGTGAACCCGGGAGGCGGAGCTTGCAGTGAGCCGAGATCGCGCCACTGCACTCCAGCCTGGGCGACAGAGCGAGACTCCGTCTCAAAAAAAAAAAAAAAAAAAAAAAAAAAAAAGGAAGAATGTTCCAGGCAGCGGGAACAGCATGTGCAAAGACCCAGGGGTCGGACCGTGCTGGGAGCACTGGAGGAACAGCAGGAGGCCCAGTGGCTGGAGCAGAGGGGAGAAGAGGGGTAGGTGAGGACAGAGAGGGAACAGAGCAGATCTTTTGGGCCATGGTGGGTGAGGGCTTTGCTTTTCCGCTGAGTGACCTAGAAGCCATGAGGCTGTCCCCCTAGTAATTTCATTTCTCTGTCTCCTCTGTCCATCCTCAGGCCCCGTGGAGAATTGATTCCCCGAAGACCCGACCCCGCTGCACCCTCAGAAGAGGGGTTGAGAATGGAATCCTCTGTGGATGACGGCGCCACTGCCACCACCGCAGACGCCGCCTCTGGGGAGGCCCCCGAGGCTGGGCCCTCCCCCTCCCACTCCCCTACCATGTGCCAAACGGGAGGCCCCGGGCCCCCGCCCCCCAGCCCCCCAGATGGCTCCCCTGACCCCCCTGACCCCCTCGGAGCCAAATGAGGCAGGAATCCCCCCGCCCCTCCATAGAGAGCCGCCTTTCTCGGAACTGAACTGAACTCTTTTGGGCCTGGAGCCCCTCGACACAGCGGAGGTCCCTCCTCACCCACTCCTGGCCCAAGACAGGGGCCGCAGGCTTCGGGGACCCGGACCCCCCATTTCGCGTCTCCCCTTTCCCTCCCCAGCCCGGCCCCTGGAGGGGCCTCTGGTTCAAACCTTCGCGTGGCATTTTCACATTATTTAAAAAAGACAAAAACAACTTTTTGGAGGAACACGGGGCCTGTGCGTATTTCGCGAGGTGAGGAGGGGAGGATGCAGGGAGCGAGTGCGACCCTGAGAAGTCCCATCCTCACAGCCTGGCCCGCATGGCAGATGGGACATCGGATGCTCAGAGAAGCGGAAACTCCCGCACAGTGGCGGAGGCCCGGCTTCTCTGCTTCTCCAGATCCCGGCTCTGCGCCTGGGGTTTGCATCGCCCAACCTTGGCCGCTGCAGCAGCAGCACTGCTGGCTCAAGAGGCCATAAGGATGAAGCAAGAGAATCGCTCGAACCCAGGAGACGGAGGTTGCAGTGAGCCAAGATCGTGCCACTGCATTCCAGCCTGGGCGACAGAGTGAGACTCCATCTCAAAAAAAAAAAACAAAAAACAAACAAACAAAAAACCATAAGGAGCCCACTGGGGTTGGGTGGGAAGGTGCAGGCTGCGGTCAGAGCCACGTTTCTGCAAGGTGGCCCGCGGTGGTGGCCAGACGCTATCCCAGGGCCAGGGGCTAGTGGGGCAGGGGCTCAGAAATGAGCTGCTCATGCCCACACTGGATCACGATCACATCCCACCCACCTCAGGTCGGCACTGCCTGTTCCTTGAAGTTCAGGGTCTACCTCCCCACCCAGCGTGGTGCTGCCTCAGTTTACCTGTTTTTCCATGCGACCGCCCACCTCGCTGACATTCTCATCCCTTGTCTTTACCCTAACCGCACCTATCTGTGTGGCTCTCTCTCATTTCCAACATTCTGGCTCCCTGTCTCACCCTGCCCCAGTTTTGGTCTCCAACTGATCTGGAGTTTTCCTGTCTCCCCATCTGAGTCTCTTGCTCTTGGCCTCCTCCTCCCTGTCTAATTCTATTTCGATGTTTTTGTCTCGAGTTCCTCCCTGCCTCCACATTTTTCTCCTTGTCTGTGTCTCCCTGTCACCTCCTCCTGTCTCGATTATGTCCTTCTGCCTTGTGCTTTTGTCTCTATTTCCTTTTTTTTATGAGACGGAGTCTCAGTCTGTTACCCAGGCTGGAGTGCAGTGGGGCGATCTTGGCTCACTGCAGTCCTCCTGGGTTCAAGTGATTCTCCTGCCTCAGCCTCCCAAGTAGCTGGAATGACAGGTGCCTGCCTCCAGGCCCAGGTAATTTTTATATTTTTAGTAGAGACGGGGTTACACCATGTTGGCCAGGCTGATCTCGAACTCATGACCTCAAGTGATCTGCCTGCCTTGGCCTCCCAAAGTGTTGGGATTACAGGCGTGAGCCACCACGCCAGGCTGTCTCTATTTCTTGTTCTCGGTTTCTCCCGGATTCTGTTTTGACTCTGTCTTTTTCCCTCTGACCGGGTTTGTCTTTGTGGCTCTGATCTCTTGGCCTTGACCTGTCCCCCATCACCTTGGTACCAGGTTCACTGGTGTATTTGCGGGATGTAGTCTGGATGCGGGGAGAGGGAAGGAGCAAGGGGTGGGAACCCAGCCCCTTCCCTCTGTTAGGGAGGCTGTAGTGTAGACTCTGGCCTCGGAGTTAAGGTGATGGCGGCATTAGGGTCACATGTGAGTCCTGGGGGATTGGGGAAAGGGAGAGAGAGGATAAGGTTTTAGCTTCTTCCCAATAAGTCCTGCTGGGAGACTTGGTGGTGCTTGAAGTGATCCTGAGACACCTGCCACAGGGTGGGTGGGTGCTGCATGAACCAAGGCAGCGGGGGGAAGGTGAGAGCTGGACTTTCTGGGTCTGAGGGAGGAAGGGCTGGTGACTGGGGGCAGGACTTCTGGGTCTGAGGGAGGAGGGGGCTGGGCCTGAACTCCTGGATCTGAGGGAGGAGGGGCTGGGGGCCTGGACTCCTGGGCCTTAGGGAGGAAAGACCAGGGCCTAGACTCCTGGGTCTGAGGGAGGAGGGGCTGGGGGCCTGGACTCCTGGGTCTCAGGGAGGAGGGGCTGGGGGCCTGGACTCCCGGGTGTGAGGGAGGAGGGGCTGAAGCCTGGACTCCCGGGTCTGAGGGAGGAGGGGCTGGGGGCCTGGACTCCCGGGTCTGAGGGAGGAGGGGCTGGGGGCCTGGACTCCCGGGTCTGAGGGAGGAGGGGCTGGGGGCCTGGACTCCCGGGTCTGAGGGAGGAGGGGCTGGGGGCCTGGACTCCCGGGTCTGAGGGAGGAGGGGCTGGGGGCCTGGACTCCCGGGTCTGAGGGAGGAGGGGATGGGGGCCTGGACTCCCGGGTCTGAGGGAGGAGGGGATGGGGGCCTGGACTCCCGGGTCTGAGGGAGGAGGGGATGGGGGTCTGGACTCCTGGGTCTCAAGGAGGAGGAGATGGGGGCCTGGACTCCTGGGTCTGAGGGAGGAGGGGATGGGGGCCTGGACTCCTGGGTCTGAGGGAGGAGGGGATGGGGGTCTGGACTCCTGGGTCTCAGGGAGGAGGAGATGGGGGCCTGGACTCCTGGGTCTGAGGGAGGAGGGGATGGGGGCCTGGACTCCTGGGTCTGAGGGAGGAAGGGCTGGGGCCTGGACTTCTGGGTCTGAGGGAGGAGGGGCCGGGGTCCCCAACTCCTGGGTCTGAGGGAAGAAGGGGCTGGGCCTGGACTCCTGGGTCTGAGGGAGGAGTGGTTAGTTATCTAGGGCTGACATAACAAAGTACCTCAAAATTAGTGGCTTAAATCACAAAAACTGAAGGTCTCCCAGTGCTGGAGGTCAGAAGTCTGAGATGAGGGTGTCAGCCCTGGCTGCTCCTGAGGCTGTGAGGGAGGATGAGTCCCCGGTCTCTGGCTTCTGAGGGTGTGCCGGCAGCTTTGGTTTTCCTCGGTTTGTAGAGGCGTCACCCCAATCTCTGCCTTCACCTCCACATGGTGTCATTTCTGTGTGTCTGGGTCTCTGTACAAACTTTTATAAGACACACATCCTATTGGATTAGGGCCCACATGAATGACCTCATCTGAACTAATTATATCTGCAATGACCTTATTTCCTAATCAGATCACATTCTGAGATGCTGGGGGTTAGGATTTTAATATAAAGTTTTTTGTGGGGGTGGGGGAGACACAATTTGATCCGTGCTGAGTCCATTTTGTGTTGCTCTGACAGAAGACCTGAGGCTGGGTCTTTATAAAGGAAGAGGTTGATTTGGCTCAGATTCTGATGGCTGGAAGGTTCAAGACTGGGCAGGTGCACTCACTGAGGACCTCCCTCATCCCTGAGGCTGCTGCTGCTTCTGGGGGAGGGCAGAAGGATGCAGCTGTGTGCACAGAGATCACATGGTGCTGAAGGAAGCAAGGGAGAGAAAACCAAATTCCCAAATTCCCAAGGGTGAGCACTCACTCACCCCTTAAGGCAGGCATTAATCTATCCATGAGGACTCCACCTCCAAGACCACACAGCTCCTTATGAGGCCCCACATCCCAACACCTGCCACACTGGGGCTCGAATCTCAACATGAATTTTAGTGAGGACAAACGATATCCAAACCATTGCCACCCAAAAGAAGTGGGCTGAGGCCTGGCGCGGTGGCTCACACCTGTAATCCCAGCACTTTGGGAGGCTGAGACAGATGGATCGCCTGAGGTCAGGAGTTCGAGACCAGCTTGGCCAATATGGTGAAACCCCGTCTCTACTAAAAATACAAAAATTAGCTGGGTACGGTGGCTCACATCTGTAATCCCAGCTACTCGGGAAGCTGAGGCAGGGGAATCGCTTGCACCTGGGAGGTGGAGGTTGCAGTAAGCCGAGATGGCGCCATTGCACTCCAGTCTAGGGCACAAAGTGAGACTCCCTCTCAAAAACAAAACAAAACAAAACAAAAAACAAAAAAAAAAACCTACAAAAAAAATCAGAAGCGTGCTGGGAGCTTGGGGGTCCTGGGCGAGGAGGGAGCCGGACGCAAAATCCTCAGGTCCTGGGGGAAGATGGACTGTGGGCAATGCTGAAGGTCAGTGTGACGTGATGCAGCCTGGCTGGAATGTTCCACAGGCATCTCCAGCTTAATTTGGTCAAAACGGAATGCCTGATTTCCCCTTAAATACTCCCTTTCGACCACCTCAGTCATGGCACCGTCATTCACCAGCTGCGGCGGCTCTCAGCAAGTCCTTTTGGCTCCTCTTTCAAGACTCCTAGCGTGGCCCAACGTTCTCCACCTCCACAGCCACGCCATCCTGCACCGCACAGCTTCCTCTCACCTCCCCGCTCGCCTCCAAATTATTCTCCCTGAAGCAGCCAGGGGCCCCTCCTGCAACCTCAATCCAAACACGTCAGGCCCCTGCCTCCTGCCCTTGCACGGCTTCCATCTGCTAAGAATCCAGCCAGAGGCCCTCCTGGGGCGGCCCAGGCCCCACGCGACCGGCCGCCTGCCTCTGCCCTCCCCTCCCGCCGCACTCCCCTCTTCGCCACCAGCGGGCTCCGCGCCTCTTCCTGCCTCTGCCTGCCACGGAGCCGGCCGCCCTGCATGCAGTTCATCCGGGGAGGCGGCAGGAAAGGGTGACATAGTGGCGGGACCCGCTGTTTACCCTGGGACCTCATCTCCCACGACCTTCTTGGGTCGATGACTCCGTTTCCCTGGCACCTGTGGGAAAGAGAAGTGGGGAATTCTATTTTCTCATTTGGAACTCCATTTCCCACCAGCCCCCGGGGCCGCGGCGGTCAAAGCCTCCTCTACCCTCCACAAAAGTACGGGATCTGACTAAGAAAAAGAAGACAAACGCCGCCACGGAGTCTCGGGAAACTGCGACGCCCGGAAAAACCTCGGGTCTGGGTCACCGTGGCTTTGGCGCCGCACAGCCTGCCGATAACTGTAGTCCACCTTCCCGCGGAGGGGCGCAGGGTACCCCCACCGCGGGGGCCTTCAGGCCGGCAGGTGCCTGTGGCCAAGGGCGGGACAGGGATCAAAGCCCGAAATTCCGAAGCGCCGCATCCCATCGGAGAGCTCAAAAGCGAACACAGCGGGCAGGAGGGACTACAACTCGCGGCACGCCTCGGGGCCACAGGCGCCTCTCCCACCCGCGTCCCGGTCCCTGCTGGGACTTGTAGTTTGTTAACTAAAGAGCGCCTCAGCTTCAAAGGCGGGCATGGGAGAGTGACATGGGACCTCCCAATCCGCCATCGCACCCTGCTCGGGATCCACGAGCCCTTGTTCTTTGGGGACACCACACATACCCCAACTGGAGGGCAAAAGGTCACAGACCTTAGCCCAGGATTCAGGGGTACCCCACATGCCAAGACTTCACCTTCATAGAGGCGATCCTCGAATTTCTTTGGCTGTCAAGAATCCCAGGAAAGACGTTCAGAACGCAGGTCCTCAGCCCTATCCTTGACACAAAATGTCCTCCAAAGGAGGCTGATCCTTTGAGAACAGACAAGCCTGGCTCTGGCACTGGCCCACAGTCCTGCCCTCTTAGCCCGATCTAAGGCTGCCCAGCCCTTCAGGACATCCCATCAGCAAGGCCCTTGCAGGACATGGGCCACCTCCCCACTCATCCTTCCCTGACCCTCCCTGAGGTGGTCGCATGTTCTTCCAGCTCCAGGTTGTCCTCAAAGCCCTGGCCCAGCTCACAACCTCACCAGCTTCATCTCCTGCCCCTCAAAGACCTCAAGCCCCATGAAAGCAACGATGGGAACTAGCTGATGGCTGTAGCGTAACTGGCTGATGGCTGTCAAGTAACTTCTAGAATGAATGCTAGACCTTGACCCTGAATCCCTGCATTCTAAACTCTGTCCCCGGCCAATTCCAACTCCAGACTCCCACCATATTAACCTTCTCCCTTTACTCCACTCCTGCTGGGCTCGGGGTGAAACCAGAACAGACCCACCGGGACAGCCCAGGCAGCACCCAGAGACAGGCGGGTCCAGGCCCCTGTCCAGGGAAACAGGCTGGCTCCACGGAGCACCTCGACTCTGTCAACCCCAAGAAATGAGGGGGTCAGCAGGCCAAGTGGTTAAATAATTAATAAGATTACCAACAGCGTGTTAATTACAAAGAACAGTGAGGAGCTAGAGGTGGTGAATTTTCCAAACAGGGAACCAGGATCCACAGCCCCAAGGCCCAGGGGTCCGGCCACCCAGGCGGGGCAGCTCCGTAATAAATAATGGAGTTGGGGGCAGGGGGTCAGGGCTGCTCCTGCTTCTTCTTGACTGAAATCCGCTTCTTTCTCGCTGCCAGCATCTCATAGAAGGGGTCCACACTCACAGCCGCCCTGCAGAAGGGGAGGGGTCCCAGGATGAGGGCCAAGGAGTCCAGGCCTCCAGCCCCTCCTCCCTCATACCCAGGAGGAGTCTCAGACCCCCGGCCCCTCCTCCCTCAGACCCAGGAGTCCAGGCCCCCGGCCCCTCCTCCCTCAGACCCAGCAGTCCAGGCCCCCGGCCCCTCCTCCCTCAGACCCAGGAGTCCAGGCCCCCGGCCCCTCCTCCCTCACACCCAGGAGTCCAGGCCCCCGGCCCCTCCTCCGTCAGACCCAGGAGTCCAGGCCCCCGGCCCCTCCTCCGTCAGACCCAGGGGTCCAGGCCCCCGGCCCCTCCTCCGTCAGACCCAGGTGTCCAGGCCCCTGCCCCTCCTCCGTCAGACCCAGGAGTCCAGGCCCCAGCCCCTCCTCCGTCAGACCCAGGCGTCCAGGCCCCAGCCCCTCCTCCATCAGACCCAGGCATCCAGGCCCCTGCCCCTCCTCCATCAGACCCAGGAGTCCAGGCCCCAGCCCCTCCTCCATCAGGCCCAGGAGTCCAGGCTCACTGGATGGACTTGATCCACTCGTCCTTCTCCTCCTGCGTGGGGGCCGAGATCCGGTACACCATGTGGTTTCCCTCCACCACTCGGCCGTCCGCCTCAGTTTTGCAGGCTTTGATGAGCTGCCCCTTGTTGTTGGGGATGTAAAGTTCAAAGCAGTTCTGGGGACGAGAGAGGAAGGGCGCAGGTAAGAACCAGCCCTGGGCAGAGGAGGCCCCGCCCTGGCAGGAAGGTGTACAGAGAGGGTCTTACCGGTTTCCGGGGGTCGTCCACCTCTCGGATGCTCAGATTCTCCAGGGGGATGATTCCTCGGGGCTCCTTGTCCTGAAGAAGCAAGGTGGACAGAACTCAGACTTCCAAGTCCTCACCCCACCCCACCTCCCTCAGCCCCAGGAGTCCAGGCTCCCAGCCACTCCGCCCAGGACCCCAGAGCCCGGGTCGGGTCACGCTCACCGTGGTGTACTCAAAGTAGTAGAGGCAGTTGTCTGTGAGGATAAACCAGCGCCGCTTCCACGTCTTCACCCGGCCCCCTGAAAGGGAAGGGGTGGGAGGGGGCCTGGGCTCAACAGGGGGACAGGGCCTCTGGGAGATGGGAGGGGCGTGAGAAGCAGAGCAAGAGCGGTAGAGGTGGGGCTCCTGGGGCCTAGACAAAGCCGCTGCGTTGGGGGAGACAGACAAGCAGGGCCAGGCATGTTGGGGCTCCAGGAATCGTCCACCCCCAGCTTGGGGCTCCACATTTTCTGAGTCTGTCAGTCCCAGCCCAGGAGCCTGAGCCCCCAGCCCCCTCCTCCTGTGGGCAGGAGGCCAGGGCGCCAGGGCGCCAGGGCAGCCCCCTCCCCTCGTCTAGTGATGGGAGACAAAGACAGGTCGTGTACCTACCTCCTGGGGCAGACAGCGAGAAAGCAGGCAGGACCAGGTGCAGGAGAAGGGAAGGCGGGAGAATGGAGCACCCCCAAGAGCCGCAGGCGACAGAAACAGGGTGGGCACAGGGAGGGGTGCGCAGGGGCAGGACAGAGAGGCAAACACAGGAGAGAGGGAAAGACGCAGAGAGGAGGGGAGGGAGAGAGAGGGAAGAAAACCAGTTACATCCACGAGGGTGGGGATGGCCGGGGCTCCTCCCTCCCAGAGAGGCCAAGGGCCATGAGCCCCGGGTGGCAGCCTTGAAAACCCCTTGCTTCGGTACAGGGCCCCAGCCTACCCCCTAGGGTCTGTCCTAGGCCAGGAGCATCCTCCCTTGACATGGTAAAAGTGCCTCTGCCCTGGAGGAGGCCCCCACAGGACAGAAGGCAAAACCCCCAGCCCTTGGTCTGAGGTGGGTGTGAGGGCCCATCTCAGCTCCTGCACAAACTGGCTGTGTGACCTCAGGGCACTCTCTTGGACTCTCTGGACTCCAGCCTGGAGACTCACTCGGGCCTACACCTTCCTGTGGCAAAATGACCTGCTGCTGGCTTCCTTGTGGGCCCAGGGTTAAACAATGACAGTAAGAATGGCTTTTATTAGGCATGGAGTAGCAACCACCATCACCAATCTCCACTCCTGTATTTCCATCTTTTAAGGAAGGGGTCCCTCTAACTGGCACAAAGGGAACAGAGGCCCTTTGGTCAGAGATGTCCCTGGGGCTGGGCAGCCTTAGGTGGGGCTCAGAACCAAACTGAGGCGTGAGCCTCTGGGAAATGGGAAAGTTACTGCTCACAGGAGCAGTTTTTGTTTTGTTTTGTTTTTTTGAGACTGTCTCGCTCTGTCGTCCAGGCTGGATTTGCAATGGTGTGATCTCGGCTCACTGCAAGCTCCACCTCCTGGGTTCAAGCAATTCTTGTGCCTCAGCCTCCCAAGTAGCTGGGATTACAGGTGCCTGCCACCACGCCCGGCTAATTTTTGTATTTTTAGTAGAGACGGGGTTTCACCATGTTGGCCAGGCTGGTCTCAAACTCCTGACCTCAAGTGATCTGCCTGCCTCAGCCTCCCAAAGTGCTGGGATTACAGGCCTGAGCCACCGTGCCTGGCCTGACAGCAGTTTTGAGGGAAGCAGTTCCTCGTGATGCTGGCGCCTTCCTGCTTCTCTTTCTGGCCCGCTCACTGCCAGGGGCACCTCGAGGACTCTCAATTTCCCCCAGCAGTCTGCCTCCCTTGGATCGAATGCAGGGATCTGGACTGGGGTGTTGGCTGGACAGTGATTTGCATGTTTTATTTTATAGAGACGGGGTCTCGCTCTGTTGCCCAGGCTGGACTGCAGTGGCGCAACCATGACTCACTGAAGCCTCGACCACTTGAGCTCAAACAATCCTCCCACATCACCATGCCTGGCTAATTTTTTTATTTTTTGTAGAGATGGGGGGTATCATTATATTGCCCAGGTTGGTCTCAAACTCCTGACCTCTAACAATCCTCCTGCCTTGTCCTCCCAAAGTGCTGAAATTACAGGGGTGGGCCCCTGTGCCCTGCCTGACTTGTGTATTTTACATTTACCAGGAAACCCTGGCATCTGTTGAGGTGGTGATGCCCTGGTTTAAGAGCACAGTTCCACATGGGGAGGCCCCCAAGACTCAGAGGCCAAAGCTGCCCTGTCCAACCTCCTTCCAAGAAGCCTGACCTTGACTCCCTTCACTGAGCTGAAAGCTTCCTGTGGGCTCTCCTGCTGCCGCGGGAAGCCTCCACTGCTGTGCTGGACTGTAACTGCCCAGATGTGTCTCTCTGGAGCAGCTGTGCACCGTGTCTCCATTATAAACCACATCTAACACGCAGGTGGCACCTACTGTTACCAGGCACGGCTCCAGGCCAGTAGCTCTCAACCTTGACTATGCATTGGGAGCACCCGAGGAGCTTAAACGATGACTGATGGCCCTTCTGCTCCTGAGAGCCTGACTTCAGGAGTCTATGGCCCAGCCACCGGAGTTTTCGAGTTGCCCAGGCAAATCTCATGTACAGCCAGGGCTGAGAACCACTCTAGTCCTTGTGCTAACCCCTCATCATGCTACGATCCTGTCTGATCCATGCTAACCGACCTTGAATGTGCCAGTGCCACGTGTTATGACGAAGACTCCCCCCTCCATCTCTGCTGGGTTTCCCGACTCATCTGCACCAGCCCTGGCTATTCCCTCCACAGCTGGAAGCCAGAATCTGGGACAGGTTTCCTGGCCTGTTTGGCTCTTTTCTGCCTGTGGGTGGTGTTTCGGGAAGGATGGCACCTGGATCAGCCAAGTGCTCTGGGCCTGATGCCTCGGAGTGCGGGGTCAGTCCTGCCTGGAACCCTGGGAGTTCTTGCCAAGGGGAATAGATTCCAGGGGTTTGGCTCCCTCGGGCTGGGTTAACGCAGTGGAAAGAAGCCTGAGTGAACTCTTCTCCCACGAAAGGACAATGTCAGCTGCCTCTCACTGCCTCCTCAGCCCAGCTCAGGGCCTGGCACAGAAGGGCTCCATCAACATTTGTGGGTCAAGAGAAGGGGTTGGGAAGTACTTACTACAGGCCAGGCCCAGCACACAGGCCTGATTTTATTTTCAGCCCCATTTTTTGGGTGTGGAAAACTGAGGTTCAGAGAGGTCGAATCATTTGCCTCAGTTCAGGCAGCAGGTGTGTGCGGAAGCTGAGTCCAGGGCCCAGGCCCACAAATGTCCTCCTGCGGAGGGACCAGCGGGGTCGGGAGGGCACGTACCCAGCTTCAGGAGCCAGCCCTCCCGGTCCGGGTTGAAGAAGGTGTGGGTCAGGTCATTCCCGTCATCCTCAGGAATCTTGAAGGGCTCATTTCGGATGCTGTCGTACAGGTTCTGAGGAGTAAAGGCTGCATTAGCCATTCGAGCCCCCTGGGGCCCCCCAGGGTTACTCAGGGTGGGGGGCAGCGAGACCAGGGATGGGATGACTCATAGTGGGGAAGAGAGAGGGGTAGTGGGGAGGAGAGGGAAGTGAAAGGCAGAGAAGTGGAGGGAGGCTGAGGTGGCGGAGGAAAGAAGAGATGCCCTGGTGATAGGTGGAGGAGCCGGCTACGTCCTCAGAGAAACAGACAGATGGGGAATGAGGCCAATCGAGGGCCGGAAAGCCCAACAGCCAGAGACAGAGAAGACAGACAGGCCAAAATTGTCAGGGCCAAAGCCTGAGAGAGACAGTCAAGAAGAGAAGCACCCAGAGAGAGAGAAAAAGATCACACACGAGTTGGCATGATCGCACCATCTTGGGGGTGAGGGCAGACAGCTTGGGCACTAGGAGACCACAGGTGGGGCGGGGGTGTCTGTGGCAGGAAGAGGGGCAGGGCTGAGGGGCAGGGAAGGGGGACTGACCCTGAGCAGCTCCTCAGGCAGGTCCCCGCCCTCGTTGATGCCCCGGTTCATGGCCACAAAGCGCTCCAGGCCCGGCTTGTCCCGGACATTGGGATTGTGGAGACTGGTGTTGAGCATGATGACGGCGAAGGACAGCACATAGCACGTGTCTGCACCGGACAGGGCAGGTGGTGACGACCCAGGCATGTCAGTCCCCAGTGCCCCCATTCCCCAGGACCCAGGATTCCCAGCTCCCAGCCCCCTCCCTCCCTCAGACCTAGGAGTCTGGGCCCCAGTCTCCTCTTTCCCAGGACCCAGGATTTGGGGCCCGCACCTGTGGACTGGAAAACCCCAGGGTTGCACAGGCAGTATCGCTGGGCGAAGGCCTCCATCATCCGGTCAATTTTCTGGGCCTCTCCGGGTAGGCGAAAGCTCCATAGAAACTGCCTGGGTTGGGGAGGGGCCAGGAATGGATGCCAGGGCTGGTGGGAGCCTGTCCCCACTCTCAGTCCCTGTGTTAGGAACTGGTCCACGAGGAATCCCGACCTTCCGGCCTCAGCAGTTGTTTCAGGTATGGTCACATGATCCAGTCTCACCAATGGGCATTGGCCACGGGAGTGTTGTGAATCCCTACAGAAATAGCCTCTTTCTGCTAAGTTCGCTAGACAGGTCTGGGGGTTGGTTGAGGCTTGTTATCAGGTAAGCGGGTCTGCAGAGAGCAATGCTGACACAGTGGCAAATACAAGAGGCAAAGAAAGTCGACTTTCTGACCACCATTTGAGCTCCTGGATATAGCCATACCTGAAGGAGGCCATAACCCTGAACTTTTATGGTGCAGGACACACTCAGTTCCCTAGTTTTTGTTTCTGTTTTGCTTGTTTCTGTTTTTTTCTTGAGTAAGGTTTGTCACTTGTAACTAGGAAGGCCCTGACAGGTACATTCCTGGCGTTCCAAACCCCTCCCCCTCACTCACCTGAGGGCCTGCACCAGATTGAGGTCGGTGAACTCATGCAGATCCACAAAAGCATGGAGCACTGCCAGGTTCAGTTCTTCCCTGGAAGGATGGGACAAAGACACATACAGTTTGGAAAGGATGGGGCAGGAATGGGCAAAGGGCAATGCCCTGGGGAAGTCGTGCCCCCTCTACTGCACCACAGCTGCCCACTGCCGAGGGTGAAGTTTCCTGCTGGACTCCCACACAGGCCTGCCCCCAGGGTGGGGGATGCTCAGAACACACTCTTGGGAGGAATATCTGGCTTGGGAACCCTGCTTAGGCCAGACCTTTGTACAGTTGGGAGAAATGCCGCAAACATGTATGCTACCTACTGTCACCTCTCTCAAATGATCCCCATGCTCCCCAGGTATCCAGACACAGCCCCCACATCCCCCAGACATCCAGAGATGCTTCCCAAGCACCCCAGATCTCTATAAATCCCTGATTCCCAGACGTCCACAGATGGCCTCCAATCATCTGATGTCCAGTCCTGTGCACCCTAGGCTTCCAAATGACCCCCACAACTCCTAAGCTCCCACAAGGGCCCAGCGGTCCCCACAGCTCCCAGATGGCCACCCAGTGCCTATGCACAGCCATGGTCTACCCACGGTTCTCAAGCTCCCATGATCCTTGAGAGATGTTCTCTACCCTTCTCAGACATAAATGGATGCTTCCCCACAACTGCCAGGTAATTCCAGAAGGCCCCACATCCCCAGATGCTCTCGGTTGGCCGCAGGCTCCCCTAGCCCATGTCAGTCCATTCTGTCACAGTCCAGTCAGAAGGCTGATCTGCCAGGGCCCCTCTGCGGGGAGGCTGCAGGGCTGTTCCACCTGTGAGCTGCCAGTGTGAGGGCAGGAGCTGGGTCTGGGGGGTGGGAGGGAGGGGCCCCACAGGAGCTGAGTGGTGACCGTACCTCTCCCCCAGGTAGTCCCCGATGGCTGTCTTGTTCAGCCCCTCGCCCTTGTACAGGAAGCGGGCGATCTCCTCGGGTGTGTTCTGCAGCAGTTCATTCTCCACCAAGAACTGGATCCCCTGGTGGGTGGGGACAAGGTCTCAGTGCTGAGGGCCAGAAAGCCACCCCACTCACCTCCCTGGGAACCTCAGCATCCAGACCTACCCCCACCCTCAACAGACCAGGGCCAGGTTTCATTTTCAGCCTTCTCACAGGTCTTAAATAGCATTCTTCCCAACTCATGGCCTTTGCACTTCATGGCCTACCCTCTCTGCCTTTGCCTGGTTAATTCCAGCACCAACAACAGGGTCTGGCAAGGCACAGGTGCTCAGTACATTTTCTCTTTTTTCTGAGACCTGGTCTCGCTCTATTGCAGACTGGAGTGCAGTGGCGTGATCACAGCTCATTGCAGCTTCGAACTGCTGGGCTCAAGGGATCCTCTCACTTCGGCCTCCTCAGAAGCTGGGACTATAGGCATGCCCCAACACACCTGGCTAATTTATTTATTTATATTTTTTCTAGAGATGAGTTATCACTATGCTGCCCAGGCTGGTCTCAAATTCCTGGCTTCAAGCAATCCTCCCTCCTCGGCCTCTCAAAGCACTGGGATTACAGGCATAAGCCACCGAACCCAGCCAATCAATGTTTGTTGAATGACTGAACAGAATTCCAATTGCTTCAGGAAAGAATAACGTGACAACCTGTTAGCAGACGCAGTCCTTCAAGGGCTGTGAACTCGAAGCCCTGGCTAGACTGGAGGTTTCTCTCACTCTCTGTGCTACGAAGACCTCTCTACTACTGCTTTATCTCACTGTGAACTGTGGTATCGGTGTCCAAGGGCTCTCTGAGCACAAGGCAGCATCTAATTCTTCTTTGGGTCCCCAGCATTGCCCTACACAGGATCAGACTCTTGAGAGGCCTCAGAAAATGGGTGTTAAATGAGTATGTGAACAGGCCAGGCACGGTGGCTCATGCCTGTAATCCCAACACTTTGGGAGGCTGAGGCGGGCGGATCACCTGACGTCAGGAGTTTGGAAGCAGCCTGGCCAACATGGTGAAACCCCATCTGTACTAAAAATACAAAAATTAGCTGGGCATGGTGGTGGGAGCCTGTAAGCCCAGCTACTTGGGAGGCTGAGGCAGGAGAATCGCAGGAGGCGGAGGTTAGTGAGCCGAGATCACATCGCTGCACTCCAGCCTGGGTGATAGAGCAAGACTCTGTCTCACACACACACACAAAGAGTAGGTGAACAAAAGCCTTTCCTCCACCTGGTGAACACCTACTCATCCTTCAAACCCGACCTGAATGTCTCCTCCTCAAGGAAGCCCTCCCTGACTCCACCAGCCTGCCTCCTCCAGAGGTCCACTACCCTGATACCTTCCTCCGTCACGGCACCTTTGTGGGAGAGAGGTCAACTCTCCTTTGTGCATGTCACTTTGTCCACAGCCCCTACAAGACTCGAGCTCATCTTGGGACCAGAAATGCGCCCATACAAGTAGAAAGTGGAAGACGACCTTCCAGGCAGGGGACAAAACAGTCAGGAGGGCTGGAACACTTGGTCAGTGTTCAGTGTTCAGAAAACAAATGGACAGCCAGTATCTGAATCCAGGGATTAGGACCAAGTCTGTCCACCTAGAATAGACCCGGCACCATCACGCTTCTGGAACCCGGAGGTGCCAGAAGCCCCTGCCTGGATGTTTGCCCAGCTGATCCCAGTCCTGTGGCCCCAAGCACCTTCTTGGGGTCCATGTTGAACTTCTTCCTGCCCATTGCCATCTTCCGGTTCCGTTGCAAGGTCTTACTGCAGGAGCAGAGAGCAGGGTTGGGGGTGGAGGGTCAATGCCTGGGCATCCCTGGCCTCAGCCAACCCCACGCCCCCTAGGTCATCCGCCCCAGCCCTCACCTGCCCTCATTGGCCTCCAGCCCCTCCACCTCGCTCATGGCTTCACTGAGCTCCTCCCGCAGGCGCTGAATCTCCACCAGCAGCTCCTGCTTCCGCCGCCGGATGTTCTCCAGCTCCATCCGCTCCTCCGGAGTCAGGTCTGGGGGTTCTAGGGATCGGGGTCAAGGTTTAAAAGTCAGTGCTAGGGGCCGTGAGCCTGAATTCCTGCAATCTGGGGGCGGACAGAGCTGGGAGAGGATGTGTAAGGGGCTTCCTATGTCTGCACAGAAGAATGGGCTGGGGGCCTGGATTCCTCCCTGCAGAGGAGAAAGAGCTGGGGCTCTAAACTCTTGAGTCCTGGGGGACAAGGGGAATTGGGGCCCGGATTCCTGAGTCTGAGGGAGAAGGGGAATGGGTGCCTGAGCTCTTAGATCTGAGGGAAGAAAGGGCTGGGGGCCTCGGCTTCTAGGTCCATTACTTGGAAGGGGACTGAGGCCTTGGTTTTCTGACTCCATTACTGGCGAGGTAGCTGGGGACCTGGTTATCCGGACTACTGGGTCCATGAAAAGTCACTACAGCCGGGGGAACTGATGACAGCTCAGGAGAGTTGGGAAGGTGGGGCGGGACATCGAAGGCCCCCGCCCCCCAAGATTTCTCCCCTCCCCGCAACCCAAGCGCCCCTCCCCGGCCCCGGCAGGCGCTGGGCTCGCCCGCCCCTCCAGCGGGAATGGTTCCGCCCCGGCCTCGCCTCCACCACTCCATCCCGCCCCTCCCGCCGCCACCGGAAACAGGCTCAGCCCAAACAATGGCCTGGAACGCCCGGCTTTCGGGCCCCGCCGGAAGCCCGTCCAGCGCCCAACAAAAGCGGCGCGACAAGTCTACGACTGAGCCGAACGCTTCTGGGCGCCGCGCGCCAGGGGGAAACGTTCGCGGCGGAACGTTCAGGAGAAAACGCTCCAGCAACTCCCAGCCGACCCCGCCCCTCCCCGACCTACCATAGACGCCGTCCTCCATGGCGGCTAGGAAGGCCCGCGGGGAATCCGGGGCGGTCCCGCCAGTCGGGCCTGGATCCGCGTTGGCCCGCGGGCTCGGGTGAGCCCGCTCAAACGCCCCGGGAGCCACCGCCGCCTCCTCAGCGCCAGTCCTCAGCGCTGAAAAGACTCTTCCCTTCGTCGCCCAACCGCCCCTTCAGTAGGGACCGCCCCTCTTTTTGACACTGTCCAATCCACAGTGGGCGCTTTCGTCCTCCCCGCCCTCGCCACCAAAGGATCGTTCTCCAGGGCCAACAGTCGTACAAAAAGCCGGTGTAGGTATGTCCGGCCAGAGGTAGACGGCCCGCGGGGCCAATCGGAGTGCAGGCAGGGCAGCAGGCCCCGCCTCCGAAACAACAGAAAGCACTTGACAGGCTTGCTCTCCAATGAGAAGCCCCGGAAAAGTGTCGCGCGGAGGCGGAGCCACGCGGTACAGCCACCTCTGCGCCTGCTCAAAGGCCCTGGACACTTGGAGTCTAGGTAAACCGAGCCCCGCCTCCGATAATACGTTGCTAGGGGGCGGTACTTTGTTAGTCTTGTTGCTAGGAGGCGGGGCTAGAACTGGCTTGTTTCCGTAAGCCACACCTCCTAGCAGGCCATGCTGGCTTCTGACCGCAAAGGTTGCCATGCAACCGGGAGCGGCTTTAGGCCTCCTTTTCTTTTGCATTTCTTCTCCGCGTATTTCCCCTCCTCTCAGCCCCTTCTTACCGCCGAACTCCTTCTTTATCACCATCTATGCCCTCCCCATCCCCCTCAGCCTCTTCGGAGTCGTGGAGTGGTGAAACAAAAGACTTCTTCGTTTTTTCTTTTTTTTTTTTTTTTGAGACAGAGTCTTGCTCTGTCGCCCAAGCTGGAGTGCAGTTGCGCGATCTCGGTTCACTGCAACCTCCGCCTCCCGGGTTCAAGCAATTCTCCTGCCTCAGCCTCCCGAGTAGCTGGGATTACAGGGTTGCACCATGATGGTGCATGCCTGGCTATTTTTTGTATTTTTAATAGAGACGGGCGTTTCACCATGTTGGCCAAGCTGGTCTCGAACTCCTGACCTCATGATCCGCCCACCTTGGCCCTCCAAAGTGCTGGGGTTACAGGCGTGAGCCACCGCGCCTGGCCAAGATTTACTTTTTTCTAAATGCTATGCTATTTGGTATCGGTCATGGGGAATGGAACAGGGGAAGGTGAAATTTAGTGAAAGCACAGGCTCGGCCTTCCTGGCACCTTCTGCCGCTCAGACTCCTCCCTCATTTCTCCAAACTCCTTCCTTTAGCTTAGCATCCTCCTAAGACTCCTCCCTTCCCCAAGCATCCTCCTGCTAAGACAACTCCCCTTTCCTCAGCATCCTCCCACCTCTCTGATTCCTTCTCCCATCTCAGAGGCCTTTTTTCCTCTCTGGCTCCCCTCACGTCACGGTCCCCCTTGTCCTCTCATACTCTTGCCCTTTTTTTTTTTTTTTTTTTTTTTGAGACAGAGTTTTGCTCTTTTGCCCAGTCTGGAATGAACTGGCATGATCTCAGCTCACTGCAACCTCCACCCACAAGGTTGACGCGATACTCCTACCTCAGCCTCCCAAGGAGCTGGGATTATAGGCGCCCACCACCATGCCCGGCTAATTTTTGTATTTTTAGTAGAGACGGGGTTTCGCCATGTTGGCCAGGCTGGTCTCAAACTCCTGACCTCAGGTGATCCACCCGCCTCAGCCTCCCAAAGTGCTAGGCGTGAGCCACCGTGCCCATAGGCGTGAGCCACCGTGCCCAGCCACCCTTGCCCTTCTTAAACTCCTCCCTCCTCTGAGGCCCCTTCCCCTTCCCCTTCCCCAGCCTCTATGTCCCATTATTTGTAACGGAATGTGGTCAAGGGACTGGCTGGAATAGGGAACCCAGGCACCCCTGTAAAGAGGGAAGCCGTAATGGGGGCTGAAGTGGTGTCTGGGCCTCGTCCTCATTTGCTGTCCCTGGGCTGGGCAGGTGGAGACGGATTCAGGGCCAGGACCTAGTTAAGCTGTCGGATTAGACATGGAGGCTCCTAATCCCCTCACTGACCTTTATGAGTGGCCCAGGCCCTGCCCTCCCCAGTGGAAACCCAGGCTGGGCTGCCCTGCTCCCATACTCCTTTCAAACGAAACCCCCTCCCTGCCCCTTCACTTCCAACTTAACATCCTTCCCCAACCCTGCGTTTCCATTGCCCCCATCCCTACCTACCCCAGACACCCTGAGCTGAGAGAGCAGCCAGCTAATTAATCCCATCCGGTTATTACATGGGGATTCTGAGGGATAAAGGGAGATGGAGAAGCTGGAGGGGGCATTTGGGTTGATGCAGCACTTGTGAAGGCTGAATGGCAATGACAGTGGCTGCCCTCGGTCCAGAACACGGGGTGGGAACACGTCCTCCTCACTGTCACTGGCTCCCTCTGCAGTTGGCTCCCAGCCTGCGGGGCACTTAGGTAGATGGTAGCATGGGCAGGGGGCCAGGTCGGAGGACCCATGCTCGAGAAACACATTCGCAGACACATCCGCTAGGGCTCCCAGTTCTTTAATCTGGGGGACAGGTCTCCCCCTAAAACACTCACTCTCCCACAATGGGAAGAACCCTGGTGTCCAGAGCTACCTCCTCCTCCCCAGGTCCCCAAGCTAGGCCAGGGAAGTGACTCTGGCTGTTAGCCACAGCCCACGCCTACCCTTGCCCTGTGATTCAGACACCCGAGTTCAGAGCCAGCCTCCAAGAGTATCTTACATCCCAGCGTCTCCTGGAAGGCCGTATGATCCAGCACTGGGGAGAGGAGGGAAATCCCCAGGACTCGAATGCCCATCCCACCCTTGGTGTAGTGAGGACTCATCCTGCTGGAAAGGCCCCTGAAGAACTTCAAGTTCCAATATCCCGTTTTTACAGATGGGGAAACTGACATGAAGAGGAGTCCAAAGTGACACAGTAAGTTGGGGCAGCATTGGGATTTAGAGCAAAGCTTCTGGGGTCCTTGAAAAGGACCTCATTCCAATTAGCTAGCACTCCATCTCTAAGCCTGTTGTAGGGACCAAGGGAAAAAATAGATAGATATCTGTATTTATATTACATATATATAATATACATATGTATAATATCTTTAAGAAACAGACACACGGCTGGGCATGGTGGCTCACACCCGTAATCCCAGCACTTTGGGAGACCGAGGCAGGTGGATCATCTGAGGTCGGGAGTTCAAGACCAACCTCGCCAACATGGCGAAACCCCGTCTCTACTAAAAATACAAAAATTAGCCAGGCATAGTGGCTCATGCCTGTAATCCCAGCGACTCAGGAGACTGAGGCAGGAGAAACACTTGAAGCCGGGAGGCGGAGGTTGCAGTGAGCTGAGATCACGCCATTGCACTCCAGCCTGGGCGGCAGAGCGAGACTCAGTCTCAAAAAAAAAAAAAAAAGAAAAAGAAAAAGAAATAGACACACATCACTAGGTGTAGGGTTCCAGAGCATTCTAGACTCACCAGCCCTGGGCCTCCCCCTTCCCTTGTCCACTAATTAGCCCTGTGCCCTACAGGGTCTCACCTTCACCTTCACCTTCCAGGTCAGGCCAGAAATGTTGCTTCTGAAGTCCTGAGTCCACCTCCTAGCACTGCCAAGCAGTCCACCTGGAGGTGATGAGAACTTCCAGGCTTTGGTAATGGACAACTCTGTATCCCTGGAGCCTTCATTCCTTTTGGCATTACAGAACCACAAGAAGTCATCTAGAATCATTGAGATTCTCAACTCCATTGGGCAAACTGGAACCAGCAAAATCTCAGATATCTAGAATTGCCACTGCTTCCTTGACTCTGTGATCAGTCTACAGCCACAGAATCCTGATTCCCTTTGGACATTCTAGAATGGCACTTTAAAAAAAAACAACCCACCCAGTGGATCCTTTCAAAGCACTGCTTATTCTCTTGGCTGGGTGCTCTACAGCCAGAAGTTGGAGTTATCTAATATCAAGAACTCTTAATCTGTCACTTCAGTCTTTCTAAACCCACAGACTAACAATGTTTTGTGCATTCTAGAAACATTACTCTTTAGTTTCTGGAGTAGTTCAACTCTCCACGTAAAATCTGTCCTAGACTCACCAGTGCTTGCCTCTGTGGTCAACCTAGACTCACAGAATCTCAACTAATGAGCTTTCTGGAACCACAGGTCTTTTTTTTTTTTTTGGTCTTTGGTCAATCAAGATGATCTTGAATACTTGGGGCATTCCATAACCTTCCCTCCTTAGGTGGTCTAGAACAAATGATTTGCTACTCAGTTGGCTGAGTTGAGAAGCAACACTCCCTTGAATCTTAGGTGAATCCAGACCTACAAACTCTTGATATCTGATGCTGTTCAAGAACTGCCAACTTGCTTCCCCAGAGGCAGTCTATACCATTGGCTTCTCACCCTGGTCAACAATCCAGGTCTCCCCATATAGAGGAATCTAGAACTGCCAGTCTTTTCCTCTTGGGTGATCCAGAATTCTGGTGAGACTGAGGAATCAGGCTCATAAAGGGTTCTCAGGAGGGAGCACAGAAGCAGAGGAATTAAGGTCCAGTATGTCCATGGTGGGTCACCAGGCATGGCAGAACCTTACCACCTAGTCATTTACCCAGCAGGCCTGTCGGTATTCAGGAACACCTGCCCCCATCCCAGGAGAGAGCCCCATCCCTCCATCTTGCTACCTTGGGGAAGGGGGCATACACGGGGAAGGGGACATCAGTTTGCATCATGGAGGCAGGGTCAGCGCCAGGGTTGGTGTGAGAACTCGGGGGCTAGCAGCCCCATCTTCTGTTTCCACCCCATTCCCTTCCTCAGTCTCATCGTCCTCATCTTCCTCCTGGCAGCAGCTCAGAGCAAGTTCATTCTCATAACAAAATGCAGTCAGAGAGCCGGGGAAACTAGACTTGAGGCTGTGGGAAGCCTGCTCTGCCCGTTCATCCAGCTCCTTAGCACTGCAGACCGGTGTCCCTGGGACCTCATAAGTGCGATGGAAGTGGCGATAGTCGACCTCATACTGGGAGCCACGCTGGAAGAGAACTGGCTCAAAACGATGGCCCCAGAGCAGTTCACCAGGGAGGTAGGACGAGCGACACTGTGTGGTCATGGCTGTGGCCTCAACCATCCCCTCGAGAATGACCACCAGCTCAAAGTCAGCCCTGGCCAGCTCGGCACGTCCTAGCTCATACAGAGGACTGGCAGAGTCGATCTCATGGACGATGGTGATGGGGGACACGAGGAAGATACGATCGGTGCCTCCATCAAAGCCCACATCCACATCCTGGTGGTCCAGCGGGATGTACTCACCCTCTGGGGTCACACGGGGCTGCAGCAGGAGGCGAGGAGCCAAAGACAGCAGGGAGCACAGAGACGGGCAGAGACGAAGTGAGAGAGAGGAAGAGATGCAGAGAAAGAAGGCAAAGACCACAGGAGTGAAGAAAAGGGTGAGAACACAGATCAAGAGATGGGGCCGGCAACCCAGAGAGAGAGGAAGTCAGAGAGGCAGGGGAGGGCACAGAAACCCAGTAAGGGAGCCAGAGACCCAGGAGGGGAGGATGGAGGTCCAGAGAAAACATGGGACATGGGACAGAGACCCAGAGATAAAGAGAGAGGAAAGAGACTCAGGGTTTGGGGGTAGAAAACGGGAAGAGGGGCGTGGTGGGGGAAGAGGAGAGAGGGACAGAGTGATATTGGCATAGAGACACAGAAATCAGCAAGACAGAGATGAAATCAAAGCGACAACGGAAAATAAGGATGACATTCAACAGAGAATTGGAGAAGGAGCGGGAGAGAAAAATGGCTTTTAGTATGTGGCCAGAGAAAGATAAATCAGATGACAAGAAGGGGGAGTTAGGGCAACCTAGGTCCAACATTCTGCACCCACCACTGCCTCAGGCTTATCCCTGGGCTCTCCCCTGAGCTATCCTAGCTGTCAGGGCAACTGCAAACCCTTCCATGTCATTCTGTGTGTGAGCACGCTTTGTGGGGGTGTGGGTATTTCACCCCCGCCTACCCGCTGGTTCCATAGCCACCTCCCAGGCCAAGTCACTGCCCCACCGACTTCTGCAAGAGCCAGTGTCCCTCCTATTCATGAATCCTGGTATCTCAAAGCTTCAGGCAGGAGATTGAAGTGGGAGGTGGGCATCTATCCTCCTCTTGTAAGTGTCTCTGGAAGCCCCAAGTAGAGGAACCCCAGAGGCGGCTGGGAGTTGCAGCTCCCACCACCCCCGATCCTCTCCAAGTCCAGCCTCAGCCCAGAGTCCTAAAGTCACTTTACTTGGGCCACGGCAGCTGCCGGCCCAGAGTTTCTTGGGAACGGAGATGTTTGAGCAATTTGACCACAATTCTAGGAACGCTAAGGCCCCTTCCTCAGGGCAGGGAGGGAGCCAGTACCCCAGGGGCCAATGGGAGGTGCAGTTTCGTTTCGTTGCCACCTCCACCCTGCTCTCAGAGGTTAGGAGGCTGGTGGGACACAATGGGCCACTGAGGTGGGGAATGAATTCTCCCACAGATGCCGCAGGACCCCACACCTAGAGGCCTGGAGAACTGTGCTCCACAGCGATGAGCTGCACCCATTCCAGGGCCTGCTTCTCCCGGGGGCCTCAAGTCACAGGCCTCCGACTGTGCCACAGTGTCCAGTGGGAATTGTACACCCGAGTAATAGAACGGTCACGCAGGCCCTCCACCACCCCCTCGCAAAGCTGCATCTGAGGCCACCCCATCTTTGGACAGGTCCCTTGACCCAGAGGCTTCTGGGAATTACGGCCCAGAGCCTTGACAGGCCAGGCGTGGCCCTTTTGGGGTCTACCCACAGGCGGGCAATCCTCAAGCCACAGGAAGCTCTGTATGCCCCAAATCCAGGCCTCCAGGAAGAGCTGGTCACATACCTTTCTGTTGGGTTTACATCCCCAGCTGCCCAGTGACCCATTCGCAGGCCCCAGGCCCAAGAGGCTGCTGGGAGTTGTAGTCCACGCCCCCTCCAGGACCGCACGCCCCTCGCCCTCGGGCCTACATCTCCCACAATCCCCCAGGGCTCACGGAAGTCCCCGCCTCTCCTCCCGGGCGCACCTGCAGCAGCTGGGCACGCACGTGGGCCTCGACCAGGTGGCTGCGGCGCAGGTTGCCGACGCGCCACATGAGGCAGAGGCGGTGGTCGCGCAGCGCCACGACGGCGTTCTCGCTGAAGACCAGCGTCTCGTTGCGCTTCTTGGGTTTGGCCATCTTGGCCATGACAGCACCCACGACGAAGGCGTCGAGCACGCAGCCGGCAATGCACTGCAGCACCACGGCGGCCACAGCGGCCGGGCACTCCTCGGTGACGCTGCGCACGCCGTAGCCGATGGACGTCTGCGTCTCCAGCGCGAAGAGGAAGGCGGCCAGGAAGCTGGCCACGTGTGAGAAGCAGGGCGCGGGCGGTGGCGGGGCGGCCAGGTCGCCGTGCAGCGAGGCAATGAGCCAGAAGGCCAGGCCGAAGAGCAGCCAGGAGGCGAGGAAGGAGCAGGAGAAGAGCAGGCACATCCAGCGCCAGCGCACGTCCACGCATGTGGTGAACAGGTCGCTCAGGTAGCGCGCGCCCTGGCCACCCAGGTTTACGAAACGCACGTTGCAGTGCCCGTCTTTCTTGACGAAGCGACCGCGGCGCCGGCCCACGGGTGACTGCACCGGTGCCGGCGCCCACCCGTTGCGGCACAACCCGGGCCCGGCCTCCTCTTCATCGCCCGCCCGGCTGTCTCCCGAATCCAGGGCGCCGCTGAGGCGGCGTAGGGCCCTGGCCAGGCCCATTGGACGGAGGGACCCCCTCCACTTGGCCTAGTGGGGGGCAGGCGCCCCCAACCTGCTGGGACAAGAAACCGGCAGAAACGTCAGGGGCAACAGGAATGGATGAGCTCATCGGCCAAGCATGCTTTCTGGTGGGGCTTAGTGGCCTCATCTGTCAAATAGGTGGAACGATACGCATTTTTTTTTTTTTTTTTTTTTTGGAGACAGAGTCTCGCTCTGTCGCCCAAGCTGGAGTGCAGTGGCATGATCCTGGCTTACTGCAATCTCCGCGTCCCAAGTTTAAGCGATTCTCCTGTCTCAACCTCCTGAGTAGCTGGGATTACTACAGGTGCACACCACCACTCCTGGGTAATTTTTTTTTTAACTTTTTTCTTTTCTTTTCTTTTTTTTTTTGAGACGGAGTCGTGCTTTGTCGCCAGGCTGGAGTGCAGCGGCACAATCTCAGCTCACCGCAACCTCAGCTCACTGCAACCTCTGCCTCCCAGGTTCAAGTGATTCGCCTGCCTCAGCCTCCCAAGTAGCTGGGATTACAGGCACGGGCCACCATGCCTAGCTAAGTTTTTGTAATTTAAGTAGAGATGGGGTTTCACCATGTTGGCCAAGATGGTCTCGATCTCCTGACCTCGTGATCCGCCTGCTTTGGCCTCCCAAAGTGCTGGGATTACAGGCGTGAGCCACCGCGCCTGGCCAGCCACCTTCTTTTTTAAATTTTTTTTTTAATTTAATTTTTATATTATAGAGACAGGGGCCTCACTATGTTGCCCAGGCTGGTCTCAAACTCCTGGCCTCAAGCGATCTTCCCTCCTCAACCTCCCAAGTGCTGGGATTACAGGCCTGAGCCACCCCACCTGGCCCATACTCACCTTCCAAGTTGGAAGATAAACAGCAACAATACTATAGAAGATACTTGTACAACAACAACGGAAAATACTATAACAATAACGATATTATAGCAAGTGCCACAATAATTACAGCATGCATTTATACAGTGCTAAATCTATGTACTGAATTCATAATTTGTGTTCTATCAATTATACTGTTTATACAATTTGGAGGTTGTTGTAAGTACTTTACATGAATTTACATATTTGAACCTCAGAGCAAGCCTATGAGGCAGACATCATTATCCCCATTTTCTAGATGAGGAAACTGAAGCACAGAAAGTTTAAGCAACTTCCCCAAGACTGCCGGGTGTGGTGGTTCATGCCTGTAATCCCAGCACTTTGGGAGGCCGAGGCGGGCGGATCACCTGAGGTCAGGAGTTCGAGACCAGCCTGACCAACATGGAGAAACCCCATCTCTACTAAAAATACAAAATTAGCCGGGCATGGTGGCACATGCCTGTAATCCCAGCTACTAGGGAGGCTGAGGCAGGAGAATCGCTTGAACCTGGGAGGTGGAGGTTGCGGTGAGCCGAGATCGTGCCATTGCACTCCAGCCTGGACAACAAGAGTGAAACTCTGTCTCAAAAAAAATAAATAAATAAAACTTCCCCAAGACCACAGGTAAGTAAACTGGGATTTGAATGCTAGCCATCCAGCTCCAGGGTCCATGCTCATAATCGTAAGGTGTAACTGCTTCTCAGCATGGAGAGATGCCTCAGGGCTCTGAGGTCAGCTGTGGTTCAAAAACAGGCTCACAAAGTAACAAAAGGAAAAAATCCATCAATTGAATTGCATCAGAACTAAATAACTTTTTTTTTTTTTTTGAGATGGACTCTCACTTTGTCACCTAGACTGGAGTGCAGTAGCGCGATCTTGGCTCACTGCAATCTCTGTCTCCTGGGTTCTCCTGCCTCAGCCTCCCGAGCAGCCAGGATTACAGGCACATGCCACCACGCCTGGCTAACTTTTGTATTTTTAGTGGAGATGGGGTTTCACCATGTTGGCCAGGCTGGTCTTGAACTCCTGACCTCAAGTGATCCTCCTGCCTTGGCCTCCTAAAGTACTGGGATTACAGGCGTGAGCCACTGCACCCGGCCAGAACTAAAAAACTTTTGTGCTCCGAAAGACACTATCAAGAAAGTGAAGAGAGGCCAGGCGAGGTGGTACACACCTGTATCCTAGCGCTTTGGGAGGCTGAAGCAGGAGGATCATTTGAGCCCAGGAGTTCATGACCAGCCTGGACAACATAGCAAGGGGCTTGCTCTACAAAAAAATTAAAAAATTAGCCAGATGTGGTAATGCAAACCTGTAGTCCTAGTTACTTGGAAGGTTGAGGTGGGAGGATTGCTTAAGCCCAGGAGTTTGAGGCTGCAGTGAGTTACGACTGTACCACTGCACTCTAGCCTGGGCGACAGAGCAAGACCATGTCTCAAAAAAGCTTTTTAAGAAAGGGAAAAGACAACCCACTAATGGGAGAAGATACTGTAGTTGCAAATCATATACCTGATGAGGAACTTGTATCTAGACTATATAAAGAGCCCTTGCAACTCAATCATGAAAAGATAAGTAACACCCCCCAAACTTTTTTTTTTTTTTTTTTTTTGGAGACGGAGTCTTGCTTAGTTGCCCAGGCTGGAGTGCAGTGGCGCCATCTCGGCTCACTGCAAGCTCCGCCTCCTGGGTTCACGCCATTCTCCTGCCTCAGCCTCCCGAGGCTGGGACTACAGGCGCCTGCCACTACGCCCGGCTAATTTTTTTTGTATTTTTAGTAGAGACGGGGTTTCACCATGTTAGCCAGGATGGTCTCGATCTCCTGACCTCGTGATCCGCCTGTCTCGGCCTCCCAAAGTGCTGGGATTACAGGCGTGAGCCACCACCCCCGGCTTTTTTTTTTTTTTTTTTTTTTTTGAGACGGAGTCTCACTCAGTGGCCCAGGCTGGAGTGCAGTGGCGCAATCTCAGCTCACTGCAACCTCCACCTCCTGGGTACAAGAGATTCTCTTGCCTCAGCCTCCTGAGTATCTGGAATTACAGGCTCATGCCACCATCCCAGCTAATTTTTGTATTTTTAGTAGAGACAGGGTTTCACGATGTGGGCTAGTGCCAAATAACCCAATTTAAAAGTGGGCAAAGGGGGCCAGGCACAGCAGCTCACGCCTGTAATCCTAACACTTTGCGAGGCCGAGGAAGCTGGATCACTTGAGCTCAGGAGTTTGAGACCAGCCTGGCCAACATGGCAAAATCCCGTCTCTATTAAAAATCCAAAAATTAGCCGGGCCTGGTGGTGCACATCTGTAGTCCCAGCTACTCTGGAGGCTGAGGCACAAAAAAAGTAGGCAAAGGATCTGTACAGACGTTTCTCCAAAGAAGGTATACAAATGGCTCATAAACATATGAAAAGATGCTCAACATCATTAGCCATCAGAGAAATGCAAATCAAAAGCACAAAGGAATACCATTTTGCACCCACTTAGAATGGCTATAATAAAAAAAACAAGTGTTGGCGAGAATGTGGAGAAATTGGCATCCTCATACACTGCTGTGGGGAATGAAAAATTGCAGCTGCTGTAGGAAGCAGTCTGGCAGTTACTTAAATGGTTAAACATAGAATTACCACATCACCCAGCAATTGCACTCCTACTTATGTACCCAAGAGAAATGAAAACAGATGCAAAAACTGGTACACAAATGTTCACAGCAGCATTACTCATAATAGCCAAAAGGTGGAAACCCAAGTATCAACCAACTAATGAATAAATAAAATGTGGTATATTCATCCAATGAATAGTATTTGACAATAAAGAGAAATGAAGTATCGATAGATGCAACAACATGGATAAACCTTGAAAACATTATGCTGGCCAGGTGCGGTGGCTCGCACCTGTAATCCCAGGACTTTGGGAGGCCAAGGTAGGCAGATCATTTGAGGTCAGGAGTTCGAGACCAGCTTGGCCAACATGGTGAAACCCCGTCTCCACTAAAAATAACAAAAATTAGCCGGGTATGGTGATTACAGGCGCGCACCTGTAATCCCAGCTACTCGGGAGGCTGAGGTGGGAGAATCACTTGAACCCGGGAGGTGGAGGTTGCAGTGAGCTGAGAGTGCACGAGTGCACTCGAGCTTGGGCGACAAAGCAAGACTCCATTTAAAAAAAAAAAATTAATTGTGATGGCTGCACAATTGTGAATACACTAAAAGCCATTGAATTGTACCCTGTAGTGAGTGTATGATATGATATGTGAATTAGATTTCAATGAAGCTATTGTAAAATAAATGAAATGGGCCTCATGCCCGACCCTCTGATCTTTGGCAACTCTTTCTGAGTCTCGGTTTCCTCCATTGTAAGGTGGGGAAATTGGGACTTCTTAAAAGACCAGGAAGGGCCTTCTTACCATATGGATGAGGGCCCAGTCCTGGCTTAGTTGCTCACCCACCATGTCCCCTGGGATCTCTGGCTTCTTTTTCCAGAGACTCAGTTTGCTCAACCATTTACTAGGTGTGTGATGGATGACAGGTCAAATCCTTTCCTGAGCCTCAGCTCTCATCTGTGAAAGGCAGGAGGCCTGGGGGCTGGGCATGGTGGCTCACACCTGTAATCCCAGCACTCTGGGAGGCCAAGGTGGGAGGACTGTTGGAACCCGGGAGTCTGAAACCAGCTTAGGGAACATGGCGAGACCCTATCTTAAAAACAAAAAGTATCCAGCCATGGTGATGCAGCTACTGTGGAGACTGAGGTGGGGGATCACTTGAGCCCAGAGTTCAAGGCTGCAGTGAGCTATGATGCTCTACCACTGCACTGCAGCCTGGGCAACAGAGCAAGACCCTATCTCTTAAAGAAAAAAAAAAAAAAAAGAGGGCAGGTGCGGTGGCTCACACCTGTAATCCTAGCACTTTGGGAGTCCAACTCAGGAGGAATGCGTGAGGCCAGGGGTTTGAGAACCAGCCTGGGGAAGACAGCAAAACCCTGTCTCTAAAAAATAAATAAATAATTAAAAATAAAAAATAAAGGAAGAAAAGAAATGGAGGGAATCGCAGCAGCCTGTCAGGGTGGACCAAAGGAAAGGGCTGGGCATGGACCCGCACCCCTCATTGCCTTCAGGGTTCACTGCAACGTTACCAAACGCTTGGCCCTGTGGTGGGGAACTTCCCAGGAACTGGCTGGATCAGGACAAACCATTCCAGGGGTTAAATAATTTGTGCTGGAACCTGGGGATCCTCAGGGGCTTCTTGGCAGGGCCTGGCACACTCCATTTGGAAAGAAGACCATGAGACAATGTCAAGTTTGGCACCAACTGGGTCTCCCAAAGCCCTGCACCTGCTTCCCACAACCACGCAGGCAGCCTGGCCATTCGCGAGGGTTCATTAGGCCCACTTGACAGAGGCAAGGCTGAGGTGAGGGGACCAGCCTGGCTGTGTCCAGTGCCCACAGTGTACCCCAACCTTGACTCTATCTCACCCCTGACAACCCTGCATGTTAGAGACTGTTCTCCCAAAAAGGGGAAATAGGCTCGTTGCCCAAGGGGGCGGCCTGGAGGTCAACATCAGGATGCAGCATCTACACCTGCAGCCCTCCCCAGCCTGGGGATCCCCACTCAGCACTGACTCCACCCTCAGGAACCACCCCCGTGGGCTGGGGGGGCAGGTGGGCACTGACACTGACCTGTGCTCCCCAGGCCCCAGCCTGGGCCTCTCACCCCCACTTGCCCATCTCTCACCAAAGCCCTTTGATGAAGGGACCTGGCTTTTCACAGAAAAGCCAACTGGGGCTGAGGTTAGTCCCTTGTCGCAGGTCTCTCAGCCAGTGGGGAGAGGAGTGGCAAAAGCTAGCCTCCCACCCAGGCCTCCTGGGAGCCACGGCCCGAGTGACAAACCACAGTCTTCTCAAGAGCACTCTGGTTTCAAACACACCTGGTATGTACGAGGCCTCGTGATGAGCTCCCGACATGCCCACAGCCCCCACTGGACTCTCAGACCCCACTGCTCACCTTGGCCGCTCAGGATGCCGGGAGGTGAAGATCATCACCCCCTTTCACAGTTGGGGAACAGGCTCAGGGAACGCCATGAGCTGGCCAGGCCCCCGCAGTGCCAGGGGGAATGCTGGTTGGGTCCTAAGCCTTTCTTTCCTTCCCAGAGTTCTGCCCTCGAAATCCTCCAGTCCCACCTCAGCCCCGTGAGGCAGACCCGTTGTCTACTTCCCAAAGCCAACGGGAACCTTCACCAGGGGGCCATCTGCGGCCAACATGGCCCAGCTCCCAGGCTGGCTGCGACTCAGGCTCAGGGCACCCCCCTCCCCTAGCAAAAGCAGGGCGGGAGGGAAAGGGATCCTCCACCTGACCTGCGAGAGCAGCTTAATGTTTCCATATAAAGGAGATACAGGGCTTAAGGTGCTTCAACTTCGTGTCAAAGTCACTGTCTAATCTGAGGCCAAGAAGCCCCGCCCCCAGGCCCCACCCTCACCCTCCCAAATCAACACTCTCACTCTTCCGAAACCAGGGGTGTTCCCCACCACTCCCCACCTACTGGTGGGGGCTGGACAGCAGGTTGGAAAGCAGAGACTACAGAAAGACAAAGAGATGCAGAGATAGGCAGGAGGAGGGGTGTTGAGAGGGTGCCCCAAGAAAAAGTACAGGGACCAAGCAGGACAGGGACCCTGAGAGAGAGGGGGACAGAGACCCAGAGAGGGCAGCAGGAAAGGGACATTGATCCAGAGAGAAAGGGACAGAGACCTTGAGAGAGGACAGAGACCCAGAGAGAGGGGAACAGAGACCTTGAGAGGATAGAGACTCAGAGACAGAGGGGGACAGAGACCCAGAGAGAGGGGGGGACAGAGACCTAGATGGAGGGGGACAGAGAAGATAGAGGCGGACAGGGCAATTGGGAAAACGAAAAGGAGAAAAGAAATGTTTTAAGAAATGGCGACATGGGGAGATGAAATTGTGAAGACAGAGAGAGGCAGAGAGAGATGGGAGAGACAGAGATGGGGGAGAGAGACAGAGACAGAGACAGACAGACTGAGAGGGTTTCTCTGAAAGGATGGAAGCCAGTGAGAAAATGCATAAAATGGGGATGGGGTGAGAGTTGGAGGCACTGAACCTGGGGGTGGATTCTCCTGGCGCTGAGCCTGTCACTGATGGGAAGACAAGGCCTTCTTGAAGGGGACAAGCTGAGGACAGGGATGCTGGGGCAGGGGTGGATGGGGGCGACGCAGCAGAGCAGGAGGGGATGGCTCAGCGGTGCCTTGCATGGAGGCACGTACCTGTTGGGGCGGCCCACCCCCATGCCCTCCGCTGGGGGCTCCTCGGCTAGGGCTGAGGGGAAGCCTCTGTGGGTGCTGAGGGGCTGTAGTCTGTCCTTGGTCCCAGGGGCCGTGTGACGGGCACCCGACCTCGGAGTCCACAGATGGATCAGAGGCTGGATGGAGGGGGGCCGGGGGTGGGGCTAGCTCAGAGCCGCAGAGGGGGAGCCAGGGAGGCCAGCCAGGCAGAGCGGCTGGGCCACAGCCCAGGCAGGCTGGACAGGAGACAGCGGCGGAGGAGCGAGACAGCGACTAGGGGGCAGGGAGACTGGCAGTGGGGGACGGGAGACTCTGAAAGAGGGGGACACAGAGAAGAAAGAAAGAAACGTGATAAAGGGGAGATGGACGGAGGGAGAAATGGGGGGTCCAGAGTTCCCTGAGATGAAGCCTTCATAAGCTGGTGGGGGTCAGGGATGAGGCCCCTTTCACTAAGCCAGAGTGAGTTCCAGATGGAAGGACACTTAGAGAAGGCAGAACGCGGCGGCACCCAGTGGGCGGAAGGTTGGGTTGCACTGGACTCCCAGTGGCCTCCCCCAGCCTAGCGGCCTGGGGGCAGCTGGTGCCAAATTCCTCCCCACCCCCAAACTCCCCCCACACCCCGTTTCCTCATAGGGCTGTGGCCAAAGGACCAGAGTCTCAAATACACCTCAGGCCTCTTCCTGGTCCTTTATTGCTGCTCAGGAGCCCTGACCTTCCTCCCGACACAGCACCAGCCTCTAAAGTCAGGGAGGAGGGGAGAGGGTCGCATGTAGCCCCCACACGGAGAAATCCTGGCCAAACCCAGCTGGCAGGAAGACAACGGGCAGAAGCAAATTGTGTTGGAGGAACCCACACCTCCAATTTGGTGCAGCCACTGTATATCCCCCGAGTCCCCTGCTGGGAACCAGCAGCCAAAACTGGGTCCTGAGCCGGACGCGGTGGCTCACGCCTGTAATCCCAACCCAGCACTCTGGGAGGCCGGGGCGGACAGATCACTTGAGATCAAGAATTTGAGACCAGCCTGGCCAACATGGTGAAACCCCGTCTCTACTAAAAATACAAAAATTAACGGGGTGTGGTGGCACATGCCTGTAATCCCAGCTACCTGGGAGACTGAGCTGAGAGAATCACTTTAACCCAGGAGGCGGAGGTTGCAGTGAGCCAAGATCGTGCTACTGCACTCCAGCCTGGGCGACAGACCAAGACTCCGTCTCAAACAAACAAACAAAAAACTGGGTTCTGGGGACACAGGTCAAATGGGTCACAGCTGACAGGAAGGAATCCGACACACAGGCCACACCAGGCCACACAAGTCTCTGGGTGGGAGTGGTCTTACAGAGCCCTGGTTAAACCGAGTTCTTTGGTGAGAGGGGTCACTGGATCAGAGCCAGGCCTTCTAGAGAACAATACGTCAAACAGAATCCATCACGGCAGCCCACAGGCCGGCCAGTCTCAGTCAACAGACCTGAATGAACCCCTTCCAGGGGAGCCCAATTCGACTTCAGTTTCCAAGCAGGAAGCAAGATCAGAGCCAGTGGGACGCCTCAGACGCTGATGGTGCGGAAGATGGTGAAGCCTGACAGCGCCGTGCTGACCAGGAGCCCTGGGCACTGCGGGTGCCAGTGCAGCTCCTTCAGCTCGGTCTCGCCCTGGTGCACGAACAGCAGCTGCTGCGGGAGGTCGGCCAGTCCGGGGTCGGCCTCCACGTCGCCCGCCTCAGGGTCCCGCTCCACTGCCAGGTCCCACTGTGTGATCTGGTGGTCTGCACCCGAGGCTGCAAAGACCCCGCTGTCCTGGGGGTGCCACTCGACGGAGGTCACGGGGGCCACGTGCTGCTTGAAGGTGGCCACTGGGGAACCAGACTAGAGGGAGAGGATGGGAGGAACGGGCTCTGAATGCCTCAGCCTGACTCTGGGGAGGACCCAGGCAGAAGCCCCAACCCTTCTCCAGCCTCAGGGTTCAGCCAGGGCCCCACCCCTTAAGCCCTCACAAGCCCAGAGTCCAGGAAAGGGACACAGGGTAATTCTGGCTGCTAAGAAGGCTGACCAGCCCAGGGGTTGCTGGGAACTGTGATTCACCTGCAAAGAAGCCCCTCCCAGCTCAGGTAGCAAAACCCCCGCCCCTGCTCTTCCCTCTGCCTGCCTGTTTTCTTCCTTGTAAAAGGAGGGCATGGGCTGGGTGCGGTGGCTCACGACTGTAATCTCAGCACCTTGGGAGGCCAAGGCGGGTGGATCACCCGAGGTCAGGAGTTGGAGACCAGCCTGAACAACATGGTGAAACCCCATCTCTACTAAAAATACAAAATTAGCCGGGCTGGTGTCACATGCCTGTAATCCCAGTTACTCAGGAGGCTGAGGCAGGAGAATCGCTTGAACCCAGGAGCGGGAGGTTGCAGTGAGCCGAGATTGCGCCACTGCACTCCAGCCTGGGAAACAAGAGCAAAACTCCATCGCAAAAAAAAAGAAAAAAAAAAAAAAAAAGAAAAAAAGGAGGGCATGGCTCTCCCAGAGCTCTCCCAGCAGATTCTACAAAGGCCTCAAAGGAGGCAGAAACACAATCCCCGGAAGCCGACCCAAAGAAAGACTAAGAATGACAGCACTTTCACTACAGCAAAGGCCCCGCTCAATTGGCGTCTCTCTCATTAGGAGAGGCTGCTCTGAAGTTCCAATGGTCAACAAGCTGGGCCCTGTGTGACCTGGTGGGCCTGGGAGGCTGGAATCCGTCTCCAGCCTCCTCCCCAGGGCTGACGCTATAGAAACGATCAAACTGGAGGAGAAAAAGGATGACATCATGGCAGCCCGGGAAGGCAGAGCCACACAAAGCTGCGGCTTTGTCCAGAGGGATGCCGGACGCTGCAACTTCTCCTGCACAGGGACCCTCCCAGCTCCACAATGTCAACCTCTAGCTTGGCTGTCATGTCACAGCGGCTCCTGTCCTTTCTGTGCCTCAGTCTTCTCCTACAACGAGCAGGCTGGGCCCCGATTCTCAGTTGCATCTAGAAATCTACAACTCTCTGAAGCTCTCAGCACTGGCCGTACAGACACCTGTACTTCTGCCCACAGGCAGATGAGAGTCCTAGTCTCTGCTGCCCCAGCCCCTTCCATCTCTTGTCAGCTGTTCCCCTGGTAGAGTGAGTGACCCCAAGAGTGGAGACCCGCCACCCTTCCTCTTGCTGAGCCTCAGTTTCCTCCTCTGTACCCTGAAGAGGCAGGAGTCTAGTTCTAAGGGCTCTCCAGCTCTGGTTGTGTAAAACTATTCAAGGAGGAAAAATCCTACAAATCCCAGGGGCTGCTGGGAGCAAGCTTCTCTAGCCCCCAGGTGTCCGGCTGGGAAAATACCTTGAACTGCCGAAGGTCCCAGATCTTGAGGGCCCCATCATCCCCGCCACTGAGCAGGAAGGGCTCCCGGCGGCTCCAGCTGATGACATTGACGTCCCCATCATGGGCGGTGGCTGTGGTGAGCATGCAGGCCTTGCTGGGGGCTGCCCGGATGTCCCAGATGCGGATGGAGGCGTCAGCTGAGCAGGAGGCAAACACCTGGGGGAGGCGGAGTCTGAGTGGTCCCAATGCCCCCCAGCCCGCAGTGAAGCCCAAGCGCCAGCGGTGGGCTACTCTCTCTTTCACTGTTCCCCTTACTATGACTTGGCCTGGAAACTAAACCTCCGTCAGGCTCCCAGCCCTCTTTTCCCTCAGACCTAGGATTCTAGGTCCCTGGCCTAGAATCCATCAGAACTAAACGACCAGAACCCCACCCTCCCTCACCGTGTTCTCAGTCGGTGACCACTGCAGGTCCTCCACAGAGCGTGTGTGGCCCACGAATGGCCGCTGGTCCACGTGCCAGGAGCCGCCGTCCGTAGGTGTCCAGAGGTGGATGTTCTTTTGACAGTCACCGGTCAGCAGGCGACCTGGGGAAGGGAGTCAGGAAATGACCTCGCCCCACCTGGCCGCAGCTCGCTCCCCTCCTTGGAGTCTAAGCGCCCGGCCCCTTGTTGCAGACCCTGCTCCCCCGACCTCCCGGGACTCCTGAACACCCCAGGGACTCACCGGTCACCCGGGGGGACCAGTCAAGGGCAAAGCCCTCGCCCATGTGTCCAGCGAAGGAGAAGATGGGCTTCATTTGGGCCTGCTCATCCCGGAGGAAGGCTGCCAGGGCCTGGGGCTCCTCCACCACCTGCAGAAGCCGCCGCAGCGCAAACACCTCCACCTGGCCCTTCTCTGACCACACCCCAGCCACAGGCTCTTCACCCAGCCATGACACCTGCAGAAGAGCGGTGGGGGAAGGGTGATGTGAAGCGAGGGGAGAGGAGGATCAAGGCACTGACCCCACGCTCCCCATATCCCAGAGAACCAGAAGTGCGCTTCCTCAGATCTCCCAGGCCTGGGACTACAGCTCCTTGAAACCTCTGTGGGAAGAAAATCACAACCTGCAAAAACCAGCATGGTAACTGGGACAGCTCTCCACAGGGGGTGGGAGTGGGTGGGGGAGCTGAGGTGGGAGGATAGAGCCCCAGGATGCCTGGGAGTTGAGGCTGCAATTCCCACCAGCCCTTGGGAGGGTGTTCAGGCTCCTGGTCTCGGTAACCCTCTAAATGCTAGAAGGCCACAAGACTCAGTCCTCGGATCTCCTTGCCTCTGTGTTTGTTCACTAGGAGACCCAGTCCAGCCACGAGGTTTCCAATACCCCTAGCCCTGACCTCTCCCCTGGGCTCCAGACTCTTACTGCATTGACCGTTCAAACTTTTTTGTTTTTGAGACAGGGTCCCGCTCTGTTGCCCAGGACGGAGTGCAGTGATGCCATAATGGCTCACTGCAGCCTCAACCTCCTGGGCTCAAGTGATCCTCTCACCTCAGCCTCCCAAGTAGTTGGGACTATGGGTAAGCACCATCACATCTGGCTTTTAAAATTTTTTTGTAGAGACAGGGTCTCACTTTATTGCCCAGGCTGGTCTGGAACTCCTGGTCTCAAGCGATCCTTCTGCATCAGCTTTCCAAAGTGCTGGGATTACAGGCATCAGCCACTGTGCCAGCCTGACCATTCAAACTTGATACAACCAAAGCCAAGCTCCTAATTGCCACCTGCAACTGCTCTCTCTCCACCTCAGGCCCCAAAATTCAGAACTCATTCTTGGTCCTCATGCCCAGCACCTATGCTGACTACAGTAAAAATGCTCACTTCCAGGGCCAGGCGCGGTGGCTCGCACCTGTAATCCCAGCACTTTGGGAGGCCGAGGAGGGCAGACTGCCTGAGGTCAGGAGCGAGACCACCCTGGCCAACATGATGAAACCCCGCCTCTACTAAAAATGCAAAAATTAGTCGGGCGTGCTGGTGGGTGGCTGTAATCCCAGCTACTTAGGAGGCTGAGGCAGGAGAATCGCTTGAACCCAGGAGTCAGAGGTTGCAGTGAGCCGAGATCGCACCATTGCGCTCCGGCCTGGGCGACAAAAGCGAGACTCTGTCTCATCTAAAAAAAAAAGCTCACTTCCAACCCCCTTCTCATGATGTCTATTGCTGTCACACTACTACTGATGTCATCCTTCCCCTGAATACCGTAAGTCTCCCCACAGGATTCTTTCCTCCGACCCTTACCTCTCTGCAATTGATATTTAAGGACAGCAGCCAGAGGGACCACTTTAAAACAGAAGTCAGACCCTGTCTTTCCTCTGCCTGAAACCCTCCAACGTCTCCCAATTAAAAGCTGGAGTCCTTACAGTGGCCGACAAGGCTCTGAACAATGTCTTCTCTGTGCCCGCTCCCCAAATTGTGTCATTCTCCCTTTTGTTCATTCTGCTCCAGACAGACTGGACACTCCCGCTTCACTTGAAACTCTTCAAACATGCCAAGCTCACCCCAGGGCCTTTGAACTTGTGTTTTTCCTTGCCTGCAAATTCTTTTACAGGGTTCACTGCCCCACTACCTGTGAGTATCTATGCAAATGGCATTTTATGACAGAATACTTTCCTAACCACACTGTTTAAAAATAGCACCCCACTCCTGGAGCACCCTAACCCTCTTCCCCTACTTCATTGGATTTTTTCCAGGATAGTTAACACCTTTGGACATGGTACACATTTACTTAGTTTCATCTCGTTCCCTTCCCCCACTAGTGTGTAAGTTGATGGAGCCAGAGACCTTTTGCTTGCTGCTAAATCCTCTGCATCTAGAACAGTACTGAAACATAGTAAAAATAATTTCATGGAAACAGACAGCCCCAGCTATCAGCCAAGTACTGCTCTAAGTGCTCTTCATATACCGTATCATTGTACTTACAAGTCTACCTGATCAGAAGATGTTTTAGCTTTGAAGCAAAAAACAAATAAACAGGCTGGACACAGTGCCTCATGCCTATAATCCCAGCATTTTGGGGGCGAAGGTGGGCAGATCACTTGAGCTCAGGAGTTCAAGACCAGCCTGGCCAACATAATGAGACTCCATTTCTACTAAAAATACAAAAATTACTGGGCATGGTGGTGTGCACTTGTGATCCCAGCTACTCGGGAGGCTGAGGCAGGAGAATCACTTGAACCTGGGAGGCAGAGGTTGCAGTGAGCCAAGATCACGCCACTGCACTCCAGCCTGGGCAATGGGAGTGAAACCATGACTCAAAAACAAAACAAACAGCCACAACCAAAAACAGTTCCTGAATAGTAACAGAAAATACATACCTCATATTACAACCAGGTGCTATTCTAGGCACTATATGTTATTTCATTTGACCTCATGCCAGCCCCATCAGATAAGTTCTATAACTCACTATGTTACCAAAGAGAAAAGTGAAGAACATAAACCATATCCTCATAATCTAAAACAGTACCTAACATGTAATGACACTGATCATAATAGCTAAATTGTATAAAACTATGTGACAAGTACTTTTCTAAAAACTGAAGGAGGCCGGGTGTGGTGGCTCACGCTTGTAATCCCATGACTTTGGGTGCCCGAGGCGTGCGGATCAATCACTCGAGGTCAGGAGTTTGAGACCAGCCTAGCCAACAAGGCGAAACCTTGTCTCTACTAAAAATACAAAAAATTGGCCAGATGCGGTGGCTCACGCCTGTAATCTCAGCACTTTGGGAAGCCGAGGCAGGCGGATCACGAGGTCAGGAGTTCACCACCAGCCTGATCAACATTGTGAAACCCCGTCCCTACTAAGAATACAAAAATTAGCCGGGCGTGGTGGCGCGCACCTGTAATCTCAGCTACTTGGCTGAGGCAGGAGAATCGCTTGAACCTGGGAGGCAGAGGTTGCAGTGAGCTGAGATCATGCCATTGCCCTCCAGTCTAAGCGACAGAGCAAGACTTCATCTCAAAAAAAAACCAAAAAACAAAAAATTAGAAGGGCCTGGTGGCAGGCGCCTATAGCCCCAGCTACTTGGGAGGCTGAGGCAGGAGAATCCCTTGAACCTGGGAAGGGGAGGTTGCAGTGAGCCAAGATCGCACCACTGCACTCCAGCCTGGACAACAGAGCGAGACTCCATCTCAAAAAAAAAAAAAAAAAAAATGGGCCAGGCACGGTGGCTCACGCTTGTAATCCCAGCACTTTGGGAGGCAGAGGTTGCAGTGAGCCGAGGCTGCGCCACTGCACTCCAGCCTGGGTGACAGAGCGAGACTACGTCTCAAAAAAAAAAAAAAAAAAAAGAACATGAGGAGGTGTTGGGAGTTATGGACACAGGGGATGGGTCAGATGTGTTTCAGAGTATGCAGAGCAGGCTCCTGGGACCATACTTACCCGAACTCGGTTGATGCCACCATAGTGGGGCACCATGGCCAGCTCCAGCTGAGGTTTCCGCTCTTCTTCATCCTCTTCATCTTCCTCCTCTTCTTCTTCATCACTGCCCTCTGAGGGTGGGGGCTTTGTCCCATGCAGATTGTGCATCCGAAGCATCATCAGTCTGGGAGAAATTGTGGGGTGAGTTAGGCACTAGATTCCAGGATTCTTAGGAAGGAGAGAGGCTGGAAACCCAGACTCCTGGATCTGCGAGAGGCAGAAACTGGAAGCCCTAACTCCTGGGTGCTGAGGAAGGGGCTGGAAACTGAGCCTCCTGGTCCTGGAAAAGCCTCGGGTCTTACCTGTTGCTCTGGGCGCTCTCAGCCTGGGTCCCAGCACACAAGTAAAGTGTAAGAGGAAGCTCTGTCCGGTTGTCTCCCAGGTGATCCCGGACTATGTCAAAGCTGAGACAGGGGGCGCCTGGGGATGGAAGGCGGGGTTTACGAGTTAAGACGGGACAGTAAGAGCTCAGTCCCCACCTCCCTCATGGATCAACCGCCTCCGGTATGAAATCACTTCTCTTAGACCCCAGCCTTCTCTTCCCGAGCACCTCTCAGGTTAAAGGCTCGGGATCAGCCACCTCAGGACCCTGGAGTCCGGACTCAGCCCTACCAGTCTGCGCTCGGTGGTAGAGCACATAGGCCTCCTCGTCCATGACCAGCTCCTCCCCTTCGCGTAGCGGCGGCCCCCGGCCGGGCAGGTAGACCTGGGCCGGGCCCTCGGAACTTGTGTCGCCGGACTCGGCTTCCATGGGTTCCCCGGTTTCACACGTGCGCCGCCGACCCTTGCGCGCCGCCATCTTCGAACCCTCTCGCTGCTGACACCCGGTAAGAGCGTCACTTCCGGGTTTCGCTTTCCGCCTAATGAGATCCGCCCTACTGCGCGGTTACCTTGGAAACTCCTGGGACCGCTAATCGGAGAGGGTGCGGAAACGCTGGAGGAGAACTCAGGTAATGGCGCCAGCGAAAGAAGCCTGCGGATACGGAGAAACTGCATCTTCGCGTGACTTTGGGCGCTGTTCCTCGCGGTAGTGGCAAGGCCTTCTGGGAGTTGTAGTTCTACGGGAGGCTTGTTTTCCCCATTGTCCAGTTTGATTCCGAGAGCGTTCTTTCCAGTTAATTAATTATTCATATATGCAAATTTGCTCTTTCACTGGCAAGGAGACTGAGTTTCTACTCCCCGAGGACCCATAAGGCCGGTTTCTTTTCCTCTCTCTGTTGTGATGGCTTTCATTTGTTTCAAAAATGCTTTCTTGTAGACAGGATGGATATTATCTGTAAGTTAGGCGGTTCAATCTACCCTCTAGGGGCAGTCAATTGCCTAACCAGACATTCACATTTCAGCTCTGGTCAGCGAGCACTTAATCAGAAAGTCCACCCTCTGGAGGCAGCTATTACAAGTGCTTCGTCTCTCTTTATCGCCCATCAGCACCAGCGGTTTGGCTAATTGACATAATGAAATGTTAGAAATAGATTCTCATTGGTGAGATTAACAGCATTCAAGATAATGCGGATTGGCTGGGATATGTCAGACACTCTCCTAGCTTGCATGAACAGGATATTGAGAATGTAGCAAGCCTTGGTACCTATAGCCATAGGAAATAAAACCATACCTTTGATCTTAATATGTTTTGTCTCCGGGATCTATCTCACCACTCTCTTGGGGTCTCTTATCTGCCCCAGTACCCTCTCGACTTTCTTTTCAGGGTCTCTTCCCACCTCCTCTTTCTTGGTCTTTGTCTCCCCAGGCACCTCCTTTCAGAGTCTCTGTTCTCTCTCTAATTCTGTCTCCTCTTCCCCTGTGGGACTTTTGTGTTTCTGTTTCCTCCAGAGAATTTGAGGGGGGCTAACAGATACGGAGCTTAGGCTTGGACTGAGGAGGCATAAAAACATGGTTTATTCCAAACACTGCAATGTGGAATAAGAGAGTGGGAAGGGAAGTTGGTGGAGAAGTGTGGACTCCCAGACCCTCCCCTCCGCAACCCAGCCCCAGACCCGGCTGGAGATCTGGGCAGAGGAGGCTTTTTGGAGGTCTGCTGGGTCATCACTGAAGGGTCGCAAATAAGGGTTGGATTTGGAGAGGATGTGCTTGGTGGCAAGTGGGGTGGTCCGGAGGTGCGGCAGGGTGGGAAGTTTTGGCTTCAGGGAGGTTGGGTTCATCGCGGTGCAAGGGAAGGCGGGGCTTCCGTTGGGGACGTGTCCTAGGTCAGAGTAGGGAAAAGCGACCGAGGGTGGAAGAGGAGGAGGGGGTGTCACGGTTTGATGTCAAGGGTCACAGTCTGGTCGGGGCACAGTCTGGGGTTCGGGTCACAGTTTGGGGTCAGGGGTCACAGTCTGGAGTCGGATGACCATTTTAGGAGTCGGATGTCACAGTCTGGGTCAGGGGTTTCTGTGTGGCGGGGCCAAGGTCTGGGGTCACAGTTTGGCGAACGCGTCTCACAGTTTTGAGTCCCAATGGATGAAAGGTTAAAAACGGGCTTCCCCGGAGGCGCGGCTGGGGCCGGGGAGCTGCACAGTGATGTGGGGGCCACGGCCCCGGGCGTGGAGGTGGGACGCGGGAGTGGCGTGAACCCCCCACCTCCCGCCCCATCTGGTGACGTTAAAAAGCCCTTGTCGGGTTTAAAAAAAAGTCCGGTGGGCTCCAAGGCCCCCGCCCCCTCGTTCTCAGGCTGGGTGATAGTTGAGGGACCAAATCCTCTCCGGCTTGCGGTTCCTCCAGAACCAGGGGGCGCAGGACGCTGCTCCAGGCGGGGTCCGGCCAGTTCCACTGCTTTCCTTCCCAACCCACGCGGGTCCTGTCCACTGCGGGCGCCCCCTCGGGCCGTGGCCTGCGCTGACCAAGGGGGCGGTGGGGCCCCCGGGGCCGCGTCATACCTCGGACTCGAGGCTAGAGAAGTGCGCCGAGCCCCTGCGGGTGCCCAGGTCCCCGCCCCGGTGTCTCCGGTGGGAAGCTGTGGGCAGCGGCGGCCCCCAGTGCGCGGCGTGCGGACACCTGCGAGCGTGGCGGGAGGGCCCGGTAAGCCTGCGCGCAGGGGCGGCGCGAGGGCACGAGCTGAGGTCCTCGAGCGAGCGCGAGGTGGGCGCGGGCGGCGGGAGGTCCCAGCCCCCAGCGGCGCGCCGGTGCCTGTGGTGGTGGGGCGCGGCGGCGGCGGGCGTGCGGTGCGAGGCCCGCGGGCGGTGCGGGTGCGACCGCGGGCACCCGCAGCGGGCCCGGCGTCGGGGCAGGGGCCCGGCGGCCCAGGGTGGAGGCGGTGGCGCCCACCAGCCGCCGTCCAGGCCATCGTGCGAGCAGCTGAGATGGCGCGGCGGCGGCAGCAGCTCCAGGCTGGCGCAGTGCCGACAGTGCCAGGCGGCCGGACCGCTGCGCGGGGGCAGGTAGTCCCAGCTCCCGGCGCGCCAGCCCCCGAGCTTGTCGACCGACCAGTAGCGGCCGGGCGGCGGCCCGAGGCGCTCGGCATACGGGTAAGGGAAGTCGGCGAACCACCAGGGCTCCAGGCCGCCCAGCGACGCGCCGCCCAGGCTCTCCGAGTCCTCCGAGTCCGACGGCGACGGCTCGAGATCGAGGTAAGGGCACGGGGGCGGCGCGGCGCGGCACGGGGGCGGAGCGGCCGGGGCTCCTCCGCCTGCGCCCCCCGTGCCCCCCGCGCCGCCCGCGCCTGGCCCCAGCAGGGGTTGGCTCTCGGGGTCCGAGCGCGGCCACCGCGCGGGCGCCGGCGGGCTCTCGTCCTCGAAGGCCAAGCGGCAGAGTGGCGGCCCGACGGCGGTGGCCGCGGCGGCGGGGGGCGCGGGCGGCGACGGGAAGCCGGGGAAGGCGCCGGCGGGGGGCTCGGCTGGCTCCTTGTCGCGTACGATGGCGAAATAGGAGGGCGGCGGCTTCTGCGGGGGCTGAGCGGCCGGCGGGGACAGCGGGCGCCCGGCTGCGCCCCGCGGTGCCGCGCGCGCTTCGCCCAGGCCGAGGCCTAGGCCCTGCGGCTCGATGGGGCCGTAGTAGCGGTGGAAGCCGTCGGCCAGGCCCGCGCCCCCCGGCGGCCCCGCGCCCTTGGTCCGGCGCCAGCGGTCCACTGAGGCGCGCTCGCGGGGCACGAAAGGTGCGGGCCCGGGAGCCGGCCGCGGCGCGGGGTACGCGGGGCTGGGCAGGGGCTGTGGCGGCGGCGGGGGCTTGGCGGGCGGTGGGGCGGCCTCAGCGCTGCAGCAGCTGTACATGCCCTGCGGGTCCGGGGACAGGACGGGGGTCAGCGCGAGATGCCCAGGACGCCTGCCCGCCTCCCCTCAGTCCCTCTCTCCTCTCCATTTACCCGCCTGTGTTTCCCGCTCTCTTCCCCACTATCCACATCTCGACCCACATCTCCTTGTCTCTGCTCGGCTTTACCTTTGTCCCCGCCCCTGCCATCTCCCCCTCTCTGCCTCCCTCTCTGCCCCATACCCTGGAGAAGGCCAGCAGGAAGTCCATGCGGTGGGTGGGCCCCAGGCAGTGCCGCAGGCGCCAGTACACCAGGTGCTCCCAGGCGAAGACCAGCAGGGACAGGCCCATGGCCACCAGGAGCATGTAGAAGACGCCCGCCATGTTGTCGATGTCCAGCTTGCTGCTCATCACCTCGATTTTGTCATTGTGGCAGATCCCAGAGAGCCACAGCCGCTCCAGCATCTCGATCTCATCTAGGGAGGGGCGGTCAAAAGTCACCTGCTATGAGTACCCTCTGAGGACCCTTGTCTGTGATGTGGGAATGTAGGCCCTTAGCCCCTTCCTCCCTCAGACCCTGGTGTCCGGGTCTTTGTCCCTTTCTTCCCCGGAACCCAGGGGCCTCGCCCTCCCCCTCTCCGCTGTGGAAATCCCTGTGTGCAGCCGCACCATCCCCCAGGAACTGCAGCAACGCCAGGTCGATGGGCCGCTTCCAGCGGGAGCCCTTGTGCAGGGCGATGCCATAGCCTGTCGTGGCGAAGACCTTGCCGGAGCCGATGGTGACAAGCTTGCAGCCCTCGTCCTTGCGGGCCATGTAATTGAGCACTGCAGCATCGTAGATGAAGGCGTCCAGCTTCCTGGGGGGAGGGGGAATGGAGGGTAGGGTCAGTCCCACCTAGATGCCCTGGCCGCCAGGCCTGGAACCTCCTCACCTGTAACCTCCAACTGCTCCAAATCCTAACTGGCCCTGAGCTCTTGAGCAAATCATTGCACTTCTCAGTGCCTCAGTTTCAACATCAGTAAAATGGGCATGGCAGCAGTATCTCCCTTCAGAGTTGTTGCAAAAGTATGTTGTTTAAGAGACAGGGTCTTGCTATGTTGTCCAGGCTGGACCAGAAATCCTGGGCTCAAGCGATCCTCCTATCTCAGCCTCCCCAGTAGCAGGGACTATAGGGAAAGCTTAGATAGTACCTCATGCAAAGGAGGTGCTGGAGAAGTGTTAACTGTGACTTTTTCTTTCTTTTTTTTTTTTTTTTTTTTTTTGAGACAGAGTCTCACTCTGTCACCCAGGCTGGAGTGCAGTGGCACAGTCTCGGCTCACTGCAAGATCCGACTCCTGGGTTCAAGCGATTCTCCTGCCTCAGCCTCCCAAGTAGCTGGGATTATAGGTGCCCACTACCACGCCCAGCTAATTTTTGCATTTTTAGTAGAGACGGGGTTCCACCATGTTGGCCAGGCTGATCTCGAACCCCTGTCCTTGTGGTCCACCTGTCTCAGCCTCCCAAAGTGCTGAGATTACAGGCGTGAGCAACCGCACCTGGCCAGCTGTGACTGTTAATGAAATAGTTATTCCTTTACTCCTCACCATAGCCCTCCAAAGAGTCCATTTACTCTTGCATTTTAAAAAAGAGGATTGAGACTGGCCATGGTAGCTCATGGCTGTAATCCCAGCACTTTGGGAAGCCAAGGCAGGTGGATCACCTGTCAGCTCAGGAGTTCCAGACCAGTCTGGCCAACATGGTGAAACCCCATCTCTACTGAAAATACAAAAATTAGCCAGGTGTGGTGGCAGGCACCTGTAATCCCAGCTACTCAGGAGGTTGAGGCAGGAGAATTGCTTGAACCTGGGAGGCAGAGGTTGCTGTGAGCCAAAATCGAGCCACTGCACTCCAGCCTGGGTGACAGAGAGAGATGCCATCTCAAAACAAATAAAGAGGAAGATTGAGGGAAAAAAATAATGCAAGTGAATGATCAGTTATATTGTGCCAAGCATTGTTCTATCTAGTCTAAGGACACTTTTTTTTTGTTTTCCTGAGACGAGGTCTCACTATGTTGCCCAAGCTGGAATGCAGTGGCACCATCATAGCTCACTGCAGCCTTGACCTCTTCGGTTCAACCGAACCTCCTGCCTCAGCCTCCTCAGTAGCTGGGACTAAAGGCACACATCACCACATCTGGCTAATTTTTGTATTTTTTGTAGAGACAGGGTTTTTCCATGTTGCCCAGGCTGGGCTCTAACTCCTGGGCTCAAGTGATCTTCCCGCCTTGGCCACCCAAAGTACTGGGACTACAGGTGTGAGCCTGTAGGGAGATAACCATTCTTTTCAGATGGGAAAACACAGACCCAGACACATAACTTGCTTGGGTTCTCCCACTAGGCCCTGATTTATTTATTTATTTATTTTTTTTTTCTTGAGACCGAGTTTCACTCTTGTCCCCCAGGCTGGAGTGCAGAGGCGTGATCTCAGCTCACTGCAACCTCCACCTCCCAGGTTCAAGGGATTCTCCTGCCTCAGCCACCCAAGTAGCTGGGATTATAGGCATGCACCACCACACACGGCTAATTTTGTATTTTTAGTAGAGATGGGGTTTCACCATGTTGGCCAGGCTGGTCTTGAACTCCTGACCTCAGTTGATCCACCCAACTCAGCCTCCCAAAATGCTGGGATTACAGGCGTGAGCCACCACACTTGGCCTAGGCCCTGCCCAGGCTGGAGTGCAATGGTGCGATCTGGGCTCACCACAACCTCCGCCTCCCCGGATCAAACGATTCTCCTGTCTCAGCCTCCGGAGTAGCTGGGATTACAGGCATGTGCCACCACGCCTGGCTAATTCTGTACTTTTAGTGGAGATGGGGTTTCTCCATGTTGGTCAGGCTGGTCTCAAACTCCCAACCTCAGGTTATCGTCCCACCTTGGCTTCCCAAAGTGGGTTTCTCCCAAGGTGCTGGGATTATAGGCATGAGCCACCGTGCCCAGCCTAGGCCCTGATTTCTAAGACTTGGTGGGAAGAAGGGCAGGGCTGTGGAGTTAGTTCTCATGGATGCATTTGTTATGGCACATGCTGCTATCACTCTCATTTACAACTGCTGTCATTTTACATTTATTTCTGTGGTTGTTTGATTAATCTCAACCTTCCCCATGAGACTGCAAGACCCCCAGGGTCCCAGTTGGTCTTATTCTCATCTGTGGCTGGGGCATAGTTCCTGGCATGTAGGACGGGGTTGATAGATATTTGCAGAATAAATGAATGAATGAATAAATGAATCCACACAGAGGAATACTGTGTAACTCTTCTGTGGTATGAGATAAATGCTTATGCTCTGACAGGTAAGGATGTATGGGGTGTATTTTATATATTTTTTAAATATTTATTTATTTATTTGTTTGTTTGTTTGTTTTTAGAGATGGGGTCTCACTCTGTTTCCCAGGCTGGTCTCAAACTCCTGGGCTGAAGCAATCCTCCTGCCTCAGCCTCCCAAAATGCTGGGATTACAGGCATGAGCTTTCACACCTGACCTTATGGGGTGTATTTTTTAAAAAGTTAGGCTGGGCATGATGGCTCATGCCTGTAATCCCAACACTTTGGGAGGCCAAGGCAGGAGGATCGCCTGAGCCCAGGAGTTTGAGACCAGCCTGGGCCACATAGTGATACCCTGCCTCTATAAAAAAAAAAAAAAATTAGCCAGGTGTGGTGATGCACCTATATTCCCAGCTACTCAGGAGGCTGAGGCAGGAGGATCCCTTCAGCCCAGGAGTTTGAAGCTGCAGTGAGCTATGATGACACCATTGCACCCCAGCCTGGGTGACAGAGGGATACCCTGTCTCTAAAAACAAAACAAATGAACACAAAAATTACTCCCAGAATCCTATATAGAATATGAGTTCATATTGGCCGGGCGCAGTGACTCACGCCTGTAATCCCAGCGCTTTGGGAGGCTGAGGCGGGCGGATCACATGAGGTCAGGAGTTCGATACCAGCCTGGCCAACATGGCGAAACCCCGTCTCTATTAAAAATACAAAAATTAGGCCGGGCACGGTGGCTAATGCCTGTAATCCCAGCACTTTGGGAGGCCGAGGCAGGCGGATCACGAGGTCAGGAGATCGAGACCATCCTGGCTAACACGGTGAAACCCTGTCTCTACTAAAAATACAAAAAATTAGCCAGACGTGGTGGCAGGCATCTGTAGTCCCAGTTACTCAGGAGGCTGAGGCAAGAGAATCGTTTGAACTCGGGAGGCAGAGGTTGCAGTGAGCCGAGATCGCACCACTACACTCCAGCCTGGGCGACAGAGCAAGACTCCGTCTCAAAAAAAAAAAAAAAAAAAAAAAAAAAAAGGCGGCTGGATGCTGAGTTGAAGAGAAGCCAAAGGATCTTCCAGAGAAGAATACTTAACCTCTAGTCTTGAGTAGTTAGCCTGTCTGTTGATTTAAGTCCTCCTATGTCCCCAAACCTTCAGAAAAACCCTGTCCACGCACTCACAGGCTCACATATAAATGCCGTGTGTGTGTGGTTGTTTGCGTGGAAATTAGAGAAAAGGACTGAATTAGTCCATACATGCTAAGTGGGGAAACAGACAGGAAGTGGATCCCCCAAATTGAATGTCTCTAGCTGAAGCAAAGACTCAGGGGTGGAGAATGTGAAGCTCCGGAGAATTAGCAGAAACGTGGGGAGGACATTCATCATCCCACCGTTGGAGAATGGGGTTTGAATTAATTTTATATAGATCCTAACAGGGAGTTCCCATATGACATCTGGAATATAAGTATAGGCGAGAAAAATACCACCACTGCCTGCAGGCACTTCTGCCTTGTAGGCAAACTGTAATTTTTCCCTACGTTTCTCTTTGTTTAGGAAGATGCCCTTGGGGGTGAAAGGTGAAGTGCTATTGATGTTTAAGTGGGAAGAATGTGGAGTTTCTAGAGTTAGGGATAGAAGGGCTGGGACTGGGATAAGATGGGAGGAGTGTCTCCAGGGGTCCTCAGAGGACAAGCGGGAGTGGAAGGAGAGACTCAAGTTACATTTTGGAGAAAGCTAAAAGTCAAGGCTTCCAGTGGTGGAAATATTTGAGAGATTTCAGAAAGAGGAGCTCTAACAGCATTCACTTTCAATGGTTTGCTCAGTTTTTCTGGGATATACTGTCTCCCTCCCCTCTCGCATCCACCACCCCTTCATGGTCCCTAAATATCTATTAAAACTCAGCCATTCCAGGGGCCCTGGCTCATGCCTGTCATCCCAGCACTTTGGGAGGCTGAGGCAGGAGGACTGCTTGGGTCCAGGAGTTCGAGACCAGCTTGGGCAACAAAGGGAGACCTGTCTCTACAAAAACTTTAAAAATTAGCCGGGTTTGGTGGTGCATGCCTGTCATCTCAGCTACTTGGGAGGCTGAGGTGGGAGGATCGCTTGAGGGTAGGAGGATGAGGTTGCAGTGAGCTATGATTGTGCCATGTACTCCAGCCTGGGTTACAGAGGGAGACCCTGTCTCGAAAACAAAACAAAACAAAACAAAAAGACCTCAGCCATTTCCTACAGCCTTTGTTTGGGTGTAGGTTGGGGAAAAATTAAAATTCCCTGCATCCGTCCTTTCTTTCTTGTTTGTTCCCACTCTGTCACCAGAGGGATCTTAACATTTGAGTCAGCGCTGTCCCTTTTCAGCTCACCACCCCCTCTTGGCTCCCCTCGTCACTCAGAGTGACTTGGATCACCTCGAGTTTAGAGGCCCTGTGCCACCTGACACCCCATCCCTCCTTACCCATCTGCCCTCATCTCCCAAGCCCCCCCTCACTCTGGCCTGGGAGATGCACCTGGACCTCTCCAGCTCGCTCCTGCCCCAGGGCCTTTGCACTGGCTGTTCTGCCTGCTGGAACATTCTTCTCCTAGACAGCTGCCTGACTCACTCTCTCACCTTGAAAGTGCCTTTGCCTGACTGACTCCATCTTGCTTCTAACCCTTAAGTTGTCCTTGCTTATTCCTGGGCATAGGCCAAACCAACTTTGGGAAGGAATTCTGTTCATGGTTTGACTCTGAAACAAAATCGATACTAGCCCTTTCCTAAAAAGACCCCCTTCTTGCCTGGGGACTAGTCTACCTTTGCAGGACTAACAAATTAGCTGCAAGATTAGAAATTAAGGTTAGGGGCCATGCAGCCTCTGGCTCCCCCGATTGCTCCTGGGGATGACATCATTACTGTAAAACCTAAGATGAGTGCTTGAGATATTCTACAGACCCTACACTCTATGGATCAGCTGACGCCACCCAGACTGGTAATCTGGCTCAGCCAGTTCTGCCATCCCACCCAGGAACAGAAAACAGCAAGAAAACCTCACTTCGACCGCCTGTGAGTCCAACTCCAACCTGACCAATCAGCACTCCCCGCTTCCCAAGCCCCTACCCGCCAAATTATCTTTAAAAACTCTGGTTCCCAAATGCTCAGGCAGACTGATGTGAGTGATAATAAAACTCCGGTCTCCCACACAGCCGGCTCTGCGTGAATGACTCTTTTTCCATTGCAGACCCCCCGTCTTGATAAATCGGCTCTGTCTAGGCAGCGGGCAACGTGAACCCACTGGGCAGTTACAACCTCCGTCAGGTGTTTGCTCCAAAGACACCTTCCTGAGCACCCTATTTGATACTGCAACCTCCAGTCTCCCGCCCCAGTTTTCCAAATGCATTCACCCTGCCCTATTTTTACCCATAGCGCGTATCCCCTTGGAATGCACTATAGAATATTCTCATTTATTCCGTGCATTGCACGTCTCCCTTCACTGGAATTTAAGTTCCATGAGGCAGGGACTTTGCCCGTCTGATTCACCACTGTATCCACAGGGTCTAGAACAGTGCCTAGCACACACTAGGTGCTTACTAAGAAATGGCTGGACGGCTGGGTGTGGTGGCTCATGCTTCTAACCCCAGCACTTTGGGAGGCCGCCCGGGGCACGGATCTCCTGAGGTCGGGAGTTCATAACCAGCTTGGCCAACATAGTGAAACCCCATCTCTACTAAAAATACAAAAATTAGCCGGGTGTGGTGGCATGTGCCTGTAATCTCAGCCACTCGGGAGGCTGAGGCAGGAGAATTGCTTGAACCTCGAGCGGATCACCTGAGTTCAGAAGTTCATGACCAGCCTGGCCAACATGGCGAAACCCTGTTGCTACTAAAAATACAAAAATTAGTCAGGTGTGGTGGCACACGCCTGTAATCTCAGCTACTTGGGAGGCTGAGGCAGGAGAATTGTTTAAACCTGGGAGGCGGACGTTGCAGTGAGCTGAGATGGTGCCCGGGCAATGGAGCAAGAGCAAGACTCCGTCTCAAAAAAAAAAAAAAAAAAACAAGTGGCTGAATGGGCACTTAAAGGGTAGACAAGGTGAAGAGACAGAGGAAGACGGCAGCTTTTTACAAGCCAAGGAGGAAGGTCTGGAAGAGGTCCTCCCACAGCCCTCAAAAGGAGCCATCACTGCCGACACCTTGATTTTGACCTTCTAGCCTCTACAACTGTGGGGCGATACATTTCTGTTGTGTAAGCCACTCAGTCTATGGTATTTTGTTATGGCTGCCCTAGCGAATTAATAGAATTGTATATAGAAAAATCCCAAAGGATCCACAATAAAAATTATTATGGCTAATAGAAGTTCAACAAGGTTCATGATACAAGATCAATATACGAAATAAATTACAAAATATGTGAAATAAATTATATTCCTATATACTAGCAATGAACAATTAAAATGAAATTAAAACAATTCCAGGCTGGGTGCGGTGGCTCATGCCTATAATCCCAGCACTTTGGGAGGCTGAGGCCAGCAGATTCCTTGGGGTCAGGAGTTTGACACTGGCAAAAAAATAAAAAATAAAATAAAATAAAATATTTAGGAATAAATTTAACAAAAGTTCAGGTAGGGAGTGGTCACTCAAGCTTGTCATCCCATCGCTTTGGGAGGCCAAGGTGGGAGGATTGCTTGAGGCCAGGAGTTTGAGACCAGCCTGGGCAACATAGTGAGACCATCTGTAAAAAAAAAAATACAATTAAAAATTTTTAAAAAAGAAGTTCGAAAGAAAAGAAAAGAAGTGGGCCAGGCATGGTGGCTCACGCCTGTAATCCCAAGAACACTTTGGGAGGCTGAGGTGGGCGGATCATCTCAGGTCAGAAGTTCAAGACCAGCCTGGCCAATATGGTGAAACCCCATCTCTACTAAAAATAAAAAGAACTAGCTGGGTGTGGTTGCGTGTGCCTGTAGTTCCAGCTACTCGGGAGGCTGAGGCAGGAGAATCACTTGATCCCAGGAGGTGGAGGTTGCAGTGAGCTGAGATCACACCACTGCACTCCAGCCTGGGTGACAGAGCGAGACTGCATCTCAAAAGAAAATAGAAGAAGCGGCCGCCAGGCGCGGTGGCTTGTGCCTGTAATGCCAGCACTTTGGGAGGCGGAGGCAGGCGGATCACGAGGTCAGGAGATCTAAACCATCCTGGCTAACACGGTGAAACCCCGTCTCTACTAAAAAAATACAAAAAATTAGCTGGATGAGGTGGCGGGCGCCTGTAGTCCCAGCTACTCGGGAAGCTGAGGCAGGAGAATGGTATGAACCCGGGAGGCAGAGCCTGCAGTGAGCCGAGATCGCGCCACTGCACTCCAGCCTGGGCAACAGAGCGAGACTCCATCTCAAAAAAAAAAAAAAAGAAAAGAAGCGGCCAAATGAGTAAACTCAGACTGGTCCAAGGGAGGCCTTCCATGGCCCAGACACTGGAGCTGAGAAGTAGGATTCCATTAACACAGAAAAGATGCCAAAAGGGCTTTCTCCGTGGAAAAAGGCAAGATGAGAACAGTGTGTACTGTTAGTTTGGAATGTGTGAGTGTGAATGCATCCATATTTTAATTGATCCAAAAGAAAAAAAAATAATGCTTACATTACGGAAAGGGGCCTTGATATTTCCTTTTTTGCCCCTCTTGAGTGAGTGAGAAATTGCACATCTCTCATGGAAAGGGCACCAAGAACTGGCTGGGAGGAGAAGCTGTGTTTCTCTATTTCTTTTTAGGACGTGCATTTCCTTTCTCCCCCTGTGGGGTTACTTGCCGGAAGCGGTAGGGTGAGCCCACGTTTGGCCTGCGAGCCGGCCAGAGCCCTGGGAGCTGCCTCTCCCTTGTGCCTCACTGTAAAGATGGAATTTTCTAGTGCTGTCCTCTATGGCAACCACTAGCTCGCCACATATGGCTATTTGCATTTAAATTTTATTTATTTATTCTTTATTTTCTATTTTTATTTTTGAGATAGAGTTATGCTATTGTTGCCCAGGCTGGAGTGCAATGTGCTGGTCTCAGCTCACTGCAACCTCCACCTCCCGGGTTCAAGCGATTCTGCCTCAGCCTCCCGAGTAGCTGGGATTACAGGCGCCCACCATCATGCCCGGCTAATTTTTGTATTTTTAGTAGAGATGGGGTTTCACCATGTTGGTCAGGCTGGTCTTGAACTCCTGACCTCAGGCAATCCGCCCTTCTCGTCCTCCCAAAGTGCTGGGATTACAGGTGTGAGCCATTGCACCTGTATTGCAGGTGGTGTCACGCCTGTAATCCCAGCACTTTGGGAGGCTGAGGTGGGTGGATCATTTGAGGTCAGGAGTTCAAGACCAGCCTGGCCAACATGGTGAAACCCCACCTCTACTGAAAATACAAAAATTAGCTGGGCATGGTTGCGGGCGCCTGTAGAACCAGCTACTCGGGAGGCTGAGGCAGGAGAATCACTTGAACCCGGGAGGTGGAGGTTGCAGTGAGCAGAGATCGTGCCACTGCACTCCAGCCTGGGTGACAGAGCAAGACTCTGTCTCAAAAAAAAGCAAAATGAAATAAAAAAAAAAAAAAAGAAAGTCCAGTTTCTGGCCAGGCATGGTGCCTCACACCTGTAATCCTAACACTTTTGGAGGCCAAGGTGGTAGGATCGCTTGATCCTAGGAGTTCAAGAGCAGCCTGGGCAACATAGTGAGACCCCCGTCTCTACACGAAAGTGGCACACACCTGTAGTCCAAGCTACTCGGGAGGCTGAGGCGAGAGGATTGCTTGAGCCCAGGATGTCAAGGCTGCAGTGAGCTATGATTGCCTCACTGCACTCTAGCCTGGGGAACAGAGTGAGACCCTGTCTCTAAACATAAATAAATAAACAAACAGAGAAATGAAGGAGAGGGAGATATTGTACATAAAAGAATTTAAGAAAATTCAAGAAATTTTCTCAGAACAAATGACATGAGAATACGATTGAAAGACCCAGCAACGGAAACAGATCAATGGCCATGCGCATGGCTCATGCCTGTAATCCCAGCATTTTGGGAAGCCAAGGCAGGAGGATCGCTTGAGCCCAGGAGTTCAAGACCAGCCTGGAAAACATAATGAGAACCTGCCTCTAAAAAAAAAAAAAAAGAAAGAAAAAGAAGGCCGGGTGCGGTGGCTCACGCCTGTAATCCCAGCACTTTGGGAGGCTGAGGCAGGCGGATCACAAGGTCAGGAGATCGAGACCATCCTGGCCAACACGGTGAAACCCCGTCTCTACTAAAAATACAAAAATTAGCTGGGCTTGGTGGTGGGCACCTGTAGTCCAGCTACTCGGTAGGCTGAGGCAGGAGAATGGCTTGAACCCGGGAGGCAGAGGTTGCAGTAAGCCAAGATCACGCCACTGCACTTCAGCCTGGTGACAGAGCAAGACTCTGTCTCAAAAAAATAAAAAATAAAGAAAAGATAAAAGAAAAGAAAGGAAAGCAGGCCGGGCGCGGTGGCACACACCTATAATCCCAGCACTTTGGGAGGCTGGGGCGGGTGGATCACCTGAGGTCAGAAGTTTGCAACCAGCCTGACTAACATGGTGAAACCCCATCTCTACTAAATACAAAGAAATTAGCTGGGCATGGTGCCACATGCCTGTAATCGGAGCTGCTTGGGAGGCTGAGACAGGAGAATTGCTTGTACCTGGGAGGTGGAGGTTGCAGTGAGCTGAGATCGTGCCATTGCACTCCAGCCTGGGCAACAAGAGTGAAACTCCGTCTCAAAAAAAAAAAAAAAAGGGAAACAGATCAAGGCATGTCACTGATAAATGTCAGTCCACCAAGGACAAGGAAAAGAAACAACAGGTTACATACAAAGGCATAGGAATCAGAATGATCTTGGATTTCTCTACAGTAGCACTGGATATTAGAAAACAATAGAGTGACTCTTCCAAATTCTGAAGGAAAATGAGCTCTAATGCAGAATTCTATACCCAGCCTGACTGTCCATCAAGTACAAGGACAGAAAAAAAGACTTTTCAGATTTGCAATGTCTCCAAAAATATACCCGCTATGTGCCTCTGTCAGGAAGCTCAAAAGAACAAGGAAGCAAAACCCAGAAAGAGTTAGAATTTGTGCTACAACAGGATCCAAACCAGAGATGAAGGGATGAAGGTGAAAGGTGATCCCAAGATGGCGGCTATGCCCAGGCTGGAGCAGGCCAGAAGGCCATAAGAGCAACTTCTTCAATAAGATGAAATTGACAAGGCCAGGCACAGTGGCTCACACCTGTAATCCCAGCACTTGGGAGGCCGAGGTGAACAGATTACTTGAGGCCAGGAATTTGAGACCAAGCTCTTCAATATGGCGAAACCCCACTTTACAAAAAATACAAAAATTAGCTGGGCGTGGTGGTGCACGACTGTAATCCCAGCTATTTGGGAGGCTGAGGCATGAGAATCGCTTGAACCCAGGAGGCAGAGGCTGCAGTGAGCCAAGATCGTGCCACTGTGCTCCAGCCTGAGTGACAGAGAGAGACCCTGTCTCAAAAAAAAAAAAAAAAGAAAAAAGAAAAAAGAAATTAACAGAGTATCTGATACTTCTAACATATTAAGTATATTAATATACTTCTGAACATACCAAGAAGAGATTTAGACAGTAAACAGATAATTTGGGTTTGAATTAGTTAACCACAAAGAAAACACAGCCATGAAGCAACTGAAAAAGGAAAGAAAAAGAAAAAAGACAGTTACTAACCTCAAGAAAAATAGACCAGGCATGGTGGCTCACACCTGTAATCCCAACACTTTGGGAGGCTGAGGTGGGCAGATCCCTTGAGCTCAGGAGTTTGAGACCAGCCTGGCCAACATGGTGAAACCCCCTATCAGCTGGGAGCTATGGCTCCCGCCTGTAATCGTAGCACTTTGGGAGGCTGAGGCAGGCCAATCACTTGAGGTCAGGAGTTTGAGACCAGCCTGGCCAACATGGTGAAACCCCACCTCTACTAAAATTACCAAAATTAGCCAGGCGCAGTGGCGCACGCCTGTAGTCCAGCTAATCGGGAGGCTGAGGCAGGAGAATCACTTGAACCTGGGAGGCACAGATTGCAGTGAGCCAAGATCACGCCACTGCACTCCAGCCTGGGCAACATAGTGAGACCCTGTCTCAAGAAAAAAAAGAAAGAAAAACAAAGAATTGTGTAGGAGAGGAAAGTAATCACGGTTTACTACTGTGGCAGCTGTGAGAGCATTTACATAGTCATAACATGTAAACACTGAATATTCATCTGTCAGAGTCACAATGTGGGAGGCTGAATTGATTTAAATAAGAGTATGAGTATGTCTTCCATAGTGAGAAGCGGATGGAAAAATGCCTAAAATTGAAAAATCAAGAGGTAGTCATGCAAACATGGTATTTAGAGATAGGGAGATAAATCACAAAGTGATACAATAAACAAGGTGAAAGTAGATTCCTCTGGGCTGAGAGAAATGGAGGGTGCCATTTTTTTCCTTAAAGATAAAATTCTTTCCAGGCACGGTGGCTCGTGCCCGTAATCCTGGTGCTTTGGGAGGCTGAGGCAGGAGGATCACTTGAGCCTGGGAATTCAAGACCAGCCTAAGCAACATAGTGAGAACCCCATCTCTACACACACACACACACACACACACATTAAAAAATTAAAATTAGGCCGGGCCCGGTGGCTCATGCCTGTAATCCCAGCACTTTGGGAGGCCGAGGTGGGCAGATTACCTAGGTCAGGAGTTCGAGACCAGCCTGGCCAACGTGGCGAAACCCTGTCTCTATTGAAAATACAAAAGTTAGCTGGGCGTGGTGGCAGGCTTCTGTAATCCCAGCTACTCAGGAGGCTGAGGCAGGAGAATCACTTGAACCCAGGAGGCAGAGGTTGCAGTGAGCCAAGATCACGCCACTGCACTCCAGCCTGGGTGACAAAGCAAGACTCCATCTCAAAAAAATAAATAAATAAAATAAAATTAATCAGATGTGGGGGTGCACACCTGTAGTCCCAGCTGCTTGGGAGGCTAAGGCGGGAGGATCACTTGAGCCCAGGAGCTTGAGGCTGCAATGAGCTGTGACTATGCCACTGCACTCCAGCCTGGGTGACAGAGTGCGACCTTGACTCCCAAACCAAACTAAACTAAACTGAAATTCTTGTATCTGACTCTCCAAACTATGTGGATGGAGAACTCTGATAAATATAGAACTAAAAATTAGAAAAAAAAGAAAAAGTAACAAGGGATACTGGAGAAAAAGAATTCAGCAGAAGCAGGAAATTAGAGCAAGAGATGACAATGAGAAACACAGGGGTGTCCTTTGTGAATCATGAAGCTTCTAGGGAGGGGGACAAAAGGAGTGATTCTGGGTTACTCAGTGCACATGTGAGGCAATATAGCCTAGTGGTGAGAACCTGGGCTGTAGAACTGGGCTGCCAGGGTTCCAGTCCTAGTTCTGCCACTTAGCAGATGCAAGAAGCTTGCTGCTCCTCATGTTTCCAATCATACCCACCTAAGATTTTTTATGAGGTCTTAAGGGTTTAGTTGTGTTCCCTCACCAAATTCACATATTGAAGTCCTAGCCCCTAGTACTTCAGAATGCGACCTTATTTGTATATAGGGCCTCTGCAGAGGGAATCCAGTTAAAATGAGATCATTAAGGTGGGCTCTAATCCAGTATGACTAGTGTCCTTATAAAAAGGGGAACTTGGGCCGGGCGCAGTGGCTCACGCCTGTAATCCAAGCACTTTGGGAGGCCGTGGCAGGCGGATCACCTGAGGATGGGAGTTTGAGACCAGCCTGAGCAATATGGTGAAACTCCGTCTCTACTAAAAATACAAAAATTAGCGGGGCTTGGTGGCACACGCCTGTAATCTCAGCTACAGGAGGGAGGCTGAGGCAAGAGAATCACTGGAACCCGGGAGGTGGAGGTTGCAGTGAGCCGAGATTGTGCCACTGCACTCCAGCCGGGGCAACAAGAGTGAAAGTCCGTCTCAATTAAAAAAAAAAAAAGCGGGGAGGGGGAGGGGGGAGCTTGACTGGGTTCGGTGGTTCACACCTGTAATCCCAGCACTTTGGGAAGCTGAGGTGGGTATATCACCTGAGGTCAGGAGTTCGAGACCAGCCTGGCCAACATGGCAAAAACCCATCTCTGCTAAAAATACAAAAATTAGCCAGGCGTGGTGGCGGATGCCTATAATACCAGCTACTAAGGAGGCTGAGGCAGGAGAATCACTTGAACCCAGAGGGCAGAGGTTGCAGTGAGCCGAGATCATGTCACTGCACTCCAGCCTGGGCAACACTCCATCTCAAAAAAAAAAAAAAAAAAGAACTTGGCCACAGAGACACAAACAGAGGGAAGATGATGGGAAGAGATACAGGGATCAAGAGTCAACAGCCAAGGAGAGGCAGGCCTGGACAGATCCTTCCCTCACAGCCCTCTGAAGGAGCCAAGAGGATGCCTAGCCTCCAGGACTATGAATCAAAACATTGATTTGATTAATTTTTTGCAAACTAATTGTGAACTTAAATTAGTTAGAACAGGACTTGATATATAATAAACATCAAAGTAAATTAAAAAGATACAGGAGTAGACCAAGGAGGGTGGCTCACGCCTGTAATCCCAGCACTTTGGGAGGCCGAGACGGGCGGATCACAAGGTCAAGAGTTCAAGGTGGATCAACCTGGCCAAGATGGTGAAACCCCATCTCTACTAAAAATACAAAAATTACCCGGGCATAGTGGCAGATGCCTGTAATCCCAGCTACTCAGGAGGCTGAGGCAGAGAATTGCTTGAACCCAGGAGGCGGAGGTTGTAGTGAGCCGAGATCGCGCCACTGCACTCCAGCCTGGACAACAGAGTGAGACTCTGTCTCAAAAAAAAAAAAAAAAAAAAAAAAAGAAAAGAAGATATAGGAATGATCCCAAGCCCTGGCAAGGAGGCAAGAAGGATATGGAACAAGTAGAACTCTCTTGCATTGCTGATGAGAGTGTAAATTGGTACAACCACTTTGGATTTTTGTTGTTGTTGTTTTGTTTTGTTTTGTTGTTTTGAGAGGGAGTCTCACTCTGTCAGCCAGGCTGGAGTGCAGTGGTGTGGTCTTGGCTCACTGCAACCTCTGCCTCCAGGGCTCATGCAGTTCTCCTACCTCAGCCTCCTGAGTAGCTGGGATTACAGGTGCCTGCCAGCACACCTGGCTAATTTTTGTATTTTTTTGTAGAGACAGGGTTTCGCCATGTTGGCCAGGCTGGTCTCGAACTCCTGACTTCAAGTGACCTGCCTGCCTCAGCCTCCCAAAGTGCTGGGATTACAGGCATGAGCCACTGTGCCTAACTGTTTTGGAAGATGTCTGACAGTATCTGTTATAGCTAAGCATACTCTCCCTATGACCGGGTAGTTCCACCTATGGGAATACAACCAAGGAAAAGGAATGTGTATGTCCCCCAAACACTTGTACAAGAATGTTCATAGTAGAATATTCATAATGGGCCAAGGTGTGGTGGCTCACGCCTGTAATCCCAGCACTTTGGGAGTCCGAGGTGGGCAGATCACTTGAGGTCAGGAATTTGAGACCAGCCTGGCCAACATGGTGAGACCCCGTCTTTACTAAAAATACAAAAATTAGCCGGGCATGGTGGTGTGTGCCTGTAATCCCACCTGCTCAGGAGACTGAGGCAGGAGAATCGCCTGAACCTGGGAGGTGGAGGTTGCAGTGAGCAGAGATTGCACCACTGGACTCCAGTCTGGGCAACAGAGGAAAACTCTGTCTGAAAAAATAAATAAATAAATAAAAATAAAAAATAAAAAAAAAAGAGGCAATTACACATGTTTAAAAAAGAGAATATTCAGCTAGGCATGATGGCTTATGCCTGTAATCCCAGCTCTTTTGGAGGCCAAGGCGGTTGGATCACCTGAGGTCAGGAGTTTGAGGCCAGTCTGGCCAAGATGGTGAAACCCCATCTCTACTAAACATACAAAAATTAGCTGGGCGTGGTGGCAGGCGCCTGTAATTCCAGCAACTTGGGAGGCTGAGGCAGGAGAACCGCTCAAACCCAGGAGACGGAGATTGCAGTGAGCCGAGATCGCGCAACTGCACTCCAGCCTGGGCAATAGAGAGAGACTCTGTTTCAGAAAAAAAAAAAAAAAAAGAAAGAAAGAAAGAAAGAAAAAGAAAGAAGAGAAAAGAAAAAAAGCAATATTCATAATGGCCAAACACTGGCAATAACCTGAATGTCCACCAGCAGTAGAATGAAAGAATTATGGTATATTTATATAATGGTATACTCAACGGTATTCAGCAATGAAGGAACAATCTGGTGATAACACTGAGGAAAATAAGCCAGACAGGAAGGTATTATATGCACTGTTTGATTCTGTTTAGAGGACGTTCAAAATCAGGCAAAACTAATTATATGATATTCTATGGTGACTGGAGGGGCAGGGGAAGCTTTATGAGAAGCCGGGAAATTCACCATACCTTAATCTGGACCTGGTCACATGGATGTCTATGAATGTATAAATAATGAGTTGCACGCTTTTTGTACCTCACTGTACCTCACTGTATCTATGTATATATCTCAATAAAAAAAAGATGAAAAATATCTATAAAAAGACACGGGATGAGGCCTCAGCTATTTTTACTTATTAAAGGCTGGTGATGTGGCTGACATTTGTATGGGAAAAAAAATACAGGTATCCTGCTTTCTCTGAACTCAAGGCGGGGACAGATTTAGGTTCATTTTGAGAGATGGGGCTGGTCTGTCTTGCTAGTCACATTCTCACCACTTGCTATCCAAAACTTGGGAACCAAGTAGATTTGGAAAGTGCCATCCGCTGGATACGGTGGCTCACGCCTGTAATCCCAGCACTTTGGGAGGCCGAAGCAGGTGAATCACTTAAGGTTAGGAGTTCAAGACCAGCCTGACCAACATAGTGAAATCACATGTCTACTAAAAATAGAAAAATTAGCCGGGGATGGTGGTATATGCCTGTAATCCCAAATACTCGGGAGGCTGAGGCAGGAGAATCGCTTGAACCCGGGAAGCGGAGGTTGCAGTGAGCCGAGATTGCAGCACTGCACTCCAGCCTGGGCAACAGAGCGAGACTCCATCTCAAAAAAAGAAAATGGGATCCCCCCCGCCCGCCCACTGAGAGTCTCTGAATTCTTGCTCTCCCACTGCAAGGACTGAGCAGGCTGGCAGTGTGAGGTATCCCTGAAGGGGTAAAAGAGGAAAGTGATTCTGTTTGCAGCCATCCCTGCCTTCTGAGGAAGGCGCAAGTGAAGCAGAGGTGGGAGGTGGCAGCCTGGAAAGGCACCCTGTTTTGTGTGAGAGAGAGAGAGAGAGAGAGAAGAGAGAATCTGGAATTCTCAGGGTCCTTCCTGGAGGGAAGGGCTGGCGAGAAGAAAACGGAAGAAGGGGGAAGGGGGAGAGATGAGTCAGCAGGCTGGCTGGGGAGAATGCTCTGGGTGAGTAAGGAAGTGAAAAAGTCCCAGGGTCCTGGGGGGCGGCCAGCGCCCTTTTATATTTTCTGTTCATTATGTTGACTAGGAAACTTTTTGCATTTGGGTGATGTCGACCTGGGCGGTCCAGTGCAGCAGTGACACGCCACTAGGGCTGTGGATCACTTGAAATGTGGTCACTCTGAACCTAGATGTGCTGTGAGTGTAAAATGCCACAGATATCAAAGACAGCGTGTGGGGAAAAAAATTATGTAAACGGTCTCACCCATGTTTATACTGATTACGTGTCAAAATAATATTTTGGACATAGTTAGGTAAAATATATTATTAAAAGTAATTTCCAGCCAGGCGCGGTGGCTCACGCCTGTAATCCCAGCACTTTGGGAGGCTGAGGCGGGTGGATCACGAGGTCAGGAGATCGAGACCATCCTGGCTAACACGGTGAAACCCCGTCTCTATTAAAAATACAAAAAATTAGCTGGGCGTGGTGGTGGGCGCCTGTAGTCCCAGCTACTCGGGAGGCTGAGGCAGGAGAATGGCGTGAACCCGGGAGGCGGCGCTTGCAGTGAGCCGAGATTGTGCCACTGCACTCCAGCCTGGGCAACAGAGCGAGACTCTGTCTCAAAAAAAAAAAAAAAAAAAAAAATTTTTTTTTTTGTGAGTCAAGGGGGTCTCACTATGTTTCACAGGCTGGTCTTGAACTCCTGGTCTTAAGTGATCCTCTCACCTTGGCCTCACAAAGCTTTAGGATTACAGGTGTGAGCCACTGCATTGGGCATTAGAAATTTTTTTAAGCCAGGCATGGTGGCTCACGCCTCTAATCCCAGCACTTTGGGAGGCTGAGGCAGGCAGATCACCTCATGTCAGGAGTTCAAGACCAGCCTGACCAACATGGTGAAACCTCATCTCTACCAAAAATACAAAAATTAGCCAGGCATAGTAGTGCACGCCTGTAATCCCAGCTACTCAGGAGGCTGAGGTGGGAGAATTGCTTGAACCCAGGGAAGGCGGAGGTTGCAGTGAGCTGAGATCGAACTACTGCACTCCAGCCTGGGCAACAGAGTGAGATCCTGTCTCAAAACAAACAAAAACAGAAATCAGATCATACCCTTCCTTACGTAAAATCTCCACACCTCAAGGCTTCTCACCGCCTTTAGCATAAAGTCCAGCCCTGACCTTGGCCTCATGCCCAGAATCCTCCCCTCATCTACTCTCTCACCTCAGCTCCTTGCCCTTCAACCACACTGGCCTTCTTGCTGTTCCTCCAGTAAACCAACACTGCACCTTCCTCAGGCCCTTTGCACACTCTGTTCCCTCCGTCTGAAGGCTCTGCTTCCGGAAGTCCACCTGGCTAGCTCTTTCACCTCCTGCAGGGCTCTGCACAAATGTCACCTCCTCCGAGAAGCCCACCCTGAACACCCTGGTGAAAATATCCCAGCCCTGCCGCCCTCTAGCTCACCATCACTTTCTGAAGAGATCTTGATTTTTCTGTTTGCATGTTTATTGTTCATTTCCCACCTCTAGACCTAGGAATCGGGTCTATTTGTTCACCGCTTAGCGTACAGCAGAGGATAAGAAAAATGCACACGGAAGGACTGAGTAAATGCAGGACGGGGAGAGAGTTACTGTGCTCAGCCTTGTTGTATTCGTGGGCTGCACTTTGGGGCCTGAACTCAACTTTTTTTGTATTGTTTTCTTTTTGAGACGGAGTCTGTCTCTGTTGCCCAGGCTGGAGTGCAATGGCACAGTCTCGGCTCACTGCAACCTCCGCCTCCTGCATTCAAGCGATCCTCCTGCCTCAGCCTCCCAAGCAGCTGAGATTACAGGCGCCCGCCACCACGCCCGGCTAATTTTTGTATTTTAAGTAGAGACAAGGTTTCATCATGTTGGCCAGGCTGTTCTCAAACTCCTGACCTCAAATGATCTGCCCGTCTCGGCCTCCCAAGAGCCTGTTGCCGCACCCAGCCTAATTTTTGTATTTTAAGTAGAGATGGGGTTTCACTATGTTGGCCAGGTGGTCTCCAACTCCTGACCTGAAGTGATCTGCCCGTCTCCGCCTCACAAAGTGCTGGGATTATAGGCGTGAGCTACTGCGCCTGGCCTCTGAATTTAACTTCATCCCTATGATTTGGGAAAGGGATGTAAAAAGATAAGAAACACAATCTAAGCATTGATTCCAGTGAGTTCAGGTCTAATGATAATGATAATATCAGCAAACACCTATAGTGCACCGGGCACTGTTCTAAATAAATAAATAAATGTTCTGAGTGGACTAACTAGTTTAATTCTTTTTTTTTTTTTTGAGACGGAGTCTCGCTCTGTCGCCAGGCTGGAGTGCAGTGGCATGATCTCGGCTCACTGCAACCTCCGACTCCCAGGTTCAAGCGATTCTCCTGCCTCAGCCTCCCAAGTATCTGGGACTACAGGCGCGTGCCACCACGCCCAGCTAATTTTTGTATTTTTTGTAGAGACCAGGTTTCACCATGTTGGCCAGGATGGTCTCGATCTCCTGACCTTGTGATCCGCCTGCCTTGGCCTCTGAAAGTGCTGGGATTACAGGCATGAGCCACCGTGCCCGGCTTACTAGTATAATTCTTGTAACAACCTTATGATCATTACAGTGGGGATACTCTTGTTATCCTCATTTTACAGAGGAGGAAACAGAGGTTCAGAGAGGCTGAGTAACTTGCCCAAGGTCACAAAGCCAAGAAGGGGAAGAGCAAAGATTTGAGCCCCATCAGTCTCACCCCAGAATCCAGAAATACTGCATCCCAGAAAATATCCCAAGGAGCCTGCTCCTGGGAGGAGGAGTCCACTTCCACCCTCAGTGACCTCCGCCCTCCAAGCTGACCCACCCAGGGCTGACCTCTGGGACTGAATGAATGAACCTGGACCCCTTGCCATCTTTGAGCATCCTCAGGTCCCCAGCGGCCCAACCCCCACCCCCGGCCCGAGTCTGCGCTGACCCTGCCTTGAGCTGAGTGAGCGCTTCCTCTACGCGGGGCTGGTTGTAGCGCACCATGTAGCTGTGCATGTCGGGATAGTTGCTGCGGATGTTCTTCTCCGTGGAGCCGTTGGGCACGGTCCCAAACTTCAGGGGCGGGTACTGCTCCTGGGGCCTCTGGAACTGGGGCAGAATGGGGAGTGATTAGGGCACCCTCCGCAGGGACATCCCTAACATAAATCACCCATTCTGAGACACACCCGCTATCTGGCAGACACCCCAGTCCCAGGAGTGTTCAATATTTCTCAACACTCGCTCACTACATTAGGGAATGCTTTTCCACTCCCACCCAGCACACACGGTTGCAGACACGTGATCCAAAAGTTCACGAGAAGCCTCCCTGAGGCCCCTGATGTGCCAGGTGTTAAGTCTTCACTTACTGAATCGCGGGAGGTCCTGGGAGTAGAGGCTGGCATGGCAGGAGCTGGGAGCTGTTGCTATTTACCAATCCGTTCAGAAATAGTTCACTTTTTTTTTTTTAAACGGAGTCTTGCTCTTGTTGCCCAGGCTGGAGTGCAATGGCACACTGTCAGCTCACTGCAACCTCCGCCTCCCAGGTTCAACTGATTCTCCTGCCTCAGCCTCCCGAGTAGCTGGGATTACAGGCACATACCACCATGCCCAGCCAGTTTTGTATTTTTAGTAGAGATGGGGTTTCTCCATGTTGGTCAGGCTGGTCTCGAACTACCAACCTCAGGTGATCCGCCCGCCTTGGCCTCCCAAAGTGCTGGGATTACAGGCATAAGCCACCGCGCCCAGACAACTAAAACAAGTTTTGTAAAACCAAACTTATACATAAGATGCAGGCAACTATTCTATTCTACTCCATTCCATTAAAAAATGCTTATTGCAACCCATCAAACTGATTTCTCAAGCCTCTAATAGGTCATGACACCCAGCTAGTTAATCACTTTAGTCTCAAAGTATGCTCTGCAAACCACCAGTCCCTCAACAAACGGTGATTGCAGTGAGATGTGTACAGGAATGGAGAGAGTGAGCATTTAGAGTGATTTGACAGAATTCTTTTTCGTCTGTTGAATCTAATAAATAAAAATGTGAGTTTGGCTTTTTTTTAGGCAGAGTCTCGCTCTGTCACCCAGGCTAGGAATCAGTTCTATTTGTGGCGTAATCATGGCTCACTGTAACCTCCGCCTCCCGGGTTCAAGCGATTCTCCTGCCTCAGCCTCCCAAGTAGCTGGGACTACAGGCACCCACTACCACGCCTGGCTAATTTTTGTATTTTTATTAGAGACGAGGTTTCACTATGTTGGCCAGGCTGGTCTCGAACTCCTGACCTCAGGTGATCCACCCACCTCGGCCTCCCAAAGTGCTGGGATTACAGGCGTGAGCCACCGTTCCTGGCCAGGTTTGACTTTTGTCTGTCTTGGTTTTAGATCTTATTTTACTTTTCTAATAATTCATTTCCGTTGAATTTTACAAAAGCATTGTCTGCAATGGACTAGCAGTTTTTTGTTTTTTTGAGACAGAGTCTAACTCTGTCGCGCTGGCTGGAGTGCAGTGGGGCGATCTCGGCTCACTGCAAGCTCTGCCTCCTGGGTTCACGCCATTCTCCTGCCTCAGCCTCCCGGGTAGCTGGGACTACAGGTGCCTGTCACCACGCCCGGCTAATTTTATGTACTTTTAGAAGAGACGGGGTTTCACCGTGTTAGCCAGGATGGTCTCGATCTCCTGACCTCGTGATCCGCCCGCCTCGGCCTCCCAACGTGCTGGGATTACAGGTGTGAGCCACCGCGCCCAGCCTTAGAAGTTTCAAAAATTAATCCTTCCTCACAGTTTGAGAGAAGCACTGGTTCTAGAATATCCTATTTGACACAACTGCCCCTAGAACATTCAGGGACACCCTCTTCCCTAGGAATATTTTAAATAGCTCATCGTGAACCGTGTTCTTTCTTCATCCACAACATTCCATTCTACCATTCTGGAATTCTCCTTGGGAAGAGACCCCTTCCCGCCCTCCCCCCACCCCTCTCACCCCCGCCCCCCGCAAGAATCCCCTCTAATCTACCACATGACAAGCTCTGTGACCTCCAGCCCCAGCCCCAGCTCCAGCCCAGCCCTGGGCCCACACACACCTTGCGGTCACTGAGCCCAGACACAGTATCCACGTACTCCTCCTGGATCATGAAGGCGGCCAGGTTGGCTGTGTAGCTGGCGAGGAAGATGACGGCGAAGAAGGCCCACACCAGCACCATGATTTTGCTGGTGGTTCCCCGGGGGTTCTCCACGGGCACCGAATTATTGAACACCAGGGCCCAGAGCAGCCAGATGGATTTCCCAATGGTGAAGGTTGAACCGCCAGGGCCTGCAGGGGGCCAGGACGTGGACATGGACCCCAAATCCCTTCTCAATAAGGAAGGGAAAAAAAAAAAAAGAAAGAACTACAATTCCCAGTGGCCCTCAAGGCATCTGGCACCTCCCGAGAGGCCCTAGCTTGACCGCCCCCCCTCCAGGGGCTGCTGGGAAATGTAGTTCTCTGTCTCTGTGGTTCGGGATCTCCGAGGCGGGGGATGGAGGAAGGGGGACTCACGCTTGCCCGTGGCCAGGCTGCGGTTGTAACCAACAGGACTGAGGTACTCGAAGATGAAAACAGTGACGGCGACCACAGTGAGGCACATGACGAACATCATCACCCACACGGCGGGGCTGTAGGGCTCTGGGGACAAGGGAGTGCGTGGTTATGGCTCAGCCAAGCAAAAGACTCGGGGATCAGGCTGGGGCGGTGCCTCACGCCTGTACTCCCAGAACTTTGGGAGGCTGAGGCAGGAGGATCACTTGACGCCTGGAGTTCAAGACCAGACTGGCCTTGAACTCCCTGTCTCTACAAAAAAAAAAAAGGAAGAAAAAAGAAAGAAAAAAAACCCTAGGGTACTACCAGCAGGGAACAAGGTGCAGCCCAGATCTGACCCCATCCTATTCTGGCCCTATCTCTGCTTCTCCATCTCCAAGATAGTCTTATGGCACACCCATACCCCTAGGAGGCAGCCATTCTCAAAGAGAGCCGTCGCAGGCATTTCTGTGGTTTCAGCCACCAAATAGAAACTGTCTCCTAAATGTTTCCTGAGTCACAGGCCCAAGCCTCCACCTACCCCAGCCATCTCCTCAGGCCATTCATCATGTCCCATGCTGAGCCCAGACCAGCTCCCACGCTCCTCATGATGGGAGCCCCACCATCCACCCAGTCACAGGCCCAAACCTCATTTGCCGTCCTCCCTTCCTCCCTCCTTCTCCCTCGCTGGCCACAGCCTGTCAGTATCCAGCCCCACGCTCCTGCCCCTGATGCTACTTGGGCCTCTCCTCTCCATTCTCATGGCCAACAGGGCTCAGGCCTCATCTCCTCCCACCAACCATTTCCCCAGCCTCCTGAGCTCCTGTCTGTCCCCTACAGCCTATCCCCCACACAGCACAGAGAGGACCTGGCCCCTCCCCTGCTTACAGCCCTCCCCAGGCTCCCTAGCACCCCCAGGACAAAGTCCCTGCCACTCAGCCTTGTCACACTCTCCTTTCTGTCCTGATCACTCTCTCAAGCACCCATGCTTTACTCAAAACTCACAGGTGGCTGGGTGTGGTGGTTCACGCCTGTAATCCCAGTACTTTGGGAGGCCGAGGTGGGAGGATCACCTAAGGTCAGGAGTTCAAGACCAGCCTGGCCAACATGGTGAAACCCCATCTCTACTAAAAATACAAAATTAGCTGGGTGTCGTGGTGGGCGCCTGTAGTCCCAACTACTCAGTAGGCTGAGGCAGGAGAATTGCTTGAACCCAGGAGGTGGAGGTTGCAGTGAGCTGAGATCGTGCCACTGCACTCCAGCCTGGGTGACAGAGCAAGACTCTGTCTCAAAAAAAAAAAAAAAAAAGAACTCGCAGGTGCCTGAATCAGCGACACCCTCTCTTCCTTGTCTCCTAGGTGTCCCTGCTAGAGTTAACACCCTGCCCTGTCCATTAGACAACCTCCCATTCATGTGTCCCCTCCTCACATTCGATAACTGTGTTTAGCCCCTGGGAGCTCACCAACAATAAACCCAAATCACCATTTCATTGAGATTAGGACCAGGTGATTCAACTTTCCAGGGCCAAGTGTGAGCTGTCAGGACTGCCCCCGTCACAGCAAGGTCAGCACCCTGGACTGTCACTGCGGCAGCTGGGGACACGCCTGTCACCTCTGCTGGGCAACTTGGTGGGGCATAAATAGGACCTTGTCACTCCTCTGCAGTGTGCTGCCTGCAAGCAGGGGCCCCACGTGGTGCTTCTCAGTGTGCCCTGCAGAGACCTTGGTGCAAAGGGGAGGCCACAGGAGACACCACTGGGCGAAATAAACAGAAAACAAAACACAAAGGAAGGGATGGCTCTTCTTCCAGCCCCTCCCCTCTCCCAGGAGCTTTGCTCACACTTCAGAGAGCAAGTGGGAACTGACAAGCACTGTTGCCCTTGGCCGATGTACGCTTCTCCAGCTCAGCAATGGTCCCTCTACCCAATCCATCTCAAAGCCACCAGCCCATCTGGTGGGCAGCTCTCTAACCACACCCTGCATCTGTCTGCTGTCACCTTCCTATTGCACACCCCCACTCTGTCTCTGGCATAAACCTTGCAGTAGCATCCCCACCAGCCACTTGCTTCCACAGAGTGGGATTTTTTTCTTTGTTCTTTTTTAGAGATAGGGTCTGGCTCTGTCATCCAGGCTGGAGTGCGGTGGTGCCATCTTGGCTCACTGCAACCTCTGCCTCCTGGGTTCAAGCCATCCTTACACCTCAGCCTCCGGAGTAGCTGGGATTACACAGAGCTGGATATTTTAAAAACTTAAATCTGATTATATATCCCCACACCATCTTCTGTAGTTAAAACCCTTGTCCGGGTGCAGTGGCTCACGCCTGTAATTCCAGCATTTTGGGAGGCTGAGGTGGGCAGATCACCTGAGGTCAGGAGTTTGAGATTAGGCTGGCCACCATGGTGAAACCCCGTCTCTACTAAAAATACAAAAATTGGCCAGGCGTGGTGGTGCATGCCTGTGATCCCAGTTACTTGGCAGGCTGAGGCAGGAGAATCGCTTAAACCTGAGAGGCAGGTTGAGGTTGCAGTGAGCCGAGATGGTGCCACTGCATTCCAGCCTGGGCGACAGAGTGAGACTCTGTCTGAAAAAAAAAAAAAGAGAGAGAGAGAGAGAAGTAGAAGCTTATCTTCTGCCTCCTTCACAAGGCTGAGAGATCCTACTGGACAGGGATTTGTGTCTTCCTCATTTGCCACTGTGTTCCCAGTGTGGAGCCCACCACCTGGCACATAGTAGATGCTCAGTAAACACTGATGGTGACTTAAGTGCTTACAAGGTATTGGTACCATGCTAATTTGTTCTCTTCATCTCATACCTAGTACAGGAAAACACTTGGGTTTTGTGGGGCCTGAAGCTTGCACAATTTGGAGGGCTCTCTTTGAGAAAAAATAATTCAACCTTATGAATACAAAACCAGGTGCAGGGCTTGGAAGCTGCAGTGCAAGAGAAGGCTCCTGAGCTCAAGCTTCTTTAGCCTCTTGATGAAATGTCTTCTGGGTAGGGAAATTATTTCTTCCATCTTGTAGATTAGGAAACTGAGGTTCAGAAATGATGTCACTTCACCGAAGTTGCACAGCGGGTTCAAGTACCGATGATACCGGGAACCCAGGTTTTCTGATCCCAGGGCCCACACGGTTGGGGACGGCTACTTTGCCTAGGGCTAGCTCCCTGTCCCAGGGCCCCAGATTACCGAGGAAGGCCGAGGGGGACACCGTGCCATTGCTGCGCGCCACCATGACGCTGATGCCGGTCTCCACGAAGGGGACGGAGAAGTCCACGATCTCGGAGCGCTCCTCGTTGATGGTGAGGGAGCCGATGGCCATGTCTGCGCGCTGGTAGAACACCTGGGGTGGGGGCGATGAGGAGTGGGCGGGGGAACCCGGCTCAAGCGGACAGACTGACACGGACGGCGAGCAGAGACGGGCCCCGGGAGCAGACCAGTGACAGGGTGAGGGAAGGGGCCAAGAGGGATTGCGAGGTGGGTGAGGAGGGGGACGAAGAGTGGGGCAGGGAAGGGCGGAGGTGAGAAATGGGGAACAAGATTGGGAATTGGTAGCCCGCGTCCTACCCGGCTGCTCCCAGCAAGACCTCAAGGCCTTGGTCCAGATCTTCCCAGCCCCACCCTCTTCCCCTAGATTCTCACCCTCCTGGCCCCTCCTCCTCTGTACCAAAGTCCCTCCTCCCAGCCCCGCCCCCTTCCCCTAGGAGTCCCACCCTCCTAGCCCCGCCTCCACTGCCCCAAAGTCCCTCCTCCCAGCCCTGCCCCCTTCCCCTAGGAGTCCCACCCTCCTAGCCCCGCCTCCTCTGCTCCAAAGTCCCTCCTCCAAACCCCGCCCCTGACACCTCCTGACCCCGCCCCCTGTTCCAAGGCATGTCCCTCCCGCGACCCCGCCCCAGGCCCCAATCAGGTGTTTCCTCAATTTGGCCGCGCCCCTGCCCCAGGGTGCCGACCTCTTTTTTTTTATTATTATTTTTTGAGACTGAGTCTCACTCTGTGCCCAGGCTGGAGTGCAGTGGCGCGATCTCCGCTTACTGCAACCTCCGCCTCCCGGGTTCAAGCAATTCTCCTGCCTCAGCCTCCCGAGTAGCTGGGATTACAGGCGCCCGCCACCACGCACGGCTAATTTTTTGCATTTTAGTAGAGACGGGGTTTCACCGTTTTGCCCAAACTGGTCTCGAACCCCTGAGCTCAGGCAATTCGCCCGCCTCGGCTTCCCAAAGTGCTGGGATTACAGGCGTGAGCCACCACGCCCGGCTGTGCCCGCCTCTCGACTCCGCCCCGAAGATTCCCCGCCTCCCGTCCGCCCCCTCACCTCCCCGATCATGCCGTTCCAGACGCCATCGATCTTCTTTCCGTGCTTGCCATTGGTGACCAGGTAGAGGTCGTAGCTGAAGCCGATGGTATGCGCCAGCCGCTTCAGAATGTCGATGCAGAAACCCTTGCAGCAGCGCTTTTCCGGGCGGGGGGCATCCGGTGGAGGGCTGCGGGCAGTGACCAGGCTTGGGGAGTTTGGGGACCCCCTCCTTAGACTCTCTCATGAAGAGAGGATATGGAGGAAGGGATAGGCGGCAGCTAAAACTATGGTTAGCGCTTTCAGGGGAAACTCAGGCTCAAAGAATTCTGAGGTTTGCCTAAGGTCACCAAGCTGGAGGGCTTTGTGGGTCCTGGGTCCCAAGGGAGGAGGGGGCTGGGGGCCCAGACTACTGGGCTTCACGGGAGGCGGGTTTTGGAGCCGGAACTCCTGGATCCCGAGCTGTCACCTGTGGGTTCGGTTGAGCTGGCTCCGGCAGGGGACGGAGTCTCGGATGCAGGTGCCGCTGATAGGGTCTGCAGGCTCCACGATGACAAACGGCCTTTCCTCCAGCGTGGCCACCGTGAGGTGCTGCGTGTCGTCCACTGGCTGCAGGAAGCGACCATAGCGGGACCACAGCGGGTACTTGAGGCGGAGCGTCTGCTGCTCCCAGCTGCCCACCTTGGCCAAAGGGAAAGAGAGTCAGGCTTCCTGGGAAGACTTCCCGGTGTATCCTGGCCTCCATGATCCTCTTCCCTCAGACCTAGGTGTGTGGGCAGCAGCTTCTTCCAAGACCCAGGAGCCCCTCCCACCTTCAGATCCCAGGACCCAGGAGTCCAGGCTCCTTGTCCCCTCCTCCCTCTTAGTCCACGACCTCAAGCCCCCCCTCTGCCAGGATGCAGGAGTCCACACCCTCTGCCATGCCTGAGGTCTGGGGCTACGACTCACCACCTCCCACGTCCTGTCTCTGGTGAGGGAGATGACCACCAGGGAGGGGTTCACTAGGAAGCCGTCCTCATTGAAGGAGTAATCCCGGTTATCCCACGTGATGTTCATGAAGTACCTGCCCAGGAGGAGGGAAAGGGGACATGCTGGGGCCTGGGCTGGACCTTGGCAGCGGAAGGCAGAGAAAGTCCCCTTTCTGCAGACCAGCCCCAGCCCCCAGCTGGAATCTCTCTTCTTTTACCTCCAAGGTCTCAAAAACACGAATATACCCCTTCCCTGCTCAGCACCCTCCCCTTGGCTGCCCAGTGCCCCCCAGGATAAGGTTCCAGACTCTCTTTCAGCTTGGTGTTGAGGCCCTAGAGTCCCCTTTTCTTTCCTTCTTTTTTAAAGTAGAGATGGGGTTTCACTATTTTTCCCAGGCTGGTCTTTTTTTTTTTTTTTTTTTTTGAGACAGAGTCTTGCTCTGTCTCCCAGGCTGGAGTGCAGTGGTATGATCTTGGCTCACTGCCACCTCCACTTCCTGGGTTCAAGTGATTCTCCTGCCTCAGCCTCCCAAGTAGCTGGGATTATAGACATGCACCACCATGCTTGGCTAATATTTTGTTTGTTTTTGTTTTTGTTTTGTTTTTTGAGACAGAGTCTTGCTCTGTCACCCAGGCTGGAGTGCAGTGGCATGATCTTCGCTCACTGCAACCTCCGCCTCCTGGTTCAAGCAATCCTCCTGCCTCAGCCTCCTGAGTAGCTGGGATTGCAGGTGTTCACCACCATGTCCAGCTAATTTTTGTATTTTTAGTAGAGATGGGGTTTCACCATGTTGGCCAGACTGGTCTAGAACTCCTGACCTCAGCCTCAGTGATCCACCTGCCTCAGCCTCCCAAAGTGTTGGGATTACAGGCATGAGCCACCATGCCCTCTTTCTTTTTTTTTTTTTTTAATGTGTGGTTTTTTTGTTTGTTTTTGTTTTTGTTTTTTGAGACAGAGTCTTGCTCTTGTTGCCCAGGCTGGAGTGCAATGGTATGGTCTCGGCTCACTGCAACCTCCGCCTCCCGGGTTCAAGCAATTCTCCTGCCTCAGCCTCCTGAGTAGCTGGGATTGCAGGTGTTCACCACCATGTCCAGCTAATTTTTGTATTTTTAGTAGAGATGGGGTTTCACCATGTTGGCCAGACTGGTCTAGAACTCCTGACCTCAGCCTCAGTGATCCACCTGCCTCAGCCTCCCAAAGTGTTGGGATTACAGGCATGAGCCACCATGCCCTCCTCTTTCTTTTTTTTTTTTTTTTAATGTGTGGTTTTTTGTTTGTTTTTGTTTTTGTTTCTTGAGACAGAGTTTTGCTCTTGTTGCCCAGGCTGGAGTGCAATGGTGTGGTCTCAGCTCACTGCAACCTCCGCCTCCCGGGTTCAAGCAATTCTCCTGCCTCAGCCTCCCGAGTAGCTGGGATTACAGGCGCCCACGACCATGCCCGGCTAATTTTTTGTATTTTTAGTAGAGACAGGGTTTCACCATGTTGACCAGGGTGGTCTCGAACTCATGACCTCAGGTGATCCGCCCGCCTCAGCCTCCCAAAGGGCTGGGATTACAAGCGTGAGCCACCGCGCCTGGCCTGGCCCGCCTCTTTCTTTCTCTCTCTTTCTTTCTTTCTTTCTTTCTTTCTTTCTTTCTTTCTTTCTTTCTTTCTTTCTTTCTTTTCTTTCTCTTTCTTTCTTTCTTTTCTTTCTCTTTCTTCTTTTCTTTTTTTTAAATTTTTATGTATGTATGTATGTATTTATTTATTTATTTTTGAGACAGAGTCTCGCTCTGTCGCCCAGGCTGGAGTGTAGTGGTGCGATCTTGGCTCACTGCAAGCTCCACCTCCCAGGTTCACGCCATTCTCCTGCCTCAGCCTCACAAGTAACTGGGACTACAGGCACCTGCCACCACACCCAGCTAATTTTTTGTATTTTTTTTAGTAGAGACGGGGTTTCACCGTGTTAGCCAGGATGGTCTTGATCTCCTGACCTTGTGATCCGCCTGCCTCGGCCTTCCAAAGTGCTGGGATTACAGGCATGAGCCACCACGCCCAGCCTCTTTTTTTTTTTAAGTAGAGATAGGGTCTCACTACTTTTCCCAGGCTGGTCTTGAACTCCTGAGTTCAAGTGATCCTCCCACCTCAACCTCCCAACATAGTGGGATTACAGGTGTGAATCACTGTGCCAGGCCCCTAGAGTCTGTTTTTGTTCTGGCTTTGCCTTCCTCTGAAGCCGCATCTCTGAGAGTTCCCACCCTCAAACTTCAAACTCTTTTCACCCCAAAATTCTTTTTTTTTTTCTCTATCAACACTGGCTTCAAGGTGTCTCCCAAACATGTCAAGTGATTTCTTATCTCTAGGACTTTGCAGATGCTGTTCTCTCTGCCTGAAAAACCTTATACCACCCCTTATCCTGACCAACTATTCTTCTTATTTATTTATTTATTTATTATTGAGATGGAGTCTTGCTCTGTCACCTAGGCTGGAGTGCAATGGTGCAATCTCAGCTCGCTGGAACCTCCGCCTCCCAGGTCCAAGCGATTCTCCTGCCTCAGCCTCCTGAGTAGCTGGGATTACAGGCAAGCACCACCGCGCCTGCCTAATTTTGTATTTTTAGTAGAGACAGGGTTTCACCATGTTGGTCAGGCTGGTCTTGAACTCCTCACCTTGTGATCTGCCCACCTCGGCCTCCCAAAGTTCTGGGATTACAGGCGTGAGCCACCACTGCCGGCCTATTATTATTATTATTATTATTATTATTATTATTATTATTATTTTGAGACGGGGTCTCACTCTGTCACCCAGATTGCAGTGCAATGGCGTGATCTTGGCTCACTGCAACCTCTGCCTCACAGGCTCAAGTGATCCTTCCACCTCAGCCTCCTGTGAAGCTGCTGGGACTTTAAATGTGCACCGCCATGCCCAACTAATTTTTGTATTTTTGGTGGAGACGAGGTTTCGCCATGTCCCAAGCTCAGATGATCTACTTGCTTTGACCTCCCAAAGTGCTGGGATTACTGGCACGAGCCGCTGTACCCAGCCTTGACCAACTCCATGTGTCTTAAAGACTGAGCTCAAATGTCTCTTCCTCTGGTTAGAAGTGCCCAGGGCTGGGGATGGCCGGGGGTGTCCCTGGACTCCTCAATATCTTCACTATGCAACATCACCCTGGGTACTCTGACTGTCTCTCATGTCATCCACCCAGTCACTGGACTAGACTCTTAGCCGCCTTCCTCCCTCCCGCTACCCAGCCTATCGGTCCCCAAGTCTCCTTCTTCCTGGCCTGGGGCTCTCTCTGCCCTGTCTTCTTCTGTGCCTCCCCACAGCCCTCCTAGGCCCTCATCCCAGCCTCCTGCCTGGCCTCCAGCCTCCAATCTCTCTACTCCAGTCTGTTCCCCACCAGGTCCCAGAGGCGTCTTTCTATACCCAAAACTCACGCCACCCGTCTCCTGCTCATAACCCACCCCTGGCTCACCAGTGCTGTGGAACAGATCCAGGCCTCTCAACCTGCATTGAAGGCAAAGGCCTGGTGCCACCCACACTCCGACTGCTTTTTTTTTTTTTTTTTTTTTTTTGAGTCAGAGTCTCACTCTGTTGCCCAGGCTGGAGTGCAGTGGCACGATCTCAGCTCACTGCAACCTCCGTCTCCTGGGTTCAAGCGGTTCTCCTGCCTCAGCCTCCCGAGTAGCTGGGATTACAGGCGTGCACCACCATGTCCAGCTAATTTGTGTATTTTTAGTAGAGACGGGGTTTTGCTGTGTCGGCCAGGATGGTCTCAATCTCTTGACCTCGTGATCCGCCCGCCTCGGCCTCCCAAAGTGCTGGGATTACAGGCGTGAGCCACCACGCCTGGCCTGTCACTCTGACTCCTAATTCTGTGGCCTTCATCTGCTTGGAACTATTGTGGTCCCACCATCTGCCCAAGTTTCTCTCCCCTCTGGGTTTTTGCATATGCTCGTTTCCCCTGACTGGAATACTATTTCCGGTGAACTCCCCACTACTCTCAGAATCAAGTCCAGGCTGGGCGCAGTGGTTCACGCCTGTAATCCCAGCACTTTGGGAGGCTGAGGGGGGCAGATCACTTGAGGTCAGGAGTTTTAGACCAGCCTGGCCAACATGGTGAAACCCCGTCTCTACTAAAAATACAAGAATTAGCCGGGCATGGTGGCGGGCACCTGTAATCCCAGATATTCAGGAGGCTGAGGCAGGACAATCACTTAAACCCGGGAGGGAGGTTGAGGTTGCACTGAACCAAGATTGTGCCACTGCACTCCAGCCAGGGCAACAGAGCGAGACTGTATCTCAAAAAAAAGAAAAAAAAGAATCATGTCCAAACCCCTGCCCCCTGGCCTAAAGGCCCTTCACAAGCTGGGCCCTGCAACCCTCTCCATCCGCTACTCATACCTTCCTTCCCCTTGCCCACTATGTTCTAGCCACACCAGCAGTGCAGGCTCCCAAACAGGCTTCCGAACAGGCAAGCTATGATTTGGATGTCTGTCCGCTCCAAAACTCATATTGAAATTTACGGCCAGGTGCAGTGGCTCACGCCCGTAATCCCAACACTTTGGGAGGCTGAGGTGGGTGGATCACCTGAGGTCAGGAGTTTGAGAGCAGCCTGGCCAACATAGTGAAACCCCATCTCTACAAAAATACAAAAATTAGCCAGGTGTGGTGGCAGGCACCTGTGGTCCCAGCTACTCGGAGGCTGAGGCAGGAGAATCGCTTGAATCCAGGAGGTGGAGGTTGCAATGAGCCAAGATCACATCACTGCACTCCCGCCTGGGCAACAGAGTGAGACTTCATCTCAAAAAAAAAAAAAAAAAAAAAAGAAATTTAATTGCCATTGCCATTGTGATGGTATTGGGAATTAGGAGGTGGAAACTTTAAGAAGCATTTAGGTCATGGGGCTCCAGTACCCTCACAAATGGACTAATGCTGTGGTTGCAGGAGTGGGTTTGCTTGATCTTCCCTCACTCCTCTCTTTGCCCTTCTACCATGTGATGCCTTCCCTCATGTAATGATGCTGAAAGAAGACCCTCATCAGACGGTGACATCTTGATGTTGGACTTCCCAGCCTCCAGAACCAAGAGCCAACAAATTTCCATTCATTATAATTACCCAGCCTATGATATTCTGTCATAGCAACACAAAACAGACTAAGACAAGGCAGTTCCAGCCCCAGAGCCTTTGCACCTGCTGTTCCCTCTCCCTTCACTGAGATCTTCCAATACTTGGCTCCTTCGCTTTATCCATTTCTTTCTTTCTCTCTTTTTTTTTTTTTTTAAGACAGAGTCTTGCTCTGTCACTGAGGCTGGAGTGCAGTGGTATGGTCTCGGCTCACTGCAACCTTCACCTCCCAGGTTCAAGTGATTCTCCTGCCTCAGCCTCCCAAGCAGCTAGGATTACAGGTGCCTGTCACCACGCCCGGCTAAGTTTTGTAGTTTTTAGTAGAGATGGTGTTTCCCTGTGTTGGCCAGGCTGGTCTTGAACTCCTGACCTCAAGTGATCCGCCCACCTCAGCCTCCCAAAGCCCTGAGATTACAGGTGTGAGCCACCACACCTTGCCTACCTATTTCTTAAATTTTAATTTTTTAAATTATTTTAGAGACAGGGTCTCACTTTGTTGCACAGGCTGGACTGCAGTGAAGAGATCACAGTTCATTACAGCCTCGATCTCCAAGGCTCAAGTGATCCTCCCATGTCAGCCTCCCAAGTAGCTAGGACTACAGGCACACACTACCACGCCCAGATTTTTTTTTTTTTTTTTTTGAGATGGAGTCTCACTCTGTCACCCAGGCTGGAGTGCAGTGGCTCGATCTCGGCTCACTGCAAGCTCCGCCTCCCGGGTTCATGCCATTCTCCTGCCTCAGCCTCCCGAGTAGCTGGGACTACAGGCGCCCGCCACCACGCCTGGCTAATTTTTTGTATTTTTAGTAGAGACAGGGTTTCACCCTGTTAGCCAGGATGGTCTCGATCTCCTGACCTTGTGATCCGCCCGCCTCGGCCTCCCAAAGTGCTGGGATTACAGGTGTGAGCCACCACGCCCGGCCAACGCCCAGCTAATCTTTAAATTTTTTGTAGAGATGGAGTTCTCACTATGTTACCCAGGCTGGCCTGGAACTCCTGGCCTCTAGCGATCCTCCTGCCTCAGCCTCCCGAAATGCTGAGATTACAGGCATGAGCCACAGCCCGGCCTATCCATGTTTTTTAACCTCCAAATTTCACCTATTCAGAAAGGCCTTTCCTGACCACCCCACCTAGCATAGCCCCCTATGCATTTCTTATCACATTCCCCAGTTTGATTTTCATAGCAGAAGTTATTGCCTGCTTGATATTTCCTTTTCTTTACTTATTTGCTCATTGCATTTCTCTTTTATCAGATTGTAAGCTCTGAGAGAGCAGGGACCTTATTTAACACTATATACACCCTGTGCCTAAAGCAATGCTTGGCACATAGCAGACTTTCAATAAAGGGCGTTTCAATCAATAAATGAATCAATGAGCAATTCATCCCTCAGGTCACAGCTCAGATACCTTCTCCTAGAAACCTTCCTGACTCCACAGGCTGACTTGTGACTTGTGCAACCTGGTTTGGAAGGCAGACTGAGGCTAATACATTTCCTCTCTTGGGATGACATTTTGCTATGAGATCTGGAGGGATGAGTTGTGACCAGCAAGAGCTGAAGTTATGAGGGAGAAGAAATTCTGGGTAAAGAACTGAACAGCGTCTGGGAGAGGCAAGCCTGAGAAACAAAGAGAAAGAGAGAGAGAGAGGAAGGAGATGGACAGAGGGAGGGAGGGAGAAAGCATAGAATAAGAAAGACAGAACCAGCTGGGCTCGGTGGCTCACGGCTGGAATCCCAGCACTTTGGGAGGCCGAGGTGGGCAGTTCATTTGAGGTTAGGAGTTCGAGACTGGCCTGACCAACATGGCATCTCTACTAAAAATACAAAAAAAATTAGCCGGGCATGGTGGCACGTGCCTGTAACCCCAGCTACTCAGGAGGCTGAGGCAGGAGAATCGCTTGAACTCAGGAGGTGGAGGTTGCAGTGAGCCCAGATCACGCCATCGCACTCCAGCTGGGCGACAGAGTGAGACTCCGTCTCAAAAAAAAAAAGAAAAAGGAAAAAGAAAGAAAGAAAAAGAAAAAAAGAAAGAACCAGAAAGAGCTGAAAGAGTAGCTGGCCCCAGGCTTAGCCTCAATTCCTGGCTTTAATTCCTCTGTGTGTTTATTTTTCCAATAAACCCCCTTTTCCCTAAGGAAACTCCAGTGAGACTCTGCTTCATGCATCCGAAAATCTCCTGGCTTAGCCAGTGCTCCTCCCCGTGCCCCCGCCATGCCCGCATGACCTCCATTACTGCAAGCATCATGCTGCGTTGCCATTATCCCTGTCCCTGTCTGCCACTCTTACAGGACCCTGCGTTCTTTGAAGAATAAGTTCATGGTCTTATTCATCTATGTTCCCAGCGCCCAGCATGAGCCCTAGTTCCTAGCGGGTGCTCAGTAAGTATTTATGAAGAAGGGATGCTTTTCTCATCCTCTTTTTCGGGGATCCTGATTCCCAAGTCACCAGTTCTCAATTACCCTCTCTTAGGTCTTCTTCCCCAACCATCATCTCTTCCCAAATTCACCCCATCCTCGTTCAGGATTAAAGGTCTCTCTTTTCACTGTTCTGTCACCAAACTTACCAATTTTTCCACTCCCAGAGCTTCCTACCGTGGAGATGCTATTTTCCAACAAACTCTGTTCGCCTCTTCTAAAATAATAGTGCGTAAGTTGGGCACACACCTGTCCAGCTAGGACTGACATTTCCCACTCTTCCTTGCAGTTGGCCAGGCCATGTGCAGGAGTAATATTCAAAATATGTAGCAATCGGCGCTGCACAGGCACTAGCCAATCAGAATGGACGTCTAGCCAGGAATGGACGTCTAGCCTATCGGAATGGACGTCTAGTCAATCAGAATAGGCGTCTAGCTAATCAGAATAGACGTCTAGCTAATTCCAATAGACGTCCAACCAATCAGAATGGACACCACTGTCAACAACCAGTAAGCCAGCCCTGACCATATGACTACGTTCTCAACAGTAAGGTATGAGGCGTGTCCTTTCTGCCTCACTTACTCAAAAGGAAAGTGCTTGCTGTCCACTTCCTCTCTTTTCCCCTTCTCATGAGCTACAATTCAGACATCCCCACGACCCACTTCGACCATGCAGAGATGCCAGAGTAACAGTGTGGGAGAATCCTGGGTCCCTGAATGATCACATGGAACAGCAGTCTCCTTATCAGGGTTGTTACGTGAGAGAGGAACAAACTTCGACCTCATCTGGGCCACTGGATTGTTGGGTCTTTTTTGCTACTGAAGCTCAGTTTATAGTCTAGGTATTTAGACTAAATCTAAAATGCTCTCAATTATAAGATGTACCACAAAGAAAGACAAAAGTGCTGCCAATTAAGCCATGATAAGTCATCAATTATAAGACACATCTCGTTTTCAAAGACATTAAAATGTGAAACATTATGCATCTTAGAGTCATGAAATATAGTAATACACTCACTTTATCTCAGGTGCTTTTTCCAAATTACTTGATTTAACCTCAGAAAAGAGACCCAATTGCACCCACTTTACAGAAAAGAAAACTGAGGCTCAAAGAGCAGATGTGGCCCATTTGAGCCACTCATTCAGTGAATACTGAGGTAGTTAGGCTCTGGGAGCCCTCCCACACCCCTCCCATTCCAGCCCCACTCACCTATGCAGACTCTCGCCGCGGTGGGTGCGGTTCTGGGCGCGACAGTCGTGGCCGAGCTCAGGAAGGAAACCATAATCACGCAGCAGGGCCTGGGCACCTCTGGCCACTACGGCCACGCCAGCTGCCACTCGCCGAGCCAGGTCATCCCGCCAGCCAGCCGAGCGCACTGCAAACAGCCCGGCAGGCAGGGGGGCGCCTCCTGGCAGAAGAGGGGGCTCACCAGGGGCCCCAGAGCCCCCGCCTCCAGCCAGCTGGGGCCCCACCATGAACCAGACGTAGCCAGATCCAGTGAGGCCAGCCTCCTCAGCTGCGCGGAACACGGGCTCGGCCTCCTCTCGGGCGCAGAAGAGCAGGCGGATCTGCGCGCTGACACTGCGGAGCTGGGCACTGAGCACGGCCTCGCCCGCCCCAGGGTCCAGCGTCAGCGCTCCGCGGTGCTCCCAGCCCACCAGACTACCGTCAGTCAGCACCTCAATGTAGGACAGGAAGGCCCGGTGGCCAGGGGCACGAGTGGTCACGGCTACAAAGGACGTCCAGTCATACTCCTCCAGCACCTCAAAGATGACCTGAAGCTGTTGCTCGGTGGAAGAGCCCAGCTGCAGGAAGGTGGAGCCCTTCTCCTGCCAGGGAGGGAGGAGGATGTCAGGCCTGCCGATGTGGGGACCTTATTTCTCAGCAATGAATAAGGGGACCACAGCTCCCAATATGGCAGACTGACTCGACAGGTTCACTAAACCCATCTCCTTTTCCTCCTGGGGCACAGGGCTAGATCTGGATTAGGTTTAGCCACGTGATGAGTTATTCTAGACTCATCCATAAAACCTTAGTTTTTTGTTTTGTTTTTTTGTTTTTTGTTTTTTTGAGACAGAATCTTGCTCTGTCGCCCAGGCCGGTGAGCAGCGGCATGATCTTGGCTCACTGCAACCTCCGCCTCCTGGGTTCAAGTGATTCTCCTGCCGTGCCCAGCCTAATAAAACCTTACTCTTGAAGCTTAGTCCTCTGAAGGGGATTACAGAGCTACAAGAGGGTGAGAGCCTGAAACCCCGAGTCACCATACGGAGGAAAGCCACCTCCAATCAGGAACACCTGTTTGGATTTTTTTTTTTTTTTTTTGAGATGGAATTTCACTCTTGTTGCCCAGACTGGAGTGCAATGGCACAATCTCGGCTCACTGCAACATCCGCCTCCCGGGTTCAAGCAGTTCTCCTGCCTCAGCCTCCCGAGTAGCTGGGACTATAGGCGTGCGCCACCACGCCCAACTAATTTTTGTATTTCTGGTAGAGACGGGTTTTCTCCATGTTGGCCAGGCTGGTCTTGAACTCCTGACCTCAGATGATCCACCCGCTTTGGCCTCCCAAAGTGCTGGAATTACAGGCGTGAGCCACTGTGCCTGGCCTGGATTTTATATGAATGAGAAACAACCTCCTGTTGGGTGATCCACTGAGATTTGGGGGTTCATCCGTTCCAGCAGCTAACATCACTGTCATTAATACAACCAGCATCCGGTAAGGGAACTACAGCCCCCAGCAGCCACTGAGAGGGACTGGTTCCCTGAAGGCAGTGAGGAGACTACATCTCCCAGCATGCAATGAGGGTGCTGATGGTATTTCCCTACTGGAAGAAGCTTTGCAGAGTGTCCTTTCCCTTCTTTGGTTTTCCTCCTACCTCTCTGTCACCTCTTCCTCTGCCTCCTTTGCTGGCCCTTCTTCCTCAGCCAGAATTCTAAATTCTAAACACTAGGAGTGCCTTACTGTTCTCTTCTCTATTCCTCTCTCCCTGGTGATCTCAACCAGGCCCATGAGTTTAAATACTGTCTCCCATGCTATCCAATAGGGTGGCTGTTAGCCACTCATAACTATTCAAATTAAAATTAAATAAAATTTATCCTGAATCAAGGACCAGAGGAAAAAAATGTTAAATAGAATTTAAAACTTAGTTTTCTGGGTGCACTAACCACTTGTCAAGTACTCAACAGCCACATGTGGCTTGTGGCTTTCAAATCGGACAGAGCAGCTATAGAACAGCTTCATCTTTGCTGAAAGTTTTATTGAACAGTGCTGGATATGTTAATGGCTCCTGTCCTCAGTCACAACCTCTCATGTGAGCTCCAGACAAATCTATCCTCCAGCCTTTTTTTTTTTTTTTTTTTTTTTTTGAGACAGAGTCTTCCTCTGTTGCCCAGGCTGGAGTGCAATGGCACCATCTTCACTCACTGCAACCTCTGCCTCCTGGGTTCAAGCAATTCTCCTGCCTCAGCCTTCTGAGTAGCTGGGATTACAGGCACATGCCACCACACCCAGCTAATTTTTGTATTTTTAGTAGAGACAGGGTTTCACCATGTTGGCCAAGCTGGTCTCGAACTTCTGAACTCAAGTGATCTGCCTGCCTCGGCTTCCCAAAGTGCTGGGATTACAGGTGTGAGCCACCATGCCTGGCCCCTATCCTCCTTTTTATTCAATATCTCCTCTTGGATTTCCAAGGTGTCTCAAAATTAGCATGTCAAAAACAGATTGCTCGATCTTTCCCCTATCTCAAGACTGTTCCCTATTCTCTCTCTCTCTCTCTCTCTCTCTCTCTCTCTCTCTCTCGTAAAGGAGTAAAGAATCTTTTTTTTTTTTTTTTTTTTTTTTGAGACGGAGTCTTGCTCTGTCGCCCAGGCCGGACTGCGGACCGCAGTGGCGCAATCTCGGCTCACTGAAAGCTCCGCTTCCCGGGTTCACGCCATTCTCCTGCCTCAGCCTCCCGAGTAGCTGGGACTACAGGCGCCCGCCACTGCGCCCGGCTAATTTTTTGTATTTTTAGTAGAGACGGGGTTTCACCTTGTTAGCCAGGATGGTCTCGATCTCCTGACCTCATGATCCACCCGCCTCGGCCTCCCAAAGTGCTGGGATTACAGGCATGAGCCACCGCGCCCGGCCAGGAGTAAAGAATCTTAAGGAATAAAGAGCAGCTGCCTTTTTTTTCCTCTCTCTCTCATTCACCCTGATGCTCAGGCCCCAAACCTAAATCATCCTTTCCCTTTCTTTCCCTCACACATTCAGCCATCTCCAAGTCTTCTTAGCTCTACGTTCAAAGATAGCTCCAGTTGTCCACTCCTCACTGCCATCACTGTCACAACTCTCATTGTCACCCTTTCTTGCCCAGCTATCTACAACTTTCCCACCCATCTCTGTTTTCTTTTCTCTCTTTCTTTCTTTCTTTCTTTCTTTCTTTCTTTCTTTCTTTCTTTCTTTCTTTCCTTCTCTTTCTCTCTTTCTTTCAAGTTTCGCTCTGTTGTCCAGGCTGGAATGCAGTGGCGAGATCTCGCCTCACTGCAACCTCCACCTCCTGAGTTCAAGCAATTCTCCTGCCTCAGCCTCCCAAGTAGCTGGGATTACATGCATGCACCACCATGCCAAGCTCATTTTTGTATTTTTAGTAGAGGGAGGTTTCACCATGTTGGCCAGGCTGGTATCAAACTCCTCACCTCAAGTGATCCACCCGCCTTGGCCTCCCAAAGTGGTGGGATTCCAGGCATGAGCCACTGCGCCCAGCCTATCTTTGTTTTCAATCTTGCATCTTCCAGTCTATTCTCCAAACAGCAGCCAGAGTGATTGTTTCAAAATATTAATTGGATCACATCCCTTCTCAATTGAAAACCTTCCAGTGATTCTACCTCAGAATCAAAGCCAAAGTCCTCACCGTGGCCCCAAGGCCCTGCGTGAACTGGCCCCCGTTGCTTCTCTGACCTCATCTCCTGCCACCCCAATCCCCCAGTGGGCTCCAGCCACACTCCCTTCTTGCTCTTCCTCAAATACATCAAGCTCCTTCCTGCTTCAAGGGCTTTGTCCTTTGTTGTTGCCTCTCCTGGGGACACTTTTCCCTACCTCCTCCATGCCAGACCTCCACCTGACACCTCCAGCTCAGGTGTCACCGCCTCAGGGAGGCCTCCCCTGACTGCCATCTATTGAAACTCCATCCTCAGTCATTACAACATCCTGTGTTGATTTCCTCCAGGACAGCCGGATTTTACTGTTACTGGTTTTGTCTGTCTCACCATTAAAATGCAAGCTCTATAAGGCAGGGACCTTGTCTCCCTCTCTTTTTTTCCCCCCCCCTCTAGAACTGTATTCCCTAGGAATTAAAACAGCCCTGGCACAGAATCAGCTCTCAATAAATCTTCCTGTAATGCAATGAGAACAGCAAGTGGGCTTTCTCCCTAGGCGCACAGGGGATACTGCAGTTGTCCTGAGGGAATGAGTTCTTTTTGTTTATTGTTTTTTTTTTTTTTTTGAGAACAGTCTCACTCTGTCCCCCAGGCTGGAGTGCAGTGGCAAGATCTCGGCTCACTGCAATCTCGGCTCACTGCAACCTCCGCCTCCCAGGTTCAAGCGATTACTCCTGCCTCAGCCTCCTGAGTAGCTGGGATTACAGGCATGCGCCACCATGCCCGGCTAATTTTCATATTTTCAGCAGAGATGGGGTTTCTCCATGTTGGCCAGGCTGGCCTCAAACTCCTGGCCTCAGGTGATCTGCCCGCCTCGGCCTCCCAAAGTGCTGGGATTACAGGTGTGAGCCAGTGCACCTGGCCGGAAATGAGGTCTTATTGTAATGCAAGGAGAACCTCTTCCTTCAGCAGGTGGAGGTGTGCTGAGGGGACCACATTCCCAGCATTCAGTGGGGCACAGATGGAGCTGTGAAGATCATTCTTTCTTCCATCCAGGGGCAGCACGGGGACTACATTTCCCAGAATGCTATGGGCGTACACTGAGCCGACCGCAGTGCCCAGCGGACAATGAAACAGAGAGGACCACACTTCTCAGCAGCAATGAAGGCACGAGGGATCACGTCTTTTGAGTATGCCTTGGAAGTGGCAGTTAAGAAATAAGTTCGCCTCCCAGGGCATCTACCTACAAATCTCTGAAAAGTACCATGCCAAGGAGAACAAGAAAGTTGGACAGAGGTCCTTCCCAGAATGCTCTGGACAGGAGAGGACTACGAGCCTCTGCATACAACAGTGATGCAGTCACACAGCCACAGGCCCGCACAGCAGGGAATGGGCAGATTGAATGAAGCTCCACCTCTGGGTTGCGCTGGCCCCACCTCTGGAGAGGCCCCGCCCCTTCTCAGGCCCCACCTCCTAGCTGACCCATTCTCAATCCACAGAGCAGGCTTGGTCCAATTCTCTCCTTCTCTACCAGAGGTCCGCTACAACTGGCCCCTTCTGTGCCCTTGGGAGTCAGGCCTTTCTCCAGGCTCTGGCCAGCTCCAGCCTCTACCATCCCTTCCCAGCAGGCTCCTGGCTTTGATCTGTCATTGGCTGGGTCGGCCTCCACCATAAGCCTTCATCCTCCTGCCCATCCTCTGGACTCTCGCTTTCCACACCTCACAGCGGGGTATGCCCCTTCTCAAACCCTACTCTCAGGACCGGCTTCCTCCCTAGACCCACCCCTTTATTAGAGTGCTTAGGCCCCGCCCCTCGCTGGCCCCGCCCCCAACTGGCTAGCCCCGCCCCCTTTTCTGACTCACTCCTTCCCTGACTGGCCTCGCACCAAATCTCAATTCCTTGCTTCCTGGTTCTACCCCTTGCCCGTCCTCCTCTCTCTAATGACTCTTCCTCTTTTCCGACTTCCACTTAGAAGATGGCTCCTCCATCCCTGGCTGACTTCTAGACCCTATGCTCTACCGGCCGAACGCCTCCCCAAACTCTGTCCTTGGTACCTGATACCTCTGATACTTCCTAGCTGCCACCTCTCCACTAGACTTCGCCCCTTTCTTTCTGAACTCCATTCCTTTTCTTTTTCTTTTGGACAGAGTCTCACTGTGTCGCCCAGGCTGGAGTGCAGTGGCACGATCTCGGCTCACCGCAGCCTCCGCCTCCCGGATTCAAGCAATTCTCTTGCCTCACCCTCCCGAGTAGTTGGGATTACAGGCGCCCGCCACAACGCCCGGCTAATTTTTGTATATTTAGTAGAGACGGGGTTTCACCATGTTGGCCAGGCTGGTCTCAAACTCCTGTGACCTCAAGTGATCCGCCGGCCTCGGCTTTCCAAAGCGCTGGGATTACAGGCGTGAGCCACCGCGCCCAGGCCCATTCCTTTTCAACTGACTTCTTCCTGTGCTGATCCTAGGTCCCACCCCTCCCTCAGATTTTGCCATTTGGGGCTAGTCCCTTTTCGTTCCCAGCCCCTAACCCTTCCCTCGACTCGCCTTTACTACAGACCCTTACCTGCAATGAATGGGCCCACGTCCTCCCTATACTCTGATCATCGAGGACTGGCCTCTTTCTGACCCTAAAGGCCCAGCTTACCCTATAGACCAGCCCCCTCCAAGTCAGCCCCGCCTCTAATCTAGCCCTAAGCCCTGCCTACCATCTGGGCCCACCTTGTCCCAGACTCGGACCCACAGGACAGTCCCCGCCCCCTCTAGGCCCCGCCCCCGCTGGCTGTCCCAGTCCCGCCCCTCAGCGGCTGTCCCCGCCCCTCCTGTGGCCCCGCCCCGCCCCGGTCGCGCGCACCTTGGGCGTGAGCACGAGCGCGGCGCCGCCGTGCACGGCCACGATGGGCAGCGAGGTCTGCGCCGACAGGAAGTCGAGGATGGGCGCGACGGCGGGCGCGCGCGAGTCGTCTTCGAAGACCACGCCGTGCACGCGCAACCCCGACAGCAGGTCGCAGAGCTGCAGCACGAGGCTGCGCGGGTCCGAGCCGTTGAGCACCAGCGCCACGGGCCGCACGTCTAGGCCCGGGCTGCGCACCGCCGCCGCCACGGCCGGGCCCAGGCGTGCCGCCTCGGCCGCGTACGCGGGCCCCGAGAACACGAGCGCCACGTTGAGCGGCCGCGCCCCGCCGAGGCCGCCGCCGGGCCCACCGGCCCCGCCCGGCCCCGGCGCCTCCTCCGGGAACGGGCTGGCGCAGGCCAGCGCCAGCAGCAGCAGCATCTTAGCGGGGCCCCGAGGGCCGCGGGGGCCACCGGCGCCGCGCATCGCCTGCGGGCCCCGCCGGGCGGCCTCTGAGCGCCCGGGCCGGGAGAGACGGGGAGGAGAGGGAGGCACAGACGGGAGACGCAGGGACAGGGAGACGAGATAAAGAGACGCACAGAGGAGGAGATGCAGCGAGGGACAGGCGCCGAGATGGGGAGGACAGGGAGCGGTCGGGGTGATGGAACAGAGGGAGAGACAGGAACGGAGGACGAGAGAGATGGAAGGGAGAGAGACAGAGGGAGAGAGAAATGGAGGAGAGACAGAGGGAGAGACGGGCAGAGGTAGAGAGAGATGGAGGGGAGAGAGAGGGGGAGACGGAGAGAGAGAGATGGAGGAGAGACAGGCAGAGACAGAGGGAGAGACAGACACAGCAGAGGGAGGTGGAAGGGAGAGGTGGGGAAGAAACACCAGAGGAAGAGGTGAAACAGGGAGAGACGCAGAGATAGGGCGAGACAGAGATAGGAAGAAGTGGAGTATGGGATTGGGGGAGACGCAAAGACGAGGGTGGATAATGGGGTCAGGGGAAGATACAGAGGTAAGAGGGGAGAGAGAGGAAGATAGACAAGGTGGGGATGGGGACACCCACAGAGATGGGATCAAGATAGGAGCAGAGAGAGGCCCAGGGAGACGGGGAGGGAAAGAGCGGCAGGAAGAAGGAGAGAGACGGAAGCAGCAGAGACGGGGAGAAGACGGAGAGAGAGAGGACGGAGTGACAGAAACAGGAATGAGGGAGGCCCAGGGAGAGGATGATAGAGGCGGGAAGAGATGCAGGAAGGCGGGAGAGATAAGCGAGGCAAGAAAGTTGGACAGAGAAGAAGACAGCAAGGCAGGAAGAGGGAGACAGAGACCCCAAGGCCACCAAGAGACACGCGCACATAAAGGATGGGGAAACAATTGAGATTGAGGGAGGCAGGCAGAGCGGAGCGAAAACAGGAGGACAGAAATAGCGAAGCAAGGCCAAGATCGGGACCCCCACCAGGGAGGTGCCCAGTACAGACATGAAAGTAAGGCGGGGAAGGCGAGTGGCAGGAGGGAGCAGAAATAAAAGGGAGGAAAAGGGAGAGAAAAAATGAGAGGGAAAAGGGGTCAGGTGTGTGGGGAGAGAAAGAGAGAAATTAGTGGGGCACCCCAAGGAGAGAAAATCCCCACATGACCTTACTCCTCACCCTGACCACAACCCCTAACCCATTTTGTCCCCTTAGTCCTGTCCCCATCCCCTCATTCTCAAAGCAAGGGAGTCATGGCCCCATCTGGGATGTGGGGTTGGGGGGCACAGCTGTGGAGAGCTGGGTGGGGTGGGTGTGGGGGTCCCTGGCACCCAGCCCAGAGCAATTTGGTAAATTAGAGGAAATACAGCCTCTCTTCCTGTGCCCCCTGTTGAATACTAGCCGCCTGGGGTGGTTGGGCTGGGAGCCAGGCTCCTGGGTCCTGCCTGGGACTGAGGGAGGAGGGCACTGGGAGTCTGGACTCCTGGTTCCCAGAGAAGGACTGGAGTCCGCACTAGGGGCTTCCAGAAGGGGTGAGGGTCCAGACAAGGAAGGGTTCTCTCCTGGCTGTCATGCTCCTGTCTGGTTGCCATGGTAGCGCAGGCCTCGTCCACCCCACAGACAGCCAGGGCGGGGGAAAGGTCCACCACCCCTCCCCTGCCTCGAGGCCACAGCCCGTCCCCTCTGCCCACCACCTCACCTTCCCAGAGATCTCGGGCCCCTGTCTCCCCAGGGAAGGGGTTGGGGGCTCCTAGTATGCCCATCCCTCCCCGATCCTGGCTTCTCTTCGCTCCTCCTTTCCATTGCCCTTCCCCAAGCAGCTGGCTCAATCAGCGCTCAGAATAACCCCCCCACTCCGCCCCAAAATAACCCACAGCTGTGGCCTGGCCCCCGCGGGGTTAACACTCACGCTCCCCTCCATTCCCAGTGGCTGCTCACCCTCCAGCCCCTCCTCTGCCTCTCCCAGACCCACCCCTACCTGGCTTCTGCTCTTAGGGACCCCGCGTCCCACTCCCTACTGAGGCCCAGGAGGGCAGCCCCCGGCCCCACCCTTCTCACGGGGGCTGCATGCTCAGTTCCTAACCACAGGGATTAGGGAGAGCAGCCTCCCCCACTCCAGGGCCTGAGGAGGGGCATCCCCAGTCCTCCAGGACTCTGAAGGCCCAACCCCCAGAACCCACGCCCTCAGGGATCACAGAGTCCAGCCTCTGGACAACCCCCCGCTCCCCCCGCCTCCATCTCTACCTCCTCATGAGCCTCCGTTTCCACTTCCATCTGCATAGGGCTAAAGTCCCCAACACTCATCTCCTGCCCTGTCAGGGACTCAGGAGACTGAGCTCCCAGCCTGCCTTCCTCAGACGGAAGCGCTATCCCCTACCTCCTCCCGTAAAGACCCAGGAGTCCTTCTGGCAGCCCCTTCCTCCCCCAGGCCTTGGGAGTCTGGGCATTCGGTCCTGTTCTTTCCCAGGACCCAGGAGGCCAGGCCCCTCCTGCCCCAAGACTCTGGAACTCCAGTGCCCAGCCTCCTCTCCCTGCAGGAACCAAGAGTCCAGGTCCCCAGCTCCCCTCTTCCCCCAAGGACCCAGGAGTCCGGGTTCCGGCTCCTGTCCTCCCTTAAGGATCCCCTTTTGGTTTCAAACCCTATCCTTCCCAACATCCTGGGTGCCCCCCCACCGAGCTCTGGCCTCCCTAGTCACCCCACTTAGATCCTGTACATAGCACAGCCTGTCCCCAAGCGGGGAGGAGGAGGAGGGTGCCAGAAATTCCTAGGGTGTCCCTGTCTTCATTGCCCCCCACAGCATCCAACAGAGAAGAGAGGAGCGGCCACTTCGATCAACAGCTCCCCCCACAACCTCGAGTTGTGCTGCAGACGGCATCCCGTTTCCTCCCCCCTCACCTCCCAACACACACACACAACATCGGTCTCTCCCCACCCGAATCCTGATGCTTGGAAGAGGCTGGAAGGGTGTTCCAGAACCTTGAGGAAGGGGTGGGAGCTTGGGGCGAGGGGTGCTGGGGGCCTGGATGCCCTCAAGGTCCTTGGCGGGGGTATTAATAGCAGACTCATAGCTCTGACATGGGAGGGGAGAGCGAGAGGAGAGAGGGAGAGGACCGGCTCGCGATGGGGGGACTGATGCAGGGAGGGGGGTACAGGGAGAAGGTGAGATAGAGAGATGGAGGCACAGGGATATGGGGCATCAGGTATGTGGGGATGGGGAGAGGGAGCCAAGTGTCAGAGAAATGGGGGCGTGAAAGGTCTGAGGTGTAGGGACTCAGGAAAAAGGGGCTCAGAGAGGGAGAGAGAGAGGGTGGAGGAGAGTCCCTGAGGGACAGGGGAGCTAGGTGGGGGTCAAGACCCCTGCCCACCGTTCAAACCCCCTCCCTCCACGAGGCTTCTTGCCAACTTCCTCTGTCCTAGATTTGGGGGTCCACATTCCCACCACCATCCCTGCATCCCCTGTCCCCGCCTTACCTTTTCATGACCCTGTTCTGTTGGGGGGATGGCGGGGGGGCCAGGACCGGAACCCGGCGTCCAGCGACCCCAAGATTCCGAGGAGGGCTCAGAGAGCCGATGTCGGGGGGCAGGCCCCGGGGCGGCGGCAGTGGTGGTGGCGGCAGCAGCGGCAGCCCGGACCTCCTGTCTGTCCCTGGCTCCGTCTCTCCTTCCTCTTCCTTGGTCCTGTCCTGCCCTGTCTCTCCCCCAAGGTTGCGGCCACCTGGACTAGGCGAGGACGTGGCTACACATGTTGCTCTGGAAGTTGGGCCCCGGACATTGCAGAGGCTGTCGGGGTGTCCTCTTGCCGCCCCGACCCCGTGGGGATCCCCCCTCCGCCCACCCGGGGTGCCCCCCTCTGCCGCTTCAGCCCCGGCTCCTCCCCCCTTTCCATGTGTCCAGTCCCGCCTCTCCCTGGCTCACTCGCACCCCCGCTTTGTGCCCTCAGCCCCCCCACCCCCCCTTCCAGCGTCTGTGTCTATCTGTCTGTCTGGGTCACCTCTGAAGCTAGTGGCTGGTGTGTGCGTGTGAGGAGCGGGAGATTGCCTGCTTGGGGAACTGCTTGCCCCTTCCTCGCTTGGCCACCTCTAGACCCCCCCTTGACTCCCCCACTCTCAAACACAGGCAGAAACACACATACACTCACGCACACACGCACGATCTCACTTCCCTGGGATTCCCCCTCAACACCCCCAGAGCTTGAGGAGGGACACACACACAGACACACACACACAGAGTGGGGGGTCTAATGGGGGCCAGGCTGCCACTGCTGATAGGGGCTGTTTGGACAGACAGGAGGACACAGGCAGCCGGGGACGCCCAGACGCCTGGCCGGACGCAGGCAGGAGGCACAGAACCCAGGTACACACCATCCATCTGGGTTTGGGGGGGCCGGGGGGAAGGAGCGGGAGCCCCACGACACCCAGGCAGGCAGCTCAGGGTCGGTACAGACAGACAGACCCCTCCCTCCCTCCGCCGCCGCAGCGCTTACAGACACACCCCCCCTCCACCAGCCAGCCCCAGACACCCGGACACACAGATCCTCACCGGGCAGATGGCAGACGCTCGAGAGACCCCTGGGGGCCGGGCCGACCTACCCAGGCAACACCCCCAGCAGGCACCGGTGGCCGAGGGAGGCTGCGGGAGGCTGCGGGCGAGGGTGGCGGCGGCGGCCGCGGCTTGGAGGAGCTGGAGCGGGAGGGACTCACACACTCGCTGTGTTCTCGCACACACACACTCACTCGGGATGCGATTAACATTCAGTCCCCGTCTGCCACTGCCGGGAGACCCACAGCCCCCCCTCCTGGCCTCCCTGGGGACCCCTTCTCCTGCCAGGCTTGGGGAGGGGGCCGCCCCCCACCCCTAGCTACCAGCCTCTGCCTTCCTCCTGGGACAAGGGAGTGAGGGGCTGAAAATAAAAAGGGAGGAAGAAGTCAGGCTGGGGACAGGCAGGCAGGGACTCAGAACCCGGTATGGAGACACCAGCTTCAGAGCTAGACTCCAGGGCTGGGGGTTGCTGCCCTCTGCCCCCGCCCTGCCTTGAGGCTCTGGAAACAGGAGGCCTTTCCCTGACTTCAGTGTTCGCCACACTAAGACCCAAGCTGTGGCTTTTATTGCCCCAGAAGGCCAGGCCTGAAAACCAGGTCTCGACCCTGGTCCCAGGAGTCCCACCCCCCAGCCCCTCCTCCCTCAGACCCAGGAGTCCCCTTCTCTACTGGGACCCAGGAATTTGGGGACCGCCTCCAAGTCGGAGTCTCTTTTAAGGACTCAGTCATCCCGACTCTCCCCCGTACAAGCCACCCTCAGGGACCCAAGACTCGTGGATGTCACCCTTGGGCACCCCGTCCTTCCAGCCCTCTGAAGAAATCAACACGCCTGCACCCCTTCTTTTATTGAGGGACCCTGGCCTCCATCATCTGTGGGTACCCCATCATCCGGAAGGGAAGCCACGTCTGTCCCCTCATAGATGCAGGAGTCCAGACCACAGGCTGTTCCCCGGGGGTCCCACACCCAGATGCCCAGCATTCCCCTCCTGCTAGAGGGCTGGGCCCGGCACTTTTATAAAGCCACCCGTGGGGCTCTGGGGTAGAGCGTGGGGCAGGACACCGGGGCCTCTGAGGGTGGAAGAGGGTGTGTGTGTGTGGGCAGGGCAGAAACTCTGGAGCAGGGGGGAAGCCAGGGCCAGGGGCTCCTGAGGTAGTTTGGGTCAGAGTTTTGGCCTTGAGCCTCCTGGGTGAGGCTCCTGTTTCCTTCATCCTCAAGGTCTGGGAGAACAGGGTGAGGTGCACATTCCTGAAAAAGAAGAGAATCAGGGCCTAAATCTGTGGGTCGTAAAGGGAGAAACTGTAGATCTAGATTCTTAAGGTTAGGATGTTTGATCCATAAGATGGTGGGGGTGGGACCCTAAGTTCCAAGGAACAGCGTCCTAGGAGGGAAAAGGGCTGGGGCCCTGAACTCCTGGGTCTGAGGGAGGAGGGGCTGGGGCCCTGGACCCCTGGGTCTGAGGGAGGAGGGGCTGGGGCCCTGGACCCCTGGGTCTGAGGGAGGAGGGGCTGGGGCCCTGGACCCCTGGGTCTGAGGGAGGAGGGGCTGGGGATCTGGACTCCTGGGTCTGAGGGAGGAGGTGCTGGGGGTCTGGACTCCTGGGTCTGAGGGAGGAAGGGCTGGGGGCCTGGACTCCTGGATCTGGGGGAGGAGGGTCTGGGGGCCTGGAGTCCTGGGTCTGAGGGAGGAGGCTGGGGGCCTGGACTCCTGGGTCTGAGGGAGGAGGCTGGGGGCCTGGACTCCTGGGTCTGAGCGAGGAGGAGCTGGGCCTGGACTCCTGGATCTGAGGGAGGAGGGGCTGGGGGTCTGGACTTCTGGGTCTGAGGGAGGAGAGGCTGGGGGTCTGGACTCCTGGGTCTGAGGGAGGAGGGGCTGGGGACCCAGACTTCTGGGTTTGACGAACGGGCTGGGGCCTTGAGTCCTGGGTCTAGGGGAGGAAGTAGGTGGGGTATCTTTCTTGTCTTCTGGGGGATTGGAGTTAGAGTGCCTGAAAGCTGCAAAAGCTAGCAGCTGAGCCTCCGGGTCCCTGCAGGATTTTTCAAGCTCAGAGGGCAGTCTCTACATCCCTGCAAGGGCTGAGGCTGGTGTACTGGACTGCGTCTCTTCCAGAGACACAGACTGCCTGGGCGAACCGGTGCTGGATTTGGCACTTTCCGAACCCTGCGACCCTCCCAAGTTCCTATGGGGCAGCTTTGGGGGTGCGTTTAGCGCCGCCACGGCAAAGCAGGAGGTGGGCGATAGGGGGCGCCGGGGATCCAGGCCCCGCCCTCGGGGGCGGAGCCTCTCCTCCCGGACTCCTCCCCCTCTCGCTCTCCTCCCTCTTCCCGGCTCCAGCTCCGCCGCCAGCTCCAGCCTTTGCTCCCCCTCCCAAAGTCCCCTCCCCGGAGCGGAGCGCACCTAGGGTCCCTCTTCCGTCCCCCCAGCCCAGCTACCCGTTCAGACCAGCAGCCTCGGGGGGCACCCCCCCGCCAGCCTGCCTCCCTCCCGCTCAGCCCTGCCAGGGTTCCCCAGCCATGAATCTCTTCCGATTCCTGGGAGACCTCTCCCACCTCCTCGCCATCATCTTGCTACTGCTCAAAATCTGGAAGTCCCGCTCGTGCGCCGGTGAGAGGCCCACCAGGGCTGGCGAAGGAGAGAGATTGCGGGCGGGGGTTGGGGGACGTCGCAGGACTCAGGAAGGGTTTGGGGGCACTAGGGGCACAGGTTCCACCCCCACTGCTTGCTGGGGATCTCTCTTCTAGGTTCTGGGTCTCCAGGGGATCAGCTCCCTTCCCCAGACTGGCGGGGGTGCATACAGTTTCATGTGAATGGCTTTAGGCCCCCAATTCAGCCACCCCCAGCCCCAATCTGGGCAGCCCGAGGGTTCATGGACCGGGAACAGGGAACCATGGCAGGCGGGGAGGTGGCTGTGAGTTGGTGACGTGGACCGTGGCGGCCAGGAAGGGAACGGGAGGGAGGTGACCGGATCCGGGGCCTGAGGTCAGGGAAGGTCCTCCCTAGGCCTCACCTCAGGTCCAGACTGCGGGAGGACCCTGAGGGGCCAGGGGTAGCCATGAGGCCTAGTCTGGGACGGAGCCTCGGGCTGGAGTAGCTTCGGGGGCCTGGGCTGCCCCCTGGCTGTGGTCCGTGGGAAAGGGCCCTGCTCAGGCGGGGCGGGCTGGGGAGGCCTCCGGGGACAGCTGCACTCCAGAGCTGCCTCCAGGCTGGTCCCGGGCGCCCTGCCTTAGTTTATTGCCCATGCAGCCCACCCCCAGCTTCCTCTCTCCTTCTGTCTGTCTGTCTGTCTGTCTGTCTCTCTCTCTCTCTCTGTCTCTCTCTCTCTCTCTTTCTCTGTCTCTGGACCACAGGAATTTCAGGGAAGAGCCAGGTCCTGTTTGCTGTGGTGTTCACTGCCCGATATCTGGACCTCTTCACCAACTACATCTCACTCTACAACACGTGTATGAAGGTAGAGGCTCCACCCCACCTCTCTGGCCCCCACTGAGGCAGAGGAGCCGGGTGTGGGTCCCAGACTCCTAGGTCTGAGGGAGGAGGGGCTGGGGGCCTGGACTCCTGGGTCTGAGGGAGGAGGGGCCGGGGGCCTGGACTCTTGGGTCTGAGGGAAGAAGGGACTGAGGCCTGGACTCCTGGGTCTGAGGGAGGAGGGGTTGGGGGTCTGGACTCCTGGGTCTGAGGGAGGAGGGGCCGGGGGCCTGGACTTTTGGGTCTGAGGGAGGAAGGGACTGGGGCCTGGACTCCTGGGTCTGAGGGAGGAGGGGCTGGGCCTGGACTCTTGGGTCTGAGGGAGGAGGGGCTGGGCCTGGACTCCTGGATCTGAGGGAGGAGGGAATGGGGCCCTGGACTCCTGGGTCTGAGGGAGGAGGGGCTGGGGGCCTGGACTCCAGGGTCTGAGGGAGGAGGGGTTGGGGGCCTGGACTCCTGGGTCTGAGGGAGGAGGGGCTGGGGGCTTGGACTCCTGGATCTGAGGGAGGAGGGGTTGGGGGCCTGGACTCCTGGGTCTGAGGGAGGAGGGGCTGGGGGCTTGGACTCCTGGGTCTGAGGGAGGAGGGGTTGGGGGTCTGGACTCCTGCGTCTGAGGGAGGGGCCTGGACTCCGGGCTCTGAGCCTACTGGGGCACAGGCCTGTGAGTTGAGGCCCCTTCTCATCATCCCCCTCCTCAGGTGGTCTACATAGCCTGCTCCTTCACCACGGTCTGGTTGATTTATAGCAAGTTCAAAGCTACTTACGATGGGAACCATGACACGTTCAGAGTGGAGTTCCTGGTCGTTCCCACAGCCATTCTGGCGTTCCTGGTCAATCATGACTTCACCCCTCTGGAGGTAGGCGCCTTGCTGTGACTCCTTATTTGGGGGGATGGTTGTGGCAGAGTAGCTATGACAGGAGACCCTCTCACAGGCTTCCTTCTGCAGGGTGTGCCCAAACTGCCTTATTTTAGGATGCATAAGTTCAGTGCATGGGCTCTGGGGTCAGAGGAAATTAACACAACAGCAGCAAGACTCGCTATGTGTCAGTCACTACCCTAAGCATTTCACCTACTTACTTTTCTCAGCAGCCCCACTTTACAGATGAGGAAACTGAGGCTTAGGGATTCTTTTTTTTCTGGAGACAAAGTCTCGCTCTGTTGCCCAGACTGGAGTGCAGTGGCATGATCTCGGCTCACTGCAACCCCCGCCTCCCAGGTTCAAGCAATTATCCTACCTCAGCCTCCCGAGTAGTTGGGAAGACAGGTGCACATCACCATGCTCTGCTAATTTTTGTATTTTTAGTCCAGACAGGGTTTCACATGTTGACCAGGCTGGTCTTGAACTCCTGGGCTCAAATAATCTGCCTGTCTTGGCCTCCCAAAGTGCTGGGATTACAGGCGTGAGCCACCATTCCTGGCCCAGCCTTCTTGAATTTGAATTCCAAATCTGCTAGTTTCTTTTTTCTTTCTTTCTTTCCTTCTTTCTTTCTTTCTTTCCTTTCTTCCTTTCTTCCTTCCTTTCTTTCTTCCTTCCTTCCTTTCTTTCTTCCTTTCCTTCTTCCTTTCCTCCTTCCTTTCTTCCTTTCCTCCTTCCTTCCTTCCTTTCTTTCTCTTTCTTTCCTTTCTTTCTTTCTTCCTTTCTTTCCTTTCTTTCTTCTTTCCTTCCTTTCTTCCTTTCTTCCTTTTCTTCCTTTTCTTCCTTTCTTTCTTTTTTCCTTTCTCTTTCGACAAAGTCTCGCTCGGTTGCCCAGACTGGAGGCAGTGGCATGATTCTGGCTCACTGCAACCTCCACCTCCCAGGTTCAAGCGATTCTCCTGCCTCAGCCTCCCGAGTAGCTGAGATTGCAGATGCCCACCACCAAGCCAGGTTATTTTTTGTATTTTTAGTAGAGACAGGGTTTCAACATATTGGCCAGGCTGGTCTCGAATTCCTGACCTCAGGTGATCCACTCTCCTCAGCCTCCCAAAGTGCTGGGATTACAGGCATGAGCCACCGCGCCCGGCTCCAAATCTGCTAGTTTCTATTAGCATGATCCCGTGCATGTGACTTGACCTCTCTGTACCTCGGTTTCCACATTTGTAAAGTTGTGATCAGGTCATTGTGAGAATTTACTGAGACTTTGCAGCACTGCCTGGTGTCAAAACACATAAAGACTCTAGAATCAGAGTGTAAGGATTTGGACCCTGCCTCTACCATGTAGCAGCTATGGGATTCTGGGCAAATCACATAACTACCCTGTGCCTCAGTTTCCTCATCTGTAAAATGGAGATAATCAGTTCCTATGTCATAGGGTTCAAATGAGAGGTTGGTATTAATAAAGCACAGTATCTGGGATGAGGTAGGAAGTGCTGTGTCAATCAATGTTCAATGACTGAAGTGTTTAGTCCCATCTCTGATACTTTTACTTTTAAATGTTCGCTGTTAATGATTTTTATTCCATGGTGTTTTGCTGGGACCTGTACAAACTCCTGGGAGGAATTTTGCGAGAGCCAGTGCTAAGTTTGCGATCTCTTGCCTCCTGGGGCCTGGCAGGAATCATAAATTCAGGGTAACCTTTTCTTACCTGTGCCCACTCCTGCCTTATAGGAAGATAGGCCTGGGTGGCCAGATGTGCTGATCTTTTCAACAGAAGCCATAATTCAGGAGTTTTCAGGCAAGATGTCTCATTTTAAAATTTTAGCCACAGATTCAGACTATATTTCTTTTTTTTTTTTTTTTTTCTTTTTTGAGATGGACTCTCATTCTGTCGCCCAGGCTGGAGTGCAGTGGCACGATCTTGGCTCACTGCAACCTCTGCCTCCCAGGTCAAGCGTTTCTCCTGCCTCAGCCTCCCGAGTAGCTGGGATTACAGGTGCTTGCCACCACGCCTGGCTAATTTTTGTGTTTCTAGTAGAGATGGGGTTTCACCATGTTGACAGGCTGGTCTTGAACTCCTGGTCTTAAGCAATTCTCCCATCTCAGCTTCCCAAAGTGCTAGGATTACAGGCATGAGCCACCGTGCCTGGCCTTCAAAACATATCTCTAAAAGCACTGTATAGGCCAGACAAATCCAACAGAGGGTGACTTTGGCCCATGGGTCAGAGATATCAGAGGGAGGCTGCATCATGCTGTGGTGGGAATCCTGGGCTTGGCTCCAGGCCCTGGACTTTGCAAACATATTGTTACCACCTTGCTTGGATCACTTATCCAAGCCCTTGACTTAGCTCATAACTGCCCTGTTGACTAGGGATTACTAGACCCATTTTGAAGATGGGGAGACTGAGGCTGAGGGAGGTAGTGCGGCTTGCTGAAGGTGGAGGAGGCCAGACCAGAACCCAGGCGTCTTTTTTTTTTTTTTTTTTTTAAGTCTTGCTGTGTCACCCAGACTGGAGTGCAGTGGCACGATCTCTGCTCACTGCAACCTCTGCCTCCCAGGTTCAAGCAATTCTCGTGCCTCAGCGTCCCGAGTAGCTGGGATTACAGGCATGAGCCACCACACCCAGGTAAAATTTTTTTGTATTTTTAGGAGAGACAGGGTTTTGCTATGTTGACCAGGGTGATCTTGAACTCCTGGCCTCAAGTGATCCACCTGCCTCAGCCTTCCAAAGTGCTGGGATTACAGGTGTGAGCTGCCGTGCCTGACCTAAGGAAAATATTCTTTAAAAATTCAGACATCAGGCTGGGCGCAGTGGCTCACGCCTGAATCCCAGCACTTTGGGAGGCTGAGACAGGTGGATCGTGGATCACGAGGTCAGGGGTTCAAGACCAGCCTGGCCAAGATGCTGAAACCCCCTGTCTATTAAAAATACAAAAATTAGCCGGGCATGGTGGCATGCACCTGTAATCCCAGCTACTCGGGAAGCTGAGGCAGGAGAATCACTTGAACCCGGGCAGCAGAGGTTGCAGTGAGCTGAGATCGTGCTACTGTACTCCAGCCTGGGTGACAGAGCAAGACGCCATCTCAAAAAAAAAAAAAAAAAATTCAAACAGCATGGAATAGATAAAAATGCAAGACTGGGCGCAGTGGCTCACGCCTGTGATCCCAGCACTTTGGGAGGGTGAGGTGGGTGGATCACTTGAGGTGAGGAGTTCAAGACCAGCCTGGCCAACATGGTGAAACCCTGTCTTTACTAAAAAAATACAAAAATTAGCAGGGCGTGGTGGTGAGTGCCTATAATTCCAGCCACTTGGGAGGTTAAGGCAGGAGAATCACTTGAACCCGTGAGGTGGAGGTTTGCAGTGAGCCGAGATCGCGCCACTGCACTCCAGCCTGGGTGACAAGAGTGAAACTCGGCCTCAGGAAAAAAAAAAAAAAAAAGCAACAGACCTTCTGTCTCTCTTTAAACGGTGACTCTGTTCCCTAAGGGCAACCCCAGGGGTGAGAGTTGAATGGGCATCAATTTAATGGGTTCGTTTCCCAGCAGCATCAACTAACCTGGCTTCACGAGAGCCTCCCTGGAGGATTCTGGATGATTCTGGGAGCAGGTCCTGGACTCTACGTGCTTCAGTGGGAATCTGGACACGTTTCTTATCCTTTGGGCCTCAGTTTCCTCATCTGTAGAATGGGAATGACAACAGTACCTACCTCATGGGGTTAAGGCTCAGGCCAGTTAACACCCTAAGGAGCGATGCCTTGGATGTCGTAAATGCTAGAAAAGCATGAGTTGTTATGAATAGGTCCTGGTGCCCCCCACCTTCCTTCCACAAACCAAGACAACCAAGGAGCCACACCTGCCACCTGGCTTTGCTCTCTGAGGTTTCAGTGTGTCTGCAGATCACAGATCACCCCAGGTGGCACTTTCAGGGAGCTGGGGACTGAAAGGGGGCTGGCAGATGTCTTCTTCCCTGTCCCATGATGTCCTGTCCTGCTCATGAATGATGGTTGTCAGTGCTCCCTAAATGGTGGCCTGTGCTGAGCACATGGGGACCCCTTTATAGATGCTAACTCCCATTTCCTCACTCATTCAGGAACTGTGCTAGGTGCTAGGGCCACGGGGTGAACAAGAAGTAGGATCCCAGCCCTCACAGAGCTCAATTGCTGGTGCGAGTGGCCAGGAAGGAGATAAGATGGGGTGATGTGACAGTCCTGGGGGAAGGATGGCCAGGGAGGGTCCCTCTCGGGAGGTGACTAATGAGCTGAGGCTGGGAGAATACGGAGGAGGCAGATGTGTGACAGTGTAGGGGAAGAGCTTTTCCTGCTGTGGGAACAGCATATGCAGCCTGCCACAAGAAATGGCATGTGGGCCCGGCACGGTGGCTCATGCCTGTAATCCCAGCACTTTGGGAGGCCAAGGCAGGCAGACCACCTGAGGTCAGGAGTTCGAGACCAGCCTGGCCAACAAGGCAAAACCCTGTCTCTACTACAAATACAAAAATTAGCCGGGTGTGGTGGTGGGCACCTGTAATCCCAGCTACTCAGGAGGCTGAGGCAGGAGAAACGCTTGAACCCAAGAGGCAGAGGTTGCAGTGAGCCGAGATCACCCCATGGCACTCCAGCCTGGGTGACAGAGTGATACTCCATCTCAAAAAAAAAAAAAAGAAAAAGAAAAAGGAAGGGAAATTTCCAAGGCAAGATTCCAACCCAGCCTGCCTTTCAGAGAGGCGCAATTGCAAAGTGTTCATGAGAACGGACTGCGAATCCTTGGTTCGAATCATTGCTCTGCTGCTTGCTGGCTACATGGTCTTGGGCGAGTATCTTACCTTCTCTGGTGTCAGTTTCCTCATCTGTAGAATAAGTGTGCTAATCATAGGATCTCCTCGCCGGGCCATGGTGATGATTAAATCAGAGGTACCAGTAACTCGGGCAGAACTGTGTCTGGCACTTGGCAGCACCTGGATCACCTTCCTTCTCTCCACCTTCGCGGCACCTGTAACTGCAATGTTGTCCTCTGCCTTTTCTCCCGCCCTGTCCCCTCCCACCTCATCATGTCCCCGGCCTCTCTGCAGATCCTCTGGACCTTCTCCATCTACCTGGAGTCAGTGGCCATCTTGCCGCAGCTGTTCATGGTGAGCAAGACCGGCGAGGCGGAGACCATCACCAGCCACTACTTGTTTGCGCTAGGCGTTTACCGCACGCTCTATCTCTTCAACTGGATCTGGCGCTACCATTTCGAGGGCTTCTTCGACCTCATCGCCATTGTGGCAGGCCTGGTCCAGACAGTCCTCTACTGCGATTTCTTCTACCTCTATATCACCAAAGGTAGCTGGAATGTGGGACGGCTGGAAGGGAACCTCCTATTTCTGCAGCTCCTGCCCTCCCTGGGGACTGGGGTCTCCTTACCCCTGTATTATGCAAAGAAGGGAGCATTTCTTCGCCGGGTTTCTGGGGTGGCAGGCCTACCATCCTCCTAGGAATTCAGACCGTTAGCCTCTGCCTCCCTAAGGGCTAAGGAGTTTCTGTCCTTAGCCCCCATGTCACTTGGAGCGTAGGCCAGGCAGGGCAGGGACTCAGCCCACTGAAATTCATTCATTTATTCATGCAACAAATGTATTGAGTACTTTCTATGTCCCCAGCCAGGTGCTAGGCTCTGGGGATACATTAGGAGGAGAAAAGATAGACAAAGGCCTCCATTTCCCTTTTATTCTGGTGGGGGAGATGGTGAATGAACAAGTAAAGAAAGAATTAGTTGGGCATGGTGGCTCATACCTGTAATCCCAGCACTTTGGGAGACTGAGGCAGGGAGATTTCTTAAGCCTAGGAGTTCCAGAGCAACATAGCAAGACCCTGTCACTATAAAAAATAAAAAAATAAAAAAATTAGCTGGGCATGGTGGTGCACGCCTGTGGTCCCAGCTCCTTGGGAGGCTGAGGTGGGAGAATTGCTTGAGGAGGTCAAGGCTGCATGGAGCTGTGACTATGCCACTGCACTCCAGCCTGGGCTACAGAGTGGGACCTTGTCTCAAAAAAAGAAAGAAAGAAAATTGCCAGTAGTGAGAAAGGGTAGGAAGGAAAGAAACCAGGAATGTATCTGTGAGTCCTGGGGGACCTCCCTCCCTGTGGATCTGCCCATCTAGCGTGCCTGCCCTGCTCTGGCTGTGGGAGGCTGTCCCCTCCCTGCAGGGGCCCCAGCGGTAATGCCCTCCCTGTTTTCTCTCCTCACAGTCCTAAAGGGGAAGAAGTTGAGTTTGCCGGCATAGCCCCGGTCCTCTCCATCTCTCTCCTCGGCAGCAGCGGGAGGCAGAGGAAGGCGGCAGAAGATGAAGAGCTTTCCCATCCAGGGGTGACTTTTTTAAGAACCCACCTCTTGTGCTCCCCATCCCGCCTCCTGCCGGGTTTCAGGGGGACAGTGGAGGATCCAGGTCTTGGGGAGCTCAGGACTTGGGCTGTTTGTAGTTTTTTGCCTTTTAGACAAGAAAAAAAAATCTTTCCACTCTTTAGTTTTTGATTCTGATGACTCGTTTTTCTTCTACTCTGTGGCCCCAATTTTTATAAAGTGTTTTTGAGTGTCCTATGGGCCGGGGCAGGGTCCAAGATCTTTTCCCTTCCCCAGGCCCCTCGGCTCCCTCCCAGATCCCACCCCCAGCCCCACTGGTTGCCAAACACTAAATCTGCCGACACCCATCTGCCCCACCTCCTGCCATGGCCATGAACCGCGACCCCCACTAAATTTCTAGATTGGGGATAGGGAGAAAGGGAGGCCCAGGAAGGTCTCCCCTGATTTTTTTTCATAGTAATTTTTTTCCCCAGAGTTTGAATTTTTTGGTCTTCTCCTGGTTTTTTGGCAAATTAGGGGGGCCCGGGGCTCAAGTGCGGGAAGGGGGCTGGCCCGAGGATCCCATGGCTCTCACACCATGTTTTTGTACAGAACTGATGGTTGAATCTTTGTTCTCTTGAAATAAACAGAAGAAAATGAAACCTTTCTTTTGCTGCTCCTTGCCACTCTGTCCCTGGTGTGTATGGGGTCCCGCCCCCGCCCCTCTTTCTGCTTCTGCTTTTGCCTTATTGACTATCTGTAGGCGACGAGGCCTAGGAGGAGCAGGAAGAGGAGAAACTGGGTCTCCCAAGACTCTCAGCTGTGCAGTTCCTCGCCGTGCTGCTGGGAAGAGGTTTTGGAGAGAATCTTGAAGAGTCTTCTTACCTTGGCACAGAACTTGTCTGATGGTTCTCCAAACCCTCAGGGTTGCAGAGGACCTTCAGGAGAATTGGCTGGGCATGGTGGCTCATGCCTGTAATCCCAGCACTTTGGGAGGCTGAGGCGGGCGGATCACCTGAGGTCAGGAGTTTGAGACCAGCCTGACCAACATGGCAAAACCCCGTCTCTACTAAAAATACAAAAAAAAATTAGCTGGGCGTGGTGGTGTGCCCCTGTAGTCCCAGCTACTCAGGAGGCTGAGGCAGGAAAATTGCATGAACCCAGGAGGCGAATATTTCAGTGAGCCGAGATCACACCACTGTACTCCAACCTGGGCAACAGAGTGAGACTCCATCTCAAAAAAAAAAAAAGAGCATGTATGTCAGGGACCACACATGGGCAGCCCCCGTCCTACCCTCACTTGACATTTTTTGTTGAGGCATTCTGTTTCCTTAAAAAAAGAGAATGGGTCGCTAGCCTTTAAAAACCAGATTTTCACATTTCTGGCTTCTCTTGAAAAAAAAAATCCATCAGTCTAACAATGCTGGGTCCTCATTTCTGGGTGGCAACAGATGGCTGGATCTGAATGGATGGGACGCAGCTCTTTTCACCACAGTCCCCAGGACTTGGCTGCAGGCTTGTTACATTTATTATTGGGCTGATGCCGTGTGGTTATTTTTGTTTGTTTGCGAAGTTAAGAGGAAAGTGAAATATTTTCCTTGTCTCTCTCCAGATTGGCCTCACACCTGGCCTATTTTCTTCACTTACGTTACCTGCCTGGCTGTTGTTGGCTTTTGGATTTTTGACCCTTGACTAGGTCAAACTTCCTAGATGTCCTCTAAGACCTTCCTAACTGTCTGCAGCTTCCCTGGAGGCTGGCTCTGGAAGCCTGAGGAGGCAGGGAGCTGGCGTTTCCTGAGCACTTGATATGTGCCAGGTACTGTGTGTTACATAGATGAACTCCTGCAACCCTCACAGCATCCCTACAGAGGGGGCACTTTGTGGATGAGGAAACAGGTTCAGAGGGGTGAGTGGCAAAGGTGGGCTTTGCACCTGGACTTCGTGATGCCAGAGCTTGTGTGTTTAACCAACGCTGTGTGGTTTTTCAGCCGGTTTTTTGTTTCTTTCTCTTAAGTCAAGGGACCTTCTGTTTAGATTTGTGCCTGGAAGCCCGATATGGAAAACACAGGAGCGGGGCTGCTCGCTCGCTGGGGTTGACTGGGGAAGGGGGTTGTGTTGCTGCCTGCTCAGCCCAAGGCACCTCTTTTTTTTTTTTTTTTTTTTTTTGGAGACAGGTCTCACTCTCCCAGGCTGGAATGCTGTGGCGCGATCTTCTCTCACTGCAACTTCCGCCTCCTTGGTTCAAGTGATTTTCCTACCTCAGCCTGCAGAATAGCTGGGACTACAGGCGTGTACCATCACACCTGGCTAATTTTTTTTTTTTTTTTGAGACAGTCTCCCTCTATTGCCCAGGCTGGAGTGCAGTGGTGCAATCTCACCACACTGCAACCTCCGCCTCCTGGGTTCAAGCAATTCTCCTGCCTCAGCCTCCCAAGTAGCTGGGACTACAGGTGCCCGCCACCACGCCCAGCTAATTTTTGTATTTTAGAGACGGGGTTTTACTATGTTGGCCAGGCTGGTCTTGAACTCCCAACCTCAGGTGATCCACCTGCCTCAGCCCCCCAAAGTGCTGGGATTACAGGTGTGAGCCACCGCGCCCGGCCTAATTTTTGTATTTTTTGGTAGAGATGGGATTTCACCATGTTGGCCAGGCTGGTCTCAAACACTCCTGACTTCAAGTGATCCTCCTGCCTCAGCCCCGCAAAGTGCTGGGATTTCAGGCGTGAGCCACCGTGCCCAGCCCCAAGGCATCTCTCTTTTTTTTTTTTTTTGACAGAGTCTCGCTCCGTGGTCCAGGCTGGAGTACAGTGGCGCAATCTCAGCTCATTGCAACCTCCGCCTCCTGGGCTCAAGCAATTCTCTGCCTCAGCCTCTCAAGTAGCTGGGATTACAGGCGCCCACCACCACACCGGGCTAATTTTTGTATTTTTAGTAGAGACGGGGTTTCACCATCTTGGCCAGGCTGGTCTTGAACTCCTGCCCTCATGATCCACCTGCCTTGGCCTCCCAAAGTGCTGGGATTACAGGCGTGAGCCACTGTGCCCAGCCTAGTTTTTGTATTTTTTAGAGATGGGGTTTCACCATGTTGGCCAGGCTGGTCTTGAACTCCTGACTTCAGGTGTTCCACCCGCCTTGGCCTCCCAAAGTGCTGGGATTATAGTCGTGAGCCACCGCACCCGGCCGGCATCTCTTTGAATAGTCTGAAAAGCATCCATCTAAATCCGGTTCAATTCTTTAGCTGGGTGCAGTGGCTCACGCCTGTAATCCCAGCACTTTGGGAAGTGGAGGTGAGAGAATTGTTTGGGCTCAGGAGTTCAAGACCAGACTGGGCAACAGAGTGAGACACTCTCTTTAAAAAAAAAAAAAAAGGCCAGGCACGGTGGCTTATGCCTGTAATCGCAGCACTTTGGGAGGCCGAGGCTGGCGGATCACGAGTTCAGGAGATCGAGACCATCCTGGGTAACAAGGTGAAACCCCGTCTCTACTATACAATACAAAAATTAGCTGGGTGTGGTGGCATGTGCCTGTAGTCCCAGCTATTCAGGAGGCTGAGGCAGGAGAATCACTTGAACCTGGGAGGCAGAGGTTGCAGTGAGCCGAGACCGAGCCATTGCACTCCAGCCTGGGTGACAGAGTGAGACTCCATCTCAAAAAAAAAAATAAATAAAAAACAAAAAACTAACTGGACATGGTGGCCTTTACCTATAGTCCCAGCTACTCAGGAGGCTGAGGTGGGAAGATTGCTTGAGCCCAGGAAGTTGAGGCTGCAGTGAGCCATGATGACTCTGCTGCACTCCAGCCTGGGCAACAGAGATCCTGTCTTTAAAAAAAAAAAAAATCTGTCTAATTATTTAGTTTTATAGCCAATACAACTTGGGCCCAGAGACAGTAAGTGACACACCCATGCTTATCCAGAGGGACGTCTAGTGCTGAGTCCTCTCATTTCCATGTCAGAACACTTCCTGTCTCACTGCACTGCTGCTGTTTTCTCTCTATACCCAGCAGGACCACATAGTTATTTCTACACCTCCAGGTACAGGGCCAGCCACACAGGAAGCCTCCAAAAAAGGACTAATGGAACCCAAATTTGATTCCCCACATCTCATATCCTTTCGTCCGGTTTGTGAACTAGTGCTCTGCAGGCCACGATGGCCCCAGGCAGGTGTGTTTCGTTTGGACTGCCCAACGTTTATTTTGTATTTGTTACCCACCGATTTCACTTTTTTTTTTTGAGATGGAGTCTTGCTTTGTCACCCAGGCTGAAGTGCAGTGGCACCACCTCGGATCACTGCAACCTCCACCTCCTGGGTTCAAGCGATGCTCCTGCCTCAGCCTCCTGAGTAGCTGGGACTACACGCGCACGCCACCACACCTGGCTAATCTTTGTATTTTTGTTTTTTTTTTTTTTTTTTCTGAGACAGAGTTTCACTCTTGTTGCCCAGGCTGGAGTGCAATGGCACGATCTCAGCTCACCGCAACCTCCGCCTCCCAGATTCAAGTGATTCTCCTGCCTCAGCCTCCCAAGTAGCTGGGACTAGAGGCATGCGCCACCACGCCCAGCTAATTTTATATTTTTTAGTAGTGATGGGGTTTCTCCATGTTGGTCAGGCTGGTCTCGAACTGCCGGCCTCAAGTGATCTGCCTGCCTTGGCCTCCCAAAGTGCTGGGATTACTGGCGTGAGCCACTGCACCCGGCCTAATTTTTGTATTTTTAGCAGAGACGGGGTTTCACCATGTTGGTCAGGCTGGTGTTGAACTCCTGACCTCGTGATCCGCCCAGTTGGGCCTCCCAAAGTGCTGGGATTTTAGGTGTGAGTCACCGCACCTGGCCTGATTTCACATTTTAAAACCTGCCACAGAATGGATGTCCAAACTGTCGTAGAAAAACCAGAGTTTCTGTAGCTGCACTGTCTGGTAGGGTAGCCAGTGGTTATGTGTGACTGTCAAGCCCCTGAAACCTGGCGAGTCCAAACTGAGGCGTGCTATTGGTGTAAATACACGATGGGTTTCAAAAACTTAGTACCAAAGAGTGGAAAATGCCTCACTAATAATTTTTATATTGATTACATGTTGAAATGATATTTTGGATATATTGACATAAATAAAATATTAAAATTAATTTCACTTGTTTCATTTTACTTTTTTTTTTTTTTTTGAGACAGAGTCTCATTCTGGAGTGCAGTGGCATAATCTTGGCTCACCGCAACCTCCACTTCCTGGTTTCAAGTGATTCTCGTGCCTCTGACTCCCAAGTGGCTGGGATTACAGGCATACCCGGCTAATTTTCGTATTTTTAGTAGAGACGGGGTTTCACCATGTTGGTCAGGCTGGTCTTGAACTTCTGGCCTCCTCAAGTGATCTGCCCACCTCAGCCTCTCAAAGTGCTGGGATTATAGGCATGAGCCACCGCATCCACCTTGTTTTACTTTTCTTAATGTGGCCACTAGACTATTTTAAACTCCCCTTGGGTGTCACATCAGATTTCAAGTGGACAGCACTGTTCTAGAAACCCCAGGCTGGCCAGGCGTGGTGGCTCATGCCTATAATCCCAGCACTTTGGGAGGCCAAGGCAGGAGGACTGCTTGAGCCCAGGAGTTCAAGACCAGCCTGGGCAACATAGTGAGATCCCATCTCTTCAAAAAAATTGAAAAATTAGCTGGGAGTGGTGGCACACACCTGTAGTCCCAGCTACTTTGGGGCTTGAGGCAGGAGGATTGCTTGATGCCAGGAGGTCAAGGCTGTAGAGAGCTATGATTGTACCACTGCACTCCAGTCTGGGCTGCAAAACGAGATGCCATCTCGGAAAAAAAAAAGAAACTCCAGGCCCCGTTACTGAATGTGCGCTGAGTGAAGGCTGCCCCTCCTGGATGTGGCCCTGTTCCCACTATTCCCTTAATAGGCGCTTCACCCACTGGGGTTTCCTGCCTGGCTCCTACAGGTAGGAACGTTTGTGGCCCGTGCCTGAGTCCCCCGCTTACCACTGGGGTTCTCCTGGAATGAAAACTCCTCCTCCCCAAAGATATTCTTTGAAATATTTGAAGACAAGGGTCTCCCTTGAATCTCATTCGCGGACTCAGCACCCCGTTCCTTCACTGACTCCTCACACGCCATGGTTTTTAGTCTTTGGTCACCATGAGGAGTGAAAGGGCTTGGGCTTGAGTGACAGGGCTGGGTCCCCTTGTTGGCCCTTCCTCTTGGTGCTCTCTCCACGGGTGGAAGCATTTTCTCTCTGAACTTTGGTTTCCTCAACTGTAAGAGGAGGCTCCTTGTGCCTCCCTCCCCTGGCCAGTGTGGGGACTCAAGGAGTAGTGACTTGACAGGACTTAGTGTGTAACAGGCCTGAAGAAAGTGCTTCCTGGCCGGGCACGGTGGCTCAGGCCTGTAATCTCAGCACTTTGGGAGGCCGAGGTGGGAGGATCACAAGGTCAGGAGTTCGACACCAGCCTGACCAACATGGTGAAACCCCGTCTGTACTGAAAATACAAAAATTAGCCAGGCGTGGTGGTGGGCATTACAGGTGCGCACCTGTAATGCCAGCTACTAGGGAGGCTGAGGCAGAAGAATTGCTTGAACCTGGAAGGCAGAGGTTGCAGTGAGCCAAGATTGCACCACTGCACTCCAGCCTGGGCGACACAGCGAGACTCTGTCTCAAAAAAAAAAAAAAAAAAAAAAAAAAGTGCTTCCCGCCTCTCACCACCTCCCATCCGTCACTATCAAGGTGGTGCCCCAGTGATGGTTCCAGGAGATGGTATGGAAATGTGACCCAGTGCAGAGACCCCAGCGGTGACCTTGTGGGATTCTTACCCACCCTCGCCACTCAAGCAACCAGAGTGGAACAGACATGAGAAGGACTGAGGGCTGTTTTTAGAAACCCTTCTGGAGGGAGGATTCTCTCTTTATTGATTTGGATAAGGATATTTAGTTGTCAGGCATCATAGCAAGCCGGGGGGACTTTGGAGCGGTCAGACAGGGGGACAGGGCAGAGCTAGCATAACTCAGGCTGTTGGGGCCAGTGGTGGGCATGTTCACAGGGCTGTTGGCAGAGGGCAAGGGGAGGGTGGTCAGCACCATGCCACCCTCATCCAGGAAGCGCTTGTAAGGGACTGGAGCATCATTTCGGAGGTCCTGGAATGCCAGGTAGGCCTGGAATATCTGTGGGCAGAAAAGCGCGTGCTGAAGGCTGACTTGGGCTGGGCAGGTCAGGAGAGGGACTGGGCTGGGGACTGGCCTGGGAAGGAGACAAAAGATACCGGTGTTTGGACTGCTCACTGCCCAGGAGCCCTAGGCCAAAGCACAGGCCCTGATGCTGGGCTGTGGCTGCTCAGAGGAAGCGGCACCTGGAAGGGACCAGTGGAGTCCTGGGGGAACCCCCGACCCCTGACCCCCAGGGGAGCTAAGTGAGAGCAGGAATGTTCTAGCCCTTTCAACCCCACCCTGCAGAGGGTGCCCTCCTAGGGAGGGGTGGTGGAGGGGCTTGTCCTCACCCAGACAAGGATGGAGAAGAAGGTGAAGGCGATGGCTGCCTGGGCACTGCTGCTCCCCAGGAGGAACTCTTTGGGCGGCGAATGCTGCCATTGGTTGGCCAGGAAGCAGAAACCCATGAACCAGACAACTGCCCAGAGAACTGTGGCGTCACAGGGAGAGAAAAGGGGCAGGGGGAAAGCTCACTCAGGCAGGGCTGCTGAGGCATGGGAAGGATGGGGCTGGTGGTCTTGCTGCACGAACTTCCACGAGGTATTGAAAAATACTTTTTTTATTAGCTTCTATGTTGACACATCTCCCACAAGTCATTCCCCAGTCCCTCCTAGCCTTCCCTAAAGTGAGCTGCTGGAGTAGAGTTGCGCTGTCTAATACAGGAGCCGCCGGCCTCATGCAGCGGTTTAAATTTCTATTCATTAACACAGGATTTTAGGCTAGGCGAGGTGGCTAACGCCTGTAATCCCAGCACTTTGGGAAGCTGAGGCAAGTGGATCACTCGAGGCCAGGTGTTCGAGACCAGCCCGGGCAACATGGCGAAACCCCGTCTCTACTGAAAAAACAAAAATTAGCCCAGCACGGTGGCGGGCACCTGTAGTCCCAGCTACTCAGGAGGCTGAGGCAGGAGAATCGCTTGAACCTGGGAGGCGGAGGTTACAGTGAGCTGATATTGCGCCTCTGCACTCCAGCCTGGGCGACAGAGCGCAACTCTGTCTCAAAAAAAAAAAAAAAAAATGTTTCTCAGCTGCACTGGCCACATTTCTTTTTTTGTTGTTGTTGTTATTGAGACAGAGTCTCGCTCTGTTGCCGAGGCTGGGGTGCCATGGCGCAATCTCAGCTCAGTGCAAGCTCTGCCTCCCGGGTTCAAGCGATTCTCCTGCCTCAGCCTCCCGAGTAGCTGGGACTACAGGCACTCGCCTCCCTGCCCAGCTAATTTTTGTATTTTTAGTGGAGACAGGGTTTCGCCATGTTGGCCAGGCTGGTCTCAAACTTCTGGCCTCAAGTTATCCACCTGCCTTGGCCTCCCAAAGTGCTGGGATTCCAGGTGTGAGCCACCGTCCCCGGCCAGCAGCTGCATTTCAAGTGCTTAATAGCCACGGGTGGTCAGTGGCTCCTGCATGAGAAGGCGCAGGGACAGAACATTTCCACCCTCACAGGGAGTTCTCCTGCACAGCACTAGATTCGATGACCTTCTAAGGCTCCCTTGGCCCTAAGTCACTGGGACTGGCCCAGTAGGGAGGAGGAGCGGCAGGGTGGGGAGGAGTTGAGATCAAACAGACTGAGAGGAAGGAGGTCAGGCCCCAAAGAAGGACACACATTTTGTGCTTGCTTATGCCAGGCTCCATCGGGAGTGTTTGGCAGTGGTTAGGAGGCAAGACTTTGGCTGGGCGTGGTGGCTCACGCCTGTAATCCCAGCACTTTGGGAGGCAGAGGTGGGTGGATCACCAGGTCAGGAGATCGAGACCATCCTGGCTAACACACTGAAACCCCGTCTCTACTAAAATACAAAAAATAATTAGCCGGGTGTGGTGGTGTGCGCCTGTAATCCCAGCTACTCAGGAGGCTGAGACAGGAGAATCGCTTGAACCCGGGAGGCGGAGGTTGCAGTGAGCCGAGACTGTGCCAGTGCACTCCAGCCTGGCGACAGAGTGAGACTCCATCTCAAAAAAAAAAAAAAAAAAAAGAGAGATTTTCTGTAAATGAGGGAAGCAAATGCAAAGAAGGCACGGGGCAGAAGGGAGGCTGCTATAATTTGTCTGGGGGTCAGAAGAGGTGACCCTTACCCAGGGTCTGAAGGATAAAAATAATTCCCCAGGAGGAGACAGCAGGTGCCAGGCACAGTGAGAAGCTCTGGGCCACTTGTGGTCAGATGCCTCCTACTGGGAGGACAGTCAGGGTGGAGGCCGGCTAGGTGGTGAAGGGTTGTGCCCGGGAGGCCCTGGGGAGCCAGGAGGGCTGTGAGCGGGAGGAGGGGCAGCTCTGGGTTGGGGGTCCTGGGGGCTCACCAGCCAGGATGAAGTCCAGGAGCTGGAAGGCTGTCTTGAAGCGGGTGCCGGCAATGCGGGTCTCCTGTGTGTCCAGGACGAGGAAGGCCAGGCAGCTGAGGAAGGCCAGGAAGCCGGCTCCCACGGCAAAGCTGCAGGCCACGCTGTTGCTGTTGAGAATGCAGTGGAGCTGCGGAGACTCCATCTTGTTCTGGTAGCCGTCGGTCAGCAGGGAGGAGAAGACGATCAGGGAGAAGACCTGTGGATTTCCAGGGGCCAGAGAAGAGCTCAGTCTCTCCCTGAAGCTGCTCCTCCTTCCTCCCTGGTGCTGTCGGTCTTTCCGTATACCCAGTCACTGGTCCGTCTGGACCTCTCCCTCTTTGACATTGTCACAGTGTCAGAGCCCTCAGCTTCCTGCCCCTCGTCCCCTCTGCTCCATCCTGGCTCAGGCCTCGTCTGCTCTCCTTGGCCCTTGCCCCAGCCTCCTCCCAGCCTCCCCACCTCCAGTCTTCCCCACCTCAGCACATCTCCACCATGGCCCCAGGGGAGTCTTTCCACACCCTGCCCCTCCCTGCCACAGCCCCTCATGGCTCCCCAGTGCCTCAGGACTGAGTCCCAGCCCTGAAGCCTGGCCTTGGAGGCCCTGCAGAGTCTCCGCTTCCCTCACTCTTCCAATTTCATCTCTCCTCACTCACCCCTGCCTCCCCCACACTCTCCTTCTGCCACCAAACCCAGGTACCCATATAAAATGCCTGGCACAGTGCCCGGGACATGGGAAGAGCTGAATCAGTGTTTGCAGTCGTGATTATTCTCTCTGCCTCTCAGCTCTTCCCTCTGGGGTGGTTCTGAGGACTAAACGAGAGGAGGCACTTAGAGCCCTTCCCTCTGCGACTTCTGTCTCTTCCCTCCTGGCCTCACTAATTCCTATTAATTTCTTAGGTTCATTTGCAAGATAGTCCAAGCATACAGAAAAATACGAAGAGAAACATAAGAAACACCCAGTGTCACCTGGCCAAACTAACACATATTAACATTTTGCCTTGTTTTTTGGCTTCGGGATTTTGTTTTAGACAAATACTACGACACTGATCTGGTAACCCTGTCCCTCTCGTCTGTTTTTTTTTTTGGAGACAGAGTCTGGCTGTCACCCAGGCTGGAGTGCAGTGGCGCCATCTCGGCTCACTGCAGGCTCCGGCCCCCGGGGTTCACGCCATTCTCCTGCCTCAGCCTCCCGAGTAGCTGGGACTACAGGCACCCGCCACCATGCCTGGCTATTTTTTTTTTTTGTATTTTTAGTAGAGACGGGGTTTCACCATGCCAGCCACGATGGTCTCGATCACCTGACCTCGTGATCCGCCTGCCTTGGCCTCCCAAAGTGCTGGGATTACAGGCGTGAGCCACCACGCCCGGCCATGCCTGTCTTCTATGTGTATTTGCTAAAAAAACCACGGAAACACTCTATAAACACTCACCCAGGTCATCCTTACAGCCACCCTAGGACACGGGCACTACTCACAGCCCTGTGTTTCAGATAATGGAACTGGGGCACAGAGAGGATAAGGAGTTGGCCGAATCCAATTAGCTGGCCAGTGGCTGGGCGAGGTGGCTCATGACTGTAATTCCAGCACTTTGGGAGGTTGAGATGGGAGGATCGTGTCAGGCCAGGAGTTTGAGACCAGCCTGGGCAACAGAGCGAGACCCAGTCTCTACAAAAATATTAAAAACAAAAATAGCTGGGTGTGGTGGTGCATACTTGTAGTCCCAGCTACTTGGGAGGCTGAGGCAGGAGGATCACTTGAGCCCAGGAGGTTGAGGCTGCAGTGAGCCATGATCATGCCACTGCACTCCAGCCGAGGCGAGAGAGCAAGACTCTGTCTCAAAACAAACAAACAAAAGGCCAAGCACAGTGGCTCACATCTGTAATCCCAACACTTGGGAGGCCAAGGTGGGAGGAATCGCTTGAGCTCAGGAGACCAGCCTGGGCAACAGAGTGATACCTAGTATCTACCAAAACTTCTTAAAAAAAAAAAATTAGCTCAGTGTGGTGGCATGCACCCGTAGTCCCAAGTACTTGGGGGGCTGAGGTAGGAGGATCACTTGAGACCCAGAAGTCAAGGCTGCAGTAAGCCCTGATTGTGCCACTGCACTCCAGGCTGGGTGACACAGTGAGGCCCTGTCTCAAAAAAAAAAAAAAAAATCAGCTGGTCAGTGTCAGAGCCTGGATTTGAACAGAAGTAGCCTGGCTTCTGAGTCTGCCCTTGACCTCTTGCTCTTCTTCCTCACACTGGACCACGCGCCTTGAGGGCGGGGGCTCCTATCAACGAAATTCGGTGAAAATTTGAAGCCCCAGTGATTTGTCCCAGATGGTCACAATGCAGCAGGGCAGGTCTGTGCCAGACAAAGACGAGCTGGTGTGTAGATGGGGTGGTGGGGAGGAGGCTGGGGCCTGGGGTGGGGGAGAGAGTCAAGGTGGAAGCCAGATTGAGGGCTGGATTTCAGGTGAGTTCTGAACTGGACCTTAAAGAACAAGGAGTTTCTCAGACAGACAAGAGGAGGAAGGGCATTCCCGGCAGGGTGGATGGCATGTGGAAAAGCCAGATGCTGCAGAGCGGGCAGTTTCAGAGATAAGAGAGAAACTCACTGGAGGGTTCTGGTGTGAGATGAGGCTGGAAAAGTGGGTGGGAGCCAGGCTCTAAGAGGCCCGGAACACCAGGGCCAGGAGCCGGACTTGGGGAGCCATGGAAAGCATTCAATATTATGCATGGGAGGATTCTGTGCAGGGGACAGCTGGGGTCAGCCTTGGGGTTAGAGAAGCCCTCTGGGGTCACGTGGCTGATGGATCGGAGGTGGGCAAGACAAGAGGCCAACATACCTGAGAGGAGGCGGGGAGGCCCAGGTGAGAAAGGCTGAGGCCAGAGCCCTGGGGAATTCAGTAATATTTAGCGTGTAAAATAGGACTTGGTGATTGATTGGAAGTGGCAGTGTTGGCGATAGGGGTTGGGGATGGCGGGGGTAGGCTAAGGGAAACAGACTGTTGAAAATCTTCTCTTTGGTCTGGTGTGGTGGCTCATGCCTGTAATCCCAGTGCTTTGGGAGGTTAAGGCGGAAGGATCATTTGAACCCACGAGGTCTGGACTGCAGTGAGCTGTGATCGCACCACTGCACTCCAGCCTGGGCAACAGAGTGAGACCCTGTCTCAAAAGAGAAGAAAAAGAAAATCTCCCCTTCGTTAGAATTGGAACTCTTCCTGGATAGGCTCCACACAGGACTCTCTCTCTCTTTTTTCTTTTTTTGAGACAGTGTCTCACTGTGTCTTGCAGGCCGGAGTGCAGTGGCGTGATCACGGCTCACTGCAGCCTCGACCTCCTGGGCTCAAGCAATCCTCCCACCTCAGCCTCCTGAGTAGCTGGGACTACAAGTGCGAAATACCATGCCTCACTCATATTTAATTTTTTGTAGAGACGGTATTGCTATGTTGCACAGGTGGGTCTCAAACTCCTGGCCTCAAGCAATCCTCCTGCCTTGGCCTCCCAAAGTGTTGGGATTACAGGCGTGAGCCACCTTGCCGGGCCCCTGCTCTCTATCCCCAGCACCCAGCGCTAGACTGGACTTCAGCAAATGTGTGTTGAAAGAGTGAATGGCTTTGGCTTGTCTTGACTCTTGCCCTGCCCTTCAGAGTGGAGATGGAGGAGGCAAAGAACGGACCCCTAAACTCCTGAGCTTCCGTCCATCCTCCCTTCTCCTTTGCCTTAATTGCCTTCTGTGAACAACAACAGCAGCAACACCCTGACTCCCTGTTTTTGCCTAGCCCTTCAGCAATAACCAAGGGTATTCACATCCATCATCTCACTTGATCTGCACAGCAACCCTTGGAGGGAGGCTGTAAGATGATTCTCCCTATTTTGGAGCAGAAGAACTGACTGTAGAGGGGGTGTGTCTGGCCCTGCTGGTCTGAGGCAGAGTCAGGTCGAGGACAAGAAAGCACATTGATCATTTTTGAGCCCATATTCATTTTACCTGCGTTACCTCCCTGGAACCTCACACCGGCCCCACGTGGTGGAGATTATTAATTCATTTCTGTTTCACAGGTGATAAATCGAAGCCATTTTGGTGGAGTGGAAAGAGCCAGATGCTTCTGACTGTGCCAGCTGTATGGCCTGGGGCAAATCACTCATCTCTTGGAGCCTCAGTTTCCTGGTCTGTTTCTATGCTATGAAAAGGAGGAATGTGGGGGTAGGGGCTTGGCTCTAGTAGGTGCTCAGGAAAATGGTCATTCTTGTGATTTGCCCAGAGAGGGAAGGCGTCCTCTCAAGGTCAGTAAGTGGTGAAAGGGGGATTGGAATCTAGCCCTCCTGACATCTAGGCCGGTGGGCTGTCTGTCCACTGACCCCCAAAACCCTGGGCTGTGACATGAGCCCGGGACACTGGAGATTTGAGGAGCAGGGGCTCATCTGGGCTAGAGGGACCCTATCCCTCTTAAGCTTCAGTCCAAACTCCTTCCATGCCCTCCCTGGCCTGTCCCTAGGGAGGGAGCAAAGATTTATCAGTTAAGGCACCAGCTGGCAGGCGGCAGCGAGGACAAGAGCACCAGCTGCCCAGAGACTCCCTACTGAGGAGCCAGGCCAGGGGGGAAGGAGGAGAGGGCGGGGGGGTAGGGACGGTGGAAGGAGGCGGCGGGCAAAGTCCGTGACCAGAACGTCTGGCATGGTTGGCGGCTCTTCCTCCTCCTTCCCCGCACCAGTCCACACCAGCTGGGCTTCCGTCTCCTTGCCACCCGCCCTGCCTTCCGAGGCTTTCCAGATAGGTGGGTGGATCCGAGTTGGACTTGCTCACCAGCTGGGTGATGTCCTTGGGCATGCCACTCAACCTCTGTGAGCCTCAGTTTCCCCTTGGGTTAAACAGGGATCATAATGCCTGTGTCACAGGGTTGTGGTGAGGAGTAGAGAAACTAACACCAGCGAAAGATCTGGTGCTGGGATGCGGTTTTCAAGATTCCCCTCTTTCCCTGGGGGAGGACAACGGACACAAATCTCAATCATCCTAGGCCCTCTCCTCACACACGGTAATGATTTGTTTTGATAATAATCACTATTTAAGCCTGGGTGCGGTGGCTCACGCCTGTAATCCCAACACTTTGGAAGGCCGAGGCGGGTGGATCATTTGAGGTCAGGAGTTTAAGACCAGTCTGGCCAACATGGTGAAACCCCATCTCTACTAAAAATACAAAAATTAGCCAGGCATGGTGGTGCACGCTGGTAATCCCAGCTACTCCGGAGGCACAAGAATTGCTTGAACCCAGGAGGCGAAAGTTGCAGTGAGCTGAGACTGCACCAACTGTACTCCAGCCTGGGTGACAGAGCAAGGGTCTGTCTCAAAAAAAAGAAAGAAAAAGAAAAAAAAATCACTAAGGAAAGATCACTACTTGCCTGGCCCATGCTAATCAGTTTATAGGCATTAATTTGTTACATTTTCACAATGATTCTTCCTAGGAGTAGATTATTAGGATCCTCTTTTTACAGACGAGAGTAAGGAGATGTTCAGAGAAATCACATAGCTTGCTCAGGGTCACACGGACACAGGGTGACCAGGCAAGCCATCAAACCAAAGGGGCACTTTTGAGAAAGAAAGTTGCTGCTGCTGGTAAGGACATCAGGCCTGGCCCAGGTAAACTGGGCAGTATGCCACTTTGCATGGACAGCACGTGCCTGAGCCAGGATTCCAGGCCTGTTTGTTCCTTCTCCAAGCTCAGGCTCTAGAAGGGGCAGAGAGGAGATACTCTGGATTAGCACTCTGGGGGTGGAGACCCTGGGTCTGAGCCGGGGAACTCCACCTACTCCTAAGACCTCGATCAAGTCTCAACATCTCCCTGGGCCTTAGTTTCCAATTCTGTTAAAGCGGAGTGGTGGAAGCAGCACAGGTTAAAGGTCAGAGCCACAGCCCTAACCCTTCATGTACTGAGATCCAGAGATGAACAGTGATTGGTTCAAGATCACACAGCAAAGTCTGGGCTGAATGAGGATTTGACTCCAGGTGTCCAGATTCTTCAGGAGTGTGGGGATGATGAAATGAACGGTGGCATGGTGCCTGGCACACGGTTACCACCCAACATCTGGCACTTCAGGGCTGCACTCCTTATTCTCTTCCTAGAAGCCCCAGCCCCTGTTCCTCTCCTTCTCCTCCTCCCTCAACTGGGAGGTGGAAAATAAATGGGCTCTGGCATCTCACAGATCTGAGTTTGAATCCTGCCCCTGCCTGTTACTGCGTGACCTTAGCCAATGCTGTCTAATAGAACTCTCTGGCATGATGAAAATGTCCCATATCTGCACTAATTTTTTTTTTTTTTTAAATGGAGTCTCGCTCTGTCGCCCAGGCTGCAGTGCAGTGGTGTGATCTCGGCTCACTGCAAGCTCCACCTCCCGGGTTCACGCCATTCTCCTGCCTCAGCCTCCAGAGTAGCTGGGACCACAGGCGCCTGCCACCACACCCAGCTAATTTTTTTGTATTTTTAGTAGAGATGGGGTTTCACCGTGTTAGCCAGGATGGTCTCGATCTCCTCACCTCACGATCCGCCCGCCTCGGCCTCCCAAAGTGCTGGGATTACAGGTGTGAGCCACCGTGCCCAGCCACAATTTTTTTTTTTTTTTTTGAGACAGAGTCTCACTCTGTCACCGAGGCTGCAGTGCAACCTCCGCCACATGGGCTCAAGCCATCCTTGAGCCTCAGCCCCCTAAGTAACTGGGACTACAGGCTTGCGCCACCATGCCTGGATAATTTTTGTATTTTTAGTAGAGATGGGTTTTCGCCATGTTGGCCAGGCTGGTCTCGAACTCCTGACCTCAAATGATCTGCCTGCCTTGGCCTACCAAGGTGCTGGTTTTACAGGCATGAACCACCACACCCAGCCTGTACTGTCTAATATGAGAGTCCCCAGCCACATGTGGCTGTTGAGCACCTAAAATGTGGCCACTGTGAGTGAAGAATGGACTTTTATTTTAATTAGTGCAAAGTGAGGTAGCCACATGTGGCTGTGGCTACCCCACTGGACATCCCAGATTTAAAAAATTTACTTAGGCTGGGCGCGGTGGCTGACACCTATAATCCCAGCACTTTGGGAGGCTGAGGTGGGCAGAACACTTGACGTCAGGAGTTTGAGGCCAGCCTGGCCAACATGGCGAAACCCCATCTCTACTAAAAATACAAAAATTAGCCAGGCGCAGTGGCGCACACCTGTAATCCCAGCTACTTGGGAAGCTGAGGCAGGAGAATCGCTTGAACCCAGGAGGTGGAGTTCCAGTGAGCGGAGATCACGCCACTGCTTTTTGCACTCCAGCCTGGGCAACAGAGCGAAACTGTTTCTTTCTTTTCTTTTTTCTTTTTTTTTTTTTTGAGATGGAGTCTGGCTCTGTTGCCTGGGCTGGAGTGCAGTGGTATGATCTCCACTCACTGCAAACTCCACCACCCGGGTTCGAGTGATTCTCCTGCCTCAGCCTCCTCAGTAGCTAGGATTACAGGTGTGTGCCACTATGCCTGGCTAATTAAGATTGTTTCAAAGAAAAAAAATTTACTTAACTTTTCTAAGCCCTAGTTTTGTTATCTCAGAGATGGGACTTGCAGCACCTACTGTGAGGGCTGTTCCTTACTATGAGAGTCCATCAGTGCCTCAATAGCATAGGGCCTATAGTGGGGTGCTCAGGAAAAGGTGGTGTCAGCATTTGCTCCGTTGTCTTGTTTCCCCGTCTGACCCCTTCCTTGTCCTCCCATCTCCCGCACTGTGTCTGGGAGTTGAGAGCTCCTGGCTCCTGTCACCCAGGGGCACAGTCGGGCCATGGGAGGGCCTCACCCCTTCGAAGACCCGCGTGATGGTCTTGGGCCTTCTCAGAAACTGCACGGCTTCGCTGTTGGCCAGCTCCTGGAGGCTTTTGGGGATGTGCATGGCAGCTGTTTTCCTTTGGGGCCACTGGGAGGTGGGAGCCAGGGTGCTGGGCGCTGCCTGCTGGGCACTGCCGTCCGGGGGCTTCAGGCCAGCCCTGGGCTTGGCTGCTGTGGGATGACACAGATGGGGGATGCCAGTCAGGGGCACGGGGTGGAAGGGCTGTTGGGGGCCCCAGGATTGGGGGACATGGGGTGGGGATGGGGGGGGTCCCCGGAATGGAGTTGTGTGGGGTGAGGGGACTGCTGAGCCTCTTAGGAGTCAGGGTGTGGGGTGAATGGGCTGTCAGGGGCCCCAGAAGTCGGGGACGTAGGATGGGGGTGCAGGTGGGTCCCAGGGAATGAGGTTGTGTGTGCTGAGGGGGCTTCTGTGGGCCCCAGGAGTGGGGGGCATAGGATGGGGGTGCTGGGGGTCCCAGGAATGGGGTTGTGTGGTGAGGGGGCTACTAGGGGTCCCAGAAGTGGGAGGCATAGGATGGGGGTTCTGGGGGGTCCCAGGAAAGGTGTTGTGTGGAGAGGGCTGCTAGGGGTCCCTGAAGTGGGGGACATAGGATGCGGGTGCTGGGGGTTCCCAGGAATGGGGTTGTGTGTGGTGAGGGAGCTTTCTGGGGGTCCCAGGAGAGGGGGGCATAGGATGGGGATACTAGGGGTCCCAGGCAAGGTGTCGTGTGGGGAGGGCTGCCAGGGGTCACAGAGGTGGAGGTGCAGGATGAGAGAGTCGCTAAGGGTCCCCTGGGTTGAGGTGTGGGTTAAGGGGGTCTATGGAGGATTCCAGAGAGGTGAGGGCCTGGGGTGAGGGTGATTCTGGGGGTCCCAGGAGTGGGGGACATAAGTGAAGGGGCTGCTTCAGGTTCCAGAAGTCAGGAATGTGGGCTGAGGGGGTTGTTGGGCGAGAGGGCTGTCAGGGATCCCAGAGGTGGAGTGCAGGGGAGGGCTGGGATATTTGGGGACCACGTCTTGTGACCCAGGAGCTGAAGGGCCTGCAGAGGGACTGGGTCCTTCTGTGAGAGGACACAGGTGGGACTTTCTGGGGACTAGGGGGTGCGGCCATTGAGATCAGAGCCCCTGGGAGGTCTGAAACCGAATAATCCCTTTCAGGTTTGGGGGTGACAGCACCCTTCGTGGAGAACCCAGGTATCTCAGGGCATATTTCAGGCTGTCCTTGTCACTTGGGGCCATTTCCCAGAATAAGGGCCTCCCTTTCGAATTCAGCTCCATTTTCACGGAAGTGCACCTCCTCAAGCTGGGAGTCGGGACCTCGGATTTGTGGGGAACCTCAGAATGAGGCCACGCCCCGGCACTGGGCTACCTTCTTAGAATCGCGGTCTCCCCTTTAAGGACCTGGAATGGCAGTGCTGAGGTTTGGGGGTGACGGCACCTGAGAAGGGGCCGCCCCTTCTCTGGAGGGCCAATCTGCGTCACCTGAGGGCCCGCCCTTCCTTTCGCCACCCCCACCCCTCCTGGTCCCTAGCGCCACCTCAGCCTTCTTTTGGTTCCGCTTTTTCCCGCCTTTTCGCTCCTCCACAGCTGATTGGCTGCGCCCAAGTCCCGCCCCCTCCCTCTTTCCGCCTACTCAGGAGCTGACACGAGCCGGGGCGTGGCCTCGGCGAACGTTGGACTGCGCGCCGTTGGCGGACTGCGCGCGGGAGCCCTACCCCGCCCCATCCCTCTAGGGAGTCTCGCGTCCACACCGCCCCTTCCCTTTGTAGCAAGCTGACAAGGAGACACTCCTGCGGCGCATGCGTCGCGCCCAAACGAGGCCGGCGGTGGAGAAAGGCAGGCAACGCATGCGTAGTTGATGTAGGGAGTCGGCGGTGAGAAATGGACAGCCCGCATTGACCGAAGCTTTGCGCATGCGTTTTACTGCTGGGTGAAGCCGAACCTCGGGAGCCCAGGACGCCCTCCTGCACATGCGCAGGAGGCTCAATGACAGTCGAGCTTTGGCTAAGGTGAGGGAGAAATCGGGGGATTGCATGGCCAGGGAGGGCGGCCCTGCACCCCCTAGGTAACCTTTACGAGCATTTCCTGCTCTCCTAAGATCTACCTCGCTGTCTAGACCCCAAAGAAACGTTGTACCACTACAGGGTCTCTGGGCCTGAAAAACGCCCCAGAACCTAAGACCTCTGACCCCTGTCTGGGACCCAGGCCAACTGAGCAGTGTGGGAAGGGGACAGGCAACAGGGGCTTTGAGGCGAGCGGATGGGCTCTGCGCCCTGCCTGGGGTAGAGACGGCTTCTGGAGGGTGGGACGTGGAGGTGGAGAGGGCGCTTTTCCTCTAGATGGCCTTTGACCCCTGCCCATTTTCCTCTGTTTAGGCTCCGGGGAAAGGGTCTAGCCATGCTGCATGTGACCCGGGGGGTCTGGGGGTCCAGGGTCCGAGTATGGCCACTGTTGCCCGCGCTCCTCGGGCCCCCCCGGGCCCTCTCATCGCTGGCAGCCAAAATGGGGGAGTATCGCAAGATGTGGAACCCCAGGGAGCCCCGCGACTGGGCCCAGCAGTACCGCGAGCGCTTCATTCCCTTCTCCAAGGAGCAGCTGCTCCGCCTCCTAATACAGGTACCGCCTGTCCCAGGCCCAAGAGCCTGGGGACTACGGCTCCCAGCAGGCTTCGCGGCGGCAGGGCCCTAGTTGCTGCAGAGAGCTGCCCTGGCGCCTCCTGGGAGTTGTAGTTCCCGGGTCCCTTCGTGTTTCCCTAGTGGGCGGGAGATGAGCTGGAATGCAGGAGCCAGGTCTCCGAGATGCAGACGCAGCATCCATTCCCAACTCTGGCTTGTTCTGAGGGCTTGAACAGGCACTCTCTGGGGCATGGTTTTTCCCTCTTTAAGATGGGTATAGTAATCATCCTCATCATTACTATTTCTACTACCTGATAATAATTGTACCTATAAAGTCACAACGCTGTAATCATAATTATTATCACACAATTTGAGCTCTGACTCCATGGCACTGTGCCAGACATTTTTCATGTATTGTTGAATCATCAGTAAGAGAGATACCACCATCATCCCCATTTTACAGATGAGATAATGGAAGCATAGGGAAGGAAAGTGACTTACCCAAGGCCACAACATAGTGGCTTAGATTTGAACCAAAGTGGTCTGACTCCAGAGCTGGCCCAGGACTAGGGTTAGGCAAGTAGGGCACTCGCTTGACCCTAAGAGTGAGTGCCCCGTTAAATTTTGCACCCTTGGGTGCCATATTCACCTCATCCTAGTCTTGGTCTCACTCTAGAACCTGAGGTCTTATTGCCACCATCATCATCATTGTCATTATTGAGGATTTTGAGGATTATTATTCATTTATTTTTCTTTATTTATTTTTGTGAGACAGGGTCTCACTCTGTTGCCCAGACTGGAGTGCAGTGGCACAATCTCAGCTCACTGCAACCTCTGCCTCCTAGACTCAAGTGATCCTCCTTCCTCAGCCCCCGAGAGGCTGGGACTCTTGCCTGGCTAATTTTTGTATTTTTAGTAGAGACAGGGTATTGCCATGTTGGCCAGGCTGGTCTCGAACTCCTGGCCTCAAGTGATCTGCCCATCTTGGCTTCCCAAAGTGCTGAGATTACAGGTATGAGCCACCACACCTCACCATCATTCATTAATTTAACATTTATTTACTGAACACCTACTGTATGTACTCAATTCTGTGCTGGACTTGATACACACACAAATACACACACACAAATACACACAAGTATATGCATACAAGTACACACACAAATACACAAATATGTGTACACAAATACACAAATATACACATACAAATGCACACACACAAATACACGCACACACAAATATATGCACACAAAAGTACACAAATATACACACATAAATATACAAATATATGCACATATATGTAAACACATGTGTATATAGGACATGTGTAATCTCATCAAATTCTCACCGTAGCCCTCCAAGAAAGAGCGTGTAATCCTCTGTTGCCAGTGAGGAAACTGAGGCTCAGAGAAGTGAAGACAATTACCCAGGACATTGACATAGGAAACATAAAGAAGTGGTTCAAGGCCGGGCGCGGTGGCTCACGCCTGTAATCCCAGCACTTTGGGAGGCCGAGGCGGGCAGATCACGAGGTCAGGAGATTGAGACCATCCTGGCTAACACGATGAAACCGTCTCTACTAAAAATACAAAAAATTAGCCGGGCGAGGTGGCAGGCTCCTGTAGTCCCAGCTACTTGGGAGGTGAGGCAGGAGAATGGTGTGAACCCGGGAAGCGGAGCTTGCAGTGAGCCGAGATCGTGCCACTGCACTCCAGTCTGGGCAACAGAGCAAGACTCCATCTCAAAAAAAAAAAAAGAAGAAGAAGTGGTTCAAGGCCAGGCATGGTGGCTCACGCCAGTAATCCCAGCACTTTGGGAAGTCGATGCAGGTGGATCACCTGAGGTCATGAGTTTGAGACCAGCCTGGCCAACATGGTGAAACCCCGTCTCTATTAAAAGTACAAAAATTAGCTAGGCGTGGTGGCAGGCGCCTATAATCCCAGTTACTTAGAAGGCTGAGGCAGAATTGCTTGAACCGTGGAGGAAGAGGTCGCAGTGAGCTGAGATCATGGCCGCTGCACTCCAGCCTTGGCAACAGAGTGAGACTCCTTCTCAAAAAAAAAAAAAAAGGAAATGGTTCAATGTGTACCCTGGAGTCAGACAGGCCTAGATAGCAGTCATTTCCCACAGACACTGCAGCCCTTACCAAATGACTTTTCCAGAGCCTCAGTTTCTCCCACTGACAAATGGGAGTTATAATTCCATCAACCTTGGGGGTATGGTGGCTCAGCCTCCCAGCACTTTGGGAGGCTGAGGTGGGAGGATTGCTGGAGCACAGGAGTTCAGACCAGCCTGGGCAATATAGTGAGACTCCACCTTTACAAAAAATTGAAAAAAATTCGCCAGGCATGGTGGTGGGCACCTGTAGTCTTAGCTACTCAGGAGGCTGAGGTGGGAGGATCGCTTCATCCCAGGAGGTTGAAGATGCAGTGAGCTGAGATTGCACAACTGAGCTCCAGCCTGGGTGACAGAACGAGACTCTGTCTCAACATAATAATAATAATAATTCCATCTACTTCTGGAGGATGATATTACACTGTCAAACCGTTCCTGGAATTGTGTGTGTGTGTATTGGCTAGGAAATGTCAAAGCAAAAACTTGAACCTCCAGCTTTTTAAGCCCAGTATAGTTTTTCACTATATTTGGCTGCCTCAGTTTCAGTAAAATTGGTCAGCCCCCACCCAACCAAAACAAAACTTTTTTTTTTTTTTTTTTTGAGACAGAGTCTTGATGTTGTCTAGTCTGGAGGGCAGTGGCACGATCTCGACTCACTGCAGCCTCCGCCTCCCTGGTTCAAGCAATTCTCCAGCTTCAGCCTCCTGAGTAGCTGGGACTACAGGTGCATGCCATCACGCCCGGCTAATTTTTGTATTTTTAGTAGAGACAGGATTTCACCATGTTGGCCACGCTGGTCTTGAACTCCTGACTTCAAGTGATCCACTGCCTCGGCCTCCCAAAGTGCTGGGATTACAGGTGCGAGACACTGCGCCCAGCCCCAGAACAAAACTTCAAAGTCCAGAGCTCTGATTGTGTAGTTAGGCAGCCAGGGAAAGAATTCTTTCCCTCGGGGAAGGGGAAAAGGCCTACAGAGAAGTTTTGCTTCCTGAGGTAACAGGAATTCCACTCGAGTCCGGCAGAGAAGGCGGCTTTGGAGGCGTTCTCGGCCCACGTGGACTTCTGCACCCTGTTCCACTACCACCAAATCCTGGCCCGGCTGCAGGTGAGGACGGGGCCCTTCCAGCCCTGTGGTGCTTGTTCGAGCATCCGCTCATTTAGCAAACATTCCCTGACACCTTCTTGGAGCCTGGCCCTTATTTTAAGTGCTGGGGATTCAATAGTGAACATGACAGGTGAAGTGACGCCCTCATGGAGCCAACATTCCAAGTGGGGAGACAAGGAATCAAATAAATATAAAATATGATGCCTGGTGGTGATAAGTGCCATGAACAATGAGGCGGAGTAGTGAGATAAAGAGGGATGAGATGGGTCGGGCGCGGTGGCTCACGCCTGTAATCCCAGCACTTTGGGAGGCTGAGGCGGGTGGATCACAAGGTCAGGAGATCGAGACCATCCTGGCTAACACGGTGAAACCTCGTCTCTACTAAAAATACAAAAAAATTAGCTGGGCGTGGTGGGGGGCGACTGTAGTTCCAGCTACTCGGGAGGCTGAGGCAGGAGAATGGCATGAACCCGGGAGGCGGAGCTTGCAGTGAGCCAAGATTGCGCCACTGCACTCCAGCCTGGGCGACTGAGGAAACTCTGTCTCAAAAAAAAAAAAAAAACAAAGAGGGGTGAGATGGGGCCTGTTTCAGACGGGGTGGGTGGGGAAGGGCTCCCCAAGGAGGTGACATGTGGGCTAAAGGCTTAGTGAAGAGGGGGAACGAGCCTGATGAATGCCTGGGGGAGGATGTTCTTGGCAGATGGAAGAGCAAGTGCAAAGGCCCTGAGGTGAGTGGAGGCCTGGAGTATTGAACAGTGAGGAGGCCACTGTGGCTGCAGGAGAGTGAATGTGCGGGGAGGGTGGGATATGAGGGCAGAGGGGATGGGGACAGATCGTACTGGGCCTTGTGGGCCACTGTGAGGACCTTGCTTTGTTTTTTTGTTTGTTTGTTTTTGTTTCTCAGATGGAGTTTTTGTTCTGTTGCCCAGGCTGGAGTGCAGTGGTGCGATCTCAGCTCACAGCAAACCTCCGCCTCCCCAGTTCAAGCGATTCTCCTCCCTCAGCCTCCTGAGTAGCTGGGACCACAGGCGTCCACGACCTCCCCCTGCTAATTTTTGTACTTTTTGTAGAGACTGGGTTTCACCATGTTGGCCAGGGTGGTCTTGAATTCCTGACCTCAAGTGATCCACCCGCCTTGGCCTCCCAAAGTGTTGGGATTACAGGCGTGAGCCACTGTGCCAGGCCGAGGACCTTGCTTTGACTCTGAGTGAGCCGGGAGCCATGGGAGGGCTCTGAGCTGAGGAGAGATGTGAGCAGCGGATTTAGGTGTTAACAGGATTTCTCTGGCTGCAGTGTAGGGAACAGACTATCAGAGGCAGGGACATCTATGAAAGAGTCTATTATATTTGTCTAGGGGAGAGATAATGGAAGCTCCGACAAGGGTAATAGCGATGGAAATGGTGAAAAACGGTCAGATGCTGGTTATGTTGGAAGGCATCAGCGTTTTGCTGATGTGCTGGCTGTGGGGGTGTTCTGGGGAGGAAGAGAGAGGAGTAGGGGTGCGTCTCCAGCAGTTCTGGCCTGAGCCTCCTGGAGGATGGAGCTGCCATTTACTGGGATGGGGGAGACCGTGGTGGGATGGGGAGAAAGATCTGCAGGGAGGACTGAGAGCTCAGTTTTGGACTTAAGAATTTGAGCTACCATTTATTTATGAATTTATTTATTCTAATATATTTTTTTTTTTTTCTGAGACAGAGTCTCACTCTGCTGCCCAGGCTAGAGTGCAATGGTGCGATCTTGGCTCACTGCAACCTCTGTCTTCCGGGTTGAAGTGATTCTTGTGCCTCAGTCCCCCGAATAGCCAGGATTACAGGCGTGTGTCAGTACGCCTGGCTAATTTTTGTATTTTTAGTAGAGATGGGGTTTCACCATGTTGCTCAGGCTGGTCTTAAACTCCCGACCTCGTGATCTACCTGCCTTGGCCTCCCAAAGTGTTGGGATTACAGACGTGAGCCACCGTGCCTGGCCCATTCTTTTTTAATTAAAACATTTTTTATTTCAGTAGTTTTTGGGGTACATGTGCTTTTTGGTTACATGGATGAATTCTGTAGTGGTGCATTCTGAGATTTTGGTGTGCCCATCACTAGAGCAGTGTACACTATACCCAATATGTAGTCCCTCACCCCCATCCCAACCCCCCTCCCTGAGTCCCCAAATTCCATTATATCACTCTGTGTATCTTCGCACCCTCATAGCTTACTTAGCTTCCACTTATAAAGTGAGAATACGGCTATTTGGTTTTCCATTCCTGAGTTACTTGACTTAGAATAATGGCCTTCCAACTCCATCCAATTACTGCAAGAGACATTATTTTGTTCCTTTTTATGGCTGAGTAGTATTCCATGGTGTATATAGACCATATTTTCTTTATCCATTGAGCTGCCTTTTAGAAAGGCAGGTAGAAAGATGGACTTGAGGCCGGGCGTGGTGGCTCATGCCTGTAATCCCAGCACTTTGGGAGGACAAGGCAGGCGGAGCATGAGGTCAGGAGATCGAGACCATCCTGTCTAACACGGTGAAACCCTGTCTCTACTAAAAATACAAAAAAAAATTAGCCGGGCGTGGTGGCGGGCGCCTGTAGTCCCAGCTACTCGGGAGGCTGAGGCAGGAGAATGACGTGAACCCGGGAGGCGGAGCTTGCAGTGAGCCAAGATTGCGCCACCGCACTCCAGCTGGGCGATAGAGTGAGACTCCGTCTCAGAAAAAAAAAAAAAAAAAAAAAGAAAGATAGACTTGAATATGTGGATCTGGAGGTGAAGGGAGAGGTCTGGGCTGAGAAACTGCTGTGGGAGGATCTATTAATAGATGGTAGTACTGCCGGGCGCGGTGACTCACGCCTGTAATCCTAGCACTTTGGGTGGCCAAAGCAGGTGGATCAGCTGAAGTCAGGAGTTCGAGACCAGCCTTGCCAGCATGACGAAACCCTGTCTCTACTGCAAATACAGAAATTACCAGCCTGACCAACATGATGAATCCCCGTCTCTACTAAAAATACAAAAATTAGCCAGGTGTGGTGGCATGTGCCTGTCATCCCAGCTACTCAGGAGGCTGAGGCAGGAGAATCGCTTGAACCCAGGTGGCGGAGCTTGCAGTGAACCGAGATCGCGCCACTGCACTCCAGCCTGGGTGACAGAGTGAGACTCCATCTCAAAAAAAAAAAAAAAAAAAAAAAAAAAAAGGCCAGGTGCTGTGGCTCACGCCTGTAATCCCAGCACTTTGGGAGGCCGAGGCGGGCGGATCACCTGAGGTCAGGAGTTCGAGACCAGCCTCAACATGGAGAAACCCCGTCTCTACTAAAAATACAAAATTAGCTGGGTGTGATGGTGCATGCCTGTAATCCCAGCTACTCGGGAGGCTGAGGCAGGAGAATTGCTTGAACCTGGGAGGAGGAGGTTGCAGTGAGCCAAGATCGCACCATTGCACTGCAGCCTGGGCAATAAGAGTGAAACTCCATCTCAAAAAAAAAAAAAAAAAATTACCTGGGCCTGGTAGCGCATGTCTATAATCCCAGCTACTTGGGAGGCTGAGGCAGGAGATCGCTTGAACCCAGGAGGCGGAGGTTGCAGTGAGCTGAGATTTTGCCACTGCACTATCCAGCCTGGGTGACAGAGCAAAATTCTGTCTCAAAAAAAAAAAAAAAAAGGAGGGCCGGGCGTGGTGACTCACGCCTGTAATCCCAGCACTTTGGGAGGCCAAGGCTGGCAGATCACGAGGTCAGGAGATCGAGACCATCCCGGCCAACATGGTGAAACCCTGTCTCTACTAAAAGTACAAAAATTAGCTGGGCATAGTGGCGCTGTAATCCCAGTAGCTGTAATCCCAGCTACTCAGGAGGCTGAGGAAGGAGAATCACTTGAACCCAGGAGGCGGAGGTTGCAGTGAGCTGAGATTGTGCCACTGCACTCCAGCCTGGGCAGCAGAGTGAGACTCCATCCCAAAAAAAAAAAAGAAAAAAAAAGGAAAAAGGCACATGGGGCAGAATCCAAGACAGACCAGGCGTGAGCGTCCAGCTGTCCTCTCCCGGTGGAGTCATGGACGGCACTTAATTCTCCCAGCAAGATGTGTGACAACACGCAAGCAGTACTGCCAACCAGGGATGCTCCTGTAAGCCTGGGTGGCCAGGGTTTTTACTGGGGGTCAGTCACATATGCATGGTGGCTGACCTGAGACTCCAGCCCCTCCGAGGTCAAACTGATGCTCAGTGGCTCCAGGCCCTGACCATAGATGACAACATTAACACACAGCATCCAGTGTGGCCCCAGGCCCCAGGTAAACCAAGACACTCTTATCAGTCAGGACATTCCAAGGGCTTAGAGGTTCCCTCCCAGAAGCTGGTCCAGGGCCGGTCCTTTCTTTGGAATGTGCGGGGTTTGGACAACCCAGGCCTGCTGCATTCACCCCTCGCCACATCCCACCACTGCCTTCTGCAGCTCCGCACTTTGCTTTGAATAATAACAACCCCAGCAACAGTGGCCATCACAGCCCCTTGTTGCTGAGCGCTTGCTGTGTCTGGCTTATTGACTCCTTCCTGCAGTGCGGAGAGACAGCCGCCATCAGCCCATTCATACATGGAGAAACTGAATGTCTCAGAGGGCCCGGGTTGTGCCCAGGATCACACAGTTCATAATTGGTGGAGTCGAGATCAAGCCCCCGTCTGCCTGCCTCCAAGCTCTTCCACAGGGCACCTATGGCCTCTGGAGCCACGGTTGTTTTTTTCTTTTTCTATTTTTTTAAAAGTTAAGGCTGGGCTTGGTATGTCTTGTCTGTGATCTGAGCACTTTGGGAGGCCGAGGTAGGCGGATCACTTGAGCCCAGGAGTTCGAGACCAGTCTGGCAAACGGTGAAACTGTCTGTACTAAATATATAAATATCAGTCGGTTGTGGTGGGGGGTGCCCGTAGTCCCAGCTACTCAGGAAGCTGAGGCATGAGAATCACTTGAACCATGAGAATCACTTGAACCCGGGAGGTGGAGGTTGCAGTGAGCCAAGATCACGCCACTGCACTCCAGCCTGGGTGACAGAGCAAGATTCTTAAAAAAAAAAAGTTAAAAAAAGCCTATTTTATTATAGAAATGTATAAATATATAGAAATGTAGAAAGAACATAAGTGAATAAGCATATATCTCCCAGGCAGGAGATTTTAAACAGAGGCAGGGGCAGGGTAGAAGTGGCAGAGGCGGGTGAGGCCCGCTGGGTGACCATTTGCTGATGACTTAAGTCCTTTGAAGATGTGGCCTGGGCAGGGAAAGAAGCAGCATAGCCTCGGTTCAAACAATAGCTTGGTTGTTCACTAGTGGTGCGGGTGACCTTGGCGGGTGACCTCTCTCTGATCTTTTTTCGCTGATTCATTCATTCATTGAGTTCGCTCAGTAAATATTTATTGAGCACCTACTGTGTCTCTGGAATGGCTTGAGGCTCTGGGAGACAGTGGACAGCATGAGAGATGTACCTCACAGGCTCTGTTCTACTGAGGAAGAGACCAGCAACAAGGTACAGAAGTGAAATTTGGCCGGGCACAGTGACTCACGCTTGTTATTCCAGCACTTTGAGAGGCCGAGGTGGGCGGATCACTTAAGGTCAGGAGTTCGAGACCAGCTTGGCCAACATGGTGAAACCCCATCTTTACTGAAAATACAAAAATTAGCTGGGTGTGGTGGCGGGTGCCTATAGTCCCAGCTACTCGGGAGGCTGAGGTAGGAGAATCACTTGCACCCAGGAGGCGGAGGCTGCAGTGAGCTGAGATCGCACCACTGCACTCCAGCCTGGGTGACAGAGCAAGACTATGTCTCAAAAAAAAAAAAAAAAAAGAAAAAGTCTGGGCGCGGTGGCTCACGCCTATAATCCCAGCACTTTGGGAGGCCGAGGCAGGTGGATCACATGAGGTCAGGATTTCGAGACCAATCTGGCCAACATGGTGAAACCCCGACTCTACTAAAAATACAAAAATTAGCTGGGTGTGGTGGCACATGCCTGTGATCCCAGCTACTCCGGAGGCTGAGGCAGGATAATTACTTGAACCCGGGAGGCGGAGGCTGCAGTGAGCCAAGATCGCACCACTGCACTCCAGTCTGGGCAACAGAGTGAGACTATGTCTCAAAAAAAAAAGAAGTGAAATGTATTAAAAGATGTTTCCTTGTGGAGGCCCTGAGAGGGAAGCATCTATGGTGTCTCTCCTGGCTTCCTGTAGCTGCCAGCAACCCTTGGTGCTCCTTGGCTTGTAGATGAGTCACTCCAACCCCTGTCTCCATCTTCCTGTGGCTGCCTTCTCGGTGTCCTATGTGTGTCCTTTTCTGTCTCTTATAAGGACACTCTCATTGGATTTAGGTTCCACCCTAATTTAGTATGATCTCATCTGTATCTTTACCTTAATTCTACCTGCAAAGACCCTATTTCCGAATGAGATCATATTCTGAGGTTCCAAAGGGATGTAAATTTTTAGGGGACAACATTCAACTCATTATACCCAGTAAATTTGAATTTCAGATAAACTATGTGTAATTTTTTAGTACAGTGGAAGTGTGTCCTATGCAATACAGTCATCCAATATTGCATGGGATGTAGTTAAACTAAAAAAATCGTTTGTTGTTGGGCCGGGCATGGTGGCTCACACCTGTAATCCCAGCACTTTAGGAGGCCAAGGCGGGTGGATTGCTTGAGGTCAGGAGTTCGAGACCAGCCTGGCCAACCTGGTGAAAACCCGTCTCTACTAAAATACAAAAAAAAAATTAGCTGGGCATGGTGGCTGGCGCCTGTAATCCCAGCTACTGTGGAGGCTGAGGCAGGAGAATCGCTTGCACCCAGGAGGCAGAGGTTGCAGTGAGCCGAGATCACACCACTGCACTCCAGCCTGGGCAACAGAGTGAGACCCCGTTTAAAAAAAAAAAAAAAGTTTGTCGTTGATCTGAAATTCAGATGTAAGTGGTGTCCTGCACAGTCAGCCCTCCATATCCATGGGTTCTGCATCTGTGAATTCAACCAACTGTGGATAAAAAATATTTGGGAAAAAAATTGCATCAGTAGTGAACATGTACAGACTCTTTTTTTCCCTTGTCATTATTCTCTGAACAATGTAGCATTACAACTATTTACATAATGTTTTCATTGTATTTGGTGTTATAAGTAATCTAGAGAGAGATGATTATTTAAAGTATACGTGGCCAGGCACAGTGGCTTATGCCTGTAACTCTAACACTTTGGGAGGCTGAGGTGGGAGGATCATTTGAGGACAGGAGTTTGAGACCAGCTTGGACAACATAGTAAGGCTCTGTCTCCACAAAATATATATATATTTTTTTCTGAGACAGATTTTTGCTCTGTCGCCCAGGCTGGAGTGCAGTGGTGTGATCTTGGCTCACTGCAACCTCTGCCTCTTGGGTTCAAGTGATTCTCCTGCCTCAGCCTCCTGAGTAGCTGGGACTACAGGTGTGCACCACCATGCCTGGCTAGGTTTTGTATTTTTAGTAGAGACGGGGTTTCACCATATTGGCCGGGCTGGTCTGGAACTCCTGGCCTCAAGTGATCCGCCCGCCTCGGCCTCCCAAGGTGCTGGGATTACAGGTGTGAGCCACCGTGCCCGGCCTCCATAATTTTTTTTTTTTTAATTAACTGTGCGTGGTGGCACACACCTGTGGTCCCAGCTACTTGGGAGGCTGAGGCAGGAGGATCGCTTGAGCCTGGGAGGTTGAAGCTGCAGTAAGTCATGATTGCAGCACTGCATTCCAGCTTGGGGGACAGGGCTAGACCCTGTCTCTAAAAAAATAAAAATAAAGTATATGAGGGGATGTGTAGAGGTTATATGCAGATATGGTGTTTTTTTTTTTTTTTTGAGACAGAGTCTCACTCTGTCACCCAGGCTGGAGGGCAGTGGCTTGATCTCGGCTCACTGCAAGCTCCGCCTCCCGGGTTCACACCATTCTCCTGCCTCAGCCTCCCGAGTAGCTGGGACTACAGGCGCCCACCACCGCGCTCAGCTAATTTTTTGTATTTTTAGTAGAGACAGGGTTTCATCATGTTAGCCAGGATGGTCTTGATCTCCTGAACTCGTGATCCGCCCGCCTCGGCCTCTCAAAATGCTGGGATTACAGGCGTAAACCACCGCGCCCGGCTGCAGACATGTCATTTTATATCAGGGGCTTGAGCATCTGTAGGTTTGGGTATCCATGGGACATCCTGGAACTGATGTCCTATGGATACCAAGGGATGACTGTATTTTTCTTTTTTTCAAAACCTAATAAGGAGAAAAGGAAAGCAAGGGAGGGGGTGTTTTTCAGTTTCAGGTAAGGTGGTCAGGAAGGCCTCACTGAGCAGAGAACATTTGAGCAGAGACCTGAAGGAGAGGGGAGCAAGCCCTATGGAGATGTGAGGGAACTCCACGTGCAAAGGCCCTGGGGCAGCAGTGTGCATGGTGTGTGGAGGAACAGCCAGGAGGCCTGCGGGGCTAGAGCCTGGCGACCCAGGGAAGAGAGAGGAGGTGAGGGCAGAGGGAGGGGGACCTGGGGCCAGATCTTGCAGGGCCCCCCTGGGCGGTGGTGAGGACTTTGCTTTGACTGAGTGGGTCGGTGGCTAAGCAGAGTGTTCTAAGCAAAGACTGGAATTGCTGTAGGTGCAAACTGGCGCCCTCTGGTGGCTGCTTGGGGAACCCACTGGGGATGGGGACGGGGCGGGGAGAACAGCTCCCAGGCCAGGGAGGAGGGTGGCTGAGACCAAGGGTTGAGAAGCAGTTAGATTTTGCATCTGTTTTGAATGTGTTACCATCACGATTTGCCAATGGGTTGGATGTGTGAGAAAGGGAAGACTCCAGGATGACCCCCAGGCTTTGGGCCTGAGCACCTGGAAGGATGGAGTTGCATCTTTTGAGATGGGGACAAGGCTGAGAGGAGCAGGTTTGGGGCATCGTGGGTTTGAGAGGATGCCCTTGCGGAGGTGTTGAGAGGCCCATGGGGCATCTGTATGGAAGTATTGAGTAGACGCCCAGCCGTGTGAATCTGGAGCTCAAGCGAGATATCTGGACTGCAGATGGAAATCTGGGAGTCCTCAGTAGACAGATGGCATGTGACAGCCACAAGGGAATGCTTGATGGTGGAATATGGCAGCAGCAATTGCCACAAAGACCCAATTAAGTCATTCTTTTTTTTTTTTTTTTTTTTTTTTTTGAGATGTAGTCTCACTGTCTCCCAGGCTGGAGTGCAGTGGCACTGTGTTGGCTCACTGCAACCTCCGCCTCCTGAGTACAAGCAATTCTCCTGCCTCAGTCTCCCAAGTAGCTGGGACTACAGGCGCGCACCACCATGCCTGGCTAATTTTTGTATTTTCAGTAGAGACGGGGTTTCACCATGTTGGCCAGGCTGGTCTCGAACTCTTGACCTCAAATGATCCGCCTGCCTCAGCCTCCCAAAGTGCTGGGATTACAGGCGTGAGCCACTGTGCCCGGCACCAATTAAGTCATTCTTTTAGCAGATGTTTGTGCGAGGCCCGGTGCCAGGTGCTGTGTCTTCACTGAGGAGTGAAACTGGGCCTGCATCGTGCGCTCTGGGAGCTGAACGTGGGTGGTGGGGACGGTCATGAATCAGATGCTCTCCCCAGTGATGGTTAAGTTCAGACCATGAGGGCGATGGGCATGGTGCCCTGCAGGGGGATAACAGAGTGAACCTGAACCTTGGTTGCTATACTGGGGTCCATGTGCAAATTAGAAAAAGGTGCCTCTTTCTCTAGCCTGGAACTGTCCGTTATAGTAGCCACGAACTTCATTAAATTTAAATGTAGCCTGGTCGCAGTGGCTCACGCCTGTAATCCCAGCACTTTGGGAGGCCGAGGTGGGTGGATCATGAGGTCAGGAGTTCGAGACCAGCCTGGCCAACATAGTGAAACCCCGTCTCTACTAAAAAAAAGTACAACAAAAAAAAAAATTAGCTGGCATGGTAGCGGGCTCCTGTGATCCCAGCTACTCCGGAGTCTGAGGCAGGAGAATCACTTGAACCCGGGAGGCGGAGGTTGCAGTGAGTCAAGATTGCGCCATTGCACTCCAGCCTGGGTGACAGAGTGAGACTCTGTCTCAAAAAAAAAAAAAAAAAAAAATTAAATGTAGACACTAGCTGTTAAAATTTAACATAACTAAAACAAAATTACAAATTTTGTTTCTCAGCATACTGATCATGTTTCAGGTGCTCAGTAGCCACCTATGGCCAGTGTCGACCTTATTGGATGGTGCAGATCTAGAATATTTCCCTCACTGCAGGGAGTTCTAGTGGATGGTGCTATTCTGTTCCTTTATTTCCATCTGAAGGGTGGCTGTCATGATAAATGGACAGGTCTGCCCTTAGATCTGGTATCTTTGTGCAGTGTACATCCTGCCCAACCACACAGGGTGGCCCTGCTCAGTTTGATGAGTAGAGGAAGGCTGCTGCTTTTTTTTTTTGAGCCAGAGACTCACACACTGACACACTCTGTTGTCCAGGCTGGAGTGCAGTTGGTGCGATCTCAGCTTACTGCAACCTCCACCTCCAGGGTTCAAGTGATTCCCATGCCTCAGCCTCCGGAGTAGCTGGGATTACAGGCGCCCGCCACCATGCCCAACTAATTTTTTGTATTTTTAGTAGCAATGGGGTTTCACCGCGTTGCTCAGGCTGGTCTTGAACTCCTGGCCTTAAGCAGTCCTTCCTGCCTTGTTCTCCCAAGGTGTTGGGATTACAGGCGTGAGCCACTGCCCCTGTCCGAGGCTTTTTGATAGTGATGATGGACCTAGAATATGACAGAGAGTAAGACTTCAATGGTGAAAAGGGAAGGAGGCAGGAAGGGTGTAGAGAGAGTCTTCCAACAGCATGTGCAAAGTCTCTGTGGCTGGAGGAACTAAAACCAATCTGGTTTGTCGTTGTTGTTGTTTTGAAGACAGGGTCTTCTCTGTTGCCCAGGCTGGAGTGCCAAGCTGTGATCATGGCTCACTATAGACTTAATCTCCTGGGTTCAAGCAATCCACCTCCCTCAGCCTCCTGAGTAACTGGTACCACAGGTGTGCACCACCACGCCTGGCTAATTTTTATATATATAAATGTATTTTTTTTTGGTAGAGATGGGATCTTGCTGTGTTGCCCAGGCTGGTTTCAAACTCCTGGGCTCAAGCAATCCTCTTCTCTCGGCCTCCCAAACTACTGGGATTACAGGCATGAGCAATCGCGCCCAGCCAACCTAAAGACAGTCTGGATGGTATGGAGTGACCGAGGGGATTTACGGTCCTGTGAGGCCTTGCAGGCCCTACTAGGAAGTGTGATCCTGATTCCCGAGGGCAGTAGAAGCCTTGGGAGGGTTTTAGCAGGAGATTGACATGGTCAAATGTGTCATTCTGGTTACACCACTTCCTGGCCATGTGACCTCGGGCAATTACTTAACCTCTCTGTGCCTCAGTTTCCACATCTGTAAATGAGGAGTTTCACACTGTGAGAATGTGCGTGTAACATACTTCAATCTGTGCCTGGCACACAGTAAGTGCTATGTAAATGTGCACCATTATCATTGATGATGATTGTTGTTATTTTATTGTTTGACGAGATCTCCCTGGAAGCTGTGTAAAGAACCGATTGGCAGGGGATGGTGTGTGTTACAGGATTTGGGGAGACTATTGAGAAGGCTGTTGGGCTCACCCAGGCAGGATGAAATGGTGGTGGCTGGCATGGACTGGGACCAGGCGGGTGGGGAGGAGAGAGCTGGGTGAAGTGCGGTCTGCTTGAAGGTGGAATCGGCAGGATTTATTGTGACAGGGAAGGGAGCAACAGGGATCACGTGCAATGTCCAGGTTTTTGGCCCAAAGCCCTGGGAGGATGTGAAGTTTCCAGAAGAGAATCTGGCTCACAGTGGACATTTGATCAATGCAGATTTCTTTCTCCAGCTTTCAAACTGCAGCTCAGCCTGGGAATGGAATTTCTCAAGGTCACTCTGTAAGTCCCAGAACTGCTCGACCAGCCTAGGCTGGAGGATGTGGGCACAGCCCTAGGGCTTACTTCAGAGGAGGATTTTCTTGGCTTGACTCTTTCTCTTTTTCTTTTTTTTTTTTTTTGAGACAGGGTCTCGCTCTGTCACCCAGGCTGGAGTGGAGTGGAGTGGCACGATCATGGTTTACTGCAGCCTCAACCTCCTGGGCTCAAGTTATCCTCCAACCTCAACCTCCCAAGTAGCTGGGACCACAGGCATGCACTATTGTGCCTGGCTAATTAAAAAAAAAAAAAAGACCAGATGCGGTGGCTCACACCTGTAATCCCAGCTCGTTGGGAGGCCAAGGCAGGTGGATCACAAGGTCAGGAGTTTGAGACCAGCCTGGCCAATATGGTGAAACCCCGTCTCTACTAAAAATACAAAAAATTAGCCAGGCATGGTGGTGCTCGCTTGTAGTCCCAGCTACTCAGAAGGCTGAGGCAGGAGAATCGCTTGAACCTGGGAGGCAGAGGTTGCAGTAAGCTGGGATCATGCCACTGCACTGCCGCCTGGGCAACAGAGCGAGACTCTGTCTCAAAAAAAAAAAAAAAAAAAAGTTTTGTAGAGACAGGATTTCACCGTGTTGCCAAGGCTGGTCTCAAACTCCTGGATTCAAGTGATCCTCCCACCTTGGCTTCCCAGAGTGTTGGGATTACAGGCGTGAGCCACTGTGCCGGCCTTTGAATCTCTTCTGCATCCCAGTCTCCTTGCTCAGTTGTTTCTGAGGCCCTGGGCTTCCCCATGACCAAACCTTCACTTAGGCCATTCCTCCCACTTGGAGAACCGGCCCTCTCTCCTTCCACTAATTCAGAATCGCACCTGGCCTGAACAAGCTGCTTCATAGGACCCCTGCTCCCAAGAGACACATGGAGGGTTAGGTTTATGATCTGGTTTTATAGAGGGGTGATTTCCTTGGAGGCTGTTGTAGAGTCTGGGACAAGTTATATGTCATCCTGAGACTCAGTCTCTCCGTGAGCAAAATAGGCTAGGCAACTGGAAACTCACGCGACATTCATTCCAAGAGTTTTTTAGGGGGGACGTTTAGGGACATAAGATGAGGCAGGCAGGTTAGATGCCAGTTTGTGAGGGAACTTGAACATCACGGAAAGCTTCTAGATTTTATTCTAAATACAGTGGGAAGCTGTTGGAGGGGTGGATTGTGGGAGCTGTTTACAGCCTCAGTAAGTTCTTCCCAATGGCCATGTGGATACTGGTTGAAAAGTAGCAAGAGTAGGCCAGGTGCGATGGCTCACGCCTGTAATCCCACCACTTTGGGAGACTGAGGTGGGGGGATCGCTTGAGGTCAGGAGTTCGAGACCAGCCTGGCCAACATGGTGAAACCTCATCTCCACTAAAAATACAAAAATTAGCCAGGCGTGGTGGTGGGCACCTGTAGTCCCAGCTACTCGGGAGGCTGAGGCAGGAGAATCACTTAAACCTAGGAGGTGGAGATTGCAGTGAGCTGAGATCATGCCATTGCACTCCACCCTGGGCAACAGAGTGAGACTCTGTCTCAAAAAAATAAATAAATAAAAAGAAAGTAGTAAGAGTAAAAGTTGGGGAACAGAAGCCCTACATAATTGTTTAAGTGAGAGATGAAGGTGGCTTCAGTGAGAAGATAGCAGCAAAGGAGATAGAGAGGAGGGTGGATTCAAGAAGATTCAGGGGTTTAGCAAGTGAACTTGCCAGAGGATTGGATATGGGTGTGATAAGAAAAGAATCTGCTGGGCACAGTGGCTCATGTCTGTAATCTCACTTTGGGAGGCCGAGGTGGTTGCATCACTTGAGGTCAGGAATTCGAGTCCAGCCTGGCCAACATAGTGAAACCCCATCTCCACTAAAAATATAAAAATTAGCTGAATGTGGTGGCATGTGTCTGTAATCCCAGCTACTCAGGAGGCTGAGGCAGGAGAACTGCTTGAACCTGGGAGGTGGAGGTTGCAGTGAGCTGAGATTGCACCACTGTACTCCAGCCTGGGTGACAGAGCGAGACTCCATCTCAAAAAAAAGAGAAAGAAAAAGAAAAAAGGGCTGAGCAAGGTGGCTCATGCCTGTAATCCCAGCACTTTGGGAGGCCGAGGTGGGTAGATCACATGTCAGGAGTTCGAGACCAGCCTGACCAACATGGTGAAACCCCTTCTCTACTAAAAATACAAAAATTAACCGGGCATGGTGGCGTGCATCTGTAATCCCAGCTACTCAGGAGGCTGAGACAGGAGAATCGCTTGAACCCAGGAGGTGGAGGTTGCAGTGAGCTGAGATTGTGCCACTGCACTCCAGCCTGGGCGACAGAGCGAGACTCCGTCTCAAAAAAACAAAAACAAAACACAAAAAAACACAGGCCGGGCACGGTGGCTTATGCCTGTAATCTTAGCACTTTGGGAGGCCGAGGCGGGCATATTGCCTGAGCTCAGGAGTTCAAGACCAGCCTGGGCAACACAGTGAAACCTCATCTCTATTAAAATACAAAAAATATATATATATATTACCCGGGCATGGTGGCGTGCGCCTGTAGTCCCAGCTACTTGGGAGGCTGAGGCAGGAGAATTGCTTGAACCCGGGAGGTGGAGGTTGCAGTGAGCGGAGAACGTGACACTGCACTCCAGCCTGGCAACAGAGCGAGACTCTATCTCAATAAAATAAATAAATAAATAAATAAATAAATGAAAGTATCTGGAGAGGGATGTCCTTAGATGTCCCTAGAATCCTTCATGCAGAGACCTATCCCATCTTTTTCTCTCTGACTCTCCTCTTAGGCCTTATATGACCCCATCAACCCTGACAGGGAGACCCTCGATCAGCCATCACTAACGGATCCCCAGCGTCTGTCTAATGAGCAGGAGGTGCTTCGGGCTCTGGAGCCCCTGCTGGCCCAGGCCAACTTCTCCCCGCTGTCTGAGGACACCCTGGCCTACGCGCTGGTGGTCCACCACCCTCAGGATGAGGTCCAGGTACTTGGCTCCCTAGGAGAACAAAACTCCCAGGAGGCCTCTAGGGTGGGGCAGAGCCTCTGAGAGGCATGGGCTGCTGGGAGTTGTAGTCCTGAGCCTGGGACTGTGGCCCATATGGCGCACTTGGTGAACTCAGAGAAGGGGCTACTTTTGGCTGGATGCAGTGGCTCAAGCCTGTAATCCCAGCAGTTTGGGGGTCCAAGGTGGGTGGATCACCTGAGGTCAAGAGTTCAAGACCAGCCTGGCCAACATGGTGAAACCCCATCTCTACTAAAAATATAAAAAATTATCCAGGCATGGTGGCAGGTGCCTGTAATCCCAGCTACTGGGGAGGCTAAGGCAGGAGAATCTCTTGAACCCGGGAGGTGGAAGTTGCAGTGAGCTGAGATCGTGCCATTGCACTCCAGCCTGGGCAACAAGAGTGAAACTCCATCTGGAAAAAAAAAGGAGGTGCTGCTGTCTCAGGTCACTTCACTGCCATCTGTTGGAAAAGTATCATATGATATGGCTCTCTTAGGGCAAGAGACTTAGCACCATCTGCCAAAATTGTAATAATAAATAATATAATACAAGGCCGGGTTCAGTGGCTCATTCCTGTAATCCCAGCATTCAGGAGGCCGAGGCAGGAGGATCGCTCGAGCCCAGGAGTTCCGGACTCATCTAGGCGACACAGGGAGACCCCGTCTCTACAGAAAATACAAAAATTAGTTGGATATGGTGGTGCGGGCCTGCAGTCCCAGCTACTCGGGAGGCTGAGGTGGGAGGATCATTTGATCCCAGGAGTTTAAGGCTGCAGTGAGCTGTCAGCCATGATCTTGCCACTGCACTCCAGCCTGGATGACAAATTGAGAACCTGTCTCAAAAAAACAAAACAAAACACACACACACAGAGAGACACATTAAAAAAGAAAAAAAAAACCAAGCCCCTAAAAGCACGCAAAATGCTAACAAAATTATAAGAAATACTAAAATCAGCTGGGTGCAGTGGCTCACACCTATAATCCCAGTGCTTTGGGAGGCTGAGGTAGGCAGATCATTTGAGGTCAGGAGTTTGAGACTAGCCTGGCCAACATGGTGAAACCCCATCTCTACTAAAAATACAAAAATTAGCCAGGCATGGTGGCGGGTGCCTGTAGTCCCAGCTACTTGGGAGGCTGAGGCACGAGAATCACTTGGACCCAGGAGGTGGAGGCTGCAGTGAGCTGAGATTGTGCCACTGCACTCCCGCCTGGGTGACAGAGTGAGACAATATCTCAAAATAGAAATAAAAATAAAAACAGAAATAAAAAATACTAAAATCTCCCCAAATTCCACATTTTAGTGATTTTAAACTGCAGTTTTTCCAAAGTCATGTTTTGTCATCTCTGAAATTGGGATGTAATTTACAGGTGGTGGTGTGACATCATTTAATTGGCAACGTATTTTGTTTTTAGTTGCTTCATAAAATAATCAGGTAGAGTCAGTGGCACCTTAGATTCTAGGAAATATGGTAAAGATGACTTCTACGTGAATGGCACTGTGTTAGATCATGAGCCCTTGTGCAGTATACGACATGGACAACCATATGTGACAGCCCTGCCTAGATGGTGAATGGGGATAAGTGGGAAACGGGGGAATTATTTAGGGGCAGGACATCTGATTCTGGTATCCTGCCCTCAACACTCCTGCCCATGTTCACCCGCCACTGCTTCCTTCATCCCCCCGGCAGGTGACAGTAAATTTGGATCAGTATGTCTACATTCACTTCTGGGCCCTGGGCCAGCGAGTCGGGCAGATGCCCCTGAAGTCCAGCGTGGGCTCCAGGCGTGGCTTCTTCACCAAGCTGCCCCCTGCGGAGAGGTGAGGCGGCCCTTGTTCCCCAGCTGCAGCAAGAGGGAGCAAGGTTAGAGTCAAGAGGGGACTGACAGGTCAGTGTCTGGTTTGGGTGTCTGGGCCCCAGGCGGGAAGTTGAGAAATGGGAGGCGTGACTCATCCAAATGCTGTCTTTTCTTCTCAAGGGAAAGTGAGTACTACACTTGATTCCCAGGGGAAGAGAAAGGATGGGGACAGTTCTCCCCATTTTCCAATAAGGAAAACTGAGGCTCGGAGAGGGAGGTCCACATTCTGAAGATGCGGCACGGCCAGGATTCCAACAAACAATCTGCACGTCCAATACCAGGGATCGATGGCGCGATTGAACCGATCCCCTGTGGTTGGACACAGCTGATCCCTGGTTTCTTCCCCATGATTACTGAGTCGCTTTTAAGATGGTTGTGCGACTGTAGAGCCAGAGTGAGCGTCCTAGGATTGGAGGGGGCTCCCCGGGCAGTGCAGTCCCGATCCTGCTCCTGCCTCTGTCTCTGTCCCTCAGGAGATACTTTAAGCGGGTGGTCCTGGCAGCCCGGACCAAACGGGGACACCTGGTACTGAAGAGTTTCAAGGACACGCCGCTGGAAGGCCTGGAGCAGCTGCTGCCGGAGCTGAAGGTGCGCACGCCCACCCTGCAGCGCGCCCTGCTCAACCTCATGCTGGTAGTCTCCGGCGTGGCGATCTTCGTCAACGTGGGCATGGTGGTGCTAACCGACCTCAAGGTGGCCACCTCCCTGCTGCTGCTGCTCTTCGCCATCTTCATGGGCCTGCGGGCCTCCAAGGTGAGCATGCGCCTGCCACGCCTCCTGCGGCCCTGCGCTGTGGGGACCAGGTCAGGCCCCCTGTAGTTGTCTCTGTTTCATGCATTGTTCCTGCGTCATGCTCTCCTCCCTCCCTCCCTCCCTTCCTTCCTTCCCATTCTTCCTCTTTTCTTTCCCTTCCCTTCCCTCCCTGTCCTTCCTTCCTTCCCATTCTTCCTCTTTTCTTTCCCTTCCCTTCCCTCCCTGTCCTTCCTTCCTTCCTCCCTCCCTTCCTCCCTTCTTTCCTTTCTCCCTCTCTCTCCTCCCCTTCCTTTTCCCCTTTCCCTTCCCTTCCTTCTTCCCCTTCCTTCCGCCTCCCCTCCTCTCCCCTCCCCTCCCCTTCCCCTCCCTCCCTCCCTTCCTTCCTGTTCCTCTTTTCCTTCCCTTCCCTCCCTCTCCCCACCTCCTTCCTCCCCCCTTCCCTTTCTCCCTTCCCTCCCTTCTTGCCCTCTCCTCCGCTCCCCTCCCTTCCCCTTCCCTTCCCTACTTCATTTACTCAACACCCCTTAGGGGGGTTTCTTAATCTCTCTGAGCCTCAGTTTTCTCATCTGGAAAATGGGGATGATAGCGAGATCTGCCTTGTAGGGTTGTGAGCATGAAATGAGTGAGTCTGTGAGAAGCACTGGGCAGTGCTCGGCTCGTGGTAGGGGCTACATAAGGGTTGACAGCCGCTCACTGAGTGCCGGCTTTAGGGGCGCTTTAGTGATGCGGTGAAGGGGGTGTGTTCTGGAAGCAGACTTCCTGGATTTGAATCTGACTCTACTCTCTTCTCGCTGTGTGATCTTGAACAAGTTGCTTAACCTCTCTGTGTCTCAGCTTCAAAATCTGCAAAGTAGGGATGATGGTGGGACCTAACTCATAGAGGTGTTGTGGGGATTAAATGAATTAACATGCACAGTGCTGAGAATAGAGCCTCCCACATGGCACAGGAGGTGCTATGTGAGAGTTAGCTATTACCAGGATGATGATTATTATCATTACTAATTGGGCTGTTTGTTCCAAGTCCCCATCCTGACTGGGTATCATTATCACTGGGGGAGCTGGCTGACAAATGCAGCCTCCTGGGCTCCAGTCCTAGTGGACTGAATTGGAAACTCTGGGACTGGGGCCCAGGGAACTATATTTTTAACAAGCTCCCTTTTGATTCTGCTACATGTGAGTGCCGGGCTGCCTTGAACAGTTGCACAGGTTGTTCACCATCCAAGGATTCGTGGCCCAGGGGCCAGGTGGAGGCTGACACCCAACTTGTGCTCCGCTTGCCAAAATGCGTGTCCTGTCTCGAGGCTGAGTCAGCCCAGAGGGGAGCTGCCTTTTACTGATTCTTCCCAGGGTTGGCACCGGCCCCAGGAGTGTAGACTGGTGTGAAGCATCTGTCGTACGCGATCATTCACCTGCTGGCTCATTGGTTTTCAAGCTGTTTTCAGCCATGCTGACAGGCTCTTAGGAAGGCTGGTAATAAATCCCGCAGATAATAGCCAGGCTGTGCCGCCTGAGAGGGTGCTGGCATACTTGGGCCAACAGAGGGGCTGGGGAGGGAGCAATTTCTGCTTGGGACCAGGGCTCAGGTAGGATCTGAGGAAAGCTCTGGAAGACAGGAATTGAGCCTGGTGGAGAAAGAGCCCACGAGCTCAGCCTGGCGTATCTCATGGGGCTGGATCCAGTGAGCAGGGTAGAGAGGGGAAGTCCCAGAGGGTGGTGAGGGCCTTGAATGCCCAGAGTGGTACCCAAGGCCTTATCCTCAGAGCCGCAGGGAGCTGTGGAATGGCTGTAAGCTGCAACCATGGAGGGCAGAGGGGAGGGGCGAGATGAGAGGCAGGGAGGCCCGGTGCCTCTGGGGAGAAGACACTGAGTCCCAGCCCACGGTGACTATTGCCTCACCCCTTGCTGGCCCTTGGGGTGCTATGGAGCCTGTCAGGCTCTGAAAGACCCTATTTCAAACCCAATTCACACCAGGCATGGTGGCACATGCCTGTAGTCCTAGCTACTCAGGAGGCCAAGGTGGGAGGATCGCTTGAGCCCAGGAGTTGGGAGTCCAGCCTGGGCAACATAGTGAAACCCCAAATCAAAAAATAACAATAAAAAAGCCCAGCCAGGCGCAATGGCTCACACCTATAATCCCAGCACTTTGGGAGGCCGAGGCGGGTGGATCACGAGGTCAGGAGTTCAAGACCAGCCTGGCCAAGATGGTGAAACCCCATCTCTACTAAAAACACAAAAATTAGCTGGGCATGGTGGCACATGCCTGTAATCCCAGCTACTCTGGAGGCTGAGGCAGGAGAATCACTTGAACCCAGGGGGCAGAGGTTGCAGTGAGCTGAGATGGCATCACTGTATTCCAGCCTGGGCGACACAGTGAGACTCCATCTCAAAAAAAAAAAAAAAAAAAAAAATCCCAGTTGACAAGTTAATTTAGTGTATTCATGAATTCATGAGGTATTTCCCCACGCCTTGGGGTGAGGCCCAGCCTTTACATGTGGGCCCTTGGCTGGGTGCAGTGGCTCATACCTGTAATCCCAGCACTTTGGGAGGCTGAGGCAGGCAGATCACATGCAGTCAGGAGTTCGAGACCAGCCTGGCCAACGTAGTGAAACCCCATCTCTACTAAAAATACAAAAATTAGCCAGGCGTGGTGGCGCATGCCTGAAATCCCAGCTACTTGAGAGGCTGAGGCAGGAGAATCACTTGAACTCGGGAGGTGGAGGTTGCAGTGAGCTGAGATTGCGCCACTGCATTCCAGCCTCGGTGACAGAGCGAGACTCCCATCCCAACACAAACAAACAAACAAAGAAACAAAAAAACAGTTGGCCCTCCCAGACTCCCTCCTGGCTGGTCCCCTCCTGCGCTTCAGTTGCTCCCAGATCTCTGTCTTCATTGCAAGCCCCTCCCCTAGTCCCCTAATCTGGCTTCTCCTGTTCCCTGGACACACCCAAGCCCATGTGCAGCGTGTCCCCATGAGCCCAGAGTCCAGCTGCCTCAACCCTCCTGCTCCTCTCAAGTTCCCCATCTCACCTTGGAACAGGCACTCAGAGCCCCACTGCGGGATAAGGGGTGCGGGGAGCAAGGTGCGGGATGCGGAGTATGGGGCCCTCTTTCTTCCAAGACACAGGGCTGCTCTGCTTCTGTGGTTTCCACAGGAGCTCTCTACTGTCCATGATCAGATCAACCAAGAAGCTCCAGGCTCAGCCTCCCGGCTGGGGCCCTCACTCTCACTGTAGGCCAAGCACAGCGTCTCCCCTGACATCTTCTCTTCTGGGCTCCGCATCTAAGGATGACCTGTCATCCCGCCAGTCACTGGCTAGACCCCCAGCCCACCCTTCCTGTCCCACCTCTGTGCCCCCTGCTCAGGCCCTCTTCCCAGCCTCCAGTTGGTCCCTTCCAGCCCATTCCCCATTCTACCCAGTCCTGCCCTGCCCCTCCTCTGGGCACAGCCTGGCACCAGGGACCCTGCTTCCCAGCCTCACTGGACACAATCCTTCCCCTCGAATCTGCGCCTCAGCTCCTCCTGCATGCTTGCGGCGCCCCCACCCTGCCATCCCTCGTTCTCTGCCTTTGCCTGTGCTGTTCCCTTGGACTGAAATGCCCTTTCCTCTTGTTGGGCTGGCCAACCCCTGCTCACCCCTCACCCTCAGCTCAGAGGCTGCCTGCTCTGGGAAGCCTTCCCGGATGTCCCAGGCTGGGGTGGTGCCCCTGTGGGTTCCTCCATACCCTGGGCTCTACTGTGAAGCCCCTTAGCCCAGCACCAAGCAGGCCCATGGGGCAGCCTGGGGAGGGATGTTGAACTGGTGCCCCTGAGATGCAGCAGCCCGATCCTGCCCTGGAGGGAGAGGTGTGGGGTCCCTGGACACAGGCAGTCGGTCTGTAATGGAGGCGGCAGCTGGCACAGCAGGAGCCCGAGGCTGCATCTGCTCGTCCGCGAGAGGTGATGTCCATCCTGAGCCTTGAGGATGAGGCAGTGAACATTTTCCAAGAACACACCAGGGGTGGTTTGGCTTGTGCCTGGGCCTGGAGGCCTGAGAGAGCAGGACCTGTTCAGGGTAAACCGGCTTTTTCAGCATGCGCTGCATTCACAGGGGAGGAGCAGGAGGTGACAGGGAGGGCCTCGTGTGCCGGGCCACGGAGCTTGGACTCTGAGAGCACTGGGGAGCCATGGGAGGACCATGAGCAGGGGAGGGGCAGGGGCAGCTCTGAACCTATGTGCAGACAAACTGGACGGGGAGACTGAGGCCAGGGAGGAGGCTGGAGTGATGCAGGCGGGGATAAAGTCTGAGCCAAGGATGAGCTGGGGAGCTGCAGAGGAGGAGACGGGCAGAGAGAGTCAGGGGACTGCAGAATGGGGTTGGGACTGACAGGTTGGCGAAGGGGGAGCAAGGATGGTGCCAGGGGCCTGGCCTGTGACTGAGTAGGTGGAGGGGCTGCCCAAGACATAGACCCCAGGGTAGGAGGAGCGAGTGCTGTATTCCTTGTGGGCAGCGGTAGTGCTGAAGGGACCCTCCGGGTGGCAGGGGGACCCCTCTCCAGGGAGACTCTGGCTTCATCTGTGTGCCACAGAGTGACCTGCTCCTTTAACTAGAATTCAGCTCCATCGGCTTGGCAGATACTGACACAAACCCAATGTGTTTTTCATACCACACGGTCCCTAACGCATGCTATTCCTGCATCTTGCCCTCAACCGAAGAAATGGCGATTCGTTCCAATGCAGGCACCTAAACTGACTGTGCTGGCCTGGTGAGAAGAGGGTACAGTCCACATGCAAGCGTGTCATTGGTACCTTGCAGGCCATTTCAGCGATTTTCTGGGGTGCGCTGACTTGAGAGGCATTTCACCTCAGGCCTCGGTGTGAGATGGGAACACCCTATGGGCACCCAGCACAGGGTGTGGGTGACTGTTCCATAGTAGCTGATGTTTGGTAAGTGTTTCTGAGGGGCCAGGCTTTGTCCCAATGTTTTTTTTTTTTCTTCTTTTTTTGAGATGGAGTCTCGCTCTGTCCCCCAGGCTGGAGTGCAGTGGTGCAACCTCAGCTCACTGCAACCTCTGCCTCCTGGGTTCAAGCCATTCTCCTGCCTCAGCCTCCCAAGTGGCTGGGATTACAGGCGCCGCCACCATGCCTGGCTAATTTTTTGTATTTTTAGTAGAGACGGGGTTTCACTATGTTGGCCAGGCTGGTCTTGAACTCCTGACCTCGTGATCCGCCCGCCTCGGCCTCCCAAAGTGCTGGGATTACAGGCGTGAGCCACCGCGCCCGGCTGTCCCAATGTTTTATTAACCGTGTATTGACTTCCTGAACCCTCCCTGGCATTGGCATTGTTGTACAGACAGTGCTGACTGAGGACTTAGGTCTTACCAGGGGCAGCCGGTAAGGGTTTAGTGGGTCAGGCAGCCAGGCCTGCCAGCTACAGGGTCCAGTGGCCCTGAGCTCATTTTGTGGCTGAATGGAGGAATCTGGGTACAGGTACAGGTTTTCTTTTTTTTCTTTTTTCTTTTTTTTTTTTGTGAGACTGAGTCTTGCTCTGTCACCCAGGCTGGAGTGCAGTGGTGCGATCTCAGCTCACTGCAAGCTCCGCCTCCCAGGTTCACGCCATTCTCCTGCCTCAGCCTCCTGAGTAGCTGGGACTACAGGCACCCACCACCACGCCCAGCTAATTTTGTTTTTGTATTTTTAGTAGATACAGGGTTTCACCGTGTTAGCCAGGATGGTCTCGATCTCCTGACCTCGTGGTCTTGATCTTCTGACCTCGTGATCCACCCGCCTCGGCCTCCCAAAGTGCTGGGATTACAGGCGTGAGCTACTGCGCCCGACCGCTTTTTTTTTTGAGACACAGTGTCACTCTGTCGCCCAGGCTAAAGTGCCGTGGCACGATCTCGGCTCACTGCAACTTCTGCCTCCCGGGTTCAAGAGATTCTCTTGCCTCAGCCTCCTGAGTAGCGGGAATTACAGGCACATGACACACACCTGACTAATTTTTGTATTTTTATTTATTTATTTTTTTGAGACAGAGTCCCACTCTGTTGCCCAGGCTGGAGTGCAGTGGCGCAATCCTGGCTCACTGCAACCTCCACTTCCCGGGCTCAAGCGACTCTCCTGCCTCAGCCTCCCAAGTAGCTGGGATTACAGGTGCCTGTCACCATACCTGACTAATTTTTTTTTTTTGTATTTTTAGTAGAGACAAGGTTTCACCATGTTGGCCAGGCTGGTTTCGAACTCCTGACCTCAAGTGATCTGCCCGTCTCGGCCTCCCAAAGTGCTAGAATTACAGGCATGAACCACCGTGCCAGGTCTAATTTTTGTATTTTTAGTAGAGATGGGGTTTCACCATGTTGCCCAGGTTGGTCTCGAACTCCTAACCTCAAGTGATCTGCCCTCCTCATCCTCCCAAAGTGCAGGGATTACAGGTGTCAGCCACTGCATCTGGCCTGGGCACAGTTTTTCAGTGGGAGCCCAGAGGGCACTGATGCCCTCATTTCTCCTTACCAATATCAAGGATGAGAAGAGGGGTCCAAGCAAAGAGACTAACGGTGGGGAAGTGGGCAGCCAGTAGACAGCTGGGCCCAGACCTGTTCTTCCCCCCAACATCCTTCCCCTCTCCTCTTCTCTTTACAATTTAACTTTTTTCTTTTTTTGAGACAGGGTCTCACTCTGTTGCCCAGCCTGGAGTGCAGTGGTATGATCATGGCTCACTGTAGCCTCAGCCTCCTGGGTTCAGGTGATTCTCCTGCTTCAGCCTCATGAGTAGCTGGGACTACAGGTGCTCACCATCACACCCAGCTAATTATTATTATTATTATTTTTTGAGGCAGAGTTTCATTCTTGTTGCCCAGGCTGGAGTGCAATGGCATGATCTCGGCTCACTGCAACCTCTGCTTCCCAGGTTCAAGCGATTCTCCTGCCTCAGCCTCCCGGGTAGCTGGGATTACAGGCATGAGCCACCATGCCCGGCTAATTTTGTATTTTTAGTAGAGACGGGTTTCTCCATGTTGGTCAGGCTGGTCTCGAACTTCCAACCTCAGGTGATTCACCTGCCTTGGCCTCCCAAAGTGCTGGGATTACAGGCGTGAGCCACTGAGCCCAGCCTGCTATTGTTTTTTAATTTTAATTTTTTGTAGAGATGAAGCTTTTGCCATGTTGCCCAAGCTGGTCTTGAACTCCTGGGCTCAGGTGATCCACCCACCTTGGCCTCTCAGCGTTGGGATTACAGGCCTGAGCCACTGCACTTGGCCTACAGTTTAATATTTTAAACCATTTTTTCCTTCATTATAGAAAAGTTCAAACAAACACAGAAATAGGATAGTATGATAAACTCCACTAGCCAGCACCTAGCATCAACAATTAGCAATAGTTAATCAGATTTCCCCTGAAGACCTCCACTGTCCTACTATTGGATGATTTTGAAGTAAATCCTACCTAGACTTATTTGGAAATACTTTATTATGTCTCTAAAACATAAGGATGTATTGTAACAAAATCTTTCAAAGCTAAAACTCCTATCATCTGCAAACCTTTGGGTAAATCCATTAATACATGGCTCAGATGAGCAAACCAGTGCAGTGGTTGCTGAAAACTGTAGGCCAGATGGGGCTGGTGGTCTTGGAGCCACTGGAATGAGGGCACGTGTGTTAAAAATACAGATCCCCAGCCGGTGCCTTGGGTCACGCCTGTAACCCCAGCACTATGGGAGGCTGAGGAGCGAGGATCACTCCAGGCTGGGAGTTTGAGACCAGCCTGGTCAACACAGGGAGAATCCCGTCTCTACAAAAAATATCGGGCTTGGTGGCGCACACCTGTAGTCCCAGCTACTTAGGAGGCCAAGGCGGGAGGATCGCTTGAGCCCGGGAGTTCAAAGCTTCAGTGCGTTATGAGTTTGCCTGTGAATAGCCACTGAACTCCAGACTGGGCTACAGGGCGAGACCCTGTCGAAAAAAAAAAAAAAAGGAAAGAAAAGAAAGAAAGGAAGGAAGGAAGAAAAAGAAAGAAAGAAAAGAAAAGAAAGAAAGAGAAAGAAAGAAAAGAAAGAAAGAACGAAAGAAAGAAAGAAAAAGAAAGAAAGAAAGAAAGAAAGAAAGAAAGAAAGAAAGAAAGAAAGAAAGAAAGAAAGAAAGAGAGAAAAAGAAAGAAAAAGAAAAGACAGACCCCAAAAATCCCCAAATAGATCCCTCGACTGAGCTCTGGGGACCCGTACTGAAGAGGTCTGGGTAGGACCTCCCCGCCTCCTCAGGGGAGTAAGCGGCGTGGGCCGTGCCAGCGGGGGTGACCCCGGGGGCTGTGTATGGGTGGGGGCGCACCCCGAACTGAGCCCACGGGGCGCTGTCCCGCCTGCAGATGTTCGGGCAGCGGCGCAGCGCGCAGGCGTTGGAGCTGGCGCACATGCTGTACTATCGCAGTACGTCCAACAACTCGGAGCTGCTCAGCGCCCTGGCCCTGCGCGCGCAGGACGAGCACACCAAGGAGGCGCTGCTGGCTCACAGCTTCCTGGCCCGGCGGCCAGGGGGCACTCAAGGCTCGCCCGAAGGTAGGACGTGGCCCTGGGACCCTGCCCCCAGGGGCCACACCCCCGCGAGGCCCCGCCCCAGCGAGATGCGTCCCCACCCCCAGTTCCCACGGGTGAACCTGACGGGTTTGCGAAGAGACCCCGGCCCTCAGCAGACAGGACCTCCGAATCCAGACTCCGATCTTGGTGCCTGATGTGACAGCCCTTTCTTAACCTCAGCCTGGTTGGGAGTCTTGGCTCCATGGCACGGCCCCCTCCTGTCATTCTTTCCTCTACCTGAGCTGACACTCTCCCTACAAGAGATCCTGCGCGCTCCCTGTGTGGGCTCCAGGTGGTCCCCTTGCCTACAGGAGCCCCCACCTTCCCTGCCCAAGAGCCCCTGACTGGTCCCCAGACGAAAGCCCCAGAGCTGGGCCTTCTGGCCCTCTCGACCCTCCTGGGCCTTGTTCCGCTCCCCTCCAAGCCTCAAGATCACTCCTAGGCTTCTCCCAAACCCAGGCCCTTCCTGTTCTTTGCCCTACGCCCCTCCTTGCTGCTCCCTCGAATCTTCCCCGATCTCAGTGTGACCTCAGAACACCTGCCTCTCCCCTTGCAGAGACCTCCAGGTGGCTCCGGTCGGAGGTGGAGAACTGGCTCCTAGCCAAGTCAGGCTGTGAGGTGACCTTCAACGGAACTCGGGCCCTGGCGCATCTGCAGGCCCTGACCCCCAGCATGGGATTGTACCCACCCCCGGGTTTCCCCAAACTAGACCCAGTGGCTCCGATCACTTCCGAGCCCCCGCAAGCCACGCCCAGCAGTAACATCTCCTGAGTAGAACCTACCTCCCTGCCCAGTCAGCAGGCTAGGAACTAAGCCCCGCCTCCTTCACGACAGGCTGTCAATTACGGTTATTATACTTTTCACTCCAACTTCCAATAACTGACAGGTGATTATTTTTGCTGCACTGTGTGCTTAAGCAAAGCAGCCAATCAAAGCAGCTAGCAGTTGTTAAGTCTTCCCCGCCCCTTCGATGAACAGCCAATCAAAGCGATTTAGCTCTGCTTCTGTTCCATTTCTTAGTCCCACCCTCACCATAAACATCCAAGTGTGGTTTGGCTGAGGAGCTGAGGGTGTCTGCCAATCACAGCTGCTCAGCTCTGGCTTCTGTAAACCGCCAGGTAGAAGAGTTAAAGCTGCGCCCTCCCGAGACTATATATCATTGTCTTTTTCAGCCCGCTCCGGGCAAACTGCCCATCATGTGCACCAAGGCCGTTAGCCCTGCCTCCTGGCAAACGTCCAGTGACAGCTGCTGGGTTCCATCAACTTTGGGCAGCCGGTTGTCGCTGCAGGGAAGGAACCAATAAGAATTTCTAAAGGAAACCTGATCTTGCTATCAATTGCTGCTGCTTAAATGGCAGGCCAACTGGTCAGCTGCTGATCAGGGTGTCTAGGCTGAAGGAGTTGGAGACCTTGTGCTAGGTAGGTGAACCAGAAACCACCCTCGCCACCAAGACTCGCTCCCAACCTGGCTCCCGGCAACCTCAGGTGCCTTCCTCGCCCAGGTCTTTCACCCTTTCTACAGAAACTACCTCGGTCTGGATCTCCCCACCACCAGCAGCCTGTGCAATATTTATTGGTCTATCAATTTCTCCCGTCTCCTGTCCCAAAGTAATAAATCATGTTTAATAAGTCTGGATGAGGCTACTCTTAACGCACTGCCTTTAGGGTAACCCTGCTCTGTAGGAGTGGTTAAAAAATTATTTTTAAAAATCTAGATGAGTGGGATGGCTGCAGGAGTTGGAGGGAAGGAAAGCATTTGAATCCTGGAAAGAGGGGAGGGACTCTAGCTAGGTCTTGGGGTCCCAGACAGAGAAAGCTGTAGTCCTAAAAAGAGGCTGGGTTCATGGTCGGTGAAACAAAGACAGTCATAGAAGAGGATCTTAGAAGGATCTGATTCCAGAGGAGTCCCAGGGCCTGATGAACAGAGGAGATAGCGTAGCCATGTGCGATTGTGCAGATTTGCAGATTTTTTTTTGTTCTTGAGATGGAGTTTCGCGCTTGTTGCCCAGGCTGGAATGCAATGGCATGATCTTGGCTCACTGCAACCTCCGCCTCCTGGGTTCAAGTGATTCTCCTGCCTCAGCCTCCCGAGTAGCTGGGAGGCGCCTGCCACCGCGCCTGGCTAATTTTTTGTATTTTCAGTAGAGACGGGGTTTCACCATGTTGGCCAGGCTGGTCTCGAACTCCTGACCTCAGGTGATCCACCTGCCTCAGCCTCCCAAAGTACTGGGATTACAGGCGTGAGCCACCGCACCCGGCCTGTGCAGATTGTTAACTGCACAAAGGAACACAGCCACGGGTGGGTGGCTGTAAGACCCAGCCCATACCCCTACATGTATCCTGGTGTGGGGCTGGGTCAGCCAGAAGAAGGGGTGCCTCCTAATTTTTGCTAACGTGTCATATGGGCTAGAGGCAGCCTTTGGGGAGACAGGGGAAGTCTCCCTCTCTAGGACCCCAAATGTTCAGTCCCTAGAGAGGGAGACTGGGCTGGGCGCGGTGGCTCCCGCCTGTAATCCCAGCACTTTGGGAGGCTGAGGTGGGTGGATCACCTGAGGTCAGGAGTTCAAGACCAGCCTGGCCAACATGGTGAAACCCCGTGTCTACTAAAGATACAAAAATTAGCCGGACGTGGTGGTGGGCGCCTGTAATCCCAGCTGCTCAGGAGGCTGAGGCAGGAGAATTGCTTGAACCCGGGAGGCGGAGGTTGCAGTGAGTGAAGATCGCACCACTGCACTACAGCCTAGGTGACAGAGCGAGACTCCGTCTCAAAAAAAAAAAAAAAAAAAAAAAAGAGAGAGAGGGAGACTGGTTTCCTAGAGGGAAAAAGAAAGCTGTCTTCCCAAATGGAAAGTTAGTAGAAAGAAAAAAGAGTCCAGAACTAGCCGGGTGTGGTGGCTCGTGCCTGTAGTCCCAGCTACTCGGGAGGCTGAGGCAGGAGAATCGCTTCAACCCGGGAGGCGGAGGTTGCAGTGAGCTGAGATCGTACCACTGCACTCCAACCTGGACAGAAAGAAAAAAAGAGTCCGACAATCTAGAAACACACACTATGCCCGGGGTTCAGAGAGAGAGAGCAACAGAGTGACAGAAGCTTGAGCAAGGAGACAGGACTGGTCACTGCAGGCTTCCTATCCTAACAGGGTCTGCTGGGACCCAGAATCCAGGTTCTTCCCAGAAGTGTCTGAAGGTCTAGATTCAGGTGCCTCACAGAGGTCTCTTGGGCCTTGAGCGGGGAAGGCCCAGGCTCTTGGGTCTGTGGGAGGGAAAAGGTGCCTGGGGTCCCGGCTCCTGTGTCCTCGGGAGGAAGGGGTTGGGGGCTGGGAGATGGGCATTCTGAGGGCTGAGCAGCTGGCGGTGGGGACCATGTTAGGTTCAGGAGAGGTCAAGCGTGCGCAGCCTGGGTCCCTGGAGGCGGAAGGAAGGAAGATCAAGGCAGAGCCCGCGGTTAAGGTTTTATTTTTTGGAGGACGCGCGGCGAGGGGGGCCGGGAAGGGGCGGGGGCAGCCGAGCGAGGCGGGGCGCTCACTCCCGCTTCCGTAGGTGGATGTAGATGATGCCGCTGACCAGGGCGAGGGGGAAGGCCACCCAGGCCAGGGCGAAGCAGTATCCGAAGCTGCCCCCTCGCGGGTGCTTCTCCAGGATCTCCTCGGCGTGAATGGCATAGATCAAGGCGCCAGTAAACACCGCCACGCCTGCGGAAGATGAAAACCACACGTCATGCAGTGCCCCCTCAAGACTACATTTCCCAATATCCCATGGGGGCAAAGAAGCGCCGGAGGGCCCGTGGGCAGCGCCGCTGCCTGCTGGGAGTTGTGGTTCTTTCCCCCCCGCCCAGCGCCGTGCAACTGTAGCGCGGCCTTAGGTAACTGATTTAATCTCTCTAGGTCCAATAATATCTCTCTATCCATCCAAGGAATATTTTTGAGTGTGTTTCTATAAGCCAAACATGCAGTAGTAAATTCATAAACCAAGAGAGAAGCTTTGCAAGAACCTATAATGTTCCCCAAACTGACTGTGATTAAGTTAGCCCTTTGCACCTTAAGTCAAAAAATTAAAAAGTACGCAAAACTTCTTGAAGTATCTGATGCACAATAGGCACGCAAGAAACAGCGGTTGGCTGATATAAATACCATTATTATTATGATTTAGAGCTCTCTACTGAGGTACTAATTAGTTTATCCCCCCACGTCACGGCCGATCCCTGGGACCAAAACTATTTACCTATACCTCCTTCCCCAGCCCCGGCTCCCTGAAACTCTGAGTTCCCTGATGACTCATACGCACAAGCCATAACTATCATTAGCCACTGAAAACTACAAGTCCCAGCAATCCCTGGGGGCAGAGATGTAGCCCACGGAGGCACCTCTTGTGGCTCGTGGGGTGTTGAAAGTTGTTTTTTTCTACGAGAGGCCCATTCTCAGGGCCCCCAGCATCTTGACACACCCCACTCCCTTCTGCTCAATTCTTGGGGGATTAGGGTTGGGGAGGGGCAGTGCTCACTGGTGCAAAGCTGGCAGAGGCCGGTGGCATAGAAGAGACCTCCTCGTCGCATGGTGTAGAGCTGGAACATGAACAGGATGAAGGAGAGACAGCAGAGAATGAGGGAGAGCACCATGAGGACCTGCACCGCCTTCAGCCAGCCTGCAGTAAGGAGGACACAGAGGGGGACATCACCGTGGGTCCAGAGTTCCAGCTTCACCTGCTTGCTCACCATGTGACCCTTCTCTGCCCCATCCCTGCTCCCGTTTAGGCCCATACAAGCCTAGATACTTAGATGTATCACTTATTTTGACCTTGAGCCCTGTTACCTTGCTATATTCCCTTCTCAGTTCTAGTAGTTGCTTTGCCAATTTCCTTTTTCTTTTTTTTCTGAAACCAGGTCTTGCTCTGTTGCCCAAGCTGGAGTGCAGTGGTATAATCATGGCTCACTGCAGCCTCGTCCTTCAGGGCTCAAGAAATTCTCTCACCCCTGCCTCCTGAGTAGCTGGGACCACAGGCACAAGCCACCACAACCTGGGTAATTTTTAAATTTTTGTAGAGACAGGGTTTCCCTATGTTGTCCAGGCTGGTCTTGAACTCCTGGGCTTAAGTGATCCTTCCTCCTCAGCCTCCCAAGGTGCTGGGATTACAGGTGTGAGCCACTGTGTCTGTCTGCTTTGCAGAATTTTAATGGATTTTCTACATAAACAACATGTTTACTGGGAATAGAGACACTTTTTCCTAATTTATTTCCCATGCCCTTTATTTCTTTTTCTTGCCTTCTTGCATTGGCTACTCCAGTAAAAGGTTGAATAGAAGTGGTGAGAGCAGACCACTTCCTTTAATCTTAGTTTTGCATTAAATCTTTCACACAGAACTTTAGATAGATGCAGCTCTATTCCTTTAGAACTCCAATGCACCTGGCCCCACCCCTTTAGAACCTTAAGTGGTTTCAGCCCCATCCCCTTGGAATTTGGATGAAATGGTCCCAGGCATCCATTCAGAGCACCAGCCCCATCTCCTTAGAGCTTTGGAAAAATACTCTTGTCTTCTCAGAATCTTGGGAGATTTTTCTCTATTCTTTTTTTTTTTTTTTTTTTTTGAGACAGAATCTTGCTCTGTTGCCCAGGCTGGAGTGCAGTAGTGCAATCTCAGCTCACTGCAACCTCCACCTCCTGGGTTCAAGCGATTCTTCTGCCTCAGCCTCCCAAGTAGCTGGGACTACAGGCGCACGCCACCATGCCCGGCTAATTTTTTTGTATTTTTAGTAGAGACGGGGTTTCATCATCTTGGCCAGGCTGGTCTCGAACTCCTGGCCTCGTGATCTACCCGCCTTGGCCTCCCCTCTCTATTCTTTAAACCTATAGCATGCTTTTATCTATATGGCCTCTTCAGAACAGGAGGTACTGGCTGGATGTGGTGGCTCACGCCTGTAATCTCAGCACTTTGGGAGGCTGAAGCAGGTGGATTAGCTGAAGTCAGAAGTTCAAGACCAGCCTGGCCAACATGGTGAAACCTGTCTCTACTAAAAATGCAAAATTAGCCAGGCGTGGTGGCACACACCTGCAGTCCCAGCTACTCGGGAGGCTGAGGCAGGAGAATTGCTCGGACCCCGGAGGGAGAGGTTGCAGTGAGCCAAGATTGCGCCACTGCACTCCAGCCTGGGCAACCAGAGGAAAACTCGGTCTCAAAAAACAAAAACAAAAAAAACAAGAGGTAGGTACATCCAGACAGGCGGGACATGCATTAGCCCTAGGCACTCAGCCACTCAGGCCTGGACCCCGCCCACTCCAACTTTGTTGGGGGAGGGTTCCCAATTCTCAGTCCCATGAGGACACGAAGGGTTTACCTTCCCCTTTGAAGACCAGTCCCGCCGCCCTCACCCCTCACCATTCTCGCTGACATTACTGCAGGCCCATGTTTTGGTGTCGTTGTTCCACGTGCAGTCGTACCAGAGATTCAGGGACTCTTTCCCAGGGAGAGTCCACCAGGACTGGGATGGACAGAGAACGAAACAAGGGGCAGGGTTAGGAAAGGAGAGGGGATAGGGTCAGGCAGACTGTGGGAAGGGCTGGGAAAAGGGCAGGGTATCTGGGATGGGGCAGAACTGGGGAGAGTTAGGATTTAATATGAGAGGGGGTAGGGTCAGGACAGGGAGGAGGCATCGGAGGTAGAGCTAAAAGGGTTAACCTGGTGGTTCATGCCTGTAATCCCAGCACTGTGGGAGGCCGAGGCAGGTGGATCACTTGAGGCCAGGGGTTCGAGACCAGCCTGGGCAACATGGTGAAACCCCGTCTCTACCAAAATAAAAAAATTAGCCGGGCTTGGTGGCAGGTGCCTCTAATCCCAGCTACTTGGGGGGCTGAGACAGGAGAATCGCTTGAACCCGGGAGGCCGAGGTTGCAGTGAGCCGAGATCGCACCACTGCACTCCAGCCTGGGGGACAGAGTGAGACCCTTGTCTCAAAATAAATGAAATAAAATAAAAAAGAAATACTAGGTAAAGGGGGTGGGGCCAGAATGCCTTTAGAGGAGGGGCGTGGCAAGATTCCAAAGGGGAACAGAAGGGCCCTGAGCTCCAAGTAGGCTTACCTTGTCCAAAGTGGCCACGAAAAGCAGTATAAGAATGAGGATGTGAAGGGCTGAGACCACCAGCAAGAGGAGTGACATGGCTGCAGTGGAAGCCTGGGGAGGGGGAGCAGGGGACGGAGTCTCAAGAGGTTGGCACAGGCCAGGCACACTCACGCCTATAACCCCAGCACTTTGGGAGGCCGAGGCGGGAGGATCACCTGAGGTCAGGAGATCGAGACCAGCCTGGCCAACATGGTGAAACCCCATCTCTACTAAAAATACAAAATTAGCTGGGTGTGGTGGTGCACACCTGTAATCCCAGCTACTCGGGAGGCTGAGGCAGGAGAATCACTGGAATCCAGGAGGCAAAGGTTGCAATGAGCCAAGATCATGCCATTGCACTCCAGCCTGGGTGACAGAGAAAGACTCCGTCTCAAAAAAAAAAAAAAATTTGGCATAAAGGCAGGTGAGATGTCTCCTGATGGAGGAAGGGCATGGGTGCAGACTCCTGGGTCTCTCAGGGAGGAGACCGCTGGGGCCTGGATTCCTGAGATCCCCATTGGCTGGAGGGGTGGAGAGGGCCAAAGATGGACTCTTGGGTTCCTTGAATGAGGAGGACTAGCAATGTGGCTCCTCTCTCCCCAGAACCCTGACTCTGGGTTACATACAGGCCAGATAGTGAAAATTCAAGTTGAGACCCCACCCTGCACCCCGACATCAGGATTGAGGAGCTGCCCCCAGCAACAGGCATTCTTGACTCACACCACTCCTCTCCTGGGTTGAGGGGAGGAGGGGGACCTGGTGAGTCATCTGGTGACTCATCCCCACCCCCCCCCATCTCTAAGCACCAGGGAAACCCCAGCCCCTGGCTATGTCCACGAGGTCCTCACCCCACCCTGCTGCCAGACTGGTGACTGTTGGACATCTTCTGGAGGAAATGGATAGGATTCGCGCTGGGGGGAAGAGAGGCCCAAGAAGGAGTTAGCCTCCCAGGACTCTTTGGTGCCCAGGAACAGGGGACCTAGAGGTCTCCCAGATTTGGGGTGTTCTCATGCAATGCCCTGATCTCAGGGACCCCAGAGGACAGTGGACACCGCTGAGGGAAAAACTGCAGGAAGTTTTCCAGTGGAGGGCTCTGCTGGGACCCCAAAACTTTGCCGGGCCCCACCCCTTCCCATATCCCCACCTCAAGTGCTAAGAGATCACTTATTAAATTAAAAGGATTTCCAAGAGTCAGGGACGTCTCTCCCAGCCTGGGGGTGTCCTTCCCAAACTGCTACATTCCCAAGTAAATTAAGAAGTCCCAGCCCTGAATAACGGACTGGAAACTTACCGAGAGCCGCGAAAAAAGTCAGAGCTGGAGTCGGAGTCTTGTCCCTCGCTCGGGCCTCCGTGCCCCGCCCTTCTCCTCCCTCCTTTCACCCTCCCGAGGCCCCCGCCTCTCTCACCGCCTTCCTCCCTCCCTTGCTCTCCCCTCCAATCCAGAACCCTTTCTCTCTCGCTCGCTCTCCTTCTGCGTCTCTTCTCTCCCTCCTGCCCTCACTGTCTGGGCCTCCTTCTCTCTTGCTCCCGTTTCTCTTTCTCTCCTCCTCTCAATATATACTGACCCTTTTATAAACCCACCCTCACCGCACCCAGCTGAGGTCGGCTGCCAGTGGGAGGGCCCAGGCACTCCGGTTCCTCTTTCTTTGGGCCCCCACCCAATCCCTCCAGACAGACATCATCTGGGGCTCCCTCCCAGGGTTGAGATGAGAAACTCTTGGAATGGGGTTCTTGGGGGGGGCAAGCGTCAGGGGTGGGAGGGCCCGATTCTCAGGACCCTTGAGTTTTGAGGTCTTGCCCTGGGGCCGGATGTCTGCTTTCCCTGATGGAGCTTGGAGCTGGATAGGAGTCTGGGAAAAGAGGCCAGATTTCTGTGGCATGGACTTGAGATTGGGCTGGTGAAGTTGGCCCCGTGGTGGGGGGTCAGAGGATGGGAGATGAAATTTGTGAAACTCGGCAGGGCGTTGTGGCTCACGCCTGTAATCCCAGCACTTTGGGAGGCCGAGACGGGCAGATCATCTGAGGTCAGGAGTTCGAGACCAGCCTGGCCAACATGGTGGAAACCCGTCTCTATCAAAAATACAAAAATTAGCCGGGCGTGGTGGCGGGCGACTGTAATCCCAGCTACTTGGGAGGCTGAGCCATGAGAATCGCTTGAACGCGAGAGGTGGAGGCTGCAGTGAGTTGAGTTTGCACCACTGCCTTCCAACCTGGGGGACAAAGTGAGATTCTGTCGCAAAAAAAAAACAAAACAAAACAAAAAACAAACAAACAAAAAAAAAAACCTTGTGAAACTCTGGAAGCGGGGAGGAAGCGGAAGCTAAGAATCCCAGCGCCATCATTTCCTGGTTCAGTGACCTTGAGCCAATTATTTCACCCACCTGGGCTCCAGTATCTTAGTCTATGTTGAGAGTATAATAATGCTGACAAAATACTAATACTGATAATAATAATTCTGATACTTATGCTGAATGAATAAGGTAATACTGGCACACTCACACACCTAACCTGTTCCTTCCTTCATCAAACATTTATTGAACATGTACTCTGATCTGGGAGTTAATAATGAAAACAGACATGAGCCCTGCTGGTATTATGGAGCTTGTATTCTAGTAGAGGAAGACAGACAAGAGAAAACATCAATGATGAAGATAAATCTCAGATAAGGATAAGTGACTTGAAAAATAAATACAATAGGCTGGACGTGGTGGCTCATGCCTGTAATCTCAGCACTTTGGGAGGCCAAGGCTGGAGGATCACCTGAGGTCGAGAGTTCAAGACCAGCCTGGCCAACATGGTGAAACCCTGTCTCTACTAAAAATACAAAAATTAGCCAGGCATGGTAGTGGGCGCCTGTAACCCAGCTACTCAGGAGGCTGAGACAGGAGAATTGCTTGAACCCGGGAGGCGGAGGTTGCAGTAAGCTGAAATCACGCTACTGCACTCCATCCTGGGTGACAGAGCAAGACTCCATCTTAAAGAAAAAAAAAAATAAAAGAAGAAAAGAAAAATAAATACAATAATAAATCAAACAGAGTGATGGAGATAATGACAGAGTGCAGGGAAGACTACTTGAAACAGGAAAATCAGGGAAGGCCTCTTGGAGGAGGTAACATTTGAGCTGAAGACAGGAGTCATTTGAACGCTGGGGTTGGGGAGTGGTGGGGGGGCGTCGGGGGGAGAGGAAGTGCAAAAGCTCTTAAAGCTTTTGAGAACAAGCTCAGGTTGTTTAGGGAGCAGACAGAAGGGCCAGTGTGGCTGGAGCACAGGGAGACAGAGGGAGTGGTGAGAAGGGAAATCAAAGGGTGCCCTTGAAGACTAGGGGAGGGGCTTGGATTTCATTCTAAGTGCAGTGGAAAGCCATTAGGTTTTAACAGAGTGTAGTACCAAAGATTTTTATTTTTTTTTTGAGATGGAGTCTTGCTCTGTCATCCAGGCTGGAGTGCAGTGGCATGATCTCAGCTCACTGCAACCTCCACCTCCCGGTTCAAGCGATTCTCCTGCCTCAGCCTCCTGAGTAGCTGGGATTACAGGTGCCCGCCACCACGCCCAGCCAATTTTTGTATTTTTAGTAGAGACGGGGGTTTCTCCATGTTGGCCAGGCTGGCCTCGAACTCCTGACCTCCAGTGATCTGCCTGCCTTGGCCTCCCAAAATGATGGGATTACAGGCGTAAGACACTGTGCCTGGCCCCAAAGGTTTACTGTTAACTATTATTATTAATTTTGGGGATATTAAATTAGGGTCGGGGTGATGACTACTATGTACACGAGTCTCTTGGGAGGGGACCAGGTGCCCAGAACTCTGATAAATTGAGAGCAGGGGAATTCAAATCCTGGATCCAGGGAAGGGAACTGGATGATGGGATGTCTGGGTATCTGATGGGCCAGAGCTGGGTTTGGGATAGCTGTTGGTGATTCGGGCTCCCTGAGGGGGTGAGGGATGGACAGTTCAGTGCTTGGCTGGGTACCCCAAGACCTGGAAGCTGGAATACCAGTATAGCACAGACTCTAGAGCCACACTGGTTGGACTCAAAATCCAAGCTGTTTTACTCAATGGCTGTGTAATTTTTGGCAAGTTACTAATAACTTCTCTATGCCTCAGTCTCTTCATCTGAAAAATAGAGATAATAGTAAATACATTATAGGGCAGTTCTTAGGGTAGTGCTAGTCATATCAGGCATTGGGGCTCTGAGTGGAGTCAGTACTGGGGGACCCTGATTCAGGATCTCTAGGAGTTGGGGAAGGGGCAAATTCTTGGGTCCATTGGGTCTCAAGGCTAAAGTTGGGAATCCAAAATGAGGGTCCCTGGGGGAGAATAAGTAGTCTCAAACTTAAGTGCCTGAGAGACAGAAACTGGGGTCCGCACTCAGATCCCTAAGGAAGTTGCAAAGTCTGGGTCACTGAAGGAAAAATTAGGGGCTGGGGAGACATACGTTCCTCTTGGGGAGCAGGAAAAGAGGGCTCCACTTTCTTGAGAGGACTAGGGGGAGCCAGGGGCTAGGAAGATGGAAACTTGAGCCGGGGAGGTGAAAAACACGAGTCTAGGACTCAGAATCAAGTTCCCTGAGTGGGATCGGCGCCAGGCTTGGGTACCCTGGGGATATTAGGGGGGTCCCCGCACTATGGCTATGTAGAAGGGGAAGAATCAAAGGATCTGAGGGTGGCGGCGGGATCTCCCCATCCTGGGCCTCCGAGATTATGAGCTGAGCTGAGCGTACGCAGGCCGCTTCCTCCCACAGGAAACCGCAGGCTTCGGGCACACCCAGCCTGCAGGGAGAGGCGCCCACTGCCCGCCCGCCCGGGGAGGCCCACGTGGGCAGCAGCCGCCGCCGCGGAGGGGGCGTGCCTTACAGAGCGAGTGGGTGTAACCAGAGGGGGCGTGGCCAGAAACCGGGGGGCGGTATGGAGTGCCCGAGGTCTCACCCACTTCCGCCCTCCAGCGCGCGGACGTGGTAGGCGGCCAAGCGTTTTTGGCTGCTTCCCGGGAAGCCGTTGGTCGCGCTTGCGTAGTGAACCGCTGAGGCTGTGTTGAGCGCTCCTTCTCCGCGCAACTCCCGGCTTCGACACCGCCTTCCTTCCTATGAATCCTTAATTTAACGTGGTCACAGTCAGCTTAAGACCGGCACCTCTCGGGCTCCGTCTTGTAGGACCTCGGCCTGGCTTCGAGGGCTTCCATACAGGTCACCGCAGGCTCTTTCAACTCCCGCCGCTTCCAGGCCCGCGGTACTAGTGAGACCTCAGCCTCGACCTCCCCAGGACCATTTCGACCTCCCGCAGGCCTTCAAGGCCTGAGCGCCTCCCGATTAGCCCGCCCTTCACCGCCCTTCCACCGGGCCCCTCGTAAGGCCTTCCAAACGCGACCCTCGAAGCCCGCCCCTTACGGGGAAGCCCCTCCGCTCGCTGTCTGCGAAGCCCCGTCCTGTACTGGTGTCCGTGCCCCTCCCCTCGCCGGCCCCGAAGCCCCGCCCCTCGAAGTTCTTCCCACTCACTCTCCTCACAGGTCTCAGCCCCGCCCATCACAGCTCCCTACGGCACGCCCCTCTCAGGCCTCACAGCCGTGCACCTCTCAGGGCTCCGCAGCACCGCTCCACAGGCCCTCCCGGCTCCGCCCCTTTCAGGACCTCGCCGCCCATCAGTTTTGTTTGTTTGTTTGTTTGTTTTTTGAGACGGAGTCTCGCTCTGTCGCCCAGGCTGGAGTGCAGTGGCGGGATCTCGGCTCACTGCAACCTCCGCCTCCCGGGTTCAAGCGATTCTCCTGCCCCAGCCTCCTGAGTAGCTGGGATTACAGGCACGAGCCGCCATGTCCGGCTAATTTTTTGTACTTTTAGTAGAGACGGGGTTTCACCATGTTGGCCAGGTTGGTCTCGAACTCGTGACCTCAAGTGATGCGCCCGCCTCGGCCTCCCAAAATGCTGGGATTGCAGGCGTGAGCCACCGCGCCTGGCCTTGCCCATCAGTTCTCAGTCCGTGGGAACCCTGCAGGTCTACGCCTCGCATCCTTCTCCGCCCCTCCTCCCATAGTTTCTCCCGCGGCCTCAGTCCCTCCCTGGCCGCTGTCCTCAGTCCTCATTGGTCCCTTATCTCCCCAGTAACCAGACCACAACACTGAACTTGGAGCACCAAGAACAGGTCAGGCCCGTCGGCAGGTAGGGCCCAGGACTCCCCCGACCCTGCCCAACCCCCACTACAGCAGGCCGGGGTTTCCCCCTCTCCTGCGACCAAACAGCCTGGCCTCAGATATCCTGAGAGCCCAGGAGGCCTGTCCCCTGCCAAACCCGCGCCAGAATCGGAGCCTAGACGCAAGACCCAGAGTGTGAGAGGTGGGAGGGCTGGAGAGGTGTGGGAGAGGCCTGAGAGAGGTCCCCCTCCAACCCCTCTTGGAGGAATGAGGCCAGCGTGGTTCTAGGGTCACCCCCTTTCAATTCCCAGTCCCTCGCAGTTCATTGTCCACCCTCTCTGGGCCCTGGCCCGCCTGCTGTCTGAAGGGTCTTATATGTCCATCCCTACAGGAGCCCCACCCTGTTTGGCCAGGATGCCTTTGGGACGCTTGGCAGGGAGCGCCCGCTCCGAGGAGGGAAGCGAGGCATTTCTGGAGGGAATGGGTAATTCATTCATTCTTTATATCATTCACCCATTCTTTTCCAGCCCCCAGCTTTCCCAAGTTCCAGGTCCTGTAGGGAGGGAGGGAGAGTGTCTGTCCAGGAGCGCCCTCTGGTGGGAACAGACATGCGCCCTAAGGGAGGCGGGGCGGGCACCACGGTGGGTGGGCCAAGCCTGGGCAGTGGGGCAGGCTGGAGACTTCAGGCAGCAGAAGTTTGAGTGGGGCCCAGAACTCCCTGTAGGAATTGCCAAGGGGAGAAGGAAGGAAGGGTGTTTCTACAGAGATGACAGAATGTGGCTAGAGTAGGCTTTCTCAACCTTGGTACTGTTGACTCTTGGGGTGGGATAATTCTTTGTTGTGGGGGCAGTCCTGTGTGTCGTAGGATGCCAAGCAGTGTCCATGGCTTCTACTCACTGGATACCAGTAGCCCCCTCCCTTCTCCACAAGTCATGACAATGACAAATGTCTCTAGGCTGAGCATGCTGGCTCATGCCTGTAATCCCAGCACTTTGGGAAGCTGAGGAAGGAGGATCACTTGAGCCCAGGAGTTCAAGACCAGCCTGAGCAACACAGTGAGACCTCATCTCTACAAAAATAAAATAAAATTAGCCAGGTGTGATGGCGTGCACCCATAATCCCAGCTACTCGGGAGGCTGAGGTGGGCGGATCACTTGAGCCTGCGAGGTGGAGGCTGCAGTGAGCTGAGATTGTGCCACTGCGCTAGAGCCTGGGGGACAGAGCGAGACCCTGTCTAGAAAAAAATAAGTCTCCAGACATTGCCAAATGTTTTTGGAAGGCAGAATCACCCGCTGATTGAAAACTACTGGGCCTTTGGAGATGGGGAGCATACGGGCAAGACTGGAGAGGTGGGTAAGGTCAGGTCACTTGGGGTCTGGGATCCCAGGCTGAGGTGCTGAGACTTTGTCCTGCAGGTACTGGGGCATCATGGGAGGCCTATGAGGGGTAGGGTCTGCTGTGGGTGGGGTAGGGTTGGCTGTGGGTGTAGAGAGACCCTCTGGGACTGTGCAGGAAGGCTGGAAGTTGAGAGAAAGGTTGGGGTGATGGTCCAGGTAGGAGAGGATGAGGCTGAGCCCAGGGGATGGGTTGAGAGAGGGAGGAGGCAAGAGGATGGGGCTGAGGGCTGCTGATGGTGGGGCAGAAAAGGAGGGAGGGAGCAAGAGCCTTCCCAATTCCAGGTGGTGTGCCCAGGTCCCAGAAGACCCAGAGGCCTTCCAGAAGTGCCCTCTGGTGGGATGGGAGTGGGTTTTAGGGGAAAAAAACCCTGAGTTCAGTTTTGGGTATGAAGGGATGAGGAAGCTCGAGGGATCCCGGAACTGAGGTGCATTCCTAGAGGGGTGTTGGGGGCTGGATCTGCAGTTCAGTTGCAGTTTGTGAGACCCCAAAGGGAGCAGAATTCCTAGGTCCTGGGTTGGGAGGAGCTGGTGGCCAGGATCCCTGCTGAGTCCCTTGGCTGGCCCTGTTCTCAGTGGATTGGGAGCTGAGTAGGCTGCAGCGACAATGCAAAGTGATGGAAGGGGAGAGGCGGGCCTACAGCAAGGAAGTCCACCAGCGCATCAACAAGCAACTGTGAGCTGGGCGCCTGGGCCCTGAGCTGGGGAGGAGGGGGTCAGAGGGGCTGAAGACTGGACTCCTGGGTCCTGCCTTTAGTGATGCTGAGTTCTGCCCCCTTACTGGCCCCTCTTCCACCTCCCTGCCTGGGTAGTGAGGAGATCCGGCGCTTGGAGGAGGTACGGGGCGATCTCCAGGTGCAGATCAGCGCAGCCCAGAACCAGGTCAAGCGGCTTCGGGACAGTCAGCGGCTGGAGAACATGGACCGCCTGCTGAAGGGCCGGGCCCAGGTGCAGGCGGAGATCGAGGAGCTGCAGGAGCAGACCAGGGCCCTGGACAAGCAGGTGGGGTTTGAGAGGTGGTTCTACGGATCCTGCTTACGGGCAAGTGTTGTAACCTCCCTGAGCCTTAGCTTCCTCATGTGAAATTGGGGCTATTAGGCCGGGCACAGTGGCTCATGCCTGTAATCCCAGCACATTGGGAGGCTGAGGCGGGCAGATCACTTGAGGTCAGGAGTTCAAGACCAGCCTGGCCAACGTGGTGAAACCCCATCTCTACAAAAAATACAAAAATTAGCCAGGCATGGTGGCACATGCCTGTAATCCCAGCTACTCGAGAGGCTGAAGCAGGAGAATAGTTTTTCTTTTGTTTTGTTTTTGAGACGGAGTCTTGCTCTGTCGCCCAGGCTGGAGTGCATTGGCACAATCTCGGCTCACTGCAAGCTTCGCCTCCCAGGTTCATGCTATTCTCCTGCCTCAGCTTCCCGAGTAGCTGGGACTACAGGTGCCCACCACCAGGCCTGGCTACTTTTTTTGTATTTTTAGTAGAGACAGGATTTTACTGTGTTAGCCAAGATGGTCTTGATCTCCTGACCTTGTGATCCGCCCACCTCGGCCTCCCAAAGTGCTGAGATTACAGGCGTGAGCCACTGTGCTCGGCCAGGAGAATCGTTTAAACCCGGGGGGCAGAGGTTTCAGTGAGCCAAGATCGCGCCGCTGCACTCCAGCCTGGTTGACAGAGCAAGACTCTGTCTCAAAAAAAAAAAAAAATCGGGGCTATTGAAAGCATCCATCTGGTAGAGTTGTGTTCAGTGGAAACATAGATGTTTGCTGCTTTAGCACAGTCCCAGGCATTCAAAAACAGGACTGGTGTGGTTAAGCAGGAAAGGTTCGCATGTTAGAGTCCCCAAAACCTGCATTAGAGTCCTGGCTCTGCCATCGGAGCTCTGTGATCGGGGGCAGGCAGGTTTTCCCCTCTCTGGGCCCTAGTTTCTTCATCTGCAAACAAGGACGGTGGTAATGCCACAGTCTAGACAGGTTGCGAATCCCATCTGTTTTGGGACCTTGCTATTTGACCTTGCAAACAATGTGATTTTTCTAGGCCAGTGATCTGTCAAGTTTTTATGACCATGACTCATGAGGTGTAGTTCATACACACCAAGATGCATACAGATATACACACACACATATATTAATATATCTGAAACAGAAGTTTCAGCAAATAATATATATATATATATACATTTTTTAATGTGGGATTCATTCTGCTAAATTCTGGTCTAGCCTTCATTGAAAAAACCAATTTGTCAGTTGGGCACAGTGGTGCGTGTCTTGAGGCTGAGGGGGCAGAGCTACTTGAGCCCAGGAGTTTGAGGCTTCAGTGAGCTGTGATTGCCCCGTTGCACTCCAGCCTGGGCAACAGAGAGAGACCCACTTTCTTTTTCTTTTCAAGACAAAGTCTCGCTCTGTCACCCAGGCTGGAGTGCAGTGGCTGGCAGGATCTTGGCTCACTGCAACCTCCACCTCCCAGGTTCAAGCGATCCTCCTGCCTCAGCCTCCTGAGTAGCTGGGATTACAGGCACGTGCCACCAAGCCCAGCTCATTTTTGTATTTTTTGGTAGAGATGAGGTTTTGCCATGTTGGCCAGGCTGGTCTCAAACTCGTGGCCTCAGGTGATCCACTCACCGTGGCCTCCCAAAGTGCTGGGGTTACAAGCGTGAGCCATTGTGCCTGGCTCGGAACCCCTTTAAAAAACAAAAACCAGTGATGCGGCCACAGGTAAGGAGTCCCCAAGTCAAGGAATCCCATCTGCAGAAACTGGCAAAGGCAAGGAATGAAAAGACAAGGTCCAGACTGGGAGAAAATATCTGCAAAGCACGTATCTGATAGAGAACTTGTATCCAGAATATATTAAGAACTTTCCCAAACTCCATTAAAAAGACGGTCCATACCAAGTGTTGCGGGAAGGATGTAGAGGAAGCAGAACTCTCATACTCCACTGGTGGGAATGTGGAATGGCACACTACTTTTGGTACACAGTTTGCACAGTTAGGCAGGTTTGTTTTTTTTTTTTTGACGAAGTCTCGCTCTGTCACCCAGGCTGGAGTGCAATGGCACAATGTCAACTCACTGCAACCTCTGTCTCCTGGGTTCAAACATTCTCCTGTCTCAGCCTCCTGAGTAGCTGGGATTACAGGTGTGTGCCACCACTCCCAGCTAATTTTTATATTTTTAGTAGAGATGGGGGGTTTCACTATGTTGGCCAGGCTGGTCTTGAACTCCTGACCTCAAGTGATCCACCTGCCTCGGCCTTCCAAAGTGCTGGGATTACAGGTGTGGGCCACCGTGCCTGGCCCAGTTTGGCAGTTGCCAAAAAACAAAACGTATACTTGACAATATGATTCAGACATTCCACTCCTAGATGTTTAGCCAAGAGGAAAGAAAGCACATGTCCATATAATGAATTGTACATGAATATTCATAACAACCCAACTTGATTTGTAAAATCGAAAACTGAAACAACCCAAATGTCCATCGGTGGTCGAGTGGACGAGCAAATTGTGGTCTATACATGGAATGGAATGTGACTCATGAATAAAAGGAACCGGCTATTGATACACACAACATGGGTGAATCTCAAAATAACTACTCTGAGTGAAAGAAACCAGATACCCCTTTGATCCCCAAAAGAGTCCTTACTATACAATTCCATTAATATAAAATTCTAGAAAATCAAACCAATCTATAGTGACAGAAAACAGATGAGTGATTGCTGGGGGGAGACTCGACTGCAGGAAGAGGATGAGGTGAGGAAATACAAAAGGGCATGAGGAAACTTTTAGGGGCGATGGATATTTTCACTATTTTATGTCAAAACATAACAATTACACAGTTTATTTATTTATTTAGAGATGGAGTCTCGCTCTGTCACCCAGGCTGGAGTGCAGTGGCGCAGTCTCAGCTCACTGCAATCTCCACCTCCTGGGTTCAAGCAACTCTTCTGCCTCAGCCTCCTGGGTAGTTGGGACTACGGGTGCCTGCCACGATGCCTGGCTAATTTTGTATTTTTAGTAGAGACGGGGTTTCGCCATGTTGGCCAGGCTGGTCTCGAACTCCTGACCTCAGGGGATCTGCCCACCTCAGCCTCCCAAAGTGCTGGGATTACAGGCGTGAGCCACCGTGCCCATCCCACATTGAACACTAAATATGTGCAGTTTTACCGTATGTCATCTCTTCTTTCATAAAGCAATTACTGAGGCAGGAGGATTGCTTGAGCCTGGCCTGGGAGGTGGAGGCTGCAGTGAGCTATGATGGTGCCACTGCACTCGGCCTGGGTGACAGAGTGAGACCCTGTCTCTAAAAAAAAGAAAAAATAAAAGAAAGAAAGAAAATTTTGTTGGGATTCATGTGCAGTTGAAAGAAATAATGCAGAGACATCCCTTGTACACTTTGCTGCATTTTCCCCCAGTGTCAACATTTTGGACATTTCTTTTTCTTTTCTTTTTTGAGGTGGAGTCTCGCTCAGTCACCCAGGCTGGAGTGCAGTGGTGCAATCTCGGCTCATTGCAGCCTCCACCTCCCAGGCCAGGCTCAAGTGATTCTCGTGCTTCAGCCACCCGAGTAGCTGGGATTACAGTCACGTGCCATTACGCCCAGCTAATTTTTGTATTTTTAGTAGAGATGGGGTTTCACCATTTTGGCCAGGCTGGTCTCAAACTCCTGACCTCAGGTGATCCACTCGCCTCGGCCTCTCAAAGTGCTGGGATTACAGGCGTGAGACACTGCGCCCACCAACAATTGGGTATTTGGCTTTTATTGCAGCAACTGCTGAAAATCCAGTCTCACAAAGATGTGACATCTTCAAAAGGATGATAGCGCCCTCTCATGTTGAACTTGTGAACTGCCTTAAGCTAGCAGTTCATGTGGTATCTGACCAATATCAAGGTCTTCCTCAAAAATTTAAAACATCCTCATGCTGAGTCTTAAGTTTGCTGCAGCCTTCTGGGGTATCTTTGGTACGTGGATTAGTTTGTTAGGGCTGCTATGACAAAGTTCCACAAATTGGGTGGCTCGTATAACAAAAATATGTTTTCTCATAGTTCCAAAGGCCAGAAGTCCAAGATCAAGATGTAGGCAGGTTTGGTTCCTTCTGAGCAGTGTGGGGGAGAATCTGTCTGTTCCATGCCTCTCTCTCTCTGCTTCTGCCGGTTTGCTGGCAGTCTTGGGTACTTTGGCTTGTAGACATGTCACCCAATCTCTCAGCTCACTGCAGCCTCCACCCCCTGGGTTCAAGCGATTCTCCTGCCTCAGCCTCCCAAGTAGCTGGGATTACAGGCATGTGCCACCACACCTGGCTAATTTTTGTATGTTTAGTAGAGATGGGGTTTCGCCATGTTGGCCAGGCTGGTCTCGAACTCCTGACCTCAAGTTATCCACCCATCTCAGCCTCCGAAAGTGTTGGGATTACAGGCGTGAGCCACCACACCTGACCTCTGTCTTTATCCTTACGTGGCATTCTCCCTGTGTGCGTATCTATGTCCAAATTTCCTTTTTTGTTTTGTTTTGTTTTGAGACAGGATCTCCCTCTGTCACCCAGGCTGGAGTACAGTGGCTCAATCACAGCTCACTGCAGCTTCGAGCTCCTTGTCTCAAGGGATCTGCCACCTCAGCTTCCCAAGTAGCTAGGACTACAGGTGTGCACCACCATGCCCAGCTAATTTATTTTGTATCTTGTAGAGATGGGGTCTTGCTTTGTGGCCCAGGCTGGTCTTGAACTCCTGGCTTCGAGAGATCATCCTGCCTCAGCCTTCCAAAGTATTGGGATTACAGGCATGAGCCACCACACCCAGCAATTTCCCATTTTTCTAAGAACACCTCGTCGTAGTGGATTAGGGCCCACCTTAATTACCTCATTTTAATTACTTCTATGAAGACTCTGTCTCCAAATAAGGTCACATTCTAAAGTACTGGGGGTTAAGACTTCAACATGTGAGGTTTTTTTTTGGTTTTTTTTTTTTTTTTTTTTGAGATGGAGTCTTGTTCTGTTCCCCAGGCTGGAGTGCAGTGGCACAATCTCAGCTCACTGCAACCTCTCCTCCTGGGTTCAAGCAATTCTCCTGCCTCAGCCTCCCGAGTAGCTGGGATTACAGGTGCCTGCCACCACGCCTTGCTAATTTTTGTATTTTAGTAGAGGTGGGGTTTCGCCATGTTGGCCAGGGTGGTCTTGAACTCCTGACCTCAGCTGATTCACCCACCTCTGCCTCCCAGAGTGCTGGGATTACAGGTGTGAGCCACCGTGCCCGGCCAACATATGAGTTTTTATGGGACATGATTCAACCCATAACAGAGCACAAATTGAAGTGTTGAGCAATTCATTTATCTATTTAGTCTGCATGTTATGTTGAATACCTTCTTTGTCTCGGACAGGGAGAAAACACAAGACTCTGTGTCCTCATGGAACCCCCAGTTTGCTGGGAGAGACAGAGCACACCCCAATAAGTACAGATGAATACAGAAATGAGGACAGATTGGAAGCTGGTCTTAGGCATAAGCAGACCCAGGGCTACTAATGTCATCAAGTTCATTCTCACCGTCTCTCCGACTCTCATCTCCACTTCTGTCCACTGGCCTCATTCTCCCAGGACCCTCCCTGTGGTGGGGCCATGACAGGAGAAGTCCTGGAATCCCATCCTTCCATCTCATGTGCTTCCCCCAGACTATCAGGAAAGGAGTCAGGGCCGGGTGCAGTGGCTCTTGCCTGTAATCCCAGCACTTTGGGAGGCCAAGGCGGGTGGATCACTTGAGGTCAGGAGTTCAAGATCAGCCTGGCCAACATGGTGAAACCCCATCTCTACTAAAAATACAAAAATTAGCTGGGTGTGGTGGTACGTGCCTGTAATCCCAGCTACTCGGGAGGTTGAGGCACTAGAATTGCTCGAGCCTGGGAGGTGGAGGTTGCAGTGAGCCAAGATCGCGCCACTGCACACTCCAGCCTGGGAGACAGAGCAAGACTCTGTCTCAAAAAAAAAAAAAAAAAAAACAAAAAAAAAAACGGAAAGGAGTCAGGCTAGCTCCATGGGGTCACATTCCCATCTCTAGGCCAATCCCTGTGAGTGTCCAGACCTGGGTCATGTGGCTGATAGGGTGATACACTGTGGTTGGAAGGCCCACCAGAACCACATGGAGGGCTGGATAGTGTCAGCAGAAGGGTAGATGTTATTCTGGGGTGACAGGGACAGCAGATGTTTGCCATGCTTAGTGACTCATTTTCCCTGGGCCATTCAATCTCTCCCACATTCAGGCAACCAAAAACAGGTACCATCCTCTTTCTTGTAGATCCAGGAGTGGGAGACGCGGATCTTTACCCACAGTAAGAATGTCAGGTCCCCGGGATTCATCCTGGATCAGAAGGTCAAGATCAGGCGAAGGATCAGGATCCTAGAAAACCAGTTGGACAGGGTGAGGGTCAAACTCCTGGTCCCTCGACCTGAATTGTGCGGTTATGGGAAGAACTGGGCATGGTCATTGGATTCTGGAAATGCTGGGCAGTGTGTGCACATATGTGTCAGGACACAGGATTCTGGAGGGATGGAGGTTCCCAAGGAAAGGAGAATGATGGGTCCTTAGAGGGGAGTGGACATTGATTTCGGGAACCCCAAAGAACCTCTGTTTCTCAGGAAACAGGCCGGCCCAACCTCTGATAAGTGTCTCCTCCTTGGCTGAGCTTGGAGGAGGCAGGCAGACTTGGCTTCAGACCCACTCTTCCATCCACCTTTCTACTCCCAGGTCACCTGTCACTTTGACAACCAGCTGGTACGGAATGCGGCCCTGCGGGAGGAGCTGGATCTGCTGCGGATCGACAGGAACCGCTATCTGAACGTGGACCGCAAGCTGAAGAAGGTCAGTGGCCCTGAAATCCAGGGGAGGAGACAGGGACCCCTGCGCAGGTCCTCCCCACAGCTGTTTGCCCTTCCTGCTCTAGCACTCAGGCCTCAAGTATGGGATTGACTAGAGCGGTAGGCTTGCTTTAGTCCAAAAGGCATGGAGGCCTGGGAAATGTTGGAGGACATTTCCAACAAAAAAGTGGCCTCATTTATAGTTGTAGAAAGCAGAATGTCATTCTGAATAGTATCACCCAGGGCAATCTATGAGCAAGCAAGACCATTTATTATACATTCCACGGGGATCTTTGAAGAACCAGCCCTGTCCCCTCTCTTTTGACTTTCTTTCTTTCTTTGTTTTGAGATGAGTCTCACTCTGTCGTCCAGGCTGGAGCACAGTGAAGTGATCTTGGCTCACTACAGCCTGTGCCTCCCAGATTCAAGCAATTCTCCTGTATCAGCCTCCCGAGTAGCTGGGACTACAGGGGCCTGCCACCACGCCCAGCTAATTTTTTGTATTTTTAGTAGAGATGGGGTTTCACTGTGTTAGCCAGGATGGTCTCGATCTCCTGACCTCGTGATCCGCCTTCCTCGGCCTCCCAAAGTGCTGGGATTACAGGCGTGAGCCACCACACCCGGCCGATTTTTTTTTTTTTAAGTAGGGACAGGGTTTCACCATGTTGCCCAGGCTAGTCTTGAATTCCTGAGCTCAGGCAATTCGCCTGCCTCGGCCTCCCAAAGTGCTGGGATTAGAGGCGTGAGCCACTGCGTCCGGTCTTGACTTTCATTTGGAAATAATTTCAAATTACAGAAAAAGGTGCAAGAATTATACAAAGAACTCCTATATATCTTTCACCCAGTTTGATAATTTGCCACATTTATTTTCTCTTTCTCCCCCACTCTTACTATTGGTGTGTGTAATTATTGTTTTGCTGAGAATAATTTATTATCCTGAATGCTGAACTGTTTGACAATATGTTGTAGACATTATGCTCCTAAGTACTTGAGAGAGCATTTCCTAAGAACAACGCCATTTCCTTACATAAACACAGTGCTGTTATCCAAGTCAGGGAGGTTAACATTGTTAGAATTCTAAACCGTCCATATGTCAAGGTCACTGATTGTCCCAGTGATGTCCTTTACAGTGAACTTGATTTTCCTACTCTAGGCTCCGGTCCAGAATCTCACGTTGCATTTGGTTGTTCTGGCTCTGTTCATCTGGGTCAGTCCCTTGGGCTTTTTTTTCTCCATGACGTTGACATTTTGGAAGCATCCAGGCCGTTTGTGTTGTGCGATGTCCCCTGACATGGGTTTATCTGGTCTTTTTTTTCTTTTTTGATACTAAGTTTCACTCTTGTTGCCCAGGCTGGAGTGTAATGGCGTGATCTTGGCTCGCTGCAACCTCCACCTCCCGGGTTCAAGTGATTCTCCTGCCTCAGCCTCCTGAGTAGCTGGGATTACAGGCATGCACCACCATGCCCGGCTAATTTTGTATTTTTAGTAGAGACAGGGTTTCTCCATGTTGGTCAGGCTGATCTCAAACTCCTGACCTAAGGTGTTCCACCCGCCTCAGCCTCCCAAAGTTCTGGGATTACAGGCATGAGCCACCACGCCCGGCCGGTTTATCTGATCTTTCTTCATGATTAGACTTGGCATCTGCACTTTGGGGGGAATGTCACAGCAGTGATAGTGTGTCCTTCCTGTGCAAGATCTCAGGAGGCACCTGATGTCAACTTGTCCCATGACTAGTGATGTTGTCTTTGATCACTTGGCTAGCCAGGAAGAGTTTTCCTTTTTGTAGTGAATAAGTGGTCTGTGGGGAGATTCTCTGAGACTGTGTAAATATCTTGTCCCCTGACACACCTTCACTCAATCATTTTGTTACGGGATATTTACGGCGTCACTTTTCTGGCTGGAAACCTCCTTGGCCAGTGGTGCCTTTGCCCGAGTTCTTGTACTGTGTCCAGGAAGAAGGAGGTAGGCAGACAAGTGGAGCGTGAGCAAGATGAAGAGGAGCTTTACCGAGTGTTAGGACAGCTCAGAGGAGACCTGCAGGGGGCAGCTCCTCTGCAGGCAGGTCGTCTCGTCCAGTGTTCAGCTATCAGCAGTGAGGAGGCCCTGGAGAGGGTGGTTCCTCTCCGCAGGCAGATTGTTCAGATGTCTCTGCAGGCCTCTGAAGCTCTCAGCAGAGAGGGTAGCTCCATGGGTGGCCATGGGCAGGCCTGGAGGAGACGTTGCAAGTCCCCACTCATTTTGCAGTACTGGCAACCTGGCCCCCAGCCTTCAGGCCCTCCCTGGCTTGAAGGAGGGACCTTACCGGGTACTTGCCCTCTTCTGCCCAGGAATCTGCCTGCCTCCTGCTGCCATTCATGGCACTGGGCTGGACCCCAACCCCTCTCTGAGATCAGAGTGGGTGTGAGAGAGGAGAGAGGCCAAGCAGCAGGAGCAGACACGCTCGAGCCTGCAGGGATCGGGGTGGGGAGGGGGGTGCGGTGGTGCTTTCCTGGGCCGTTCAGGGTACAGGCTGCAGAGAACTTCAGAGATGCCTAGGTCCTGTGGTTGGGAGGGTGGCTGCAGCTGCACTCTGGGAGCTCCCACCCCACCAACTCGGAAGGGGCAGGACCCTCGCTTGTCCCCGGCTGCTGCCTGCTCCCTGGAGTGGGAGGCCCGGGTCTGTAGCTGCGGGTTGGGCAGCTGCAGCTGCACCCGGGAGGGCAGATCCTGCCTGCTCCTGGCTCCCTGCAAGAGCACAGAGAGGCTCAGATCCACAGCAGCAGTTTGGGCAGCTGTAGTCCCGCCCAGGAGGGCGGGGATCCTGCCTGCTCTGTGGAGCAGAAGGCCTGGGTCTGCAGCTGTGGTTCTGGTGGCTGCAGCTGCACACGGGGAGCTCCCATCCCAACTCAGAAGGGTCAGGGCTCCTACCGGCTCCATGGAGTGTGCAGCCACAGCCAGCAGCTACTGCCATCAATTTTATCATCCATGAATGATTCTTCCCTGAATGGTTATTACTGTAATGGCTGCAACAGGGTAATTTAAAAGACTCTGTCATTTCTCCCACATTTATAAGATCGCATTTTCCTTAAGGAAACACTTCTCGGCTGGGTGTGGTGGCTCATGCCTGTAATTCCAGCACTTTGGGAGGCTGAGGCAGGCGGATCACCTGAGGTCAGGAGTTCGAGACCAGCCTGGCTAACATGGTGAAACCCCGTTTCTACTAAAAATACAAAAAATTAGCCAGGTGTGGTGGTGCACGCCTGTAATCCCAGCTACTTGGGAGGCTGAGGCAGGAGAATCACTTGAACCAGGGAGCTGGAGGCTGCAGTGAGCCAAGATTGTGCCATTGCACTCCAGCCTGGGCAACAAGAGTGAAACTCTGTCTCAAAAAAAAAAAAAGCAAAAAGGAAACACTTCTCTTTCTCCCCCTGTATATTTGAGTGTTGTCAGTGAGCATTAGTGTATTCTGACTTTATAGATGATGATCCGTAACTGCCATTCATTTTAATATTCAAATTGCCCCAGATTTGGTTAGTGGGAGCCCCTTCAAGCTGGCTTCTGTGGCCTTTGGACATACCCCATCACTTTTTGGGAGTACTTCCTCACTTTCTGGCACACGAAGATAGTCTGGGTAATCTGGACCTTGTTCTGCCCCATCCCTGGGGTTGGCCATTTTTCTGAGGAGTCCCGGTTCTTTCTAGGGAAGAGTAGGTGTTGAGGCACTAAGAGACCGTTTTCTTTTTTTTTTTTTTTTTGAGACGGAGTCTCGCTTTGTCACCCAGGCTAAAGTGCTGGAGTGCAGTGGCATGATCTCGGCTCACTGCAAGCTCCGCCTCCCAGGTTCACGCCGTTCTCCTGCCTCAGCCTCCCGAGTAGCTGGGACTACAGGCACCTGCCACCACGCCCGGCTAATTTTTTGTATTTTTAGTAGAGACGGGGTTTTGCCGTGTTAGCCAGGATGGTCTCGATCTCCTGACCTCGTGATCCGCCCACCTCGGCCTCCCACAGTGCTGGGATTACAGGCGTGAACCACCAGCCTGGCACTAAGAGACTCTGTTGCTACTTGGGTGTCATTGCTTTGAGGCCCTTCCTCTGGAGAGAGCTAGGAAGCACACATATTTTATATGTTTTAAAATTCTATTTATGTTTTGTAGAGATGGGGTCTTACTATGTTGTCCAGGCTGCTCTCAAACTCTTGGGCTCAGGTGATTCTCCTGCCTTGGCCTCACAAAGTATTGGGATTACAGGCATGAGCCACTGCGCCTGGCTGACATATTTTACAATAGTGAGTTCACATTGATACCTCTGATTCCATTCCAATATCACCAGCTTTTTCCTGAGCATTCCTCATTTCATCTTTCTTTCTTTCTTTCTTTCTTTTTTTTTTTCTTTTGAGATGGAGTCTCACTCTTGTTGCCCAGGCTAGGGTGCAATGGCACGATCTCGGCTCACCACAACCTCCGCCTCCCGGATTCAAGCTATTCTTCTGCCTCATTGTCCCAAGTAGCTGGGATTACAGGCATGCACCACCACGCCTGGTTAATTTTTTGTATTTTTAGTAGAGACAGGGTTTCTCCATGTTGGTCAGGCTGGTCTCAAACTCCCGACCTCAGGTGATCCTCCCGTCTTGGCCTCCCAAAGTGCTGGGATTACAGTCGTGAGCCACCGCGCCTGGCCCTAATTTTGTATTTTTAATAGAGATGGAGTTTCTCTATGTTGGCCAGGCTGGTCTCGAACTCCCAAGCTCAGGTGATCTGCCCGCCTCGTCCTCCCAAACTGCTGGGATTATGGGCCTGAGCCACCGCACCTGGCCCTATTATTATTTTTAAATAAAGTTCACTTGCTTCCATTTGCATTCAGTTTTAGTTTTCTCTCCTCTCTTTATTGATTTAATTTCCTTTATGAATATGTAAAACATTAACAAGGTTCTCAAATCAAACTATTCCAAAAGGTCTCCTAGGGAAACGTCATTTCCTCTCCATCTCCTCCACCTCATTTCCACCCAGTCCCCGTAGGTTACTAAATATTTTCTTAGTTTCTGCTTATCTACAGAAAGAGCCTTTTGATCCAGCTTATCAATTTGACTTCACACCTCTTTAAAATCCCTTTCATGGGCAGTCGCTAATGAGGAGGGTCCACATTTGGAAGGCTCAAGAGCTTTACTCCTTATTGGAGAAGCACGGGGCCAAAAGGAAAGACTTCGAGCAATGGGGTTGTAAGAAGTGGCACTGATTTTTTTCTCCTCCCCCCACAGGAGATCCACCACCTGCATCACCTGGTCAGCACCCTTATCCTCTCCTCCACCTCTGCCTACGCCGTCAGGTAGAGACTGCGGGTATCCTGGGATGGCGGGACCCAGATGACTCAGGACGCACCTTTCCATAAGGCAGTGATGGGAAGGTTCAGGACTCATGAAACACGTCAGAACCTATTTTTTCTCCCATAATATCCCCTTTTTCTCTCTCCCCGCCACCAGTTCCCCACCTCCACTGGCAAGGTCCTGTTCTGTCTTTTTTTTTGAGACAGAGTCTGGCTCTGTCGCCCAGGCTACAGTGCAGTTGCGCTATCTTGGCTCACTGCAACCTCTACCTCCCAGGTTCAAACAATTCTCCTGCCTCAGCCTCCCGAGTAGCTGGGATTACAGGTGCCCGGCACCGTGGCTGGCTAATTTTTGTATTTTTAGTAGAGATGGGGTTTCACCATCTTGACCAGGCTGGTCTTGAACTCCTGAGCTCATGATCTACCCGCCTCTGCCTCCCAAAGTGCTGGGATTACAGGCATGAGCCATTGCACCCCACCGGCCCTGTTCTTTTTCTTGGGCATGTAAATTAACCTCTACTGACCCCATCTAGCACATAAGAATGTATCTACTGGCTGGGCGAGGTGGCTCACGCCTGTAATCCCAACACTTTGGGAGGCCAAGGCAGGCAGATTGCTTGAGCTCAGGAGTTCGAGACCAGCCTGGCCAACATGGTGAAATCCCATCTCTACCAAAAATATAAAAACTTAGCTGGGCATGGTGGCGGGTGTCTGTGGTCCCAGCTACTTGGGAGGCTGAGGTGGGAGGATTGCTTGAGCCCTGGGGGCGGAGGTTGCAGTGAGCCGAGATTGCACCACTGCATTCCAGCCTGGGCAACAGAGTGAGACTCCGTCTCAGGAGAAAAAAAAAAAAAAAGCGCATCTAGCACATATATAGTGCAGCAGGGTTCCTGGAAGCATCTGGCGAATTTGTTATTCGTCAGCATTGGTTGCAAGGGACAGAGATCCTCTCGGGCCACCTTCAGATAGAGGCACACTGTAAGGAGTTGAGGAGCTGAAGCTGCTTTAGGTGTTGGCTTCTCTCTCCCTCTCTGGGGCTCTCATGAGCTCCATGCTCTCTCTCTCACTCCATCCCTGTCTCTTTCTCAGCTTCGCCCTCTTCTTTTGCTCCAAATGCTTTCTTACCTTCTACTAAGTTCTTCTCTGGCTTCTGTTTTCTCATGGTCCCTGATCGACATCAGCTGTGGCCTGGGTCGGCCTTAGGGTCTCTGTGATTTCTCTCTTTCTCTCTCTCTGTTAAAACAAACGTGGCAAAATTCACCATTTTAAAGCGTAGAATGTAGCAGCATTTAGTACATTCACGGGGCCGTGCAACCGCACCACTTCTGTCTAGATCTGAAATATTTCCATCACTCCAAAAGGAAAACTACCTGCCACCGGGAAGTACAGGAATCCTCGCTTTTTAGTCTTACTTGGGAGAAAGAATTCTGCCAAGAGACTGATTTAGCCAACAAAGAGAATTTACTGAAGGCAAATAGAGAACAGAGAGTTTACCTAGAGAGAGACAGTACACTCTGAAGGATGAGGAGAGCAGGCTGCTGAAAGAACGTGAGCCAGCAGCACACCGAGAGTTTTGTGTTGTGTTTCTAATATGATGTCGCACTCTTTTGAAGTTCTTGCTTCTGTCTTTTTTTTTTTTTTGAGACAGTTTCGCTCTTGCCACCCAGGCTGGAGTGCAGTGGTGCGATCTCAGCTCACTGCAATCTTCACCTCCCAGGTTCAAGCGATTCTCTTGCCTCAGCCTCCCAAGTAGTTGGGATTACAGGCATGCACCACCAGGTCTGGCTAATTTTTGTATTTTTAGTAGAGATGGAGTTTCACCATGTTGGCCAGGCTGGTTTCAAACTCCTGACTGCAGGTGATCCTCCTGCCTCCCAAAGTGCTGGGATTACAGCCTGAGCCACCGTGCCCAGCCAGTTCTCTGCTTTTTGTGACCACAGGATAACTGCAACCTGATTCAGCCCCATTCCTGTGACCCCAGGCTGGCCCTGCCCATCTGGGACACCAGCTGACTCCACCTCACCCCCCACAACCTCTGGCTGACCCCGCCCATCCCCAGGACCCCAGGCCGACCCCAGTCCAGCCTCCAGTCATCCTGACCCCGGCTGACCCCCGCAGGGAGGAGGCGAAGGCCAAGATGGGCTTGCTGCGGGAGCGCGCGGAGAAAGAGGAGGCCCAGAGCGAGATGGAGGCGCAGGTCCTGCAGCGGCAGATCTTGCACCTGGAGCAGCTGCACCACTTCCTCAAGCTCAAGAACAACGACCGGCAGCCGGATCCCGATGTCCTGGAGAAGCGTGAAAAGCAGGGTGAGGCTGGGGCTGCTGCCTTTGCATCTCAAGGGCCTGGCCGCCCCTGGGGCACCTGCAGCACACCTTCGTGCCCCAGGTGGGACCACACTTCGCTCCCCCTCACCCAGGAGGTCTCTGTGTTGGAGGCCACCCAGGAGGCCGACCTGCTGTTCTCTCTTCCCCTAGCCGGGGAGGTGGCCGAGGGCGTCTGGAAGACCTCCCAGGAGAGGCTGGTGCTTTGCTACGAGGACGCCCTGAATAAACTGTCCCAGCTGATGGGGGAGAGTGACCCTGACCTGTTGGTGCAGAAGTATCTGGAGAGTGAGTGGGGCCCTGGGTGGAGGGAGGAGGCCCGGGACCCCGGCACCCCCTGAGTCCAGTGCAGGCTGGCCTCAGCTCTGGCCCTGGGGAACTCCTCCATCTGTGCTGGAGGAACAAGGCGTCATGCCTGGGACCCGCCGCCCGCGTCCACTGGCGTCTTACCGTGGCCCTGTCTCTGCCCCTCCCCACCCCCTCCTAACTCCTGGGCCTGGGGTCACTCTCCACATCCTTCCCTCAACCCTGTCCCTCTCTGTTTCTCTCCTTACCCATATCTACCGTTCTCCCCGCCTGCATCTCCCCATCTCCCTTGCTATTGCCGAGTCTCTGGCTTTCCCTCTCTGCCTTGCTGTGTATTTCTGTGTCCCACCTGCCGTATCTTCCCACACCTCTTTGTCTCTGTGACTCCTCTCTGTTCGTCTCTCTGCCTTGGTTTCTGTGTGGCCTTCCTCATCTTCACTTTCTTTGGCCTTCTGTATGCCTCTCTGTCTCTGTTCTCTCTGTCTCTGTTTCTCTGTCTCCCTCTCTCTGGGCCCCGCCTTGCCCAACTCTCCCAGTCGAGGAGCGCAACTTTGCTGAGTTCAACTTCATCAACGAGCAGAACTTGGAGCTGGAGCATGTGCAGGAAGAGATCAAGGAGGTGAGTGAGGCCTGCCCTCTCCATCTCCTCCTCTCCTCCCGGCCTCCCCGCCCCCTTCCCTCCCTCAGCCTGCCTCCTGCTTCTTCCTAGCTCCACACCCCCAACTCCCGAGGCTGCCATCTGGCCCAGCATTCAGCCCTGTCCCCACAGATGCAGGAGGCTTTGGTGAGCGCACGTGCCAGCAAGGATGACCAGCATTTGCTGCAGGAGCAGCAGCAGAAGGTGTTGCAGCAGCGCATGGACAAGGTGCACTCGGAGGCTGAGCGCCTTGAGGCCCGCTTCCAGGATGTGCGGGGACAGCTGGAGAAGCTCAAGGCTGGTGAGCACCCATGGGCGCCCCCTCCCGAGCCTGGCTTCTCCACTTGGAAGGACACCATCAGCCCGCGGGGCTTGGAGGCATTGCATGGACAACCTGGTTCACTTGCTTATCAGTTGCCCCATATCTGTCCATCTTTCCAACCAGGGTCTATCCCTCCAACTGTCCCATGTCCATCTATCCATCCATCATCTGTCCCTCCAACTGTCCTACACCCATCCATCCATCCATCTATCAATGCATCCATCCATCCATCTAGGGTTGATCCCTCCAACTGTCCCATATCCATCCATCCATCCATCCATCCATCCATCCATCCATCCATCCATTCAACGTCTGTCTCTCCAATTATCCTATATCCATCCATCCATTCAGAGTCTATCCCTTCAACTGTCCTATATCCATCATCCATTCAGGATCTATTCCTTCATCTGTCCTATATCTATCTCTCCATCCAGGGTCTATCCCTCCATTCTGTCCCATATCCATCTATCTATCCAGGGTCTGTTCCTTCATCTGTTCTATATCTATCTACCCATCCAGGACCTACCCCTCCATCTGTCCTATATCCATCCATCCATTCATCCATCCATCCATCCATTCATCCACCCATCCATCCATCCATCCAGGGTCTATTCCTCCAACTGTCCTGTATCCATCATTCATCCAGGATCTATTCCTTCATCTGTCCTATATCTATCTCTCCATCCAGGTTCTATACCTCCATCTGTCCCATATCCATCTATCTATCCAGGGTCTATTCCTTCATCTGTCCCATATCTATCCATCCAGGATCTACCCCTTCATCTGTCCTATATCCATCTGTCCGTATATCCATCCATCCATCCATCCATCCATCCATCCATCCATCCATCCATCCAGGATCTATTCCTCCAACTGTCCCATGTCCATCCATCCATGCAGGGTCTATCCCTCCAACTGTCCCATGTCCATCCATCCATCCAGGGTCTATCCCTCCATCTGTCCCATGTCCATCAATCCATCCATTGTCTATCTGTCCATCTGCCTCCAACAGCCCCACATCCATCTGTTCATCCATCTATCTGCAATGACATTTGACTTTTGTCTTCCTAGTCTTAGTCTTAGTTACCAAATTTCTTCTTAGTCTTAGTTACCAAATTTCTTCTTAGTCTTAGTTACCAAAAATGTTATTATTTGTAAAGAAAATGATGATAAAATATAATAGCAATGTTTATTATGTGTCATTCACTGTGCAAGGCACTTATGCATTATTCCACTTGTTTCACAAAACACTAAAAAACAGATGCTGTCCCTCCAACTGTCCCATATCCATCATCCACCCATCCATCCATCTACCCAGTATTCATCCATGGATCATCCATGTACATCTCTGTCTATAAATGCCTAGCAGTGGGACCGATGGGTCTTAGGGTAGGTATATGTTGATATTTATTAGAAAATGCCGAACAGTTTTCCACACTGGTCGCAAGATTTTATGCTCTCACCTATGCGAGCATATGGGAGTCCCCGATGATCCACACCTTTTCCACCACTTCCTAGTGTCAGCCATTTTTTATCTTGTTTTGTTTTTGAGATGCAGTCTTGCTCTGTCACCAGGCTGGAGTGCAATGGCATGATCTCGGCTCACTGCAACCTCCGCTTCCTGGGTTCAAGCGATTCTCCTGCCTCAGCCTCTCCAGTAGCTGGGACTACAGGTGTGCGCCACCACGCCCAGCTAATTTTTGTATTTTTAGTAGAGTCGGGGTTTCATCACGTTGGCTAGGATGGTCTCGATCTCTTGACCTCGTGATCTGCCCGCCTCGGCCTCCCAAAGTGCTGGGATTACAGGCGTGAGCCCCCGTGCCTGGCCGTCAGCCATTTTAATATTAGCCATCTAACGTGTGTGCCGTACTCTCTCTATTAATTTAATTGGCATTTCCCTGGTGACTAATAATATTGAGCATCGTATTGGCCATTCAGATGTTTTTGTAAAGTTCCTGTTCAATCTTGTGCACTTGTTTTTTTAAAAATTGGGTTTGTCTTGCTATAACTGAGTTGAAGGAGTTCTTTGTATATTCTAGATACTAGACTTTTGGTAAATATTTTCTCTTATACTGTAGCTTGCCTTTTCATTTTTTTTGGTGATGAACTGAAGTTTCTTAGTTTTGAGGATATCTAATTTATGAAATTTTCTTTTTGTAGTTAATGACTTTGTGGCCTGCCTAAGAAATTTTTGCCTGTCCTGAGGTTACAAAGGCATTATGCTGTGTTTTCTCCTAGAAGTTTCATTGTTTGAACTCCCACATTGAAGTCTGTGACTTATGACAAATTGATTTGCATTATGGTATGAGGTAGGGGTCTAGAGTTTCCTTTTTAAAAATTTTTTTAGATTTTTTTCATTTATTTATTTTTTGAGAGGAATTTCGCTCTTTTGCCCAGGCTGGAGTGCAGTGGCACAATCTCGGCTCACTGCAACCTCTGCCACCCAGGTTCAAGCAGTTCTGCCTCAGCCTCCTGAGTTGCTGGGATTACAGGTGCCCGCCACCACGCCCAACTAATTTTGGTATTTTTAGTAGAGACGGGGTTTCGCCATGTTGGCAGGCTGGTCTCAAACTCCTGACCTCAGGTGATCTGCCCGCCTCAGTATCCCAAAGTGCTGGGATTACATATGCATGAGCCACTGTGCCCGGCCCTTTTTTTTTTTAGAGATAGGATTTTACTATGTTGTCCAGGCTAGTCTTGAACTCCTGGACTCAAGTGATCCTCCTGTCTTGGACTCCCAAAGTGCTGGGATTATAGGCATGAGCCACCACTCCTGGCTGAGTTTCTTTTTTTTTTTTTTAATCCCTTCTGTGGGTATGTTGCATCCACCTGTGCATCCTTTTTTTCTATTATTATTATTATTTTTTAAAATTTGAGAAAGTCTCGCTCTGTTCCCCAGGTTGGAGTGCAGTGGCACGATCTCGGCTCACTGCAATCTCCCCCTCCTGGTTCAAGCGATTCTCCTGCCTCAGCCTCCCAGTAGCTGGGATTACAGGCACACACCACCACACCCAGCTAATTTTTGTATTTTTAGTGGAGGGGGGTTTTGCCATGTTGGTCAGGCTGGTCTCAAACTCCTGACTTGAGGTGATCCACCCGCCTTGGCTTCCCAAAGTGCTGGGATTACAGGTGTGAGCCACTGCGCCGGGCCTCATCTTTCTTATTTTTCAGGAAGTAGCCATGCAGAGCACTCAGGAGTCAGGCTGTCCTGTTTCTTTTCTCTTTTTTAAAACATTTATTGTTAGCTTTTATTTGTTTTTTTGAGATGGAATCTCACGCTGTCAGCCAGGCTGGAGAGCAGTGGTGTGATCTGGGCTTACTGCAACGTCCATCTCCCGGGTTCAAGCAATTCTCCTGCCTCAGCCTCTCCAGTAACTGGGATTACAGGCCTGCACTACCATGCCCGGCTAGTTTTTTTGTATTTTTAGTAGAGACAGGGTTTCACCATGGTGGCCAGGCTGGTCTCAAACTCCTGACCTCAAATGATCTGCCTGCCTTGGCTTCCCAAAGTGCTGGATTACAGGCGTGAGCCACTGCACCCAGCCTGTCCTGGGTTTGAATCTCAGCTCCACCAATTGTGAACCTTGGTGTGTGGCTTCCTCCTTCCGCTCTGGGAATGGGGATGGCAGTGCCTACTTTGCAGGGTTGTCATGAGAATTAGAAGGGATGACGGATGGAGAGAAAGGTGGGGGGTGGTGGGGAGCGAGCTGGAGAGCCTCCTCGGGGCATACCGTAGGAGCTCAGATATGGGCAGGTCCTCCTTCCTGCTGTCGTGATGGCTGATCCGAGCCCTGTGCTAGGTGATGTGGGCACAGTGGGGAGAGGCCCTGGAGGGGACTGACCTGCGCACTGGGCACTCATCACTCAGGGGCTAGGACAGAGGACGCCCAGGCACTGGGGGCGAGAGAAGGCCCTAACTCAGTCTGGGGTGCAAGACCATAATTTGTGGGGCCCAGTGCAGAATGAGGGGCCCCTTGTTAAAAAATTGCTGAGATTTTCAAGATAGGAAGAGCAGCAGCGTGTCAAGCCAAGTGCAGGCCCCTCACCACTGCCTGGATCTCACACTCATGAGGCTGGCTCTGCTGGGGTCACTGGGAAGGCTTCCTGGAGGCAGTGACACTTGAGGCTGACTTTGAAGGACAAGTCAGGGAGAGAGGGATGCACAGCAGTGCCGTCCCCCTGCCTGGCTGGCTGAGCTCGGGTGACTCCCTTTTGGTCTCTGAGCCTTGACCGCAGTCTCTGTAGAATGGGGCAGTGAGGACCTGAGTGGGGAGAGGGCTGGCACCCAGCTGGCGGTGCCAGATCCCTGACAACCGGCCCTCCATGACGCAGATATCCAGCTCCTCTTCACCAAGGCCCATTGCGACAGCAGCATGATCGATGACCTCCTTGGGGTCAAGACCAGCATGGGAGACCGGGACATGGGCCTCTTCCTGAGCCTCATTGAGAAGCGGCTGGTGGAGCTCCTGACAGTGCAGGCCTTCCTACATGCCCAGGTGGGAGACGGCAGGGAGCCGGGACAGGAGGCCGGTCTCGGGGGTGGCCCAGCTGACCGCAGGCTCCCACACTCTCCAGAGCTTCACCTCCCTGGCCGACGCTGCCCTCCTAGTGCTGGGCCAGAGCCTGGAGGACCTTCCGAAGAAGATGGCCCCACTTCAGCCCCCTGACACTCTGTGAGGCGCAGGGCAGGAGGGACGCAGAGGGGACGGGGCTTCCATGGGGGCAGAGGGAACACACAGGATAGAGAGTTTTGGGGGGCTTTTGGGGACTGGCTGGCGGATGTGGCCCTGGGGGGTTAGAATATGAAGTATGTGCTTCGAGGCAGCCAGAAGGAGTAGGGGCTTGGCACCTGTGTGGGAGGATGGGGCCCCGGGTGCCCCAGAAGGGAAGGGCACTCGGGGCTGGTGGGAGAATGGCTGAGGCTCCCGGGGTTTAGCAGGAAGGGCCGCTGGCCTTTTTGAGGGCTGAGGTCTAGTCTTTTCCAATTTTCCTTCCCCTCCCCAGAGAAGACCCCCCGGGTTTTGAGGCCAGCGATGACTACCCCATGAGCAGGGAGGAGCTGCTGAGCCAAGTGGAGAAGCTGGTGAGAGTGGGGCCTGCGGGGGTGGGGCCAGGCCTCAGTGTGTGTCGGGGCCCAGTTCACCTTCCCTGCAGGTGGAGCTCCAGGAGCAGGCGGAGGCGCAGCGCCAGAAGGACCTGGCCGCCGCCGCCGCGAAGCTGGACGGCACCCTGAGCGTGGACCTGGCCAGCACCCAGAGGGCCGGCTCCAGTACCGTCCTGGTGCCCACCAGGCACCCCCATGCCATCCCCGGGTCCATTTTGAGCCACAAGACTAGCAGAGACCGTGGCTCTCTTGGCCACGTCACTTTTGGCGGCCTCAGCTCCAGCACTGGGCATTTGCCCAGCCACATCACGCACGGTGACCCCAACACTGGCCACGTGACCTTCGGCTCCACCAGTGCCTCGAGTGGGGGCCACGTGACCTTCAGACCCGTCAGCGCCAGCAGCTACCTGGGCTCCACTGGATACGTGGGGTCCAGCAGGGGCGGAGAAAACACAGAGGGTGGTGTGGAGAGCGGAGGCACAGCGTCTGATTCGAGCGGAGGCCTCGGGTCCAGCAGAGACCACGTCTCCAGCACCGGCCCTGCCTCCAGCACTGGCCCGGGCTCCTCCACCAGCAAAGACTCCCGGGGCTAACACGAGGGGCACGCAGCCCCCACCCTGCCCTGGCTCTCTGTGGGGTCTTTTTTTGTGTCTCTACTTCCCCTGTTTGCCTTGTGGGTCTCTGTCTTTTTCTCCCAGTGGCAGGCCTCTGTCTTTTTGCCCCTTCAACTGTTTTCATCTGCCCTTCATCACCGCCTCACCTGTGTCTCCCGGTTCCTTTCTCTCTGCTCCTGACACTGCTTTTCCCTCTGACTCCTGATCTCCTGTTCTCTGGGCTTCCTGGTCAGTGTCTGTCCGTCTTGTCTCCATATCTGCCCCTTCCCTGTCTGCTGAGCCCTGGCCCCCTGTGGATCCCCCACCTCCTGTTTCCGGCTCTCTCTCCTCATCTCCATCTCCCAGGCTCTCCACGCATCCTGTGTCCCTGTCTCTGTAGCTCCTTACTCCCCAAGAGCCCCCCAGTGCTGACAGGTGTGGGAAAAGTCAGGGCGAAGACGCCAGGTTCAGCATGGGAAAATGGGACTGTGGAAATAAAGTATATGTGTGGAGAGCTGGCTTCAGCCATGGCTGCTTCCTCTACCTCCAGCCTGGGGGTAATCTGTGACCCTGTCCCGATTCCCTGCCATTCATTCATTCATTCATTCATTCACTCACTCATTCAGCGTTCTTATTTATTTATTTATTTATTTATTTATTTATTGAGATGAAGTTTCCCTCTTGTTGCCCAGGCTGGAGTACAGTGTCACGTTCTCGGCTCACTGCAACCTCCGCCTCCTGGGTTCAAGTGATTCTCCTGCCTCAGCCTCCCGAGTAGCTGGGATTACAGGTGCCCACTACCACGCCCGGCTAATTTTTGTATTTTTAGTCGAGATGGGGTTTCACCATGTTGGCCAGGCTGGTCTTGAACTCCTGACCTCAGGTGATCTGCCCACCTCAGCCTCCCAAAATGCTGGGATTACAGGCGTGAGCCACCGCACCCAGCCTATTCATCCATTTCTCTGAGATCCACGTGTCTGGCTCTCTTGGAGCTATGTTGGTCAGGGCAGGCTGGGCTGTGCTGCAGTCACAGCTGCAGATTCTCTGTGGTCCTCAGGCAGCAGAGTTTTCTCTCCTTTGTGGGCCAGCTGAGCGCTCCGCTCCATATCACTCGTGTACCCCGGGCCCATGGCACAGCCATCACTGGAGTGCTGCCAGTCCTTTGGCACGGGAAGAAGAGAGGATGGCACAGCAGGCAGTGACTCTCGAGGCTTGGACCTGATATGACACCTGTCCTCTTAGCTCACACTCAGCCAGAGCGGGTCAGCAGGTTACGCCGAACTTCAAAGGGTCGCCGGGAAGCGCAGTCTTTTCATGTGCCTGGAAGGAGAGAAAGGAAGGATTATTTATGGACAGCCCTAACTCCAGCCACAGGGTCACAGAGAAAAAGCTGACTTTGGCCCTTTCCTGCAGCGGGGGTGGGTGTAGGAGTGAGAGGGCTTAGAACACCTTGATAACTCTTTCCTGTAGTTGAGTCATGCCAAATGCCCTGTCAAAATTTAATCCATTGGTATCAAAGCTATATAAAAACTTCTAAAAATTCAGGCTGGGCGTGGTGGCTCACGCCTGTAATCCCAGCACTTTGGGAGGCCGAGGTGGGTGGATCACTTGAGCCCAGGAGTTCAAGACCAGCCTGGTGAACATGCGAAACCCTGTCTCGACTAAAAATACAAAAATTAGCAGAGCATGGTGATGTGCACCTGTCTTCCCAACTACTCGGGAGGCTGAGGCACAAGAATTGCTTGAATCTGGGAAGCGGAGGTTGCAGTGAGCCGAGATCATGGTACTGCACTCCAGCCTGGTTAATAGAGTGAGAGTGTCTCAAAAAAAAAAAAAAGTTCAAATCCAAACAGATAATCTATCATCCACCTTCCTAATCCAGGTAGCACCCTGAGCCTCCCCTTAAAATGGCTTGATCATAGTGCATACTTTTTTGTGTGAGAATAAGATGAATTTATACACAAAGCCTTAGAACAGTGGCTGGGCGTGGTGGCTCACGCCTGTAATCCCAGCACTTTGGGAGGCCAAGGTTGGCGGATCACCTGAGGTCAGGAGTTCAAGATCAGCCTGGCCAACATGGTGAAACCCCGTCTCTACTAAAAATACAAAAATTAGTCGGGTGTGGTGGCACATGCCTATAATCTCACCTATTCCGGAGGCTGAGGCAGGAGAATCTCTTGAACCTGGGAGGCGGAGGTTGCAGGGAGCCGAGACCATGACACTGCACTCCAGCCTGGGAGACAAGAGTGAAGCTGTATCTCAGAAAATAAATAAATTAATAAATAAAATGGCTTGATAATAGTACATACTTGTTTGTGTGAGAATAAAATGAACTGATACACAGAAAGCCTCAGAACAGTACCTGGCAAGTAGTAAATGCTCAGAACTACATGTGACTATTAGCAGGACAGCGATAAAGATGGAAAGGAGTGTAGTGTTTTCTTTCTATTTATTTATTTATTTATTTATTTTTGAGACGGAGTCTCGCTCTGTCGCCCAGGCTGGAGTGCAGTGGCACAATCTCAGCTCACTGCAATCTCCGCCTCCTGGGTTCAAGCAGTTCTCCTGCCTCAGCCTCCCAAGTAGCTGGGATTACAGGCACCTGCCACCATGCCTGGCTAATTTTTTTTTTTTGTATTTGAGATGGGGGTTTCACCGTGTTGGCCAGGCTGGTCTCGAACCCCTGACCTCAAGTGTGCTCCTACCTCGACCTCCCAAAGTGCTGGGAATACAGGCGTGAGCCACTGAGTCTGGCCTGTGTTCAGCAATATTTGAGCCATTTTTCCTTACAGAAAGAGAAATACTTATTTTTGTGTTTTAAATAAAACTGGTGTAGGAAAGTTAAAAAAAAAAAAAAAGAACTCTATTTCTCCCCTTACAGCTGCACAGGAGGGGACATCCACATATCTTTTCTCATTAATTTGATAAATATTTATTGAGCATGTACTATGTGCCATATATTGTACTAGGTTCTGGGGATGGAAGAGTAAAGGAGAAATTTGAAAATGGCATTTCAGGAGGGAGGTGGAAAGGCAGCTCCTCTGAGGCGTGGCTCCTGGCAGTGGAACTGCTATTCTTCCTCCCTGGGGGCCCAGGAAGTCTCATCTTGGTGTGGAGCTGAGTCGTGACCACCAGCCCTATCTCCCATTTCGGAGCGATTTCCTCCTCTTTCCTTCCAAAGATAGCAGAGTAAGCACAGCAGACCGAGCCTTCTGATTTGCTGCCCCTGCAAAGCGGCCTCATAGACCACCACAGTGCGATGGACTCAGGCTAACCACAGCTCTCTGTCACCTCAAGGGTCCTAGTCCTACAATGAGCAGGTTCACTTCCTCTACCTTCCCCTGGACTGGGGCTGGGCTCGCCACTTTTAGATGGTCAACCCTGCAGCACCCAGCGCAGAATACATCGAAGGCCACTTTAGAGACACCTGAGAATTCAACCTAGATTTTTGATTTTTTATTTTTTTGAGACAGGGTCTTGCTCTGTTGCCCAGGCTGGAGTGCAGTGGTGCAATCTTGGCTCACTCCAGCCTCCACCTCCCAGGTTCAAGTGATTCTCATGCCTCAGCCTCCTGAGCAGCTGGGACTACAGATGTGTGCCACCACGCCCGGCTAATTTTTGTATTTTTTGTAGAGATGGAGGTTTCACCATGTTGGCCAGGCTGGTCTCGAACTCCTGGCCTCCAGTGATCCTCCCGCCTTGGCCTCCCAAAGTGAAAAAGACATTTTAAAGTTTGACCTCTGGAATGCCTTATGCTACAGCCTAAGAGAACAGCAGGTGAGTGCAGCTCAATCTTATCAGCCAAAGTGGAGGAAGGATGAATTAAATTGTACTCAATAGCAGTGAAATTACGGGTATTTAATCATTTTCCTCCTCCAGGAGTGAGGCAGAAACAGGCACTGCCACATCCAGGCTGTGTGGTCTTGGGCCAGTGTCTTCAGCATCCTGAGCTGTTACTCATCCTGACATCAGAGCTGGCAGCGAATCCTGGAGGCAGCTTTGTGTGGTGGGGAAGGCTCACTGGGAGGTAGCGTGGGTGTAACCGGTTCCTCATCATAATCTCTGTCAAGTGAAAAAACATGGGGATAATCTAGAACAGTGGAAAACCCTATCCCAGACCCTTAGAGAGTCAGGAAACCATTTTAAGGTGACCTGACCAGCATTTAAAAATAGGAATAGGCCGGGCCTGGTGGCTCATGCCTGTAATCACAGCACCTTGGGGGGCTGAGGCAGGCGGATCACCTGAGGACAGGAGTTCGAGACCAGCCTGGCCAACATGGTGAAACCCCGTCTTTACTAAAAATGCAAAAATTAGCTGGGCATGATGGCGGGAGCCTGTAATCCCAGCTACTCAGGAGGCTGAGGGAGGCTGAGGCAGGAGGATTGCTTGAACCTGGGGGACAGAGGTTGCAGTGAGCCGAGATCATGCCTGGGTGATAGAGTGACACTCTGTCTCAAAAAAAAAAAAGGAATAGAGTGGAATATAAAGCATCGTGTAATACAGGGCCGTGTAATACAGGGTGGTATTTTTAAAACTAAAATTTTCTTTTTTTTGAGACGGAGTCTCGCCCTGTCACCCAGGCTGGAGTGCAGTGGCGCGATCTCGGCTCACTGTAACCTCTGCCTCCCGGGTTAAAGTAGTTCTTTGCCTCAGCCTCCCTAGTAGCTGGGATTACAGGTGCCCGCCACCATACCTAGCAAATTTTTTTTTTTTTTTTTTTTTAAGTAGAGATGGGGTTTCACCATCTTGGCCAGACTGGTCTGGGACTCCTGACCTGGTGATCCACCCACCTCGGCCTCCCAAAGTGCTGGGATTACAGGCATGAGCCACTGCAGCCGGCCTAAATTTTGTTTTTAATTGTACATATTTATAGGATGCGGCGTGATGTTTTGATACATATATAAATTGTGCAGTGATCAAATCAAGGTTATTAGCAAATCCATCATCCCAGATGCTTGCCATTTCTTTGCGGTGAAACATGCAAAATGTTCTAGCTATTTTGAAGTATACAATCCATTGTTGTTGGCTATAGAGGGTGGTATTCTTTTGTAAAAGTATGCTGATGCGGCCAGGCACGGTGGCTCATGCCTGCAATCCCAGCACTTTGGGAGGCCGAGGCGGGCAGATCACTTGAGGCCAGGAATTCGAGACCAGCCTGGCTAACATTGTAAAACCCCATCTCTACTAAAAATAAAAAATTAGCCAGGCGCGGTGACGGGCGCCTGTAATCTCAGCTACTCAGGAGGCTGAGGCAGGAGAATCGCTTGAACCCTGGAAGTGGAGTTTGCAGTGAGCCGAGATCGTGCCACTGCATTCCAACCTGGGCAACAGAGCAAGACCTTGTCTCAAAAAAAAAAAAAAAAAAATGCTGACGCAAAATGATTTCTTACTGTGCGTCAGAATTTTGGAAGCCACTGGTAGACAGTCCTTAGTTTCACACAATGATTTTCAGACAACTGCCCATTCGCCAATTCCAACCACCTCGGCCCACTGCCCAAATCCAACGTTTCTGGTCTCCGGGCGGCGCTGCCTTAGCAGGATCCGCCGCCAGGTGGCGCGCTCCCCCCGCCCGGAGTGGGTTTTGTTCCATCCCGGACTTAGATCTTCCAAGACGGCGATTTCCTTCTGGTCGGGTCTCTTCCCGAGGATCCGCTTTACTCGTACTAGAAACTCTGACCTCGAATGCAGTTCCAGAAGCAGAACCCTGTAGGGGGTTTCAGGCGGCCAAGAAGGGAAGTGGTTCTCCTAAGACCGTCCCGGCTTCAGTCCACGGCGCTCACTAAATGCCTCCCACGCCAGACGAGGTCCCCCGTCCCCGGAGCTCGCGTCCCAGAGGTGAGGACACACACGAACCCTCCTGCCCGAATTCGCGACCCCGTCAGTGCAGGGAGGCTCTGGCCTGGGGCTGAAGAGCCGAGTCTCTGGTGCCTGACAGCACGGGGTCGAGCCCCTCCCGGCCACCTGCTGGCTGTGTGATCTTGGGCATCGTGCTTGGCCTCGCTGTGCCTCAGTTCCCCCCACTGTAAAATGGTAGTGATAACAGCAGCCACTTCATAGCGTTGCAGGCGTTGCATGAGTTAATAGGTGCAAAGCGCTCAGAAGGGGGCCTGGCGTATGTTTGCCAAAACGATTGTTGAAAATTCTCAGTTTACATCTGTGAGAATTGAGGACCAGTTGGGGGTAGAGGGTGGGGAATCCCCAAAGTCGGCTAAGTTCAGCCTCAGCGACTGGAGGCGGGAGGGGTGTTCCCTCAGCTACAGATGTTTCCCCCCTCCCGCCCCGGCCCCCTCCACCCCCGGTTGAATCCAGGGATTCTGATTTCAGCCATGGTCCTTTTCCTCCGCACAGCGCTCCCTGGGGGTGGGAGTGGACCCAGGCCCCTTGGCAAGGTCTGGGACTGTCCTGGCATAGCAGCCTCCCCTCCTCCTCTTCATTCCTTCCAGGATGGGGAGGGCCATGAGTCACCCAGATTCTAGGATAAAGCAGCAGATTGCTGGGAAACGCAGGCAGCAGGGGTCCGGGAGAAAGGGCCAAGCTTGAGCCCCCTCAGCCACAGTGGGGGTCCCTGACCTGCAGGTCTTCCCCAAACACTGAAAGCTGAACTTAACAGTGCTGGGGCCATGCAGAATGCGCGCCTAGGAGGACCTCTGCTCTTACCAGTGGCGTTTCTCTTTTCTTTTCCTTTTTTTTTGGAGACGAAATCTCGCTCCGTCGCCCAGACGGGAGTGCAGTGGCGCAGTCTCAGCTCACTGCAACCGCTGCCTCCCTTGTTCAAGTGATTCTCCTGCCTCAGCCTCCCAAGTAGCTGGGATTACAGATGTCTGCACCATGCCTGGCTAAGTTTTGTATTTTTAGTAGAGATGGGGTTTCGCCATGTTGGCCAGGCTGGTCCCGAACTCCTGACCTCAAGTGATCCACCCACCCCGGCCTCCCAAAGTGCTGGGATTACAGGCATGAGCCACCGCGCCCGGCCTATTTTTTTTTTTTTTGAGACAGAGTCTCACTCTGTCTGTTGCCCAGGCTGGAGTGCAGTGGCACGATCTCGGCTCACTGCAACCTCCGCCTCTTGGGCTCAAATAATTCTCCTGCCTCAGCCTCCTGAGTAGCTGGGACTACAGGTGCATGCCACCATGCCTGACTAATTTTTGTATTTTTAGTAGAGACGGGGTTTCACCACATTGGCCAGGCTGGTCTTGAACCCTGACCTCAAGTGATCCACCTGCCTCGGCCTCCCAAAGTGCTGGGATTACAGGCGTGAGCCACCACGCCCGGCCAAGAATGACTTTCATAAAATGCTCATTGGGAGGGCTTTGCAAAATTGGTGTTAGCAGCATGTTTATAATCTCTAAAGTGAGATACAGATCCAGGGTCTCTGGAATGAATATAACTAAGAAAGAATGAATGCCACCTGCACCCTACCTGCTTAGCTTTTCTTTTCCTGAAAGAAGCAAGGCACAAAGAAATATTCTATGCCATGCCATCATACGCAGCATAAACATCATCGAAACTAGAAAACAGGGTATTTGGGGATTTCTGCATAGCTGCAAACATAAAGATGAGCGAGGGGGGCGAATGATACAAAATGAACCATGGCGGTTTCCTCTTGGGGCTGGAGATGTCGTCTGTGAGGCACAGACGTGAATTGCCTGGTGTTTAATGATGAGCTGTTTACGGGCTTGGATGGTGGGTATAAGGGTGATCACTTTATTAACTTTGAAATGTCGTGGTGGCAGGTGCCTGTAATCTCAGCTACTCAGGAGGCTGAGGCAGGAGAATCACTTGAACCTGGGAGGCAGAGGTTGCAGTAAGCGGAGATCACGCCACTGCACTCCAGCTTGGGCAACAAGAACAAAACTCCATCTCGAAAAAAAAAATGTATATGTACATTTTCATGCATTTTCAGGTAGTCATATTTCCCAACTTTTATTTTTTATTATTTTTATTTTTACTTTTTTTGAGATAAGTTTCACTCTTGTTGCCCAGGCTGGAGTGCAATGGCACAATCTCGGCTCACCGCAACCTCCGCCTCCCAGATGCAAGCAATTCTCCTGCCTCAGCCTCCTGAGTAGTTGGGATTACAGGCGTGAGCCACCACACCTGGCTAATTTTATATTTTTAGTAGAGATGGGGTTTCTCCATGTTGGTCAGGCTGGTCTCGAACTCCTCACCTCAGGCGATCCGCCCACCTTGGCCTCCCAAAGTGCTGGGGTGACAGGCATGAGCCAACATGCCCGGCCGTTTCCCAACTTTTAAAAGATTGAAAAGAGGCCGGGCACAGTGGCTTATGCCTGTAATCCCAGCACTTTGGGAGGCCAAGGCAGGCAGGTCACTTGAGGTCAGGAGTTTGAGACCAGCCTGGCCAGCGTGGTGAAATCTCGTCTCTACTAAAAATAGAAAAATTAGCTGGGCGTGGTGGTGGGTGTCTGTAATCCCAGCTACTCGGGAGGGTGAGGCAGGAGAATCACTTGAGCCCAGGAGGCAGAGGTTGCAGTAAGTCGAGATTGCCCCACTGCTCTCCAGCCTGGGTGACAGAGCAAGACTCTGTCTCAAAATAAATACATACATAAATAAAATAAAAATAAAAATAAGACATTAAATAGTGCTCATTGTGGAAAGTGAATCTATGTGCCCTTAGTAAAGAAGATGAGAAGAATGGAGGTGGCAGGGAAGTTGACAGAATAGGGCACATTAGACTGACAAAGTCATAACAAGTAACCCAAGTTGGTACCAGAAAGACCACATACTCTGACCATAATGCAGTTGAACAGTGACCAATAAGACAAAAATGGTATCATGGAGTATATGAATCCCAAGTCTAAATTGAATGAGGCTCAAAGAAGGCTTCACATTGAAAATGAGACCACGTGTATGTGAGTTATAATGAACCTGCTATATACCAACATTTATGTGGCAGAGCTGGGAGTGTGCAAAGAGGGATATCCTTCATCTTGTAGCATTTTTTTTTTTAGAAAGGAAAAACTGGAAAATCATGAACATTTACAGTGTTTCAGTCCTACTGTGCGCTCATTGTGCCTAAGTGAAAGGCTGGACCTGAAAGCTTTCTTTTTTTTTTTGAGACAGGGTGTCACTTTGTCACCCAGGGTGGAGTGCAGTGGTGCAAACACAGCTCACTGCTGCCTCAAGCTCCCAGGCTCAAGCGATCCTCCTGCCTCAGCTCCCCAGGTAGCTGGGACTACAGGCATGTGCTACCACTCCTGGTTAATTTTTGCATTTTTTTTTTTTTTTTTGTAGAGATGGGGTTTCTCCATGTTGCCCAGGCTGGTCTCAAACTCCTGGACTCAAGCAATCCCCCACCTTGGACTCCCAAAGTGCTAGGATTACAGGTGTGAGTCACTGCACCAGGCCTTGAAAGCTTTCTTATTTTTATTCCAGTTGTAGCCTCCCTTCAGGATGTGGATTCACATGCAACATGAGTGGTAAGTGTTTAAAGAGGTCTTTCCTACTTTTTTTTTTTTTTGAGACGGAGTCTCGCTCTTTCCCCCAGGCTGGAGTGCAGTGGCTCCATCTCGGCTCACTGCAAGCTCCACCTCCCAGGTTTACACCATTCTCCTACCTCAGCCTCCCAAGTAGCTGGGACTACAGGCACCTGCCACCACGCCTGGCTAATTTTTTTTGTATTTTTAGTAGAGACGGGGTATCACCGTGTTAGCCAGGATGGTCTTGATCTCCTGACCTCGTGATCCGCCCGCCTCGGCCTCCCAAAGTGCTGGGATTACAGGCATGAGCCACCGCGGCCGGCAGGTCTTTCCTACATTTTTTATTTCCGTAAGGAGTCTCTGCAGTGTGAGTTCTTGTATGAACCATGAATTTGAGACCACGCTGAAGGCTTTGTCATATTCCTTTTAGATTCGCAGTTTCTCTCCAGGGTGAGAACAAATGTCTACTCAAGATGAATGAAGATGAAAGGCTTTCTGTAGACTTTACCTTCACAGGGTTTTTTTTCACATTTCTGTAAGATACGAGAGTTCAGGGAAGATGTTCTCACTCATGCTAACCCCTTGAGCTCCCTTCCAATATGTCCTCCTCACATGTTTGGTACAGTCAGAAAATTAATGAAAAATTTTCCACCTTCCTTTCATTCACAGGGCTTCTCATCTTTGTGAGTCTTAAGATGTTTTTTAAGTCCTGACGACTTTGCAAAGTCTTTTCCACATGTCTTACATTTATAGGGTTTCTCTCCAGTGTGGCTCCTTATATGTGTATATTTTGAGGACTCCCGAATGACTTTCCCACATTCTTCACATTCGTAGGGCTTCTTCTGCACAACATGCTTTCTTAAATGTTTATTAAGGTGTAAGGAATATCTAAAGGCTTTCCCACATTTCCCACATTCATACGGTTTCTCTCCAGTGTGAATTTTCATATGTCTCATAAGGAATGACTGATAAAAAAAGGCTCTCCCACATTCGGGGCATTTATGGGTTTTCTCTCCAGTGCAATGACTCTTGTGTGAACCGGAATTTGGAGCGTTGGCAGAGGTTGCCCCAGTTTGACAATCCTTCTTGTTTGTCTCTGCGGTATACAACTGCATCTGCATGGCGTGAATTGAGTTATTTCTGGAGGTGTTCTCGCACTGAGTAAAATCATACATTTTCTCTCGACCATGAGTGTTGTGTGCCCTAAGGGATCCGTCTTCACGGAAAGCTTTTCCAAATGGATTCCGCTGGTGCCTGTTGGCCCCCGTATCAATTTCATCACGTATATGATGCACAGTGTTCTGACTGCCAGTCCATGTGCTTGATTTCAGCTCTGTTTTTCTCCCACACGGAACCCACTGAATGTTCCACCCCAAGACTCCATCGTCTTCGTTGTTTTCATGTGTTTTTTGACTATCGTTTAAGACAGGATTATACTTGAAAATACTTGAGTCACGTGTTAGGATACATTGTCTTATGGAATCTCCCTGTGAAGGCACAAGCCTGCAGGTAGGTTTAGAGTGGTTCCTCATTTCATGATCTTCACAAATGCTAACAGGAGATTCATCTTTCTCAGGGGCAACTGCAGGTGGCTTCACATTATTCACCCCCTGCCTGTGTGGTTCCTCTGTTTTGGGGCATCTCCAGTCTTCTCTTAATGTGGAGTGCTGGGAACTGATGCTCGTGAGACACACTCTGTTGGCTTCAGGAAATGTTCTTTTAGGAAGAATATCCGGCTGAGGGGTTGCGTCTTTGGTTTTACATGGAGTTGCCCAATCTGAAATACAGTGGCACAAAAGTTAAATTCTTTGTTGAAAGTAAAGGTGGGTTAGAGATGATGACATAGGCAATCTCCGTGTGGATTTCTCTCTTTCTTTCTTTCTTTCTTTCCCTCCCTCCCTCGCTCCTTCCATCCTTTCTTTCTTCCTTCCTTCCTTCCTTTCTTTCTTTTCTCTTTCTTTCCCTTCCTTCCTTCCTCCTTCCTTCCTTCCTTCTTTCCTCTCTCTCTCTCTCGTTCTCTCTGTCTTTCTCTCTTTTCTTTAGACAGAGTCTTACTCTGTGGCCCAGGCTGGAGTGCAGTGGCATGATCTTGGCTCATTACAACCTCCGCCTCCCAGGTTCAAGCAATTCTCTGGCCTCAGCTTCCTGAGTAGCTGAGATTACAGGTGCGTGCCACCATGCCTGGCTAATTTTTGTGTTTTCAGTTGAGATGGGGTTTCACCATGTTGGCCAGGCTGGTCTTGAATTCCTGGCCTCATGTGATCCACCTGCCTCAGCCTCCCAAAGTGCTGGGATTACAGGCATGAGCCAACGCGCCAGGCCTCTGTGTGGATTTCTTTCTAAATGTTCACTCAACATGTATGATAAAAATGTGAAGGGGAAGAAAGCAAGAGGAAGGAAGCAGAGAAAGACATCAGAGATTCTGCAGTGTCAGGAATGTGATGACGGTAAGGTCAGGGGTTCAACATGGAGAGTGTCATGTTACTGAGGAACAGTTCTGCAGAGATCAAGGAAACGATCAGGAATTCTAAGTGGAAGAGAATTGGACAGAGAGTCCATGTGAAATTTTTATTTTTTTGAGATGAGGGTGTCACTAGGTTGCCCAGGTGCTGGAGTGCAGTGGCTGGCTATTCATAGGTGTGATCACAGCACACTGCAGCCTTGAGCTCTTGGGATCAAGTGATCCTCTTGCCTCAGTCTCCCGAGTAGCTGGCTCCATGTGCAATTTTAAGGAGAAAAGGAACAGGCCTTTAGCAGGGAAAAATGAAAATATGAGAGGATGGATAAAAGTCAAAAAACATAAGCTTGGACAGGCACAGTGGCTCACGCCTGTAATCCCAGCACTTTGAGAGGCTGAAGTGGGTGGATCACCAGAGGTCAGGCGTTTGAGACCAGCCTGGCCAATGTGGTGAAGCCCCGTCTCTACTAAAAATAGAAAAATTAGCTGGGCATGGTGGCGTGTGCCTGTAATCCCAGCTACTCAGGGGGCTGAGGCAGGAGAATCACTTGAATCCGGCAGGCAGAGATTGCAGTGAGCTGAGACTGAGCCACTGCACTCCAGCCTGGGCAACAGAGTGCCTGTTTTTTTCTTTCTTTTTTTTTCCTTTTAATTAAAAAAAAATTGTTTTTAAAGACAAAAAGAACAGTGTTTTGCCATGTTGGCTGGGCTGGTCTCGACTTCCTGGCCTCAAGTAATCCTCCTCCTGCCTCAGCCTCCCAAAGTGCTAGGATTACAGGTGTGAGCCACTGTGCCTGGCCTATAGGTCTCCTTAGCTGCTCTGTAGATAACAACTTGAAAATTATAAAACATTAAGTTTTCTCTTTGAGATATTCCTTCAGGTCCTGCATTCTGATGAAATGACTATGCTCACTGATCTGAGGAATGCCGTGAGAAACTGACGCACCAAAGAATGTACTTTCCTCATCCCGATGATTTCATCCCCCTTCCTCTGACCAATCAACGTCTCCAATTCTCCAGTCCCTTATCCTCCATGATCCCCTTAAAAATGAGAGCAGTGGCTCATGCCTGTAATGCCAACACTTTGGGAGGCCGAGGTGGGCGGAGCACTTGAGGTCAGGAGTTTGAGACAAGCCTGGCCAACACAGTGAAACCCCGTCTCTACTAAAAATACAAAAATTAGCCAGGTATGGTGGTGCATGTCTATAATCCCAGCTACTCGGGAGGCTGAGGCAGAAGAATTGCTTGAACCCGGGAGGTGGAGGTTGCAGTGAGCCGAGATCGCGCCACTGCACTCCAGCCTGGGCAACAAGAGTGAAACACAGTCTCAAAAACAAAAAAAAAACAAAAACCCCAGAACCCCCCAGGGAGAAGAATTTGAGCGTCTCCTCCCATCTCCTCGGTTGGCACCATGTAATCATGCAACTTTCTCTTTTCTCTGTTGCAAACCCTGCTGTCTCAGTGGCGAGCCTGTTGCTCTGTTACCATGCTGCTGGCTTACAAACCTGTTGGTCCTGTAATGTTCACATCTACCTGGTACTGAGATGCATAAATGCCTGGACAAAACTGCCCTGCACTGTTTTCAGACCACTTCTTGCTCCAAATGAGAGGGCAGACTGGGTTTGCCTAGTTGAAATCCTGCTCACTGGGCAAGCATGTGGTATAAAGGAACTGTGCCGAGACTTTCTGTCAAATGGACACAGGCTTTGGTTTGCTGGGGTTCTGAAGCTGATGATGTGTGAATAGAAGTGCAACAGTGGTCCCTCTACTTTTCTCATCAATGCACTAAAACTCTGCCAAAAGGGCTCAAAACGACCCTTTTCCTGTGCACCATGTTCACCTACATAAGGATCCCCCAAATTCTGTTCAATCACGAAGAGAATAAAAATGTAATGCATTAGCTGGGGGTGGTAGAGCATGCCTGTAATCCCAGATACTCAGGAGGCTGAGGCAGGAGAATTGCTTGAGCCCAGGAGGCGGAAGTTGCAGTGAGCCGAGATGGTGCCACTTCACTCCAGCCTGGGTGACAGGGTGAGACCCCATCTTAATGAAAAGAAAAATAAAGGCTGGGTGTGGTGGCTCACGCCTGTAATCCCAGCACTTCCGGAGGCCGAGGTGGGAGGATCACTTGAGGTCAGGAGTTCAAGACAAGCCTAGCCAACGTGGTGAAATCTGCCTCTACTAAAAATACAAACAAAAATTAGCCAGGTGTGGTGGTGTGCACCTGTATTCCCAGCTACTAGGGAGGCTAAGGCAGAAGAATTGCATGAACCTGGGGGGTGGAAGTTGCAGTGAGCTGAGATGATGCCGCTGCACTCCAGCCTGGGAGATAGAGTGAGACCCTGTCTCAAAAAATAAATAAAATAAAATAAAATAAAATAAAATATAAAATAAAATAAATAAAGTAATGCAACAAACTGACTTCCAGTTTCATGGTGAACCCTACACCTACTACCTGGGGGGCAGCAGCTGTGTCTCTGGAATTTAACCCAGTTCCCATTTTCCAATGCACTTCCCAGAACACGGTTCCAAACCAGCACTGGTCCCATCACGGACTAAGTGCAGGAAGGGGGCCTCCTTACCTATGAATGCCAAGTTCCTAGAATTTTCCAGCATCACGTCTCTGTAGAGATTCCTCTGAGCTGGGTCCAGCAGGGTCCACTCCTCTTTGGTGAAGTTCACAGCCACGTCTGCGAAGGTCACCGAGTCCTAAAATAACACATGCAGTTTGGCTCGGAGGGGTGTCCTGTTATCAGTTTGAACTGTGACCCCTTTCTCCACAGAAAAAGGTAGGTTGAGGTCTTAACCCTTGGTACCTGCAAAGGTGACCTGATTTGTGAACTAGAGTCTTTGCAGATGTCAATGAATTAAGATGAGGTTGTGGCCGGGCGCGGTGGCTCACACCTGTAATCCCAGCACTTTGGGAGGCTGAGGCAGGTGGATCACAAGGTCAGGAGTTCGAGACCAGCCTGGCCAGCATGGTGAAACCCCGTCTCTACTAAAAATACAAAAAATTAGCTGGGCATGGTGGTGGCGGGTGCCTTTAGTCCCAGCTACTCAGGAGGCTGAGGCAGAGAACTGCTTGAACCTGGGAGGTGGAGGTTGCAGTGAGCCGAGATCACACCACTGCACTCCAGCCTGGGCTACAAAGTGAGACTGTCTCAAAAAAAAAAAAAAAAAAAAAAGATGAGGTTGTACTGGGGGTTGGGTGGGCCCTAATCCAGTGACTGGTGTCCTTATAAGAAGAGGAAATCTGGCCAGCTGCAGTGGCGTATGCCTGTAATCCCAGCACTTTGGGAGGTTGAGGTGGGACGATCGCTTGAGGCCAGGAGTTCAAGACCAGCTTGGGCAACACAGTGACAACCCGTCTACAAAAAATAAAAAAATTACCCGTGAGTGTGGGCGGGTGCCTGTAGTCTCAGCTACCCGGGAGGCTGAGGAGGGAGGATTGCCTGAGCCTGGGAGGTGGAGGTTGCAATAAGCTATGATCCTCCCACTGCAGTCCAGCCTGGGCAACAGAGCAAGACCCTGTCTCAAAAAAACAAACAAAATATAAATTAAAAAAAAAAAAAAAAAAAGAAGGGGAAATGTGGACAGAGGGAGGGAAACAGAGGGAAGAATGTCATTTGGTGAGGGAGGCAGAGACTGGAGTGATGGGTCCACAAGCCAGGGAATGCCAAGGACGCCAGTGACTACCAGCAGCTAGGTAAGAGCATGGAACAAATTCTTTTTTGGAGCCTCCAGAAGGAAGCAACTCTGCCGCTATTTTGATCTCGGACTTCCAGCCTGCAGAACTGTGAGAAAATCAATGTCTGTTGTTTAAGCCACCCCATCTGTGATAGTTTCATCAGCCTGAACAGCCTAATGCAACAGGAAGAGGTACAGTCGATTGGTAGAGACTGACGTCCGGTCGTATGACTCAGGTGCTCTTTCTTCTGAGACAGGGTCTTGCTCTGTCACCCAGGCTGGAGTGCAGTGGTGCAAATGCAGCTCACGGCAGCTTCGAACTGCTGGGCTCAAGCGATCCTCCCACCTCAGCCTCCCAAGTAGCTGGGACAGCCAGCACACACCATCACCTGTGGCCCTGTCTCAGGAAAAAGAGTACCTGAGTCACGCGACCGGACTTCAATCTCTACCAGTTGACCAACTGTGTGTCTTTCTCATGCATTAGCCTGTTCAGGCTGTTATAACAAACTATCACAGAGGGGTGGCTACTCCTTAAACCCTGGCCGGGCATGGTGGCTCGTGCCTGTAATCCCAGCACTTTGGGAGGCCGAGGTGGGCGGATCACCTAAGGTCAGGAGTTCGAGACCAGCCTGGCCAACATGGAGAAACCCCATCTCAACTAAAAATACAAAAATTAGCCGGGCGTGCTGGCAGGTGCCTGTAATCCCAGCTACTCGGGATGCTGAGGCAGGAGAATCACTTGAACCTGGAAGGCGGAGGTTGCAGTGAGCCGAGATCATGCCATTGCACTCCAGCCTGGGCAACAAGAGTGAAACTCCGTCTCAAAAAAAAAAAAAAAAAAAAAATTTGGAGTGGGGCACGTCTCAGTCCACTGCTTGTCATCTGCAGGTCATGACAGTTGCGGGAGATGCTGCCACTGCCCGCTCCATAAACGCCTAGTGTCCCCTGTGAGACCCTGAGTTCCTTAAGACAAAAACACTTTCTTTTTATTTTACTTTATTATTATTTTTAGAGACAGTCTTACTCTGTCACCCAGGCTGGAATGCAGTGGAGTGATCACTCCTCATTGTGGCCTCAACCTCCTGGGCTCAAGCGATTCTCTCACCTCAGCCTCTTAAGTAGCTGGGACGACAGCCGTGCACCACCACACCAGGCAAATTTGTTTTATATTTATAGAGACGGTGGTCTTGCTACATTGCCCAGGCTGGTTTTGAACTCCTGGCCTCAAATGATTCTCCTGTCTCACCCTCCCAAAGTCCTGGAATTACAGGCTTGAGCCACTGCACCCCACCAAAGACACTTTCAGCTCCTTTCTTAGTGTGCTTTGCAGCAGAACGTGAAGCCCACTGGCAGCCAGGATGAGGTGTGGAAAGGACCAGTCAGTACTGGGGTGGGGGTGGTCCCAGGAGAATCCCCAGGGCAGCATCTCTCTCCAAGCAGAGGTGCAGAGACCTAGGGCAGCACGGCTGGCGGGGGGCCCTGCCTGGCTCCATGTGCTTTACCTGACTCCCAGCCACAGGCAGAGGCACATTGACTCGTGGGAACGACAACACGCTTCTGGGAGAGGGTGAGCTGCCAACTTACCTGGGACATATTTGTCACCAACGTGACGGCCAGTCCTGGCTTCCCCGTGTTTCCTTCAAGGAGGCAGGTGAGGCAGAGCTTGGGAGAAGAATGGAGCTATGAGAATCCAGGCACCCTGCCTTCCCCACACTCGTATGTGGATCCTGCCTGACATTAATCTCAGCATATAAATGCACGTGTGCACACACTTCCCCACCACAGCCCACAACCCCCACCCCCTCTACACCCACCCACCCACACACCCACACACCCCCATCCCCTCACTCCAACCCCCTTACGCCCACCCACCCACACACCCCATCCCCCCACCCACACACACACTCACACACACACCCACACACCCCCATCCCCCCACCCCCGCCCCCCACACAGACACCCACACACACACCTATATTTTAATTTAATTTTTTAGAGACAGAGACTTGTCCTGTTGCCCAGGCTGGAGTGCAGTAGTGCAATCATGGCTCACTACAGCCTCAAACTTCTGGGCTCAAGTGATCCTCCTGCCTCAGCCTCCTGAGTAGCTGAAGGTACAGGCATGGGCCCCCATGCCTCCTAATTTTTCATATTTATTTTCATAGAGATGGGGTCTCACTATGTTGCCTAGGCTGGTCTCAAATTCCTGGCCTCAAGCAGCATTTTTTTTTAATCGAGGTGAAATTTGCATATCATGAAGTTAACCATTTTAAGTGAACAATGCAGTGGCATTTAGTGCATTTGCAATGTTGTACAAACGTCACCTCTACCTAGTTCCAAATACTTTTCATCACCGCAAAATAAAACCCCATCCCCCTTAGCAGTCACTTCCCATTCTCCCCTTCACCCAGCTGCTGGCAGCCGCTAATCTAATTGCAATTTTTTTTTTTGAGACGGAGTCTCACTCTGTTGCCCAGGCTGGAGTGCAGTAGCACGATCTCAGCTCACTGCAGCTTCCGCCTCCCTGGTTCAAGTGATTCTCCTGTCTCAGCCTCCCGATTAGATGCCATTACAGGTGCCTGCCATCACACCTGGCTAATTTTTTGTACTTTTAGTAGAGATGGGATTTCGCCATGCTGGCCAGGCTGGTCTCGAACTCCTGACCTCAAGTGATCCGCCCGCCTCGCCCTCCCAAAGTGCTGGAATTAGGGGTGTGAGCACCGCACCTGGCCCATAGCGGTATTCATTACAGCCCAAAGTAGAGACAACCCAATACTGATCAATGCATGAACAAAGAAAGCAAACGTGGTCTATCCGCACCATGGAATATTACCCAGCCATAAAACGGACTGAGGCACTGACACACACTACAACCCAGTGAGCTCTGAAAACAGGATGCTGAGTGAACGAAGCCAGACACAAAAGACCACAGTGTATGACCCCATTGAAAATGAAATGTCCAGAATAGGCGAATCTATAGAGACAGAAAGCAGATCAGAGGTTGTCCAGGGCTGGGGGAGATGAGGGACTGGGAGATGACCACTGAAGGATACAGGGCTTCTTTCAGGGGTGATGGAAATGTTCTAAATTTGAGGGACGTACACGTCTGTGAATATACTAAAAGCCATTGAATTGCACCCTTTAAGAAGGTGAATTGGGCCGGGCGCGTTGGCTCAAGCCTGTAATCCCAAGACTCTGGGAGGCCGAGGCAGGTGGATCACTTGAGGTCAGGAGTTTGAGACCATCCTGGCCAACATGGCGAAACCCTGTCTCTACTAAAAATACAAAAATTAACCGGGCGTGGTGGCGCACACCTGTAATCCCAGCTACTTGGGAGGCTGAAGGCAGGAGAATCACTTGAATCTGGGAGGTGGAGGTTGCAGTGAGCTGAGATCGCACCACTGCACACCCCAGCATGGGCAACAGAGCGAGACTCTGTCTCAAAAAAAAAAATTTCAAATATAAGATGAAAAGTGTTCATGTTACTGGGAAGTCAGATTTTTAGTGTAAGAGGAAAAAGTTTCAAATATAAGATGAAAAGGCTTCATATCGTCACGAACACACACACACACACACACACACACACACACACACACACCCAATGCCTCCCTGGTCAGTCTATTCATAGAAAATGCTTAGAAGAATTAAGAAGCAGGAGGCAATGAACACCCTCGGAAACATGGCTGATCTGGGAACAGAAAATTCCCAGTGTGAGCCTTGCGGTGCCAGATGGCAGGGGAGCTGCCCTAGACCGCGTTAGGAGGATGCACAGCGGCTGGAAACGTCTCCCAGCGGCCGGATTTGAACTACAAAGTGAATCATTGCAATTGATGGAAACACACTGAACACTAAAAATACCTGCGCTCATAATGATACCCAGACAGAGAAAACCAGAGGGGGAAAAAAACACAAGCCTTGGTTAATAAAGAGGAAAAATTAAGCCTTTACTTTGCCTTTCCAATAAGAAAAGAAACGGAATAGCCTTACGGATGACGGAAAACTACAGAATTCCAGCTACATATTCATTTTTTTATTTTTATTTTTTGACACAAGGTCTCATTCTGTCATCCAGGTTGGAGTGCAGTGGGGAGATCTCGGCTCACAGCAGCCTCTGCCTCCTGAGTTCAAGTGATTCTCCTGCCTCAGCTTCCCAAGTAGCTGGGACCACAAGCGCCTGCCACCACGCCCAGCTAATATAACAAAAATATATATATTAAAAAAAATTTTTTTTTGAGACAGGGTCTCATTCTGTCGCCCAGGCCGGAGTGCAGTGGCACGATCTCAGCTCGCTGCAACTTCCACCTCCTGGGTTCAAGCAATTCTCCTGCCTCAGCAGCCTCCTGAGTAGCTGAGATTACAGGCTTGGGCCACCACGCCCAGCTAATTTTTGTATTTTTAGTAGAGACGGGGTTTCACTATGTTGGCCAGGCTTGTCTCAACTTCTGACCTCAGGTGATCCGCCTGCCTCGACCTCTCAAAGTGCTGGGATTACAGGCGTGAGCCACCACGCCCAGTCCCAGCTACATGTTTAGTTGGGACAATTGAATATTTTTAAAAATCACCATTTTGGGCTGGGCTGGGTGGTTCACACCTATAATCCCAGCATGTTGGGAGGCTGAGGCAGGAGGATCACTTGAGCCCAGGATTTTGATACCACCCTGGGCAACATAGCGAGGCCCCATCTCTACAAAAAATTTAAAAATTAGGTGGGCACGCTGGCGTGCGCCTCTAGTCTCAGCTACTCAGGAGGTTGTGGGGTGGGAAGATCATTTGAGCCCAGGAGGTTGATGCTGCAGTGAACTATGATTGCACTACTGCACTCCAACTTGGGTGACAGAATGAGGCCCTATCTCAACAAAAAAAAATCATCATTTTGCAACCTTAATAAAACAACTGATTCAGGAAATAAGACACGTCGGTGGACACAGAAAGGGGAGGCAGTCATTAGCAGGGTACGGAGGCATCACTCAGGACTTGCTGGGCGTAAAGGAATGCAACTTTCAGAGGTAAGGCTCTGCAGGTGCAGTGGCCTAAGGCTGTAATCCCAGTATTCTGGGAGGCTGAGGCAGGCAGATCACCTGAGGTAGGGAGTTTGAGACCAGCCTGACCAACATGGAGAAACCCCGTCTCTACTAAAAATACAAAATTAGCCGGGTGTGGTGGCACACGCCTGTAATCCCAGCTACTCGGGAGGCTGAAGCAGGAGAATCACTTGAACCTGGGAGGCGGAGGTTGCGGTGAGCCGAGATTGCACCACTGCACTCCAGCCTGGGCAACAAGAGCGAAACTCCATCTCAAAAAAAAAAAAAAAAAAAAAAGAGGTAAGAGGCTCTCTCACCTCCAGAAACTACCCCACCAATGTTAGCTTGACTTGTACAGGGACAAACAGCCATTATAGCTTTTTTTTTTTTGAGATGGAGTCTCACTCTGTCACCCGGGCTGGAGTGCAGTGGTGCGATCTCAGCTCACTGCAAGCTCTGCCTCCCGGGTTCACCCCATTCTCCTGCCTCAGCCTCCCCAGTAGCTGGGACTACAGGCGCCCGCCACTGCGCCCTGCTAATTTTTTGTATTTTTAGTAGAGACGGGGTTTCACCGTGGTCTCGATCTCCTGACCTCGTGATCTGCCTGCCTCGGCCTCCCAAAGGGCTGGGATTACAGGAGTGAGCCACCGCGCCCGGCAACAAACAGCCATTATAGTTACACTGATGTGATGAACACACCACCTACGATGTATCTTTCATTTTTATTTTGTTTAAATTTTTCTTTGTTATTATATATGTTTCAAGACAAGGTCTCGCTCTATCACCCAGGCTGGAGTGCAGTGGCACTAGCTTGGCTCACTGCAACCTCTGCTTTCTGGGTTCAAGAGATTCTCCTGTCTTAGCCTCCCAAGTAGCTGGGAGTACAGGCGACCACCACCACGCCTGGCTATTTTGTGTGTGTGTGTGTGTGTGTGTGTGTGTGTGTGTGTGTTTTAGTAGAGACAGGACTTCATCATGTTGGCCAGGCTGGTCTTGAACTCCTGACCTCAGGCGATCATCCTGCCTCAGCCTCCCAAAGTGCTGGGATTAAAGCCACGAAGCCTGACCAACCTAGGATGTTTCTGTCTCCCTCCCTCCCTCCCTTCCTCTCTCTTTTTCCCTCCCTCCCTCCCTCCCTTCCTTCCTTCCCTCTCTCTTTCTCTCTTCCTCTCTCTTTTTCTCTCTCTCTTTCTCTCTTCCTCTCTCTCTTTCTCTCTTTCTTTCTTTTTTGAGACAGGGTCTCACTCTGCTGCCCTGGCTGGAGTGCAGTGGTGTGATCAGAGCTCACTGTAGCCTTGACCTCCTGGGGTCAAGCAGTCCTCCCACCTCAGCCTCCCAAAGTGCTGGGATCACAGGCGTGAGTCACCGTGCCTGGCCAGGTCTAACTTTCAACGACACAAGGAACAACCACACAAATGCACAGGCGTGGACGTTCTGCCATTCTGACTACCCAGGGACTCCAACTAGTAAATGTCATGAACAAAGGGAGGCAAGTTCGAGGGTGTGAGCCCTGGAAGAGAAACGCACACAATGTGTTTGCATCCTGCCTAAAGAAACATAACTCTAGGCCAGGCGTGGTGGCTCACGCCTGTAATCCCAGCACTTTGGGAGGCCGAGGCGGGCAGATCACCTGAGGTTGGGAGTTCGAGGTCAGCCTGACCAACATGGAGAAACCCCATCACTACTAAAAATGCAAAATTAGCCCGGCATGGTGGCACATGCCTGTAATCCCAGCTACTAGAGAGGTTGAGGCAGGAGAATTACTTGAACCTGGAAGGCAGAGGTTGCGGTGAGACGAGATTGCACCACTGCACTCCAGCCTGGATAACAAGAGAAAAACTCTGTCTCAAAAAAAAAAAAAAAAATATATATATATATATATATATATAAAAGTTTTTTTCTATTAAAACAAAACAAAAACAAACCCCCAAAACTCTTCCTGCTCCAAATGTGACATCTGATGACCGTTTAATGACTGTGGTCAACTTAAATAGTATAAGATGAGTCATTTGTTCATAAAATGTTAGAATGCCATAAAATCTACAACTTACATGATATTTGGAAGAAACTTGATGGCAAGTTCCCTCAATTTGAGGACAAATCTAAACGTTTACATGACACTGTCAGCAATGAATTGCGGACTCAAAACTTTTCTAAACCATTAATAATTTAAAAATTAAATTAATCATATGAGAAAAAGCTGAATTTATATATAGACACTCACACATAAATATATGTGTGTATATATTTATATATATGTGTGTGTGTATGCATTTATATATATACATGTATAAAAATATATATACATATATATTGGCCAGGCACGGTGGCTCACGCCTGTAATCCCAGCACCTTGGGAGGCCGAGGTGGGCGGATCACGAGGTCAAGAGATCAAGATCATCCCGGCTAACACGGTGAAACCCCGTCTCTACTAAAAATACAAAAAATTAGCCGGGCGTGGTGGCGGGCGCCTGTAGTCCCAGCTACTCGGGAGCCTGAGGCAGGAGAATGGCGAGAACCCGGGAGGAGGAGCTTGCAGTGAGCCGAGATAACGCCACTGCACTCCAGCCTGGGCGACAGAGCGAGACTCCGTCTCAAAAAAAAAAAAAAAAAAGAAAAGCCCCACTGTTGCCTGGGGGATCCAAGTCACTTTGACACAGAAGCAAGCCTGTGCAACTCAGGGGCTGAGCTGTAAATAAGAGTTTTTGAGACACAACATTCCACGTCTATCTTGACCTTATAGTTCCCAAGGAAACAGCCACACCTGATGATAACCCCATTACACGCATCTCAGCTGTAAGCCTACCTAAGAAGATAAAACCGCCTATTTCAATTTAAGTTTCCCTGAATTCCGTCCTTTCCCCAATACAATTGGAGCGCCGGTTCTGACCCTAGTAACCTCAGACACATCAGCTCAGGACAGTAGTTTAAAAAAAAAAAAAACAGAAAAGAAAAGAAAAAGAAAAACAACGCATCATTGTGAGTCAGCTCAGGTGAGCAGGCTGAGGTTGGCTTTTGCCTGATTGTCCATGACGAAGATATACCTGGCTGATGAAACACATTCCCACCTTTGCCCTGAGTTCCAGTAAATCAGACCTCACCGGAGCGGATTAGTGATAAAAATGCATCTTGTTCCGACCGTGGGGTTTGATCCTGACACCTTCACACCACTCTCCTTGCAGCTTGTCCTTTTTATATATTTCCTCTGCTGAGGTCTCAGTTCCCATAAAAGACCATGTTCAGCACACGGAACTCAAACCCTCAAAGCTCTTTATCTGGCCAGGCGCTGTGGCTCACGCCTGTAATCCCAGCCCTTTGGGAGGCCGAGGCGGGCAGATCACGAGGTCAGGAGCTCGAGACCATCCTGGCTAACGCGGTGAAACCCCGTCTCTACTAAAAATACAAAAAATTAGCCGGGCGCGGTGGCGGGCGCCTGTAGTCCCAGCTACTTGAGAGGCTGAGGCAGGAGAATGGCGTGAACCCGGGAGGCGGAGCTTGCAGTGAGCAGAGATCGCGCCACAGCGCTCCAGCCTGGGTGACAGAGCGAGACTCCCTCTCAAAAAAAAAAAAAAAAAAAAAGCTCTTTCTCGTAAGAAACCAGTGCATCCTGCACGTCTGGCCCTGCCCAGGACTTTTCAGTTCACCCTCATCACAACAGGCTCCAATCCAATACTTTTTTTTTTTTTTTTTTTTTTTTTGAGAGAGAGTCTTGCTCTGTCGCCCAGGCTAGAGTGCAGTGGCACGATCTCGGCTCACTGCAACCTTCACCTCCCAGGTAGAAGCGATTCTCCTGCCTCAGCCTCCCAAGTAGCTAGGATTACAGGCGCTCGGCTCACTGCAATCTCCACCTCCCAGGTTCAAGCGATTCTCCTGCCTCAGCCTCCCGTGTAGCTAGGATCACAGGCGCCCGCCACCATGCCCGGCTAATTATTATTATTATTATTATTTATTTTTTTTTTTGAGACAGAGTCTCCCTCTGTCGCCCAGGCTGGAGTGCAATGGCTCGATTTCGGCTCACTGCAACCTCCACCTCCCGGGTTCAAGCGATTCTACTGCCTCAGCCTCCTGAGTAGCTGGGATTACAGGCGCATGCCACCACGGCCAGCTAATTTTGGTATTTTTAGTGGAGATGGGGGTTTCACCATGTTGGCCAGGCTGGTCTCGAACTCCTGACCTCAGGTGATCCGCCCACCTCGGCCTTCGAAAATGCTGGGATTACAGGCGTGAGCCACCGCGCCCGGCCAGCTCCAATACTTTCATGGATGCAAAGAACACAACCCCTGCAACCGCTGCATGCGGGCATCTCTGCTGCCCAAGCCCGGGGACAGGCGCTTTCGCAACGCTGCAGCACGGTATGGGGGAAGCGCCCTTCTCCCTGGGCCAAGGTGAAGGGCGCGCTCGGGGTCTGAACACGTGGGTCATTCGTGCCTTCCCCTTTCCTCCCGGAAGGGTAGAGACAATGAGGCTTTTGCAGACAGCAACTCTCAAGTCCCTGGGCCCCGGCCCGGTCCCGCCCTTAGTACGGACACTCAGGCACACTTACTCTTCCACTAGCTCCGGCTTCCAGATGTCTCTGTCGGTGGCGCAGCCCAAAAGCGCGCGCAGCCCAGGAGCGTCTCGGAGCTGCACCAGGATGGGGATCAAACTGTTGAAATAAATCAACCTAACGAGGCCGCCAGGAAGGACCGACTACAGAGATTCGTCCTGCCCAGACATTTTGTACTCGCTTCTTGACCCCTTCCTCAAAATGGACGGTGTAAGGGACCAGGGGGAGGAGAGGGGAGCCGAGCAGGCAGGGGATCCCAGCGCCCGCACTCCTGCCTGCCCACCCCCGTCCCACCCCCCGCCCCCGGGACCCGATCGACCCGACCCCAGAGTCTGACCCCCACGACCAGTAGATTGACATTTCCTGTAGAACTTACTCCCCAGGCACTCCTGATCCAAGCAGGAAACCCCAGCCTTGGGTCCTCGCTGTCGCCTCCGCCCGCGCCACCGTTCCTAGGCTCTCCAGCTGGGAAGCGCGCTCTCTGCGCAGCCAACGCGCCTCCTTGCGGGCTCCGGAGACTCCGGCCGCTTGCTGGCTTCCTGCATTTCCCAAGGAAAGAAGGCTTTTTTTTCCCCTCAGTACTGTAAAAGGGCGGAAACAGACAGGTTGGGGAGTCTCCAGTTTCTCTCTTGTCCCCATTTTTATGTTTTTGCTACCACTCCCCCCCATCCGTTGACTAGCGGCTAAACCGCAAGGCTCCCGTCGCCTACCCTTGAAATGATTTTTTTCTTCCTTCCTTCCTTTCTTTTCTTTCTTTCTTTTTTTTTTTTGAGACGGAGTCTCGCTCTGTCGCCCAGGCTGGAGTGCAGTGGCGCGATCTCGGTTCACTGCAACCTCCGCCTCCCGGGTTCATGCCATTCTCTCGCCTCAGCCTCCGAGTAGCTGGGACTACAGGCGCCCGCCACCACCCTGGCTAAGTTTTTGTATTTTTAGTAAAGACAGGGTTTCAGCGATCTCCTGACCTCGTGATCCGCCCGCCTCGGCCTCCCAAAGTGCTGAGATTACAGGCGTGAGCCACCGCGCCCGGCCCTTCTTTTCTTTTCTTTCTTTCTTTCTTTCTTTCTCTTTTTTCTCTTTTCTTTCTTTCCCTTTTTTCTCTTTCTTTCTTCTCTTTCTTTCTTTTCCTCTCCCTCCCTCCTTCCTTCCTTTTTTCTCTTTCTTTCTTCTTTTTCTTTCTCTCTCTCCCTTCCTCCTTTTCTCCCTCCCTCCCTTCCTCCCTCCCTTCTTTCTTCTCTTTCTTTCTTTCTTCTTTCTTTTTTCTTTCTCTTTCTTCCCTCCCTCCCTTCTTTCCTTTCTCTCTCTCCCTCCCTTTCTCTTTCTTTCTTTCTTTCCTTCCTTCCCCCCTTCCTCTCTCCCTCTCTGCCCCTCCCTCCCTCCCTTCCTTCCTTTTTTATTTTTTTCCTTTTCTTATTCTTTTTTTCTTTTTTTTTTTCTGAGACAAGTTCTTGCTCTGTCCTTCAGGCTGGAGTGCAGTGGCGCAATCTTGGCTCACTGCAGCCTCAAGCGATCCTACCACTTCAGTCTCCCAAGTAGCTGGGACCACAGGCACGTACAAGGCATGCCTGGCTAATTTTAATTTTTTTTTTTTTTAGAGATGAAAACTCACTATGCTGCCCAGACTCGTCTCGAACTCCTGGGTGTCACGCGTGTCCGTATAGAAGACCACCTAAACAGGCTTTGTGTAAGCAACAAAGGCTGTTTATTCACTTGGGTGCAAGTGGGCTGAGTTGGAAAAGAGAGTCAGCGAAGGGAGATAGGAGAGGGGCAGCTTTATAGGGCTGGGGTAGGCAGTGGAAAGTTACAGTTAAAGGTGGTTATTTGTTGTCAGCAGGGGAGGGGCTCACAAGGTGCATTGTGGAGAGATCATGGGACTCATTGTCCAGGAGAAGAATGTCACAGGGTCGACTGATCAGTTGGGGCAGGGCAGGAACAAGTCATAATGGTGGAATGTCATAAGGTGGGTTAATCAGTTAAGGCAGGAACTGGCTGTTTCACTTCTTTTGTGGTTTTTCGGCTGCTCCAGACTTCTTGGCTCCTGCAGGCCATCTGGACGTATATGTGTAGGTCACAGGGGTTACAATGGCTGAGCTTCGGCTCAGAGGCCTGACACTGGGCTTAAAGTGATCCTCTGGCCTTGGGAGGCTGAGGTGGGCAGATCACCTGAGGCGAGGAGTTCAAGGCCAACATGGCGAAACCCTGTCTCTACTAAAAATACAAAAACGAGCTGGGCATGGTGGTGCATACCTGTAATCCCAGCTGCTCGGGAGGCTGAGGCAGGAGAATCGTTTGAACCTGGGAGGAGGAGGTTGCAGTGAGCTGAGATAGCGCCATTGCACTCCAGCCTGGGTGACAGAGCAAGACTCCGTTTCAAAACAAACAAAACAAAACAAAACCCAAAATGACTGCCTAAACCCAGACCTCTAGGACACAGACTCAGTTTCCCACCCTGACTCTGCTTAACTGGGGAGTCGCTTGATCTTCAGGTGCCCCTGATGCAAATCAGCTGAACAAAGCGTTTATCCTCTACTCGAGTTACATCGTTTCTTTTCCTTTGAGGGTCCCCAGCAAACCTTGATGTGCATCTCTTTTTCTTTTGGTTCTTTGGGAGGAAAGATTAAGCCCAGCCCAGCCAGCTCCTGGAGCTCCCCAGGAAGGAAGGGCTGGGAGTCCCTATCTGGTCAATTAAATAATTTATTTATTTATTTATTTTGAGACGGAGTTTCGCTCTTGTTGCCCAGGCTGGAGTGCGATGGCGCAATCTCAGCTCACCACAACCTCTGCCTCCCGGGTTCAAGCAATTCTCCCACCTCAGCCTCCCGAGTAGCTGGGATTACAGGCACACGTCACCATGCCTGGCTAAGTTTTGTGTCTTTAGTAGAGACGGGGTTTCTCCATGTTGGTCAGGCTGGCCTCGAACTCGCAACCTCAGGTGATCCACCTGCCTCGGCCTCCCGAAGTGCTGGGATTACAGGCATGAGCCACTGCACCCCGGCCTAAATAATTTATTTTTTATGGACTGTCTTTCTTCACTCTAGTAATGAAATTCTACCATAAAGCTTAAATTGCCAAATATTGATCATACTTACCCCAGTTACATTTTTTTACGGTGATAAAATATACATCACAAACATTTCCATGTGAACCATTTTTTTTTTTTTTTTTGTGACGGACTCTCCCTCTGTCACCCAGGCTGAGGTGCAGTGGCACGATCTTGGCTCACTGCAAGCTCTGCCTCCCGGGTTCACGCCATTCTCCTGCCTCAGCCTCCTGAGTAGCTGGGACTACAGGCATCTGCCACGCCCAGCTATTTTTTTTGTATTTTTAGTAGAGATGGGGTTTCACCATGTTAGCCAGGATGGTCTCGATCTCCTGACCTCGTGATCCACCCACCTCGGCCTCCCAAAGTGCTGGGATTACAGACATGAGCCACCGTGCCCGGCCTCCATGTGAACCATTTTAAAGTGTACACTTCAGTGGCATTAAGTACAGCCACATCGCTGTGTAACCATCATCACGATTCATCTCCAGAACTTTGTCATCTTTCCCAATTAAAACTCCGTACCCGTTAAATAATCACACCCCATTCCCTTTTTCTCTCAGTCCCTGGTAAGCTCTGTTCTACTTTCTGTGTCCAGGAATTTGACTGTTCTAGGAATCTCCTAGAAGTGGAATCACTCGGCCTTTGCCTTTTTGTGTCTGACGTATTTAATTTTGCACAATGTTTTCCAAGTTCACCTACGGTGAAGCATGTATCAGTATTTCATTCCTTTTAAAGTCTGAAAAGTATTCCACGGTATGTAGTGTTCAAAAGTAAAATGTATGGCTGGGCATGGTGGCTCACACCTGTAATCCCAGCACTTTGGGAAGCTGAGGCGGGCGGATCACCTGCGGTCAGGAGTTCAACACCAGCCTGGCCAACATGGTGAAACCCCGTCTCTACTAAAAATACAAAAATGAGCCAGGCATGGTAGTGCATGCCTGTAGTCCCAGGTACTCGGGAGGCTGAGGCGGGAGAATTGTTTGAACCTGACGGGGAGAGGTTGCAGTGAGCCGAGATCGTGCCACTGCACTCCAGCCTGGGCAACAGAGTGAGACTCTGTCTCAAAAAAAAAAAAAAAAAAAAAAAAGTACAATGTGACATAAGAAAATTTCTGACCTCGGGCTGGGGGCGTTGGCTCACACCTGTAATCTCAGCACTTTGGGAGGCTGAGGTGGGCGGATCACCTGAGGTCAGGAGTTCAAGACCAGCCTGACCAAAATGGAGATACCCCGTCTCTACTAAAAATACAAAATTAGCCGGGCGTGGTGGCGCATGCCTGTAATTCCAGCTACTCGGGAGGCTGAGGCAGGAGAATCGCTTGAACCTGGGAGGCGGAGGTTGCGGTGAGCCGAGTGTGCCATTGCACTCCAGCCTGGGCAACAAGAGCGGAACTCCATAAAAAAAAAAAAGAAAATTTCTGACCTCTTCCCCAAATAAACTACCTGCACGTAAGCCCTCATTTCAGGCTCTCCTTTTTGGAGGCTCCCAAATTATGACCGAAGGAGTCCAAGGACTTGAGAAGAACCCTGTTAAACCTTGGTTCAGGTCTGGGCTCAGGGCACTAAAGGATATTCCTCTTGCGACCTCTAGTGGTTGTAGGTGTCCAATTCCCTTCTATTTTCTCTGGGTCTTCATCTCCAGCAGTGCTTCCCTTCCCTTGTTTTCTCATCCTCTCCCTTCAAAAACCTGCTTCTTGGCCAGGGGCGGTGGCTCACGCCTGTAATCCCAGCACTTTGGGAGCCTGAGGCGGGCGGATCACGAGATCAGGAGTTCGAGACCAGCTTGGCCAACATGGTGAAACCCAGTCTCTACTAAAAATACAAAAATTAGCTGGGTGTGGTGGACGCCTGTAATCCCAGCTACTTGGGAGGCTGAGGCAGGAGAATCGCTGGAAGCCAGGAGGCGGAGGTTGCAGTGAGCCAAGATTGCGCCACTGCACTCCAGCCTGGGTGACAGAGCGAGACTCTGTCTCAAAAAAAAAAAAAAAAAAAAAACCCACAAAAAACCACAAAAAAACCTGCTTCTTTTCTGGTATCCTCAATATCCCGTTTCACCTATGCCTTCACTGCTAGGTGGATCTTTTTAAAGAAAATTGGGAACATTATATTATTTCACCTGTAAAAATATCACTACGATGGCCAGGTACAGTGGTTCATGCTTTGAGAGGCCGAAGTGGGTGGATTGCCTGAGCTCAGGAGTTCGAGACCACCCTGGGCAAAATGGCAAAACCCTGTCTCTAAAAAAAAAAAAAAAAAAATTAGTCAGGCGTGTGGTGCACGTAGTCCCAGCTACTTCAGCTACTTGGGAGGCTGAGGCGGGAGGATCACTTGAGCTCAGGAGGTGGAGGTTGTAGTGAGCTGAGATCTTGCCACTGCACTCCACTCTGGGTGACAGAGTGAGACTCTGTATCAATAAATAAAAAATAAAAAATAAAAATATCACTATGTATGTTTAAAAGATGAAGAGTTAAAAAATGCTTTACTGTCTTACATGAATACTCCCTTACAATGAAAAGTAATCATCATTCAGGACATCATAAAATATCCCGTTAATGTTGTCATTTCCCTGGTTCTTATTTTTACTTTATTGCTTTGCATAGAGATACAAATCATCCACTATAATAGGTTTTTGTGTGTGTGTGTTAATTCTTTGTTAATCTAAGTTGCCACTTATTTAATTCCATCCCCCCATTCAAACATTGCTATTGTTGTAGAAAGTAGGTCATTTTTTCTGTAAAATTTTCTTTGGTTTCAGTTTTGCCAATTAGATCCTTGTGTTGTCATTTAACATGTTTTTCTTTCTTTCTTTCTTTCTTTTTTGAGACGGAGTTTCGCTCCTGTTGCCTAGGTTGGAGTGCAATGGCGTGATCTCGGCAAACTGCAACCTCCGCCTCCTGGGTTCACACCATTCTCCTGCCTCAGCCTCCCGAGTAGCTGGGATTACAGGTGCCCACCACCAGGCCCTGCTAATTTTTTTTGTATTTTCAGTAGAGACGTGGTTTCACCATACTGGCCAGGGTGATCTCGAACTCCTGACCTCAGGTGATCTGCCCGCCTCAGCGTCCCAAAGTGCTGGGATTACCAGCGTGAGCCACTGTGCCCGGCCTTGGTTGCCTGTTTTTATGGTTATTTCTTCATGATATGGTAACCAAGGGGTGGATTATTCATGCCTTCCCTTTTTGGTCCACATAGGGTAACTTCCTGACGTTGCCATGGCATCTGTAAACTGTGATGGAGCTGGTGGGAGTGTAGCAATGAGGACCACCAGAGGTCACTCTCGTCGCCATCCTGGTTTTGGTGGGTTTTGGCCGGCTCCTTTACTGCAACCTGTTTTATCAGCAAGGTCTTTATGACCTGTATCTTGTGCCGACCTCCTATCTCATCCTGTGACTTAGAATGCCTTCATCATTTGGGAATGCAGCCCGGTAGGTCTCAGCCTCATTTTCTCCACCTCCTACTCAAGATGGAGTTGCTCTGGTTCAAATGCCTCTGACAAAATGTCTACGGAGGCCGGGCGCGGTGGCTCATGCCTGTAACCCCAGCACTTTTGGAGGTTGAGGCGAGTGGGTCATGAGGACAGGAGTTCAAGACCAGCCTGGCCAACATGGTGAAACCCCCATCTCTACTAAAAATACAAAAATTAGCTGAGCGTGGCGGTGGGCACCTGTAATCCCAGCTACTCAGGAGACTGAGGCAAGAGAATCATTAGAACCTGAGAGGCAGAGGTTGCAGTGAGCTGAGATCATGCCATTGCATTCCAGCCTGGGCAACAAGAGCGAAACTCCATCTCAAAAGAAAAAAAAATGTCTATGGGAGGTGGGCAGTCTCCCATAGCTGGGACATCAGCGGTCTGTGGTGACAGCCTGTCATCCCTCTGTCCCTTCACTAACCCCTCCCCTAGGAGCCTTTCAGTGCTGGGAACTGGCCCTAGCGTTCAGCTACCCCACACCACATTCCCAGGTTCCTAGCTCTTCAGCCCTGTTGTCTGCATGCCTCTGTATCAACTCTTGGTGTTTTTCCTACGAAGATCTTCTCTAAGTCTGTTGGTTTATCCAATATCTTGGTTTCTCTTGGTGGGAGTGGTGCTTCTGGGCTGTGTCCAGTCAGGCATCTTGACCCTCCTCTAGGCATGATTTTGAAAATTTAATCTGTTCCCTGACTTCCTGGAAACATAAGCTGGCTGGGAAATGGGCTTGCGAGACATTGTGACATCCCGAGGAGACTTCTCCTCATTGGGAGGGATCAGAGGCTGCCCTTGCTCTTCTCCCTTTTGTCTCTTGTGAGATGTGAAGCTTCATGTGAATATTGTGTGGAGCCAACACCATGGAAGGCAAGGTGGACACCTGGAGAAACGTTCCTTCCCTGTGGTGTTTTTGGAGCTCATGGATCAGCCTCCCTAGGGTCAGTCCTACCTTCTGTCCTTGCATTCAACGGAGCCAGGACACTCTCTTTATATTTTTACTGCATTGAAGTTGAACTTTCAGTCATTTGCCACACAAGAGTTTACACAGATCCAGAGGACATTGCAGATTGCTGCCCTGGGTGATTTAAAAAATTAATCTGGAGATGACATTAGGAGATAGAGCATTGTAGACCTGGATCCATTACTTGCCAGTTAATGGAAATTTACTTTTTTTTTTTTTTTTTTTTGAGACAGAGTCTCACTCTGTCTTCCAGGCTGGAGTGCAGAGGCACGATCTCGGCTCACTGCAACCTCCGCTACCTGGGTTCAACCAATTCTCGTGCCTCAGCTTTCCAAGTAGCTGGGATTACAGGCATGGGCCACCACGCCCGGCTAATTTTGTATTTTTAGTAGAGACGGGGTTTCTCCATATTGGTCAGGCTGGTCTCGTACTCCCAACCTCAGGTTATCCGCCAGCCTCAGCCTCCCAAAGTATTGGGATTATAGGCATGAGCCACCGTGCCCAGCCTGCATTTCATTTAACTTTGCTACACTGTATATGTTGTGTAGGTACTGGACAAATGGGTCCTAATTTTATAATATCTAGTATCTAGATATTAAAGAGTTTGTCAATATAAGACAAAACTAGAGTTAGTAAACTAATATATTTTGTACACTTTGTGTTAAAATTAATTAAAAGGCTATCTTCCGAAAAGGACTTTTGGAAGTGAAATGGTGATTATTTTCCTTGCCTTCCATTCTTCTCTCGTACAACTCTAATCATTTTTCTTGCCTAAATTGTCACCTTGATTTCTTTAAAATACTTGGGTTTAGGGACCGTTGTCTAATCCATTACCTTCACCGGCTCTGCTATGACATTTTTTAAAGATTAGATTTTTAAAATAATGGCTTTATGGATATATAGTTCACAAACCACACAATTCACCCACTTAAACTATACAATTCAATGTTGTATATATAGTATAGTTATGAAGTTGTACAACCACCACCACACTCAGTTTTAGGACAGCGTCATCACCTCAAAAAGAAACTCATTAAGTGGCACTCCCCGTTCCCCACAGGCACGCACACCCAGCCACAGGCACCCACGCATCCACCTTCTGTCTCCATAGGTTTACTCATTCTGACGTTTGATTTAATAGGAGTTGTTATGGACTGAATGTATGTGTCCACCCTCAGGTTCACGTGTTGAAATCCTAACTCCAAATATGATGATAGGAGGAGATGGGGCCTTCGGGAGGTGATGAGGTCATGAGGGTGGAATCCTCATGAATGGTCTCAACGCCCTTAGAAAAGAGACCCCAGAGACCTCGCTCCCGCTTTCTACTGTGGGAGAATGCAGCAAGAAGTCAGCCGTCTATGAACAAGGAAGCAGGTCCTCTCCAGGCACTGAATGTACCAGTGCCTTGATCTTGGACTTCCCAGCCTCCAGAACTATGACAATAAATTCTGTTGTTTAAGCTACATGGTCTATGATACTTTTGTTAAAGAAGCCCAAAGTGACTAAGACAGGCATCAAACAATATATTGTCCTTTGTGATGGATCCTTTCACTTTGCATAATGTTTTCAAGGTCTATCCATTTTATACCACATAACAGCACCTCCTTTGCTTTCATGGCTGAATAATATTCCACCGTATGGAGACACCACGTATTCTCTGTCCATTCAGCAGACGATAGACATTTGGGTGAGTTCCACTTTGGGGCTGTTATGAAAAATGATACTGTGAATATTCAGGTACGAATTTCCATGTGGACAGATTATTTCCTTCTCTTGGGTGCATACTTAGGAGTGGAGTTGCTGGGTCATATGGTAACTCTATGTTTACCCTTCAAGGAACTGCCAGACTGTTTTCCAAAGCGCCAATTTCCATTCCCACCAGCAGTGTAGGAGGGGGCCAGCTTCTCCATATCCTCACCTATAATTGTTATTATGGGCCTTTTAAAAATGGCCATTCTAGTACGTGTAAAGTGATATCTTATTGTAATTTTTGAAGATTAATTTTTATATAGTGGTAAAAATAGATATTATTAATAGCATTGTAGACACTTTGGATAACAGAAAAGAAAATTAGTGAATTACAAATTGCTCAAAATCCAAACACCCATAAATAATCCATCTTAACTTTTTGACTATTTGGTTTTATTAAATATATTAAAATGGGGTGACCGGGCACGGTGGCTCAGGCCTGTAATCTCAGCATGTTGGGAGGCTGAGGCAGGTGGATAGCCTGAGCCCGGGAGTTCCAGACTTGCCTGGTCAGCATGGCGAAACCCCATCTCTACTAAAAATACAAAAATTAGCCGGGCATGGTGGTGCACGCCTGTAATTCCAGCTACTCCAGAGGCTGAGATAGGAGAATTGCTTGAACCCAGGAGGCGGAGGTTGCAGTGAGCTGAGATCTTGCCACTGCACTCCAGCCTGGGTGACAGAGTGAGACTCTGTCTTCAGAACAAAAAATAAATAAAAAAAATAGTGTAATACTCTGCCTATTTTTTAAAACGAACTATTTGTATCCAAGGAATGCAACTTAATTTTAATAAATCAAATTGTGTTTAACACTCACCATCATACAGCACTCCACTGTCTCACCATCCTCTCTCTGCAATATTGTTTCAAGCATCTTTAAACAGACAAGTAGGTTTACCATTTCTGGTTGCAGGGAACTAGTGGGTGCACCTCTGAATCACCCACAAGTTGATCTTATCCATAGATCAAGTCTTAACACCATCTTGGAACAAAGCCCTACAATTTTGTTTGTGCGATTACAGTGTGTCCAGCATAGTGTGGCCTCAGACTCTGTGCTGTTTATTTAAGATGCTGAAAAAAAATGCGTGACCAGATCAGTTTCCATACTGAGTTGAGCTCTTCACAATTACTATTAGAGATTTACAGATCAAAACAAGAATTCTGGGCAGATACATCAGGCTCTTGCTGTGACATTGCACGTAATTCTGTCAGTAGACAAGGCTAGAGAGGGTATACTTTTATATTATATTACCACATAAAACAAGCTGTAATTATATCTCTGCTACTGAGCAATGCAAAACCAACTCCTAATAAGCACCATATTAAGACTAACAGTAAAGCTGCTGAATGAAATTCACAATTTCTTTTGTGGTAGTTTTTGTTCTTTGTTTGCATCTCACTATTGTTATATAGTCACGTCATTTTGAAGTTCTTCACAACTTAAGAAGAAAGTGTAACAATTGAATTAATTATTCAAAGTTCACTTTGGTTGCAATATTTTGGTTTGTTTTTATTCTGAGGGAACTGGCCATTTAATATTGGAGAGTTCTAAGTTCTTTTTTGTTTTTTTTAGACGGAGTTTCTCTCTTGTTGCCAAGCTGGAGTGCAATGGCGCGATCTCAGGTTCAAGCAATTCTCCCGTCTCAGCCTCCTGAGTAGCTGGGATTACAGGCATGCGCCACCACACCTGGCTAATTTTGTATTTTTAGTAGAGACAGGGTTTCTCCATGTTGCTCAGGCTGGTCTTGAACTCCCGACCTCAGGTGATCTGCCTGCCTTGGCCTCCCAAAGTTCTGGGATTACAGACGTGAGCCATCGTGCCCAGTCTGAGAGTTCTAAGTTCTTAGAAGGTGGTTGTGTTTACCTACTAAAATTTTATTGGTAGCAATAATCATCTAATGGAAATTCAGAGAAGTGATTTTAAAGATTTGAATTCCAAAACCCTATACAAACGTTTTATTTTACCACCAATGAATTTATCTGCAACACCTGAGTTGTGGGGCGGAAAGCCACCCAGGTGCCGAGGCGAGAGACCGAGGGCACGAGCTGTTCCAGTATAATAAAGAAAATATAGAAAATAAGAATAGTTATACTAGATCTAGATCATAGATATGATTATATATGAATATCATTAATCATTAGTTTGTAGCAATTACCCTTTATTCCAATGTTATAATAATCCTCGCTCTACAATCATAACCTAGGAAAAACCAGGCCATACAGAGATAGGAGCTGAAGGGGCACGGTGAGAAGTGACTAGAAGACGAGAGTGCGAGCCTTCTGTCACACCCAGACATGGCCACTAGAGGGCTCCCTGGTCTAGCGGTAATGCCGGCGTCTGGGAAGGCACCTGTTACTTAGCGGACCTTGGTCTAGCGGTAGCGTCAGTGCCTAGAAAAGGCACCCGTTACTTAGTGGGCCAGGAAAGGGAGTCTCTCTTTCCCCGGGGGAGTTAGAGAAGACTCTGCTCCACCGTCTCTTGTGGAAGGCCTGACATCAGTCAGGCCCGCCCGCAGTTATCCGGAGGCCTAACCGGCTCCCTGTGATGCTGTGCTTCAGCGGTCACGCTCCTGTTTCACTTTCATGTTCCACTCTGTACACCTGGCTCCGCCCTCTAGATAGCAGTAGCAGAATTAGTAAAAGTACTAAAAGTCTCTGAAATGCAGAAATAATGGCATAAGCTGTCTCCTCTCTCTCTCCACCAGGGCTGCCAAACAGGGAGGGGCCCCCTGTCCGGTGGAAACGTGACTCATGTGACCTTATCAATCATTAGAGATGACTCACACTCCTTACCCTGCCCCTTTTGCCTTGTATCCAATAAATATCAGCACAGCCAGGCATTCGGGGCCACTGCTGGTCTCCGCATCTTGGTGGTAGTGGTCCCCCGGGCCCAGTTGTCTTTTCTTCTATTTCTCTGTCTTGTGTCTTTATTTCTACGATCTCTCGTCTCCGCACAACGGGAGAAAGACCCACAGACCCTGTAGGGCTGGCCCCTACACTGAATGTCTGTTTATTTATATGCATAATAATCAACTCACATGTTCCAACTGAACAAACCAAATATTTCTATCCAATTTTCAATAAAAATATAAAAATCTACATATTTCATGTGTTTATGTTTGTTATGTCTCTCACAGCCTGCAACAAATTTAATTTAGCTATCCTCTGAACTACAAGCTTCCCTTTGTTGTAACGAACACTTTTCTTTTACTTAAGTATCGTTATTCCAGAGTTAATATAGTATGCATTCAAATTACTTCTTATTTAGTATTATTTTACCTAGTACCATTATATATTTAATTTTTTCTCATGAAGCCAGGCACAGTGGTTTGTGCCTGTAGTCCCAGCTACTCGGGAGGCTGAAGTGAGAGGATCCCTTGAGCCCAGGAGTTTAAGGTCGCAGTGAGCTATGATGGCACCGCTGCATTCCAGTCTGGGCGACAAAGCAATACCTCATTTCAAGAAACAAAATGGAATCTTTTCCTTATAAGAATCTTAAAGAAGGTGTACATTATCTTGGCTAACTTTCTATAGGATTAAGTGGAAGTTATTGAGACTTGGTCTACAGTCTTCTTTTTTTCATGAGTCAAAAAGCATCTCTCACTTTAGTTACACCTGTATTAGGAGAGTTATGATCAATTACAGCAGTTGTAGTTTCTGAGAACTTGGATAAATACAAACCTGAATTACACAGAATTTATGTAAATCCAGATATTCAAAAATGAGAAATAATGTAATATATGACCAAAGTAATATCAAGACAACATACAATTAAATCACTCAACAATTACTGGGAATATGTATCAAGGCAAGAATTGTAAAATTCTACCTGGTACTTCTGAAATGAACAAGGCAATGAGAAATAACAGTTTATCTTGTCTATTACTGAGTATCAATGAAAGCAATAAGGTGAACGGAAAAGTCCATGCAAACTCCATTTTCAGAATAACGAGGAGACAGATAGAATTCACAGATCCACATGTTTCTCACTGGCTGACAAAACTGTGTTAAGTCAGGGTGAAGCATAGCGGAGGAACAGGGAGGAAGTGCAGAGTGAGAAAACATAAAGAAGTCAGGAAGTGCCAGAAGAGTAATTTCCTGTGAGTAAAGCCTCATACTCGGTGATTTATCGATAGAGTTTGAATACAAGAGCTGTGAGGTCTGGGCAGTTGGAGTGGAGGCTGAGCAGGAGATAAATGTGGTAGAGGCGGTGTGGTTGGGAGATCCTTGAAAACAGAGAAATGCCCTAGTATGGCAGAGTACAGAAATACTACAAAAACTCACTTGTAGAAAGAACATTCTGCATATAATCAGGCATGGAACGGTCCCATGCATTCCATAATAATTAAGAAAAAGATATTGGCAGAGCATTGCTTAAAGGCACTGCAAGAAAATAGGTGAGAAGACCAGTAAGTTTTATTTATTTATTTTATTATTTTATTATTTGTTTTCGAGATGAAGAACAATCAAAGGAAAATGATGGACGGAAATTAACAATCATTCTTGGGCGGGGGGAAAAACTCCACCCACAATTCCTAAGTAAAAAGGGTTACACACATTCTCGGCATAATAAGTCTCTCTCAGGCCAAATGTGTTCATGTGAACACTATGAAGGCATTCCAGCTGAGGTCAGGAAAATACCAAGTATGACCTTCCCTATTTAAGTTAAAATATTGGAAGCTTATTCCAAAATATTGGAATAAATTTGAAATACAGTGATTGAATGGAAGGACATTAAATTATAACTCATTAGACATGTTATTTTACTCTATAGACAAACACAACAAATCACCTGAAATAAGCTATAAAAGATAAACCAGTAAGTTAGAGAAATAATCTTTTTTTTTTTTTGAGATGGAGTCTCCCTCTGTTGCTTAGGCCAGAGTGCAGTGGCGCAGTCTTGGCTCACTGCAACCTCTGCTTCCTGAGTTCTAGTGAGTCTCCTCCTCAGCCTCCCAAGTAGCTGGGATTACAGGCATGTGCCACCATGCCTGGCTAATTTTTTTTGTATTTTTAGTAGAGATGGGGTTTCACCATGTTGGACATGCTGGTCTTGAACTCCTGACCTCAGGTGATCTGCCTGCCTCAGGTTCCCAAGTGCTGGGATTATAGGCTTGAGCCATTGCGCCTGGCCAGAAGAATCTTAATGTACAAAAATGAATAGGTTTTTAATACAACAGACTATCCCAATTCCTTGAAAGAAGAAAATACACCCATTAAAACAGAAACTATGGTGCCTAGAATTAAACTGCACAAAAAACTACATGACCCATATAATTTTTTTATGTTGAAATAATTTTAAACATGCAAAATTAGCAAAGATTCATATAAATCCTCAACCAGCCTATCCTGATGTTAGCTATATATATAATTGTATTATATGTATAATAGTTGTTATATATAAAACTGTATATATACATTTATTGTATTATAATCATATATATACATTTATTGTATTATATATAATATACAACTGTATATGTAATTGTAATATAATAATTATATACATAATAGTATATGTAATACAAGTATCCAACCAGGAAATTGATGTCAACGTATCTTACCATTACCTAATGTGCAGACCTTATTTGAATTTTGTCAATATTTCTCTTAACGTCCTCTTTCTTCTCCAAGATCGAATCGAGGATCTCACATTGCACTCAGTTGTTATGTCCTTAGATTCCTCCAGGCTGTGACCGTTTCTTATTCTTCCCTTGTCTTTTGTGATTGTGACACTTTTGCTGAGCATGGCCAATTATTTTACAGAATGTTTATCAATTTGGATTTCTTTGATGTTTTCTCACGATTAGGCTGAGGTCATGCATGTTTGTCTTCTGTGTTCAGTCAATATGCCCCATCCTTTTTCAAATATTTCTTCATGTTCTGGCGTCAGAATTTGTTCCAATGTTATCTTATATATTCCTGCCCCAGCCCTCGAAGTAACCATTTCTCCACAGATACTTCAAAATAGTATTTAGAAACCAAGGCCGGGCACAGTGGCTCACGCCTGTAATCCCAGCACTTTGGGAGGCCGAGGCGGGCTGATCTCGAGGTCAAGAGACGGAGACCATCCTGACCAACATGGTGAAACTCCGTCTTTACTAAAAATACAAAAAATTAGCCGAGCGTGGTGGCATGCACCTATAATTCCAGCTACTCGGGAGGCTGAGGCAAGAGAATCGCTTGAACCTGGGAGGCAGAGGTTGCAGTGAGCCGAGATTGCTCCATTACACTCCAGCCTGGGTGACAGACGGAGACTTCATCTCAAAAAAAAAAAAAAGTAATATTGATTAAAAATCAAATTGCATGAGAATGCATAGCAGGATACCAAGCAAATACAACTTTTAAATATTACAGAAAATGATATTTAAAATACAAACCAAATACATAAATCATGCAGGCGGATTAAGACGTTTCTGGATAGTGGTAACAGCTGAGAGTGGCTGGATGAATTCCAGAGAAATTTCATATATTGCTTCAATTTTATTTAAAATATACTATTACCTATGTCTTAGATATTTTATTTTAAATAATGAACAAGGATATTATAAACTCTGCAGAAGTAAGTGTAATCGTGTTTTTTTCCTGCCCACATTAAAGATGGCCCAGATGCTTGCACTGACCCCATTGACTGCCCACAGCCATCATGGCGACCGGAAGTCCTGAGAGCTTACTTCCCTCAGTTCTCAGAAAGCCCACCTCCTCTGCGAGCGTTATTTCAAAAGAAGTTGAGAACCAGAGAAACCGACCTAAGGGGATTCTCCCATTTGGCCCGTCCTACCCTAAAGTCACCACCTGCTGCTTTTCTGGAGCGCTTACCAGGTGAGTTTCAGGAGCCCTAGTGTACAGGAAGGAGAAACGGAGGCTTGTTGGTAGGACACCGCCAGGCTGCTCTGTGTTCTGTTCCTCTTAGTCAGCAAGGAAGGAGTACGACAAAGTGAGAAGTTCATATGAGCGTGTCAGAAGGGGAAATAGGGCCCCTCCCTTGTTAAAAACAAAACCCTCTGGAAGCTCGGCATCCTGTCATAACTTAAATTTATGACTTCAGTGACTTGGCTTGGACAGTCTTAATAATCTCTCTCACACTCAATTTGTTTTAATTTCTGTAATAATAATTTTTATACCAATGTTTATGTTGTTAATACTAATAATTTTACACTGTAACTGTATAACTTTAATTATTAGAAGTGTTAACCTAACTAACAAACATATGAAAGCTTCCTAAGGGAAACAATTTTTTTTTCTTTTTGAGATGGAGTCTCGCTCTGTGGCTAGGCTGGAGTACAGTGGCATGATCTTGGCTCACTGCAACCTCTGCCTCCCAGGTTCAAGCGATTCTCGTGCCTCAGTCTCCCAAGTAGCTGGGACTACAGGCGTGCACCACCACATCCAGCTAATTTTTTATTTTTTAGTAGAGACGGGGTTTCACCATGTTGGCCAGGATGGTCTCCGTCTCTTGACCTCGAGATCAGCCCGCCTTGGCCTCCCAAAGTGTTGGGATTACAGGCGTGAGCCACTGCGCCCAGCCGGAAACAATGTTTATTTGGGAATAGAGCATTGCAATTGGGAATAGACATGCCGTATTAAACTATGTGTATATTCAGGGAGATAAAGGAAGACAGAAATGGGGAGGATTGCATATTGTTTTAACAGAATTTTCCTTGGCTACAAAGATCAGTAACAAGGGTGACATTAGTCCTAGGTTGGACCAGCAGTTGCTGGGCAGCATTCCTTGCAGAAATATATATTTTTTTAAGGTTGTGAAGACCTTTATGTAAGGTTGTGGGTTTTGTAGAGTCTTTTTCATCTTCAGGCATGCAAGGATAAGAGCCCTCTCTTCATGGCCTTCCTGGCTCTATTTGTCAGGGTTATCTTAACATAAGTGACTCCATTTTGTTCTGACAACTTTCAGATTTCCCCTTGTGATCAAGAAGTTTCTCTGAAAGCACTCTCCTGCCTCAGCCTCCCGAGTAGCTGCGACTACAGGTGCCCACCACCACACCCAGCTAATTGTTTTTGTGTTTTTAGTAGAGACGGGGTTTCACTATGTTGGCCAGGCTGGTCTCGAACCCCTGACTTGTGATCTGCCCACTTCGGCCTCCCAAAGTGCTGGGATTACAGGGATGAGCCACCGCACCAGGCCTGCATTTCTTTTTTCAAAGAATTACTGTGGCATTTTTTCCAATGTCATTGTGTTCTGTGGTTCTTATCTAGTCTTCACATTTATTTACATAATGAACTTTCAATGATGGATTTCTACAGAATTTTTGTCACTAAGTGGTTGCCTAGAAGTATATATCCTAAGATTGAACATATTGAAATATGAGCTAACTTTTCTCATTCAATTATTGATTACTTAGTTAGTTTATTTATTATTTGGGGGATGGGATCTTGCAATGCTGCCCAGACCAGACTCAAACTCCTGGGCTCAAACTCCTACCTCAGCCTCCCAAGTAGGTGGGATTACAGGCATGTACTACTTCACCTGGCTCAATTATTTATTATTTATAACTCATTGTACATATATTCAGATAACTTAATCTGTGCATTAAACTCTTCCACTTTGTTGATAGTCATTTCTGTGTTTGCTATGTGGCTACATATGTATGCTATGTGTTTCCTCTATGCTTGAGATAGGATGATGGGGATTCTTCAATGGCTGTGTGAGTTGTTATTCTAGGGCACTTAAGTCAAGAATATGAATTGCTTTGGTCAATTTTTTATATCTTTACTGATACTCTGTTATTCTGTTAATTGCTGAAAGACTATTGAACAGATTTCCCACAAGAGTGGAGGATTATTCTATATCTGTTTATCATTCTACCCGTGTATACTATATACATATTGAAAGTGTGAATATGTATACACAAAATTAAAATTGTTATTCTTATTGAAGTGATCTACTTTATACTTAGTAATGCTGTTTAGGTAAAATATATTTTGTCTAATATTATTGGAGGTGCACCTGCTCCCCATTGATTACATTTTTACACAGATAGTCATCTTGCATTCTTTTATTGGAATCTTAATATAACTTCTTTGGGTTTATCCCCTGTAAGATGGAGGGAAATGCTCTTGAAGCCTAATTTGTCTGACATTCATATTGTTGCTCCAGATTCTTTTTAATAACCATGTATATGGTATATCACTGCCACTGTCATATGAGGGGTGGGGAAGTGGCCCCACTTGGAAACATTTTTGCAGATGAGTATTTAAAATGATAAATGTTGGCCAGGCACGGTGGCTCACACCTGTAATTACAGCACTTTGGGAGGCTGAGGCAGGTGGATCACGTGAGGCCAGGAGTTCGAGACCAGCCTGGCCAAATTGGTGAAACCCCGTCTCTACAAAAATACAAAAATTAGCCAGGCATGGTGATGCATACCTGTAATCCCAGTCACTGCAGCTCCCTGCACCTGTACTCTCACACACCACATTCTCTTAACCAGTCCTATTCTTTTTAGCTCCTATCATGTGTACATATACGTTTTCCTGTACCACAAACATTCTGTATAATCTCTTGTGCTATTATGTTTTATCTGTTTAGATCATGGATGTATGTCCAACCCATTAAATAGTACCAAGAATAAGGAACATGTGCAAAATGTATTTGTGGAATGAATACAAGAAGTGCCATAGAGCAGTGCAGTTTAACAGAAATATAATCCAAGCCCCAAATGTATATTAAATTTTCTAGCAACTGCATTTAAAAAAGCAAAAACAAGCAGATACAGTTAGTTTAAAAATACCTATGTAGTTGTATATGTATACACATATGTGTGTGTGTGTGTGTGTGTGTGTGTGTATATACTGATAAGGCCAGTGCGGTGGCTCACACCTACAATCCTAGCACTTTTGGAGGCTGACACAGGCGGTTCACTTGAGGTCAGGAGTTCTAGACCAGCCTGGCCAACGTGGGGAAACTCTGTCTCTACTAAAAAATACAAAAAAATTAGCCAGGCATGGTGGTGCACACCTATAATCCTAGCTACTCGGAAGGCTGAAGTGGGAGGATTGCTTGAATCCAGGAGGTGGGGGCCGCAGTGAGCTGAGATCACACCACTGCATACTCCAGCCTGGGTGACAGAGCAAGACTCTGTCTCAAAAAAAAAAAATTATATATATTATATATATTCTTACATATGTTTTACTTACATATTTGTGTATATGTATTTTATTTAAATATGCATATATATGTAAACATAACAAAACATATACATACGTTTTACCCAAAATGTCATAATTTAAACTTGTCAGCAATGTGAAAGTTATTAAGATAATATTTATATACTGTTATTTATATTGACTTCAAAACCTGAATGCTTTTTAAATTTATGATACACCTCAATTCAAACTAGCCCTAATTCAATTGCTCAATAACTGCATGACTTTTTCTCCACAAAAGTCATCATGGAGACTTCCCAGCTGCAGAAGAAAGTATGGGGTTTGAGATCAGCCATTGAATGCTCCCTGAGAGCTGATCATTCTTGTCTTAGAGAGGAAGAGGTAAATTAGGAAATAATTTTATTATTTTTTATTAGCACAAAAGGGCAGATGGTTGGGTAGCATGATGAAATAATTCCAGTGATCATCTCTAGTCTTGATTTTTTCTCAGATTTATAAAAGAAATAAAGAGTGATGAAGTTGTTTGAGCAATAAAAGCACACAAAGCAACCAAGCAGCAGGAGGATGGTATGGGTGGCTCTGTGTTCAGGAGATGGCTGGGAAGAGAGGCTAGGGCTGTGCAGACGCTGGGCTCTCCGCCGGTGTCTGCAGAGGAGACTGGCCATGTTGATGCTGGTCCAGACCATGAGGAACACAAACAGGACATGGCGAATCACCATGACATTTATAAATGATCCTTGGGGGAGTTTTATCTGTTTAGATCACGGATGTATGCCAAATCCATTAAATAGTACCAAGAATAAGGAACATGTGCAAAATATATTTGTGGAATGAATAAAATAAGTCCCATAGAGCAGTGCAATTTAACAGAAATATAATCCAAGCCCCAAATGTATATTAAATTATTGTATGTATGGCCTAGTTTGACAACAGTCTTGCAAATATCCAGGACCAGAAATGGTGAAATTGGTATTGGCCTCTACGGTTTCAGTGATGTGAACGTAGATTAGCATGTTGGTGATCCAGAGGAAAATGAAAGAGGGAACAAACCTCAAGGCTGATATGCGGATCACACAATAGTTTACCAAACTGCCCAATATCATAACCAGAGACGTTCACACTACAAACCAGGAGAAAAAGTTGGTGTTTTCACACTGTATAACTTTCTGCAAGATGCTGAAACAAGACTCTATATCATAATGAGACTTTCATCTCACTTAATTCGACCTTTTCTACTTAGCAGAATAATGGTGTAACTTAAATTTTATGATCAATTCCTTCTGCTTATAACTTAACAGAACCCAACCTACAAAATTCTTTAGTATCCATTGGTTAAGCAAGAAATTGTCTGTGATGTTGCTAATACGACATGCTATACCTGAATAAATTCCTCTGAGAAAAGTTGAGGCTCCTATACACAAAATAAGAAAGCAGGCCATGTGGTTACCCCAGGTCTCACCTAACTCCCTGCTGTCTCGAATAACTGTTTGAGTTCTTCAATTAGTTGTCTTTAAACCTAGGTTTATGGCTCAAAACCATATGCAAACTGAAAATCTCATATTGCTCTTAATTTGTATTTCCCCTTACTTTGTATTTCTCCTTTTTAAACTTTGTATGTGTTACTTGTTAAATTTTTTCAGAGGTGCAGCTCCTAACAAAATAATACTGAATCAGCACTTTAAAGGGATAGCAAAAGACTGTAGAACAGACAAAATTGAACTTACTAATGGACTCCAGGGAGACTTAGCCTGAGAGCCACATCCTTCAAATCTCTTTTGTTGCTCAAATGTGCTTTTGACATCGATTCCTAGTCACCAGTCACTCCCCACAACATGGGATGAGACCAGCAAACTGGGAGAGGTCCATGCTGGCATCAGGGGACATCAAATCTTAATTACAGAATGATTGATCAATAATGCTTTTAGAGAAAGTTCTTGATCACAAGGAGAAATCTGAAAGTTGTCAGAACAAAATGGAGCCACTAATGTTAAGATGACCCTGACAAATAAAGCCAGGAAAGCCATGAAGAGGGGGGGTCTTATCCTTGTATGCTTGAAAATGAAAAAGACTCTACAAAACCCACAACCTTGCATAAAGGTCATTGCAACCTTAAACAAAAAATATTTCTGCAAGGAATGCTGCCCAGCAACTGCCTGTCCAACCTCAGACTAATGTCACCTTTGTGCCTGATCCTGTGGCCAAGGAAAATCCTGTCAAAACAATATGCAATCCTCCCCATTTCTGTCTTCCTTTATCTTCCTGAATATATACATAGTTTAATATGGCATATCTATTCCCAATTGCAATGCTCTATTCCCAAATAAACACTGTTTCCTTTAGGAAGCTTTCATATGTTTGTTATTTAGGTTAACACTTGTAATAATTAAAGGATTACAGTTACAATGTAAAATTATTAGTATTAACAACACAAACATTGGTATAAAAATTATTATTACAGAAATTAAAACAACTTGAGTATGGAGAGATTAAGACTGTCCCAGCCAAGTCATTGAAGTCATAAATTTAAGCTATGACTAACAGGATGCAAAGCTTCCTGAGGGTTTTGTTTTGTTTTCAACAAGCGGAGGGCCCCATTTCCCTTTCCGACAGCCTCATAGGAACTTCTCCCTTTCTTCTCAAGTGACCAAGAGGAACAGAACACAGAGCAGCCTGGCAGTGTCCAAGCAACAAGCCTCCGCTCCTCCTTCCTGCACCCTGGGGCTCCTGAAACTCACATGGTAAGCGCTGCAGAAACGCAGCAGGTGGTGACTTTAGGGGAGGACAGGCCAAATGGGAGAATCCCCTTAAGCTTCGGTTTCTCTAGTTCTCAACTTCTTTTGAAATAATGTTCATAGAGAAGGAGGGCTGTCTGAGATTCGAGGGAAACAAGCTCTCAGGACTTCCGGTCGCCATGATGGCTGTGGGCGGTAAACGCGGTTAGTGCAAGCATCTGGGCCATCTTCAATGTGAGTAGGAAAAAACACGACTACACTTACTTCTGCAGAGTTTATAATATCCTTGCCCATTATTTACAATAAAATATCTAAAACATAGGTAATAATATATTTTAAATAAAATTGAAGCAATATATGAAATTTCTCTGAAATTCATCCAGCCACTCTCGGCTGTTGCCACTATCCAGAAACGTCTTAATCCCCCTGCATGATTTATGTATTTGGTTTGTATTTTAAATATTATTTTCTGTAATATTTAAAACTTGTATTTGCTTGGTATCGTGCTGTGCAGTCTCATGCAATTTGATTTTTAATCAATATTACTTTTTTTTTTTTTTGAGACGGAGTCTCGTTCTGTCATCCAGGCTGGAGTCCAGTGGTGTGATCTCGGCTCACTGCAACCTCCACCTCTCGGGTTCAAGCGATTCTTCTGCCTCAGCCTCCCGAGTAGCTGGGGTGACAGGCGCCCGCCACCACGCACGACTAATTTTTGTATTTTTAGTAGAGACGGAGTTTCACTATGTTGCCAGTCTGGCTTCGAACTCCTGATCTCAGGTGATCCGCCCGCCTCGGCCTCCCAAAGTGTTGGGATTACAGGCGTGAGCCACCGTGCCCGGCCCAATAGTACATTTTAAATATTTATCCATGTTTACATGTGGTTTTAATAATTTATGTTAACTGCGCTACAGTATTAATGCAATGATGATATTATAATCAATGTATCCATTCTTTGATGATGGACATTCAGTTTGTTACCCTGTTTTCTGATAGCAAACCATAATACAATGGACTTTTTATATGCATTTTCTTGTCCACACATAATTTCAAGGGTAGGTGTGTCTTGAAGTCTAGATACAGCCAGTTTATTCTCCAAAGCGGCTGTGTTTTCAGTCATCTCCACTACTGGTTTACGAGTTTCCATTGCTACACATTCATATTCACACTTGATTTTGTCAGCTTTTCTTATTTCCATCAGTATTGTGGGTGAGAATGATAACTGATAGTGGTTGTCATGCACATTCCCCTGATTACTAGTGAATTTTAACATCTTTTCAGGACATTTGTGTTTTATCCTTTTGATTCCTTATTTATATCATTAATTCATTTCTCTGTTGTTTGTTTCTTCAATATGTCAAGGAATAATGAATTTTATTCCAATTTTTGGAAGTTTAGGAATTTTTTTTAAATGACAGGGCTTCGCTGTGTGGCACAGACTGGTCTCAGCCATTTGGACCCAAGTGATCCTCCCACCTCGGCCTCCGGGTGGCTGGGGCTACAGGCAATACGTGCAGGCAAGGCTATAACTTCATGCGTGACTGGGATTTTTATTACATGTTTTTTAAAATTTCCAATGTCACATAAAATACTATACAAGAATTTTAGTATTTGAACTTTAAAGAATGTAATTTTGCATTTTTTTCTTGTGAAGATGAATACAGATTTTCATGGGAGTAAAAAAGACAATTTAAGGTGAAGAGTATTTGGTTTTCATGAAATAATTTGATTTCTAAAATAAAAGTAAACCGTCAAAACTTTTTAAATGCAATATGAAAATGTTTTCAGTTGAAATAGTCATAGTAAAATTTGATGAGTGGTAACTGAATTTTAATTGAAATTTCAATTGAGAATACATATGATACAATGTGTATCACAAATGGTAAAAATCATGTGTATTTTAATGTTAAAATTTAAAATTTAGTGTAATTTAATTTTGCTTGTGTGACATCAAAACAAATGGAAGCATTGTGTGTGTGTGTATATATATATATATATATATACAATAACATAGTGTCATGAAAGTATAGTATATATATATAAAATTTTGCGTGTGAAAATTTTAGGTGGAGGTTTTTAAACCATTTGTTTACTTTATAAAGGGTAATAAATTCACATAGTCTGCTCCCCAAACACAGTTGAATATGTACTGTGGTGTTACTGTATATATATATATCCAGAGTTTCTTTATGCATATACAAATTTTTACTCTTTACTTGAAGAGTAGAAAGTTTACATGTTGTTTACTATGCCTTTCTTCATTAACAATAGATCTTAGTGATAATTCAGTATCAGTTTTTAGTGAACTTTGACATTCTTTTAAAATTGCATATTATTTCATCATCGGATGTATCATGATGTCTTTATTCATTCCCCTATTGAAAAACATTTCAGTTGTTTCAAATTTTAGTTTATTTTATTTTACTTTTAATTTTTGAGATGGAGTCTTGCTGTGTCACCCAGGCTGGAGTGCAGTGGCACCATTTTGGCTCACTGCAACCTATGACTTCTTGGTTCAAGCGATTCTCCTGCCTCACCCTCCCGAGTAGCTGAAATTACAGGCCCATGCCACCACACCCAGGTAATTTTTGTATTTTTCGTAGAGACGGGGTTTCACCTTGTTGGCCAGGCTGGTCTCGAACTCCTGACCTCAAGTGATCTACCCGGCTTGGCCTCTCAAGGTGTGGTGATTACAGGCTTGAGCCATAGCGCCTGGCCTCAATTGTATTTATGAAGAGTGCCACAGTGAGTAAACATGTGAGCATGAGTTCATACATAGGTAAGTATATTTGTATAGGAGTATATCAATTCCTCAAAATTGATTTACCATTCCAAATGGGATGTCATTTATGCGTTCAAAGATGTCCATAAAGTTGCCATCCATATAATGAATAGCAGGTGACACTCCCATCAGCAATATCAGAATGTCAGATTTCCCACAGCCTTGTCAGTAGATGAGTTTTCAGACTTTCGCATGATTTCCAAATTCATGGAGAAAAAATATTCAAGAGTAGCTTTAATCTTCATTCAGCATGGTGTTTTTTCATTCAGCACGTGCTTGGGAACCATTTATTTTTCCATTTCTGTGAATTTCATGTTCATATCCTTTGTCTACCTATTTCTAGAGCAATGTTTTTTTTTATTATTGATTTTCTATTTCATGTATCAGAATAGCTCTTTGCTCTGCTCTATTTGTCTATCTGTTTGTCAGTCTATCTATCGAGAAGTAAATACAGGCATGTGTAGGCACAGTTCGGTATACATGCATGGATTCCCCAGGTCTTTCCACTGAGAGAGATTAGGACAAAGATATCTTAGTAGCTGTAAACACACATAGTTTCCAGATCTTGGTTTCTAAATACTGTTTTTGAATACAAGGGAGCCAAGGATCCGTGGAGAAGTGGTTACTTCCAGGGCTGGGGCAGGAGTATATAGGATAACATTGGAACAAATTGTGACTCCAGAACATGAAGAAATATTCCAAAAAGGACGGGGCATGTTGACTGAACACAGAAGACAAACATGCATGACCTCAGCCTAATCGTGAGAAAACATCAAAGAAATCCAAATTGATAAACATTCTGTAAAATAGTTGACCATGTTCCGCAAAAATGTCACAATCACAAAAGACAAGGGAAGAATAAGAAACGGTCACAGACTGGAGGAATCTAAGGAGGGATAACAAGTAAGTGCAATGTGAGATCCTCGATTAGATCTTGGAGAACAAAGAGGACATTCAGACAAATGTTGATAAAATTCAAATAAGGTCTGCACATTAAGTAATGGTATGATATGCTAACATCAATTTCCTGGTTGGATAATTGTATTATATATACTATTATATATGTAATTATCATATTACAATTGCATATACAATTGTATATTATATATAATATATTAAATGTAGATATGCAATTATTTATATATAATACAATAAATGTATATATAATACAATATACAATACAATAAATTAGTTATTTTATATATAACAATTATTTTATATATAATACAATTATATATAGCTAACATTCAGATAAGCTGGTTGAGGATTTATGTGAATCTTTGCTATTTTTCAATGTTTAAAATTATTTCAAAATAAAAGCATTATATGGGTCATGTAGTTTTTTTGTATAGTTTAGTTCTAGGTACCATAGTTGCTATTTTAATGAGTGTATTTTCTTCTTTCATGGAATTGGGATAGTCTGTTATATTAAGAAGCTATTCACTTTTGTATATTAAGATTCTTCTGGCTGGTGCGGTGGCTGACACCTGTAATCCCAGCACTTTGGGAGGCTGAGGTGGGCGGATCACCTGAGGTCAGAAGTTTGAGACCAGCCTATCCAACATGGTGAAACCCCATCTCTACTAAAAATACAAAAAAAATTAGCCAGGCATGGTGGTGCATGTCTGTAATCGCAGCTACTTGGGAGGCTAAGGCAGGAGAATCACTTGAACCCAGGATGCAGAGGTTGCAGTGAGCCGAGATTGTGCCACTTCTCTACAGCCTGAGCGACAGAGGGAGGCCCCGTCTCAAAGAAAAAAAAAGATTCTTTCTCTAACTTACTGGTTTATCTTACTTTTGTAGCTTATTTCAGGTGATTCGTTATGTTTCTCTATAGAGGAAAATAACGTGTAGTGAGTTATAGTTTAATCTCCTTCCTTTCAATCACTGTATTTGGAATTTGTCCAATATTTTGGAATAAGCTTCCGATATTTTAACTTAAATAGGGAAGGTCTTGGTATTTTCCTGACTTCAGCTGGAATGATTTCATAGTGTCCACATGAAGCACAAGGTTATCCTTTGGCCTGAGAGAGACATATTATGCCGAGAATGTGTGTAATCCTTTTTACTTAGGAATTGTGGGTGGAGTTTTTTTCCCCCCAAGAGTGATTGTTAACTTGGGTCCATCATTTTCCTTTGATTGTTCTTTATCTAAAACAAAACAAAACAAAAAACAACAACTTCCTGGTCTTCTCACCTATTTTCTTGTAGTGCCTTTAAGCAATGCTCTGGTAATATCTTTTTCTTAATTATTATGGAATGCATGGGACCGTTCCATGCCTGATTATATGCAGAATGTTCTTTCTACAAGTGTGTTTTTGTAGTATTTCTGTACTCTGTCACATTAGGGCATTTCTCTGTTTTCAAGGATCCACACCGCCTCTACCACATTTATCTCCTGCTCAGCCTCCACTCTACCTGCCCAGACCTCACAGCTCTTGTATTCAAACTCTATAGATAAATCACCGAGTATGAGGCTTTACTCACAGGAAATTACTCCTCTGGCACTTCCTGACTTCTTTATGTTTTCTCACTCTGCACTTCCTCCCTGTTCCTCCGCCATGCTTCACCCTGACTTAACACAGTTTTGTCAGCCGGTGAGAAACATTTGGATCTGTGAATTAAATCTGTCTCCTCATTATTCTGAAAATGGAGTTTTCATGGACTTTTCCGTTCACCTTATTGCTTTCATTGATACTCAGTAATAGACAAGATAAACTGTTATTTCTCATTGCCTTGTTCATTTCAGAAGTACCAGGTAGAATTTTACAATTCTTGCCTTGATACATATTCCCAGTAATTGTTGAGTGATTTAATTGTATGTTGTCTTGATATTACTTTGGTCATATATTACATTATTTCTCATTTTTGAATATCTGGATTTACATAAATTCTGTGTAATTCAGGTTTGTATTTATCCAAGTTCTCAGAAACTACAACTGCTGTAATTGATCATAACTCTCCTAATACAGGTGTAACTAAAGTGAGAGATGCTTTTTGACTCATGAAAAAAAGAAGACTGTAGACCAAGTCTCAATAACTTCTACTTAATCCTATAGAAAGTTAGCCAAGATAATGTACACCTTCTTTAAGATTCTTATAAGGAAAAAATTCCATTTCGTTTCTTGAAATGAGGTATTGCTTTGTCGCCCAGACTGGAATGCAGCGGCGCCATCATAGCTCACTGCGACCTTAATCTCCTGGGATCAAGGGATCCTGTCACTTCAGCCTCCTGAGTAGCTGGGACTACAGGCACAAACCACTGTGCCTGGCTTCATGAGAAAAAATTAAATATATAATGGTACTAGGTAAAATAATACTAAATAAGAAGTAATTTGAATGCATACTATATTAACTCTGGAATAACGATACTTAAGTAAAAGAAAAGTGTTCGTTATAACAAAGGAAAAGCTTGTAGTTCAGAGGATAGCTAAATTAAATTTTTCGCAGGCTGTGAGAAGCATAATAATTAAACATGAATAAATTAAATATGCAGATTTTAATATTTTTATTGAAAATTGGATAGAAATATTTGTTTAGTTGGAACCTGTGAGTGATTATTATGCATATAAATAGACATTCAGTTATTGCAGATAAATTCAGTGGTGGTAAAATAAAACATTTGTATAGGGTTTTGGAATTCAAATCTTTAGATTATTTCTCTGGGCCAGGGGCAATGGCTCACGTCTGTAATCCCAGCACTTTGAGAGGCTGAGGCGGGAGGATCACCAGGTCAGGAGATCGAGACCATCCTGGCTAACACGGTGAAACCCCGTCTCTACTAAAAATACAAAAAAATTAGCCAGGCGTCATGGCTCACGCATGTAGTCCCAGCTGCTCAGGAGGCTGAGGCAGGAAAATCGCTTGAACCTGGGAGGTGGAGCAGCCTGGTGACTAATTACAAATTAATGATTTGTATTTCACTAATTATCTTTTCTGTTATCCAGAGTCTCTGAAATGCTATTAATAATATGTATTTTTATTATTATATAAAAGTTAATCTTCAAAAATCACAATAACTTATCACTTTACATGTACTAGAATGGCCATTTTCAAAAGGCCCATAATAACAATTATAGGTGAGGATATGGAGAAGCTGGCCCCCTCCTACACTGCTGGTGGGAATGGAGATTGGCGCTTTGGTATATGTGCTGCCGAAGCGAGCACGGAAATTGGCGCTTTGGAAAACAGTCTGGCAGTTCCTTGAAGGGTAAACATAGAGTTACCATATGACCCAGCAACTCCACTCCTAAGTATGTACCCAAGAGAAGGAAATAATCTGTCCACATGGAAATTCGTACCTGAATATTCACAGTATCATTTTTCATAACAGCCCCAAAGTGGAACTCACCCAAATGTCTATCGTCTGCTGAATGGATAAGAGAATATGTGATGTCTCCATACGGTGGAATATTATTCAGCCATGAAAGCAAAGGAGGTGCTGTTATGCGGTATAATATGGATGGACCTTGAAAACATACGGGAAGTGAAAGAATCCATCACAAAGGACAATATATTGTTTGATGCCTGTCTTAGTCACTTTGGGCTTCTTTAACAAAAGTATCATAGACTATGTGGCTTAAACAACAGAATTTATTTCTCACAGTTCTGGAGGCTGGGAAGTCCACGATCAAGGCACTGGTACATTCAGTGCCTGGAGAGGACCTGCTTCCTTGTTCATAGACGGCTGACTTCTTGCTGCGCCCTCCCACGGTAGAAAGCGGGAGCGAGGTCTCTGGGGTCTCTTTGCTAAGGGCGTTGAGACCATTCATGAGGATTCCACCCTCATGACCTCATCACCTCCCGAAGGCCCCATCTCCTCCTATCATCACATTTGGAGTTAGGATTTCAACACATGAACTTGAGGGTGGACACATACATTCGGTCCATAACAACTCCTATTAAATCAAATGTCCAGAATGAGTCAACCTATGGAGACAGAAGGTGGATGCGTGGGTGCCTGTGGCTGGGTGTGCGTGCCTGTGGGGAATGGGGAGTGCCGCTTAATGAGTTTCTTTTTGAGGTGATGACGCTGTCCTAAAACTGATTGTGGTGGTGGTTGTACAACTTCATTACTATATATACAACATTGAATTGTAGACTTATGTGGGTGAATTGTGTGGTTTGTGAACTATATATCCATAAAGCCATTATTTTAAAAATCTAATCTTTAAAAAATGTCATAGCAGAGCCGGTGAAGGTAATGGATTAGACAACGGTTCCTAAACCCAAGTATTTTAAAGAAATCAAGGTGACAATTTAGGCAAGAAAAACGATTAGAGTTGTACGAGAGAAGAATGGAAGGCAAGGAAAATAATCACACTTTTGCCTCTGTCAGGTTGGAATCTTTAGAAGTTCCTGTTCTGCATAACTTAACTTGCAGACCCAGGGCCACATCAAAAATAAAAGAATTTGAAAAATCCGGCAGGGCACGGTGGCTCACGCCTGCAATCCGGCACTTTGGGAGGCCGAGACGGGCCGATCACCTGAGGTTGGGAGTTTGAGACCAGCCTGACCAACATGGAGAAACCCTGTCTATACTAAAAATAGAAAAATTAGCCGGGTATGGTGGCGCATGCCTGTAATCCCAGCTACTCAGGAGGCTGAGGCAGGAGAATCGCTTGAACCCGGGAGGTGGAGGTTGCTGTGAGTCAAGATCTCGCCATTGCACTCCAGCCTGGGTGACAGAGCTAGACTCCATCTAAAAAAAAAGGAAGTTTCTAGTTTCTGTTTTACAACTCTCCTGTTTCGGCCTCTGTCCCAAGTACCTACCACTACTAGGAGCAATTCCACTGATGCATCTCTTGTGAATGAGCAATAAGCGCTTTTGTCAACCTTTGAGAGACACAGAAGCTAAGATTTATCTGATGGTTCTTCCCAAGTACCTAAATACAACCTCCTTTTATTTTTTCAGGGTAAAAAAGATACAGTAAAGACATAAATACCACATTTGACAAATGGAAAAAAAGGAGTGTCCAGAAAAGAGTAGCAGCAGTGAGGAAGAGCTGCCGAGACGGTGAGTGACTTTGCGCTCTGTGAGGGCTCCTGATGGCTGATTCTTCTGTGTTTCGTTATAGTTCATGAGATACAGAGGACCATGGATGTTTTCTGGAAGAAAGGTTCTGCTCACATTTTATTCATTCACCCATCTCTGCATGAATGAAGGGAAAACTCCCATGGGCACCCAGGTGTACTTTTTTTTTTTTTTTGACACAGAGTCTTGTTTTGTTGCCCAGGCCAGAGTGCGCTGGTACCATCTCAGCTCACTACAACCTCTGCCTCCTGGGTTCAAGCGATTCTTCTGCCTCAGCCTCCCAAGTAGCTGGGATTACAGGCATGCACCACCACGCCTGGCTACTTTTTGTATTTTTAGTAGAGACGGGGTTTCATCATGTTGACCAGGCTGGTCTGGACCTCCTGACCTCAGGTGATCCACCCACCTCGGCCTCCCAAAGTGCTGGGATTACAGGAGTGAGCCACTGCGCCTGGCCCAGGTGTACTTTTTAGACCTTCTCTCTCCTTCCCTGTTTCTGACCTTTTTAGACCTTCTCTCTCCTTCCTTGATTCTGACCATGGCAACTTCATACCTGAGCAAAAGCGAGTCTAGGGCTGTTCTTCCAGCTCTTTCCTTGATGCATGGGCCTATGGCCTTGACCACGCTCTTGACAATCCCATAGCATGGCGCCCAGATCAGAGCAGAACCAAGCAGCCTGACTCACTAAGCCCTCCCTCTGTGTGTTTCAGTGGCTCCTCATCAGCACCAGGTTTATGTCTCATTTGTAGAAAATGAATGCACTGTTTTACATTGTCTTGGAACTCAAAACAAATTAATCTGACCAAATATTTCATGTATGCAATTCAGACACTGCTGCAGAATGAATGTTTGTGTTCTTCCAATATTAATATGTTGAAATCCTAACTTCCAATGTGATGTTGTTAGGAGATGGGGCCTTTGAGAGGTGTCAGGTGATAAAGGTAGCGCCCTCATGAATGGAATTAGTTCCCTCATGAAGGAACCCTGGAGAGCTCCTTTCTCTTTCCCCATGCTTGGACAGAACAAGAAGTCTGCCCTCTATGAATCAGGAGCAGACACTGATCTACCAGCACCTTGATCCTGGGCTTTCCAGCATCCAGAGCTGTGACAAATACATTTATATTGTTCACAAGCTTCTCAGTCCATAGGTTTTAAAAATAGCAACCTTGGCCAGGCATGGTGACTCACGCCTGTAATCCGAGCACTTTGGGAGGCGGAGGCGGGCAGATCACCTGATGTCAGGAGTTCGAGACCAGTCTGGCCAACATGGTGAAACCCCATCTCTACTACAAATATAAAAATTAGCTGGGCATGGTGGCGGGCACTTGTAATCCCAGCTACTCGGGAGGCTGAGGCACGAGAATCGCTTGAACCTGGGAGGTGGAGGTTGCAGTGAGCCAAGATCGCTCCATTGCACTCCAGCCTGGGCGACAACAGTGAAACTCTGTCTCAAAAAAAAAAAAAAAAAAAAGTCTGAAATGACTGAGACAGATGATCTGGCATGCATAAAAGACCACGGACTAGGACGAATTGTTTGCTTTGGGAACCCAGTGTTTCCAACTCTTGCGCTAAGTAATTTTAGCCTTCTATGATTAATCACCACAAGGATTTGTGACGAGAGTACTGTATCCTTATTTTACAAATTAGAAAGCTGATACTCAGAGAGGTTAAGCAACAACTTTGACAGGTCTGTCACTGCTGAGTGATGTCTGTGAAAGGCAGTGAATGCAGATCACTCTAGTGTCCATCATCCCTGACACGCTCACACTAAATAAAGAGATCCTACCTTCAAATAAGCTCAGTCCATTCAGTGTTGTGCAAACAACTTCATCTGGTTAACATTCCCTCCTGTTTAGGACCAACGAAGGATAGAAGAGTGGGGCCCTTGTTATGCTCCTATAGTTTACAAAAACACAGTATCCTTTCAGAAGCCAGTAGCGAGCATCACCAAGTGTGACAGACCGTGATGAACATCAGGGATTGAGAATCAAAGGAGGCATGCCTCCTGAGATAAGATCATTGTCTACGAAGTGGTAACAGCAATGCAGTTAGTTCAATAAAAATGTGGAGGAATGGTATTTTATTCTAGCATGGGCATCGAAGAAGGTGTCTCTAAGAATGGGCATCTCTAAGACATCTCTGAGGATGGCATCTCTAAGGATAGTATCTCTAAGGATGGCATCTCTATGGATGGGCATGTCTAAGGATGGATGTCTCTAAGGATGGCATCTCTATGGATGGGCATGTCTAAGGATGGATATCTCTAAGGATGGCATCTCTATGGATGGGCATGTCTAAGGATGGATATCTCTAAGGATCGGGCTACTTTCGCTACATCACAGTGAGGAGATTGTCCCACCATCGAGCTCCTCTGACATGCTCACATTCCAATTCCATTTGTGTTTTCCCAGGGACAGTGGATCCAGTAGGAACATAGATGCATCCAAACTCATTAGACTACAAGGATCACGGAAACTGTTGGTTGACAATAGCATACGGGAACTGCAATACACAAAAACTGGAATTTTTTTTCAGGCTGAGGCCTGTGTGACAAATGATACGTAAGGGACATCTATTTGTTGGGAAAAAATTAAAGATTTGGAATTTTGCTCCATTGGTTTATGTACATTCATAAGAAGCAAAGACATGCAGGTTATTTGCATAAAAATTAGTATATATGTTACTTTTCTTCTTTGTTATCTTAAGTTTTTATTTCAAAAGAGTTTGTATCTCATAAGAAGTAGGGAAAAAAGGTCTGAGCCCAGTGGCTCACACCTGTAATCTCAGCACACTGGGAGGCGAGGGCAGGTGGATCGCCTGAGGTCAAAAGTTTGAGACCAGCCTGGCCTACATGGTGAAACCCCATCTCTACTAAAAATACAAAAATCAGCTGGGCATAGTGGCCCACACCTGTAATCCCAGCTACTCAGGAGGCTGAGGCAGGAGAATTGCTCAAACCTGGGAGGCGGAGGTTGCAGTGAGCCGAGATCGTGCAACTGCACTCCAGCCTGGGAGACAGAGTGAGGCTTTGTCTCAAAAAAAATAATAACAATATTAATGATAAAGTAGTTGGGAGAGAAGGGCAGAGTTCCCATGTAGCCTTCACCAAGTTTCCCCTCACGATAATACTTTTTTTCTTTTTTTTTTGAGACGAAGTCTTGCTCTGTTGCCCAGGCTGGAGTGCAGTGGCACGATCTTGGCTCACTACAACCTCTGCTTCTGGGGTTCAAGCGATTCTTTTGCCTCAGCCTCCCAAGTAGCTGGAATTACAGGTGCCCACTACCACACCTGGCTAATTTTTGTATTTTTAGTAGATACGGGGTTTCACCATGTTGGCCAGGCTGGTCTCAAACTCCTGACCTCAAGTGATCCTCCTGCCTCAGCCTCCCAAAGTGCTGGGATTACAGGCGTGAGTCGCTGCACCCAGCCGATAATACTTCCTGTAACAATAGCGATATGATTTGGATGTTTGTCCCTTCCAAATCTCATGCTGAAATGTGATGGAGTGTTGGAGGTGGGGCCTGGAGGGAGGTGAATGGATCAAGGGGGCATATCCCTCATAAATGGTTTAGCACCATTCCTTTGGTGATAAGTGGCTTCTTACTCTGAGTTCATGCAAGATCTGGTTCTTTAAAAGTGTGTGGCACCTCCCCCTTCACTGTCTTGCTCCTGCTGACATCATATGACAGGCCTGTTCCACTTCACCTTCCACCATGAGTTAAACGTCCCTGAGGCCTCCCAGAAACCAAGCAGAAGCTGGTCCCATGATGTACATCCTGCAGCACCATGAGCCAATTAAACCTCTTTTCTTTGTAAATTGCCTAGTCTCAGACAGTCCTCTATAGCAATGCAAGAATGACCCAATACAGGCCAGGCGCGGTGTCTCACTCCTGTAATCCCAGCACTTTGGGAGGCTGAGAGGGGCGGACCACCTGATGTCGGGAGTTTGAAACCAGCCTGACCAACATGGAGGAACCCCCATCTCTACTAAAAATACAGAATTAGCCGGGCTTGGTGGCGCATGCCTGTAATCCCAGCTACTCAGGAGGCTTGAGGCAGGATAATTGCTTGAACTCGGGAGGCAGAGGTTGCAGTGAGCCAAGATCACGCCATTGCACTCTAGCCTGGGCAACAAGAGCAAAACTCCATCAAAAAAACAAAAAACAAAAAAACCAGAATGACCCAATACAAACAGTCATTGCTAATACCAGGAAACTGATGTTGATACAGTACTGTTAACTCAGGTATAGATTTTATTTCAGGGTGATATTTCACAGGCTGAAAAGCACTGCTAATGAGGACAGGAATTCCTCAGTCTTGCTTGGTCCATGCACCCATTTAACATGGGATATTTTAAAAGCAGTGCTGCACGCCGGGGACCATGGATGGTAGAGCTTAAAGAACTACTTTGTTTAATAAAACCTATCCCAGACTGGGTGCGGTGGCTCACAGGTGTAATCCCAGGACTTTGGGAGGCCAGGGCGGGTGGTTCACTTGAGGTCAGGAGTTGGAGACCAGCCTGGCCAACATGATGAAACCCTGTCTCTACCAAAAATATAAAAAATTAACCGGGTGTGCTGGTGCATGCCTGTAATCCCAGCTATTGGGGACGCTGAGGCAGGAGAATAGCTTGAACCCGGGAGGCAGAGGTTGCAGTGAGCCAAGATCATGCCACTGCACTCCAGCCTGGGCAACAGAGCCAGACTCTGTCTCAATTTAAAAAATAAAAATAAAAATAGAAATGAAACCAATGGCAGATAGCCCAAGGCAGGACCCTCTGGTCAACTGGACTACAGCAGAGGTTCTAAAGTCAATGCTGTCCAATAGAGTTCTCACCCAGGATGGAAATGTTCCCTGTCTGTGGTGTCCAGTGTGAAAGCCACTGGCCTCACATGGCTTTTTCTTTTTTTAACATACATACTTTAATCAGAATTGCTGAAAAAATATTCAGGATTTTTGCTCTTGTTGTTGATGTTTTTAACAGGCTTAATTTTCCAGCTGAAACCCGATTTTACATTGCAAACAAATGTTCTTTTTTTTTTTTAGACAAAAGTTGTCTTCAGTAATAATTCCTCAGTTATTTTCTTTCTTTTTTTTTGCTTTCCTTTTTTGTCAATGATTTTTTTCTACAGTTTGGTTTTGAACTTACTTCAAAATCTCTCAACAATTGCTTTCACAGATATTCAGCTGATGGAAGTGTTCACTGTTGTAACCTTTTGTGGAGAGTGATTTGGGAATATCTATCAAACAGTAATGCTCAGGCTGGGTGCGGTGGCTCATGACTGTAATCCCAGTGCTTTGGGATGCCAAGGTGGAAGGATTTCTTGGGGCCGGGAATTCAAGACCAGCCTGAGACCTCATCTCTATTCCCTGGAGTCCTCTTCAAAGCAGATTTTGTTGCCAGACGTCCTATGCCTATGTCCATTACCCAGAAAAATTCTTTTAGTTTCACGTGGCTGGGGAGGCCTCACCATCATGGCAGAAGTCAAAGGAGGAGCAAAGGCATGTCTTACATGGTGGCAGGCAAGAGCCACGTGTGGCTTTTGAGCACTTGAAATATGGCTACTTCAAAGGAGGAACTGATTTTCACATTTAACAATTTAAAACTAAATGTAAATAGGCAGGTGTGGCTAGTGGCTGTCATATTGGCCATTGAATATCTTGGCATAAAGGACACTCCATCACTCCTAACCTCAATCTTGATTCCTGCCAGCCATAGGAGGACAGCACCAAGCCTTCAAAAATGAAGAAGAGAAAAGGATCTAGCATAGGACTCTCATGTTCCATATCTGAATAAGGATCCTTGATGGGAAAAGAAAGTGTGTACAATATCCATAATTTTCTTTTTCTGTGAGCATTTTTGTTGCTTTATGCAACCCCTCTCACCATTTGCAGGCAGAAGGGAGAAGAGGAGATAACTGTTCCATGGGTTCTTATAAAACATGCCCAATCTCACTAATGCCCTGCAATCCCAATCATTTTAGGGTCCTATTCTCTCGGGCACCAATTATGGATGAAGGGAGACTACAAATTAGGAATCTCATCCTTTCCCTAAAATTCTTAGCAAGGTTATATAGGTCAACATACTTGTTGACCTATTATGAAACCAATGTTTGTGGCAAATGCTAGATGTTGAGAACTGACTGACGTCTGCTTCCTAGGATGGAAAGAGCAGCATATAGTGGGAAACAGAGAGCCAGTTAAATTTAACATAATGAGATGTAAGAAAGAGTCATGGGAGTCTGAGAGGTGAGATGGAGTCGTAGGGGCCTGAGGAATGACTTCCCTAAGATAAAATATTGAGTCTATGGCTATTAACATAAAATCTTCCTGCACAGCCTATGCTATCATCAGGCACCTACCTTATATTCATAGTAAAAATTCTGTTGTTGTTTTCCAGGGTATACAGGGAGCTACCCTGTGTTTCTGAGACCCTTTGTGACATCTCACATTTTTTCCAAGAAGATGATGAGACAGAGGCAGAGCCATTATTGTTCCGTGCTGTTCCTGAGTGTCAACTATCTGGGGGGGACATTCCCAGGTAAGAAAAGCTATTCCGTTGGAAAACTATTGGACGCTGTGTCTCAATATCACAGAGGAACATGAGAATTAGAGGAATTTGGGTGTTTTTCATCGAACTCAGGGGAGAATGAATGAGCTTATGCAATACTAGCAATGAATCCAGAAATTTTTGAAACAAACCTTAAGCAATGAGGTTTTCTTCCATGGAGGTGTCTAGAGAACCTATACACAAAAAGGCAATGAGCAATGCAATCGAAGACCAGTGGGTTATTGGTTAAGCTGTTACTCAATACATAAAACCAACCTAATTCTCTAGGAAACTGGCTGATGATGAGGCTGAAGGCCACAGTGGGGTCCTGAGGTTTAACACCGGGGAGGGGAGAATGCGTCTATTTGTAGGGTATGCCAATTTCCAAGGGTTGAATATCCCCATCATGGCAGATTTCAAACTACCAACGTGAAGCCCCTGATGAGGGAGTTGAAAGAACACATGCAGAAGTCTGTCATCCTGCTTTCACCACACAGATACAAGAGACATAAATAACCTCAAGGGCATAGACTGCTGAAAAGTGTAGAAAAATGACTGGAAATTGGTATGTTTTAATATGTATTACTTTTGTTTTTAATATGATTTATTTAAATGTTAGCTTGTATCATTTAATTTAGACTAATGGTTGTGTTGAACAACTTGGTTGCAAAAGCCCTGAAAATGGAACCGTCAGCTCTCATGATCTGGGATGCGCTGTCTGCAGTTCAGCGCTGGGTTCCTCCCACTTTCTAAACCCCTCCTCAGCAGGCAGACTCCAGCATGCACATGCACCAGGAAAGAGAATATAAAATGGCATGTTTACTCTTGCTGCTTTGCCTGTAGCTACCCGAATCCATAGCAAAATGTGTAGCCGCAGACAGCAACCAGTCTTAGGATGTCAGCCCAGGGGTCTCTCCATGCTTGGCTTGCCCACAGAATCCTTCCGAGAAAAGCGCTGTAAAGCCTTTCTCTTCATCCCACTTCTCTAGGTACCTGTTCTTTTTAAACCTAATCCACGTGTCAGTTTCTCTGCTGGTCTCTTTCACGTCGAAATAAACAGATATCTCAAGGAATGGATCAAAGGCAGAGAATTTGATGGAGTTGGTTGCCTTGCTCCAGAAGGTATCACCTGTGTTAGGGCAGGTTTCTCTCCAGAGGCATGACGAACCATTGGCTCACGCTGTATGTCATAGAACCCATATTGGCTAATATTGGAATCACCTGTGAGGCTTTGAAAGCGCCGATGCTTTGGTGCCACCTCCAGACTTCTGATTCAATTGATGTGGGCTGTGACCTGGTATTGGGTGGTTTTTAAAGCTTCCCAGGTGTGGTCAAGTTTGGAATTACCTTGGAATATAAATGCATACATTTTACGCATTGGTGAATTACTGCTTCAGTCTTTGATTCCGACATCGTATGATACCAATCGGAGCAATCAATTTAAGCCAGAGAATCTGGCTGTGTCCACATTGAACGTGGGCATAATACAAAGAGAAGAAGGAGAGATGTCAAGACACATTTGGCTCAAGGGAGTGTGTTATCTCTATTATTTATAAATGTGGATAAAAATATCTTCATTCAAAATGTCTTCTATTTCTTGATAGTCTAGATCCGCCCAGTCTAAGAGAACTTTCTGTGATGACGGGAGTGTTCCATTCTCTGCTACACAGTGTTATAGCCGTGAGTGATATGTAGCTGTTGAGCACTTGAAATATGGATAGTGCAACTGAGAAACTAAAGTTTACCTAAGTTTAATTCATACAAATTTAAATAGCATATCCGGGTAGCGGCTACTCTACGGGACAGTGCAGCTCTAGTTTTCAATAACATCGTCTTCATCTTCATCAACTGATTCTTGATGTTTTTCATCTTTTTGTAACATGGGGATCCCAACCTCCAGTGTATCAGAAGAGCAGGAATCTTCAGAGGGACAAGATTCAGGTAATGGGCTAATAGGGAGAGGAGTGAAGGGCGTGTGGATTGATGGAAATGTTCTGTGATTTTATGTGAAGAAGACAATTTAGAGTCTTTTGTGCAGATCAGGAGTGCTTTCCCTTACCTTTGCCACAGTGCACTGTGCAGTTTAAATGGGGACATGTAAGCCTGTCACTGCTGGGGCATGGAAATGCTCAGGGGAGTCAGTGGGTGGTCCTGGTGGCTGGGGACAGCAGCAGGGCCTAGGAAGGATGCACGCTCTTTCGCCTCTGCATCTTTGGAGTTCGATACTTTTCTGACCTGGACTTTCCTCACCAGCAGAAAGTGTCTTCTGCTATTTCGGACCAGTAGAAATGTAGGTGCATTGGTTCCAGTCCTCAGCAAATGGTGCCTCCCACCAAAGCTGTCCAGCCTGGCTTCCCAGAAAGTCTTATGGAATTTGGTGTATACGTTTAGTCATGACAAGGAACATTCTTGTGCCTTTCTTTGTCTGGATTCAAAGAAGCGAAACTGCATATTCTGGTCACTCTCAGCTCTCATTCGATATCTGTATCCCAACAGCACCTGTGCAATTCAGCCTCCAGGAGTCCTTCAGGCCATGCCTCTTCCAACCCTTTACCTCTTACATGTCTAGTATTTTCTTTTCAGGAGACATTTGCTCAGAAGAGAATCAAATAGTTTCCTCTTATGCTTCTAAAGTCTGTTTTGAGATCGAAGAAGATTATAAAAATCGTCAGTTTCTGGGGCCTGAAGGAAATGTGGATGTTGAGTTGATTGATAAGAGCACAAACAGATACAGGTAAGAATGGAAGATGCTGATGATTTGAAAACCACTCTGATATAAAGGAAGTGTGTAGGCCAGGCGTGGTGGCTCAGGCCTGTAATCTCGGCACTTTGGGAGGTGGAGGAGGGCGGATCACAAGGTCAGGAGTTCGAGACCAGCCTGGCCAACATGACGAAACCCTGTCTCTACTAAAAATACAAAAATTAGTCAGGCGTGGTGGCACCCGCGTGTAGTCCCAGCTAATCAGGAGGCTGAGAAAGGAGAATCTCTTGAACCCAGGGGGCAGAGGTTGCAGTGAGATGAGATCTCGCCACTGCACTGCAGCCTAGGAGACAGAGCGAGACTTTGTCTCAAAATAAATAAATAAATAAAAATATAAATACAAAAGGAAGCGTATCGGTTCCATCCCTTATGATAGCTAAAATTTCATCAATAATATGTTTATTTCATGCACTGTGAAGTTGGTATTTTAATTTCAACATATATAGAATGCAGAGAAATTGGGGCCCAGAGAGGTTAATGAACTCCCCAGCGTTTTCTAATGTAGTGAAAGTCGCAGATGGGTCCTGAACCTTGCCTCACTTCAAATCCCACCTCCCTCTGCACATCGCTGCTTAAATCCAAGTCCTGGGGTTCTCCCGTCATGACATCACTCTGGCTCCTTTCAGCGTTTGGTTCCCCACTGCTGGCTGGTATCTGTGGTCAGCCACAGGCCTCGGCTTCCTGGTAAGGGATGAGGTCACAGTGACGATTGCGTTTGGTTCCTGGAGTCAGCACCTGGCCCTGGACCTGCAGCACCATGAACAGTGGCTGGTGGGCGGCCCCTTGTTTGATGTCACTGCAGAGCCAGAGGAGGCTGTCGCCGAAATCCACCTCCCCCACTTCATCTCCCTCCAAGGTAATGTGGGGTGAGCGGAGGCTGTGGGGGCCGCTGGGGTGCGTGCCGTCTCACTGCTGTTGTGGTTCTCCTGCAGCAGGTGAGGTGGACGTCTCCTGGTTTCTCGTTGCCCATTTTAAGAATGAAGGGATGGTCCTGGAGCATCCAGCCCGGGTGGAGCCTTTCTATGCTGTCCTGGAAAGCCCCAGCTTCTCTCTGATGGGCATCCTGCTGCGGATCGCCAGTGGGACTCGCCTCTCCATCCCCATCACTTCCAACACATTGATCTATTATCACCCCCACCCCGAAGATATTAAGTTCCACTTGTACCTTGTCCCCAGCGACGCCTTGCTAACAAAGGTAAGCTGAGTGATTTAGGAGACCAGAGAAGATGACGATTATATTTCCAGGTTATCCCCTTGGCCCCTCCAGTTCCTCGTGGAACAGAAAGGGCAAGGCATGGTTTTCATGGACAGAAGCAGGAGTCACCCTTCCTGAGGTTCATCCAAGGTGCTGACTCTGGAGCTATGTGCTTCCCTAACCATCTTCAGTAGTGATTCAGTGCTACTGAAAAAGGAAATTCCCTTTTCTGGCTCTCAAGAAGGAGAAAGTTAGTGATTTTGGGGGACCAGCTGACAGAGAAGATGCAGAGATTTTTTCACCAGGTTGTTTTTTTCTTTTTTTAGAGACAGAGTCTTACTCTGTCACCCAGGCTGGAGTGAACTGGCGCAATCTTGGCTCACTGCAACATCCACTTCTCGGGTTCAAGCGATTCTCCTGCCTCAGCCTCTTGAGTAGCTGGGATTGCAGGTGCCCGCCACTATGCCTGGCTAATTTTTGTATTTGTAGTAGAGACGGGGTTTCACCATGTTGGCCAGGCTGGTTTTGAACTCCTGACCTCAGGTGATCCACCTGCCTTGGCCTCCCGAAGTGTTGGGATTACAGGCGTGAGCCACCACCCCTGGCCTCTCACCAAATTTTAAATGGATAATATGTGAATTACACTGACAGGCACACTCACATCTCTGGAGTAACCCTCCTCCTGTTCAGTAGCATCTCCCTCTAATGCACTTATTAAAGGCTCATATTCCCACACTCTCTTCTGAGTTAGTGATGAAGCAGACGTGCTGGTTGCTGTAGCTGCTGTGCACCTGGATAAAGTCCCACTTCTGTCCTTCCAGCCTAGGTGGGGCGATTATGCCAGAAAGATTACATTAAATTGTATCGTCCCCCCGTCTAATGCTCCAACATCCCAAGAATGAGAGGCAGGTGCCTGCCTGTCAGGACTTAGGGTGGTGAGTAACTGTGGGTACTTAAATACAGGAGAAAACATTTTAATCTGAATGATAAAGATGACTATTCCTAGAGTGGGCCAGAAATACATACATTCCAGTGAATTCTTGCATAACTTCTGTTTTCATTCTGAGCCCACCCTTTTCCTATCCTTCACTTAGTGCCTCTTCTTTCATCATTCCCAAATCTCATATGCTTACTTGCTTCATACCTTATTGATATACTAGAAACAAAATGGGATGGAAAAACCTCATTGTTTCACTGTCAGCTCTGTGAGCCTGTTTCTGGCCCGTCTTCACCTATTTCTTTCCTCTGAAACCCAAGAAGCCTCCTTGTTCTTTTTCTTTTCTTTTCTTTTTTTCTTTTTTGAGACAGAGTCTTGTTCTGTTGCCCAGGCTAGAATGCAGTGGCAATTGCGGCTCACTGAAACCTCCGCCTCCCGGGTTCAAGCGATTCTCCTGCCTCAGCCTCCCGAGTAGCTGGGATTACGGATGTGTGCCACCACGTCCTGGTAATTTTTGTATTTTCAGTAGAGGTGAGGTTTCACCATGTTGGCCAGGCTAGCCTTGAACTCCTGACCTAAAGTGATGCACCCACCTCAGCCTCCCGAAGTTCTGGGATTACAGGCATGAGCCACCGCGCCCGGCCGCCTCCCTCTTCGTACACAAGGACACTACTTAACATGAGTCTTGGGTCCCTTTCCCTCTTCCCTTATGTGGGAGCCACACCCGAGGCATCCTCTTTCCCCTCCACCGTCAATCTCTCCTACCCTAGGGCATCACTCCCTTCCACCCGCCAAAATCTAGAATGGCCCCCACATTGGAAATGCTGTCCTTGACTGCTCTCCCTCCTGCAGTCATACTTCCAATTTTTCCCTTATGCTTCTCAATGAATGGATCAACAGCTCCATGTACCCGAAGTCTCCATATTCCTCAGTTCTCACTCTGTTCCCAGATCTCTCTGTGTGGATGACCTTGCCACCCTTCCTTAGAATGGCTCTGTTTAGCGTCACCCAGTCAGTGACTTTGTGTCAACTCATTCTTACCTGGGGTCTCAGTGGAATGCTATTCCACTGACCACGCTCTTCCTTGGAAACACTCTTCTATAACAGCAGTTCCCAACCTTTTAGGCACCAGGAAGTAGTTTTGCAGAAGACCATTTTTCCACAGACCAGGGTGGTGAATGGTTTTGGGATGATTCAAGCACATTAAAGTTATTGTGCACTTTATTTCGATTATTATTACATTGTAATATATGATGAAATAATTACACAACTCACCATAATGTAAAATCAGTGGGAGCCCTGAGCTTCTTTTTCTGCAGCTAGATGGTTCCATCTGGGGGTAATGGGAGACACTTACAGATCATCAGGCATTAGATTCTCATAAAGGGCGTGCAACCTAGATCCCTTGCATGGGCAGTTCACAGCAGGGTTCACGCTCGTATGAGAATCTGATGCCACTGCTGATCTGACAGGAGGAGCTCAGGCGGTAATGTGAGTGATGGGGAGTGGCTGTAAATACAGATGAAGGTTTGCTCCCTCACTGCTCCTCTCCTGCTGTGCAGCCCGATTCCTAACAGCTCACACACTGGTACTGGTCTGCGGCCCGGGTGTTGGGGATCTCTGCTCTATATGATCCTGCGACACCATATTATCCCAATTTCCCTGTGACTTTTCTTTTCTTTCCTTTTTTTTTTTTTTGTGATGGAGTCTAGCCCTCTCACCCAGGCTGGAGTGCAGTGGTGTGATCTCGGCCCACTGCAACCTCTGCTTCCTGGGTTCAAGTGATTCTCCTGCCTCAGTCTCCTGAGTAGTTGGGATTACAGGCACACACCACCACACCTGGCTAATTCTTGTATTTTTAATAGAGATGGGGTTTCACAGTGTTGGACAGGCTGGTCTTGAACTCCTGACCTTGTGATCTGCCCGCCTTGGCCTCCCAAAGTGTTGGGATTACAAGCATGGACCACTGCTCCTGGCATCTCCGTGACTTTTCTGAGTCTCTCCTCAAATCGCCTCTGCAGGTTCTTGCTCTGAAACCTTCTCTGAATATTGAGTTTCCAGGGCTGAATCTTGGACTCTCCTTTCTCTTTTCTGTCTTCACTGACGGACTTGATGAATTCTTCGTCTCGTAACTGAATTCCCCACAAGCAGAGGATTTCTCAGTCTATATCTCCAGTCCTGAACATTCTCCAGAGCTCCAACTTGGAACCGCCAACCTCCCCTCTCCATATGAGTGTTTATTTGGCATATCTAATTGTATATATTGACTCAACTTTCTCCCTTTAAGCGATTTATTCAACTCTCTTCCCCATTCAGGGTAGAGACTAAATTTCATTGAGTCATTCAAGCCATACTCTAGTGTTCATCTTTAATTCCTCCACTTATTTTCTTTTCTTTCTTTTTTTTTTTTTTTGAGACGGAGTCTTGCTGTGTCACCAGGCTGGAGTGCAGTGGTGCAATCTCAGCTCACTGCAACCTCTGCCTCCCAGGTTCAAGTGAAGTGATTCTCATGCCTCACCGGGATTATGGTGTCTGCCACCACGCCCAGCTATTTGTATTTTTTTATTTTATTTATGTATTTATTTTTTAGTAGAGACAGGGTTCACCGTGTTTGCCAGGCTGGTCTTGAACTCTTGACCTCAAGTGATCTGCCCCCCTCGGCCTCGATTTCTTTTCTTTCCCACATCCAGCATCTCATCAATTTTGATTCTTTTCATTTTCATAGCATAACTTGAACCAGTTTTACTCCGTTCAGCTTCACTGCCAGCTTTAGTGCCATCCACTGCCATTTTTGCTAGAAATATGGATAAAGTCTTCAAGCTTATCTCACTGGTTCCATTGTTTTTCATTTACCACCTATTTTTAAAATCTAGGAACAGGGAGATTTTTTGCAAAATAAGTAATACCCCCATTACATGCAATTGGCCCATACAACAAATCTGCACATGTACTTCTTGAACCTAAAATAAATGATGGGGCTGGGCATGGTGGCTCATGCCTATAATCTCAGCACTTTGGGAGGCCGAGGCAAGCAGATCACTTGAGGCCAGGAGTTCGAGACCAGCCTGGCCAATATGGTGAAACCCCATCTGTACTAAAAATACAAAAAATTAGCTGGATGTGATGGCACATGCCTGTAATCCCAGCTACTTGGGAGGTGGAGGCATGAGAATTGCTTGAACCCAGGAGGCAGAGGTTGCAGTGAGCCAAGATTTTGCCACTGCACTCCAGGCAACAGAACGAAACTCTGTCTTAAATAAATCAATAAATAAAATAAATGTTGGAAAGAAAAAAAATTAAAATTTTTTAATTCTAATACACTTAAAAAATACATTACTACATCACACTTTGGCCAAAGATTCTTTAATGGATTCACGTTACACTTAGAACATGAATCAAATAATTTACTATGGCCTAGAGGCCATGGCTTTTTTTTTTTTTTTTTTTGAGACGGAGTCTTGCTGTGTCCCCCAGGCTGGAGTGCAGTGGGCGTGATCTCAGCTCACTGCAACCTCCGTCTCCCAGGTTCAAACAATTCTCCTGTCTCAGCCTCCTGAGTAGCTGGGACTATAGGCGCACGCCACCATGCCCGGCTAATTTTCGTATTTTTAGTAGAGACACGGTTTCACCATATTGGTCAGGCTGGTCTTGAACTCCTGACCTCAGGTGATCCACCCGCCTCAGCCTCCCAAAGTGCTGAGATTACAGGTGTGAGCCACTGTGCCCAGCTGAAGCCATGACTTCTTGTGACCCTAGAACATCTCAGTTATCCATCTCCTATCACTCTCTTCTCACTCATTATGTTCCAGCACTTCTGTCCTGAATTTTCATCCCTCAAATACTCCAAGAATTCCTGCTTCTGGGCTCTTACCCTTTGTGTTTCCCTTGCAAGACTGGCTCCTGCTCATCTTTCTAGTCTCTTTCTAGTCTTTGCCTAAAGATTTCTGCTTCCGAAAGCCTTTAGTAGGCCCTCTAGTCTGGTCCATCCCTCCCTTTATTTATTTATTTTTGAGAAGGGGTCTTGCCCTGTCGCCCAGGCTGGAGTGCAGTGCCACAGTCGCAGCTCACTGCAACCTCTGCCTACCGGGTTCAAGCGATTCTCCTGCCTCAGCGTCCCGAGTAGCTGAGACTACAGGCATGCGCCACCACACCCCACTAATTCTTGTATTTTTAGTAGAAATGGGGTTTCACCATGTTGGCCAGGCTGGTCTCAAACTCCTGACCTCAAATGATCTGCCCACCTCAGCCTCCCAAAGTGCTGAGATTACAGGTGTGAGCCACCGTGCCCTCCAGTTCTCCCATTGTTCTTGATCACTGTACCCTCTTCTTTCCCTCTGTTGTGGTCACATGTCTATTTATTTATGATCTGCTTCTCTGTAAATTGTGTACTCTATATCATGGGCAGGACCATTTCTGTTTAATCATAAATTAGTTAAAAGCACAAGGAGGGCCGGGTGCGGTGGCTCACACCTGTAATCCCAGGACTTTGGGAGGCCGAGGTGGGCGGATCACGAGGGCAGGAGATCGAGACCATCCTGGCTAACACGGTGAAACCCCGTCTCTACTAACAATACAAACAATTAGCCGGGCACGGTGGCAGGTGCCTGTAGTCCCAGCTACTCGGGAGGCTGAGGTGGGAGAATGGCTGAACCTGGGAGGTGGAGCTTCAGTGAGCCGAGATCGCACCACTGCACTCCAGCCTGGGCGACAGAGCGAGACTCCATCTCAAAAAAAAAAAAAAAAAGCACAAGGTGAGGCCTGTTGTAGGTACCTCTTGAAATTTTGTTGACCCATTGAATGAAAAGTGGTCTGTCTGCTTCTTCCCTATTCAGGGTAGGATAAGGGAAGAAGAGAGGAGAAACCTCTTCTTCACTTCAAACCATAATCAAACTCTAAATATCTATTGTTGCACTGAGAACTTCCCTGCCCTATTTCAAGAGCAGCACAGTTCAACTCTATAACCACTGGCCAGCTATAGGCTTGAATGGCCGGCAATAGCATGTGGCTATTGAGTATGTGAGTTGAGATGTACTCTAAAACTTAAGTATTTAAGTTTTAATACACATATTAATACACATACACAGATTTGGAAGACAATATGAAGGGAAGCACATAAATAGCAATTATTTTTTGTGTTGGTTACATGCCTAAATGATATTGTGAGTTAAATGAAATACATTACTAAAAGCCATTTCATCTGCCTCTCTTTGCTGTTTTTAAAAAATGTGGCTGCTATGAAATTAAAAATTGCATTTGGTCACGCCTGTAATCCCAGCACTTTGGGAGGCCGAGGTGGGCGGATCTTGAGGTCAGGAGTTCGAGACCAGCCTGACCAACATGGTGAAACTCCGTCTCTACTAAAAATACAAAAATTAGCCGGGCGTGCTGGCATGCGCCTGTAATCCCAGCTACTCAGGAGGCTGAGGCAGGAGAATCGCTTGAACCTGGGAGGCAGAGGTTGCAGTGAGCTGAGATCACACCACTATACTCCAGCCTGGGTGACAGAGCGAGACTCCATCTCAAAAAAAAATTGCATTTGGGGGTTGCAGTACATTTCTATTCAACAGTACTGTTCCAGGGAAACCCATTTATTCATCCAATAAATATTTGTTGTGTGCCTTATATATTCCAGACACTATTTTAGAGGCTGAGGATACATCAGTGAACAAAAGAGGCAAAAACATGACAACCAAAGATATTACATGGAATGCTATAGGAAAAATATATGTGCATATGATAAGAACTATAACAAATAAAGAAGGTTAAGAAAATTAATCCAGTGGTATGTCTCTCAACACCTACAGAAATCTGTCCGTAATCATAACCCTAGCAATGTGATATGGATTTATTTGGTGATTTAGTTCTAATCTGTTATTACTATAATTTAATTTAAACATATCTGTTCATGTAAAAGAATTGTTCATCAGAGATGGTATGATATGTTATTTCTTTCCCCCATCAGTTTCTTTTGACCCTTCGGAAACTGGTTCTTTTTCTAAACATATATGTGATGCCTCCTGGATAGTTCTCCACATCCCTTCTCTGCCTTACCCCCATCATAGTTTCATCTCTTTGCTCAATACAATATGAAATTTTTCTTTTATTTGATTTCCCAGGCCCAATTCAGGTTTTCTCCATGGGCCATCCTTTTCTTCATAGAGATCTGCTGACATTTCTTTATTTCTTTTTTTTTTTTTGAGACAGAGTCTTGCTCTGTCGCTCAGGCTGGAGTACAGTGGTGCGATCCCGACTCACTGCAAACTCTGCCTCCCAGGTTCATGCGATTCTCCTGCCTCAGCCTCCCGAGTAGCTGGTATTATAGGCACTCACCACCACGCCCAGCTAATTTTTGTATTTTTAGTAGACATGGGGTTTCACCATGTTGTCCAGTCTGGTCTCGAACTCCTGACCTCAGGTGATCTGCCTGCCTCGGCCTCCCAAAGTGCTGGGATTACAGGCATAAGCCACTGCACCTGGCCTCTACTTTTAATGAAATATGTACATAATTTATTGCTTCATAATTTTCATAGTTGACACACTCACATATGCAGCACCTAGAACAGGCAACAAGACATCACCAGCTTCCCCAAAGTCCCCTTGTGTCCCTCTTGGTCATTATCCTGCAAGGGAGTCGATCAGCTGGACTAATAATATCACTGACAGTCATTGTTTTTAGCATAAATTCCTTGCTCATTAATTCTACAAAGTCTCTATTGAGTTGTACCTGAGACTTCCCAAAGGTAGAAAGGTTTTGTTTGAATTCCATTCTGTGTCTTTGATGGCTGCTCAGATAGATTTTTTTTTTTTTTGGTGAGACAGAGTCTCGCTCTGTCGCCCAGGCTGGAATGCAGTGGCGCAATCTCGGCTCACTGCAATCTCTGCCTCCTGGGTTCAAGTGATTCTCCTGCCTCAGCCTCCAGAGTAGCTGGGATTACAGGCGCCCGCCACCACGCCCGGCTAATTTTTATATTTTTAGTAGAGACGGGGTTTCGCCATGCTGGCCACGCTGGTCTCAAACTCCTGACCTTGTGATCTGCCCACCTCGGCCTCCCAAAGCGCTAGGATTACAGGTGTGAACCACCGTGCCTGGCTGCTTAGAGATAGTTTTGAGGTCTCGCTTTCTGCTGTGGCTGCTGGGCCTCGCAGAGGTGACTGTTTCTGCTCGCTGGTGGTCAGGTGATTGAGCATCTCACAGCAGCCCTGTGACGGAGAGAAGTAACATCTCTACCCTTGTCCATCATAGACGTGTTCACAGACACAGCTGAGCTACCAGTTCTCTGCTGAGGCACCAAAAAGAAGTCCTTCTGTCCTGTGCTTTCATAAGTACGCAGCCAATCTTTCCACAGTGTAAAAATAAAAGCAAACTATACAAGAATTTATAAGTTCACATTCACAAGAAATCCTTTGGCCCTGAGATATCTTTCAGTAAAATTTCATCAATATGTCTCTTTGTGCATAGAGACATATTCATTCATATCTGTGTATCTACCTATCACAATCTTTATATCAGTTGAATACCTTAATCTTTATATCAATTGAATCATAGCCTACGTGCTACTTAATATACCATATAAATAACTTTTTATGCCACTACTTGCTTTACTATTTTTTGTGCTCTCTAATGTTTCTGCCCCTTCTTCCTTAGGCGATAGATGATGAGGAAGATCGCTTCCATGGTGTGCGCCTGCAGACTTCGCCCCCAATGGAACCCCTGAACTTTGGTTCCAGTTATATTGTGTCTAATTCTGCTAACCTGAAAGTAATGCCCAAGGTTAGTAGAATTCAAACCCAACTCAGCAGGTTTCAGAGTGTTTTATATTTCTGAAACAAATGGAAGAATCTTAGCAAAATGCAACATTTTTCTTTTATTAATCACAAATATGCCCTTTAAAAAAATTGAAATTATAGAAAAATAGTATTAATCATATTGCATATTTCCAAGACCCTAAGGCAGAGGTAACATTTTAGTATTTGACATACTTATGTTAGGTTAAAACTACACATTGAGTTTCCCAAACTGAAATTTCCATTTCCCTGTTATAATTATCTTCAGTCCTGATGTCTTGCCTAACTAACGCACTTAATATGTATTTGTTAAGGTAGTTGAAGGAAGAGCTGATTTTATGTTATATATTTCATTTTATATATTTTTAAATGGAGATTACTATATAATTCTGTGCAATTTAAATTATTCCTACATACAGATTTACTGGGACATGATATGCCATGTAGCGAAATCCCTAGAGCTTTTTTCATTATTTCATGATTATTCAACATTTAGTCGCATGTAATTTCTCCCAAGAAGTGCCCTGGCAAGAAGTCTTTCCATTCATATGGTTTTACATTTTTCCTGCAGGGCTAGAGTGTCCTAAATGAAATTACTGATTCAAAGAGTATTAACCAACTTAAAGCTAGTATATTTCCAAATAGATTTCCTTCCTTCCTTCCTTCCTCTTTCTTTTTTCCCTCTTTCTCTCTTTCTTTCTTTCTTTTTCTTTCTTTCTTTCCTTCCTTCCTTCCTTCCTTCCTTCCTTCCTTCCTTCCTTTCCTTTCCTTTCTTTCCCTCTTTCTCTCTTTCTTTCCTTCTTTTTTGATGGAGTCTCGCTCTGTTGCCCAAGCTGGAGTGCAGTGGTGTGGTCTTGGCCCACTACAACCGCCGCCTCCCAGGTTCAAGTGATTCTCCTGCCTCAGCCTCCTGAGTAACTGGGATTACAGGCATGCACCACCACTCCCGGCTGATTTTTTATTTTTAGTAGAGACGGGGTTTCACCATGTTGGCCAGGCTGGTCTCGAACTCCTGACCTCGTGATCTGCCCACCTTGGCCTCCCAAAGTGCTGAGATTACAGGCTCGAGCCACCACACCTGGCCCCAAATAGATTTTCAAAGATGTCTCACAGCATATGTTCTCTAAAATAAAGATGAGGTTGTCCAGCACAATATACCATCTCTAGAACAAAGTATCAAGATTTAATTGTTTTCCAGTTTTAATGGGAAAACACATCCCAGTGATTTCAAGGTCTTTAATTCAGAATGGGACGGACCAATGTTATTGTTTTGGCGTAGATGGCTTTTTCCTGTTTGCGGACCTTGGAAGAGGTGAGAAACAAGAGGGTTAGGTGTCAGTATTTACATGTCTCCTTTTTGGACACTAAGGCTAAAATAGGAAAAATGATTTTTCCAGCCATATAGACAACAAGATGTGAAGCTTATTGCAGACATCAGTTCAGTGATCTTTTTCTAAGTATACTAGAGCATAAGAATTTAATAAAGTGCCCAACCTTGCTCTGATTTTAGTTCCCAGTTTCCTTGATAAACTCCACAGCAATTAATATGAAGCAGGGACTGCCTTCCCCAGAAGTTTGGTTGTCCTTCAGGCAAGATACATTCTTGGCTGTTGCAGAACCTTCCATAAACATTGCTGATATAGAAATAAATAAATAAAATGCAGGGTATTTCATCCAGAATGATACAACATAGTAAATGTGAGATAAGAAGTGGCAATTGCAACCTGAGGTGATAATCTTTTTTTGAGACAGAGTCTTACTCTGTCGCCCAGGCTGGAGTGCAGTGGCGCAATGTCTGCTCACTGCAACCTTCTTTCCCTGGGTTCAAGCGATTCTCCTGCCTCAGCCTCCTGAGTAGCTGGGACTACAGGCACCTGCCACCACGCCTGGCTAATTGTTGTATTTTTAGTAGAGATGGGGGTTTCAACATATTGGCCAGGCTGGTCTTGAGCTCCTGACCTCAAGCAATCGGTCACCTCAGTCTCCCAAAGTGCTGGGACTACAGGTGTGAGTCACCGCGCCCGCCCTAGAGGTGATGATCTTGAGCGAGGTAAACTCTCCTCAGAGTCATCTTCCATTTAAAAAGATTCCAGCCAACAATCTCACCCTTTGTAATTTTTTAAATCCCTATTTTCCAAGAGCTGGGTCGGGGGGCTTGTTTTCTGAAGAAACTAGAGATTTGCATGAGCTAAGCTTTTCCTAATTCTGTCCTGCATAAGGGGCTTTCTTGCTCCCCAGGGCAGCTTTTTTTAGGAATCCTGGGGAGACTGGGTGCAAAACAGAGAGGGACCTGAAATGGCTTATCTGACCCCGGCTTCCCAGCGAGGCTCAGAGAGACCTGATGGGGCTGCTTTGGAAGCTTTCTTGCTTCTCTATAGAATCTCGGATTCTGAGCTGGTCGCATCATTAATGAGGGGCCTCAAAACCCTCAAAATCTAAGACGTTTGTATTCAGTTGGTAGCTCAGATAGTTTTTCTCTGACTCATGTGGTGTTGACAGCTAGGTTATTCTTCCCTTCCTGGTATAAAAGCATTTCCTAACATTGTAAATGTAAAGAGCTGTTTACCTCTCTCCCTCTGTTTCCCACTCAACCAGCCATGACATTGCACAGGAAACGGGTTAAGTTCCATTGGCCAGTTCACTGTAGGGAGCCGGGCCTTTCCACCCTCCACTGCTTCAAGTCAACTGATGTGTTTCCTCTAGGAGTTGAAATTGTCCTACAGGAGCCCTGGAGAAATTCAGCACTTCTCAAAATTCTATGCTGGGCAGATGAAGGAACCCATTCAACTTGAGATTACTGAAAAAAGACATGGGACTTTGGTGTGGGATACTGAGGTGAAGCCAGGTAGGTGAGTGGGCGAGGCTGGCATTTTTAGACAGGGATCCATCATGTACCTCTATCCTTGGATTTCAAAGAAGAAATCTTGTTTATGGTTCTTTCCCAGAGAAGAAAAGAAATCTATTGTCAGTGTTAAAACACATGGACACAGGGAGGGGAACAACACACACTGGGGCCTTTTGGGTGATGTGGGAAGGGAGAACATCTAGATAAATAGCTAAAAGGCCAGATACGGTGCCTCATGCCTGTAAACCCAGAACTTTGGGAGGCCGAGGGGGGAGGATCACCTAAGGTCGGGAGTTCGAGACCAGCCTGCTCAACATGGTGAAACCCTGTCTCTACTAAACATACAAAATTAGCCAGGTGTGGTGGTACATGCCTGTAGTCCTGGCTACGTGGGAGGCTGAGGCAGGAGAATCACCTGAACCCAGGAGGGGGTTGCAGTGAGCCAAGATTGTGCCACAGCAGTCCAGCCTGGGCAATAAGAGCGAAACTCCATCTGAAAAAAAAAAAAAAAAAAAAAGAAGAAGATAAATAGCTAATGCGTGCAGGGCTTAATATCTAGGTGATGATTTGATAGGTGCAGCAAACCACCATGGCACATGTTTACCTTTGTAACAAACCTGCATGTCCTCCACATGTATCCCAGAACTTAAATTAAATTAAAAAAAATAGTTTGAATAAAATAAAATGTTCTTGCCAAAAAAGAAAAAAAAAAGAGAAATCTATTGTCAGTGTATTATCAGTGTGATAACACAACAATGGTGGCATTTGTTCATCTCTAGGAAGTGAAATGCTCAAGGGGCCTGGGAGAGGGGTGGAAACCCTCGAACCTAGGGGGTAAAGAACAGAAGATTCTAAGAGTCAGAAGAAACATAAGGACTATTTAGTTCCACTTTCTTCACAATTTAATCATTTCTTCCATACTCATGCTTTTCATTTTCGGGGTGTCATATTCCCTGAGGTAATCTGTTAAAAAGTTCTGGAAAATGTTTTATCCATTCACAGAAGCTCAACATCATAAACACAATTTTTTAAAGTTTAGAAACTCCCAGACAATTTGCCAAAGATCTCCTGATAGTTCCTTGAATCTCTGGAGATACATTTATATCTCCAATACATTTGTAAAATGCCATGCTCTGTTTGAATAACTACAATGATGCAGAAATCAGTATCTTCAATAGTAGCAGATCCTTGTCTTGGGTAACACAGCATGAAAAATTTCAATGAAGCTCTATGAAGGGAAGGATATTAACATTTGCATAGGAGCTATAAATCGCTTTAACCTTTTATGTAGTTGTATGGGCACAGATTAATTTTAAAACAAGTCTCTTGAACAAAAAGTCACTTTTAGAATTCCATACTATAACATAAAAGCACCCATATGAAGATAAGTTGTATGCAGTGATATTATTTGAGGCATTGTCTGTGGTGGGAAAAAAATGAAACCAAACTGAATGCCCAGGAAGAAGGACATAGTTGAACAAATGTGTGAGTACATGTTGTGGAATGGTTTTCAACAATTTCAACTGAGTTTTGCCTGTTGCTGCTGTTGTATTTTAGTAGTTTGGGGCAATATTGTCACAGTGTTGACTGTGTAGACCAGGAGTCCCCAACCCCCGGGCTAGGGACTGGTACCGGTCTGTGGCCCGTTAGAAACCGGGTTGCACAGAGGAGGTGAGTGGACGGTGAGCAGGCGAAGCTTCATCTGTGTTTACAGCTGCTCCCCATTGCTTGCATTACCGCCTGCGCTCTGCCTCCTGTCGGATCAGTGGTGGCATTACATTCTCGTAGGAGCGCGAACCCTATTGTGAACTGTGCAGGCGAGGGATCTAGGGTGCATGCTCCTTAGGAGAATCTAACACCTGATGATCTGTCACTGTCTCCCATCACCCCGAGATGGGACCACCTAGTTGCAGGAAAACAAGCTCAGGGCTCCCACTGATTCTACATTATGGTGAGTTGTTTGTATAGTTATTTCATTATACATTACAATGTAATAATAGAACTTAGGTGCACAATAAATGTATTGCACTTGAATCATCCTGAGACCATCCCCTCCCTCTCCAGTCCGTGGAAAAAATTGTCTTCCACTAAACCGGTCCCAGGTGCCAAAAAGGTTGGGGACCACTGGTGTAGACTGTCTGCTCTTTGTGGTCCTCAGTCACTGATCTTCCTTCCTCCACTGAATCCTCACAATCCCATCACCTTCCTTTCCCTGCAATGGTGTCTAGAGTTCAAGATCAGCTTCATGGCTGTGCCTCCCCTTCTCTGGGCAAACTGCCCTCTTGTTGAGGCGGTGCACATGAGCTGGGACTGCACTTGGAGTTTCCAGGCACATTGCAGGGTTGGATGATGCTCAGCCGACCCAGGCCTCATCTCCACATGAGTAGCATCTCATGAGTGCACCTCCACATGCACCCTCCCCGCCTCCTCCCTCCAGTCGGTAAAATGTCTTAGCATCTCAGATTGTCAGAGTTTTGTTTGTGCAACTTCTTAGCTCTCCTTGTGATGTTTAATATGCGAAGAAGCCGTGCAGATGTCGGATTCCCCATTGCCTGCATTATCAGTGGCTAGAATGCAATCTAGTTCACAGCCAACATGCAATACATATTTTGAGTAAGCAAATGCCACCACACTCTCCATTTCTCTGTAAACATCAGAATATTTTTACATTGTTTACTTTTTTATTTAAAAAAGATTTTTTCCAGGTGTCACAATCATGCTTTTTTTTTTTTGATAGCAAATTCTAGATGAAATGGGGGAGATTGTGGATGGCTGGGTCTTGGATGAGTATGCTGGTTCAAGGCAGCTCATGTTCTGCCCAGAAGTCAAATGACCAGAAACTCAATTGTGAGACCTCACAGGAGATGGGAAGCTCATATTTATTCTGTCTTGGTGACATGGTGACTGAGCTGCTGCCAAAGGTGGGGTGGGGGGGGCATGTTGCAAAATTCATCTGAACTTTGAAAACATCAAGGAGTCTAGATGAAAGTGCAAAACCACATTGAAGGCATCATGGGAAATTTTTTTAATTATTTTCCAAAATGGTAGCTCCAATTAGCAAATCTTCTATCAACTTATAAGGGTACCCAAATTTCTGCACCATCAACAGTCTTGGTACAATCACATCCAAAAAACACGTGTTTTAATTAACTCATGTAATGTTGTTATTTCATGTCTAAAACACTTTGACTGTAATTTATGTAGCACTGTATGATATGTTTTTGTAGCCCCATAGTTCCTAAGATATTGGCCTGCAAGTTGAAAGAAATTGGAAAAATGTGTTTCTTCCTCCGATGCCTTTTCTGAATTGTCAGTGAGTGACCCACAACTTAATGGGGTTTCCTCAGTGTATTAGTGTGCAAAACAAGAGCCTTATGACATATGTAGAATTAAATTATTTCAGTTGGTTGCATCAAAGACTAGAAAAGCTAAATAAGGGTACATGATTTATCTCATCTCATCATATAATTTTTCCCTCTTTTGTAGTGGATCTCCAGCTTGTAGCTGCATCAGCCCCTCCTCCTTTCTCAGGTAAGTGAAATGTTTACATTAAAGCCAAGGGTATGTATGAGACATCAAGGGGTCTTTGAGTGACAGTGGAAGGTATCCAAGTGACATGGCACCAGAACGTTACTGGCAGCAAATCCGTATAGGTCTGCAGCAACCTCAATTCTTGCCTCCTTAGAAGACAGAATTTGACTGAGGGGCATAAGGCAGAAGGAGAGACCGAGGCAAGTTTTAGAGCAGGAGAGAAAGTTTATTAAAAAGCTTTACAGCAAGAGGCCAGGCGCAGTGGCTCACGCCTGTAATCCTAGCACTCTGGGAGGCCGAGGCAGGTGGATTGCTTGAGCTCAGGAGTTCGAGACCAGCCTGGGCAACACAGTGAAATCCCCATCTCTACTTAAATACAAAAAATTAGCCGGGCGTGGTGGTGGGCACCTGTGGTCCCAGCTACTCGGGAGGCTGAGGCAGGAGAATGGCTTGAACCCGGGAGGCAGAGGTTGCAGTGAGCTGAGATCGCACCACTGCACTCCAGCCTGGGCGACAGAGCAAGACTCTCGGTCTACAAAAAAAAAAAAAAAAAAAAAAAAAAAAAAAAAAGCTTTATAGCAGGAATGAAAGGAAGGAGGAAAGTACACTTGGAAGACGGCCGAGGGGGTGACTTGAAAGACAAGTGCACGGTTTGACCTTTTGACTTGGGGTTTAATATGTTGGCACACTTCCGGGGTCTTGCATCCCTTCTTCCCTGATTCTTCCCCTGGGGTGGGCTGGTCGCCTGCATAGTGGCCCGCAGGGGCTTGGAAGGGGAGCATGCGCAGTGTGTTTCTTGGAGTCATACGCATGCTCACTTGAGGCATTCTTCCCTTACCAGCTCAACCTCCGTAAGAGGTTATAGGCCAGTTAAACTCTGCTCTTAATGCACATTCTTGAGCCCACTGGCCCAGTTCCCGAGATCTTATTGGGAAGCTGCTGATCACCAGTTTCAGGTGTTTTCTCTCTGTCAGGAGACGGCCTTTCCCTGGTGCCGGCTGCAACCAATTATTATTTTAGAGAGACGGTGTAACAACTGCCTGACCATCACCTGATGGTTGCCTGACATTTCTGGTGGGGTGAGGAGTCCTCTCCTGCCCTGCTCATATCTGACGAGCTGCCTGCTGTAACAGCATCTCTCAGCAAGGCTCCATTCCTTCCATCCTTGTCATCTGCCAAGAATGACTGATGTCATAAATACAGACAATGAGTATGATTTAGTCCCAGAAGGGCGTGAGGACATCATGTAGACACAAAAGAGCATACAACAGCAAATTATTGGGGGTAAATATTTAATATCTTGCGTCTGGGGAACTCTAAGTTAAAGTAGTTTGATATGGCTGTGAATTAAACTGTTAGAGGGACAGAGTAAAGGTGACATGAGAAGGATAGTCAAGAGCTGGCAGTTGAAAGTCCAAGAATAAAAGTTGAAATATTTTGGACTTTAGACGGAAAGGCAAGAGTAACTATTAAAGGATGGATAACAATGTGTTGGCTCTTCAAAACAGCGTGGATGATTGAGTGTGGGTTGGGAATGAATAGGAAGTGGGGAACGGTGGGGCTGTTGTAAAAGTGAAGAGCAGATATCAGCCAAGGATCTGTTAAGGACACTGGAATTAGTATATAGCAGAGAAAAAATTATTTACATTATTTAATATAAAGAGTTGGCTGGGTGCAGTGGCTCACACTTGTAATCCCAACACTTTGGGAGGCCGAGGCAGGTGGATCACCTGAGGTCAGGAGTTTGAGACCAGCCTGGCCAACATGGTGAAACCCTGCCTCTACTAAAAATACAAAAACTAGCTGGGCGTGGTGGCACATGCCTGTGATCCCAGCTACTCGGGGGGCTGAGGCAGGAGAATCGCTTGAACCCAGGGGCGGAGATTGCAGTAAGCCGAGATCGTGCCATCGCACTCCAGCCTGGGGACAAGAGTGAGACTTTGTCTCAAAATAAATAAATAAATAAGTAAATAAATAAAATAGAGTTAACACTGAGAGGACCAAGTTTCCATCATCTAGTAAGCAATAAATCCAGGTTTGGAACTCCTTGTCTCCTGATGACTTCATGTCCACGTTAATTTTAAAAATCACCCAAGGCAGCAATCTGCAATGTCCTCTGGATCTGTGTAAAGTCTTGTGTGGCAAATGACAGAAAGTCCAACTTAAATGGAGTGAAATTATCAAGAGTGTCATGGCTCAGGCGAGTTCAAGGAAGAGATGTGGGACTGACTCCAGGGAGGCTGATTCATGGGCTCAAACAACATCACAAGGGAGGAATGTTTCTCCATGTCTTCGTCCCGCCTTCCATATTGTTGGCTTCATTGTCAGGCTCCACACAGTGTAAGTTTCCGAACTCATGTCTCAAAACAGACCACTGGGAGAAAAAAGAGAGCACCTTCTGAGATGGCAATCATGCCATTTCCTAGCTGTTGTTGCCTGGAAGGCCATTGAGGCAGATTAAATAAAAAGAAATCATGCCTCACATCTGGAGGTGCAATGAGGATCAGCTAAGGAGCTTGGTTAAGAATCAGATAAAGGTGACGTCCTAAAATAAATCAAAGAACATCTCTGTAGGTGGTGACTGCAGGCTGAGCAGCACCAACAAAAGGCTTCTACCCTTCCTAAATATAATGTTTAGGATGTGGAGCAAAATATAGCACCTGTTGCCTGCACGTTGAAATCAAAGCTTAGTAGCTCAGTCTACAGGAAGCTGGTCCAGAACATGTCTTGAGTCAAAATCACACCTCAACCTCCATGCATTCTAAACCACGTGATATGGAAGTAATATGATTTGGCCAAGTTTATACAGACATTATATGGGGCACAACGTAAACCCTGAGTCTACATGATGGAAAAAAGTCTGTATCTTTTCCCCTGTTCTTCCTTTTCTATGCATTGTATGTCTCCAGTTAAATCTCTTCTTTCATAGCTCTGCCAGCTAAGCTTTGGGGATCCAGCTGAATCCTTCTCCATACCTCTAGCATCATGCACAGTTTCTGACAATGTATGAACTAGAAGATTTGTGTTTCGTTGTTAGAGGGATTTATATATAAATGTATGTACAGCAAGATAGAGCTCTGTCTAGGATTTCAATGAAAAACACCAACTAGGAAGAAACAGGCTTCAAGAAATGGATGAGAGGAGTAGGACTGAGGAAGATACATTATTTGAGACACCTCAATGCATTTGATACTGCAAAGGGTATATTTGCTCTGTGAATGTGTGTGATTTTGTATGTCCACAAATTAAGCTACAGACACAAGGAGCAATCTCCCACCCCTGAATTTTGACTCTAAGCTTGGTATAGATCCTGAATCCTGTAAGTGAACGATTCTCAAAGTCTGAAACTCCCCCTTTCATCCAGGTGCAGCCTTTGTGAAGGAGAACCACCGGCAACTCCAAGCCAGGATGGGGGACCTGAAAGGGGTGCTCGATGATCTCCAAGACAATGAGGTTCTTACTGAGAATGAGAAGGAGCTGGTGGAGCAGGAAAAGACACGGCAGAGCAAGAATGAGGCCTTGCTGAGCATGGTGGAGAAGAAAGGGGACCTGGCCCTGGACGTGCTCTTCAGAAGCATTAGTGAAAGGGACCCTTACCTCGTGTCCTATCTTAGACAGCAGAATTTGTAAAATGAGTCAGTTAGGTAGTCTGGAAGAGAGAATCCAGCGTTCTCATTGGAAATGGATAAACAGAAATGTGATCATTGATTTCAGTGTTCAAGACAGAAGAAGACTGGGTAACATCTATCACACAGGCTTTCAGGACAGACTTGTAACCTGGCATGTACCTATTGACTGTATCCTCATGCATTTTCCTCAAGAATGTCTGAAGAAGGTAGTAATATTCCTTTTAAATTTTTTCCAACCATTGCTTGATATATCACTATTTTATCCATTGACATGATTCTTGAAGACCCAGGATAAAGGACATCCGGATAGGTGTGTTTATGAAGGATGGGGCCTGGAAAGGCAACTTTTCCTGATTAATGTGAAAAATAATTCCTATGGACACTCCGTTTGAAGTATCACCTTCTCATAACTAAAAGCAGAAAAGCTAACAAAAGCTTCTCAGCTGAGGACACTCAAGGCATACATGATGACAGTCTTTTTTTTTTTTGTATGTTAGGACTTTAACACTTTATCTATGGCTACTGTTATTAGAACAATGTAAATGTATTTGCTGAAAGAGAGCACAAAAATGGGAGAAAATGCAAACATGAGCAGAAAATATTTTCCCACTGGTGTGTAGCCTGCTACAAGGAGTTGTTGGGTTAAATGTTCATGGTCAACTCCAAGGAATACTGAGATGAAATGTGGTAAATCAACTCCACAGAACCACCAAAAAGAAAATGAGGGTAATTCAGCTTATTCTGAGACAGACATTCCTGGCAATGTACCATACAAAAAATAAGCCAACTCTGACATTTGGATTCTACCATAGACTCTGTCATTTTGTAGCCATTTCAGCTGTCTTTTGATTAATGTTTTCGTGGCACACATATTTCCATCCTTTTATGTTTAATCTGTTTAAAACAAGTTCCTAGTAGACACCATCTGGTTGAGTCAGTTTTTTTTATGGTGTATTTTGAACCCATTCTGATAGTCTCTTTTAACTGGAAGATTTCAATTACTTACGTTAATGTAATTATTAATATGTTAGGATTTATCCTCAGTCAGCCAGTTTGTTATGTCTTTTCTATTCTACTGTTATCACATTTGTACCACTTAAAGTGGAATCTAGGCACTTTATCACCATTTAGATCCTATTACCTTTTCTCATCTAGGATATAGTTATCTTCTACATAATCTTTCTGTATCTTAAAACCCATCAATAAATTATTATATATTTTCTACTTTTAATCACTCAGAAGATTTAAAAAACTCATGAGAAGAGTAATCTGTTATGTTTTTCCAGATATTTACCATTTCTGTTGCTCTTCCTTCATTATTTTCCAAATTTCGTTCTGCAAATTTCCACTTCCTCTGATAGACGTTTTTTAGTTCTTTTAGAGTGGTTCTGATAGGTACAGATTCTCTTATTTTTTGCTTCCTCTGAGGACATCTTTTTCTCACCTTCATTCTCAGTGATGTTTTTTGCTTGTAGTATTTTTAGTTGACATTGTTTTCTGTTCAGCAGTTTCCTTTTAGCTTCCGTATTTCCTGATGAGAAATCTGCAGTCATTCAAATTGTTGTTTCCCTGTATGTAGTGTGTCATTTTTCTGTCAGATTTCAAGGTATTTATCTTTAGTTTTTAGCCATTTCATTATGTTGGGGATGAGTTTCCTTGTTTTATTCCCTTTGGAATTTGCTCCAATTCATAAATTTGCAGTTTTATGTCTTTTACCAAACTTAGAGGTTTTCAGCCTAATTTCTAAAAATACTTTTTATTAGCCTGATTTTCATCTTTATAGGAAATAGTTTAAGTGATGACAAGTTCCAATAGCTTATATGCCCAGAAGGCCTTCAAAATAAGAATTTTGAAAGAATACAGAAAACAAACTTTTATATCCTTCTCATGTCTTCTACTGTAAAATTCATATGCTTTGCTACTCTAAACCTAGTTTGAAATCAACAGTCTTGAGAATAGATGAAAATTTTGATGAATAGTGGAATTCTTTTAAATGGAAACCTCTTACATGTGATTTTCCTTGCCATCTAGAAATAAACCATAGTATTTATGTTGAATCAATCAATATTATATTTTGTTTTTTTCCTCCTCTTCTGAGACTCTTATTGTGGAAATGTTAGACTTTTATGTTTTCCTAAATGTCCCTGATATTCTACTTATTTAGAACATCTTTTCATTTTTTCCATTATTCTGATTGGGTAATTTTAATTTGTCTATTTTCAAATTTGCTGGAGTGTTCACCTGTTGTTATCTGTGTCGTCCCACTGAGTGCATTCACCACCTTTTAAATTTTGGTCACTGTATGTATCAGTTCTAAAATTTCCATTTTGTTCTCTATATTTTAAATTTCTTGCCTTATATTCTATTTTCCTGCAAATGTGTCAGCATTTGCTTGTTTGAGCTTTTTTTTTTTCAAGACAGGGTCTCAACTCTGTTACCCAGGCTGGAGTGCAGTGGTGCGATCTCAGCTCACTGCAACCTCTGCCTCCTGGTTCAAGCGATTATTGTGCCTCAGCCTCCAGAGTAGCTGGGATTACAGGCATGCACCACCACAGCCCAGCTAATTTTTTGTATTTTTAGTAGAGACAGAGTTTTGCTATGTTGGCCAGGCTGGTTTTGAACTCCTGGCCTCAAGTGATCCACCCACCTCAGCCTCCCAAAGTGCTGGGATTACAGGCCACTACACCTGGCACATTTGAGTATTTTTTTTTTTTTTTTTTTTTTTTTGAGATGGAGTCTCGCTCTGTCATCTAGGCTGGAGTGCAGTGGTGTGATCTCAGCTCACTGCAGCCTCTGTCTCCCGGGCTCAAGCGATTCTCTTGCCTCAGCCTCCTGAGTAGCTAGGACTACAGGTGCATGCCAACACGCCCGGCTAATTTTTTTTTAAAAATATTTTTAGTAGAGACAGGGTTTCACCATTTTGGCCAGGATGGTCTTGATCTCCTGACCTCATGATCCACCCGCCTCGGCCTTCCAAAGTGCTGGGATTACAGGCATGAGCCACCGTGCCTGGCCTCATTTGAGTATTTTTATAATGTCTCTTTTAAAGTCTTTGTCAGATAATTTCACTGTACATGTTATTCAGTGTTTGGTGTCCACTGAGTTGTCATTTGCCAGACAAGTGGAGATTTTTGCAGCTCATCCTTGTATTCTCAGTAGTTCCGATATGTACCCTCGAAATGTGAATGTTATCTTATGAGACTCTGTTTTATTTGTATCCAACAGAAGATGTTTATTATTTATTTGGCTTTCTGTGAACTGAGGTCTTAATATCAGCTCATTTTAAAAGTCTTTGCAGTGGTATTCGGATCTATCCTGTGTGTGCCTATGAGATTGGGTGCAGTGTATCCTGTTAGCTCCATTCTCAGGGCGTTTGAATGTGAATTAGGACCAGCGCAATGAATGCTCAAGTTGGGGTTGGGCGTTAGAATTCATAAAAGTCTTTATATGCTCAGATTCTGCAGCTCCATCCTCTTCATGATTGTGATCGTAAGGACAGTGGAATTTTGCAGTTGTCTATACCTTATCTTGAAGTAGAACTAAATTGTTACATTTGAAGAATGTACTTCATAAATTTACAAAAATAAAAAAATAGGTTAATGTTATTAAAACAAAAAGGCACACATTTTTAGAAGTTAAATTGATTTATTTGAGGATGCTAAATTAAAAATAGAAGGCCGGATGCAGTGGCTCACGCCTGTAATCCCAACACTTTGGGAGGCCGAGGTGGGTGAATCAGATGAGGCCAGGAGCTCGAGACCAGCCTGGCCAACATGGTGAAACCCCGTCTCTACTAAAATTACAAAAATTAGCCGGGCATGGTGGTGCATGTCTGTAATCCCAGCTGCTCGGGAGGCTAAGGCATGAGAATCACTTGAGCCTGGGAGGCAGGGGTTGCAGTGAGCCAAGATCACACCACTGCACTCCAGCCTGGCTGACAGAGTCTCATTCTGTCTCAAAAAAAAAAAAAAAAAAACAGAAAAACAACAATAAAAAAGAAGAAGTTCATTAGAATGAAGCTACTAAGAAGAAGATGTAAATATCAGGTGATATTTATAATACATAAAAATGATTCAACATGAGTAAACAAACAGAAAACTCCTTGTGAAAAATGGGCAAACGTTATGAGTAAAATGTTACAGTTTGTAAATCGCAATGGACAATGAACAAAAGTAGAATTTCATACGTCTAGTTATCAGAAACCTCATTAAAAGCCATAAAAATACTACATTTTATATTCATCAAACTTCCATTTATTAAGAAGTCAGTAATGCCTACTACTGGTGAGTATATGGAGCACAAATGTAAGTTCTGCTGTTGGTTAGGTAATGCTTGATTTTGGAAATTAATCTGAAGTTACACAGTGAAGTTAAAGGTATGTATACTACCTTATCCTGCTCAGGTTGCCATAACAAAATACCATGGACTCAGTGGCTTAAAGAGTAAAATTTTATTTCTTACAGTTCTCAGGCTGGGAAGTCCTAGATAAATATTTGGCCAATTCAGCATGGTTTTTTTTTTCTTTTCTTTTCTTTTTTTTTTTTTGAGACAGAGTCTCTCTGTCGCCCAGGTTGGAGTGCAGTGGCGTGATCTCGGCCCACTGCAACCTCCGCCTCCCGGGTTCAAGTGATTCTCCTGCCTCAGCCTCCTGAGTAGCTGGGATTACAGGTGCCCACCACCACGCCCAGCTAATTTTTGTATTTTTAGTAGAACAGAGAGGAGAAGGTTAGGGGTGAGTCAGAGGAAGTACGAGAGCAATCGCTAAGAGATAAGGTCGAACTTTAGGAGCCAGGAAAGCCTCCACACTTGTCACCCCACACATCAGGGCTGTCCAACAGAACTTTCTGCAGTGATGGTGTTACCCTATGGAAGGTCCTGACTGTGAGTTGTTAGGGTTCTTGGTGTGTGGAACAAAGAATTGAACAAAATGCACAAACAAAGCAACAAAAGAGCGGAGTAACGAAAGCACAGATTTATGGAAGTGAAAGTACACTCCAGAGTCGGAGTGGGCTTGAGCAAGTAGCTCAAGAGCCCCTGACTGCAGTGCTCTTTAGAGTTTTCATTAAGCTAAAAGAATTTGGTAACACCCCTAGGTGCCCTTTAGAGGCCTCCAGTTGGTTACACCCTATGAAGGATTGGCCCGTGACCAATCAAGAGGCTGAAGTGGAGACTTCTGTCTTGTTATCACAGGAGTGAGGATGTGGCCTGGATGCTGCCCAATCTTGCCTAGAACTGGCTGCACCTGCTTGTGCCTTAACCCTTGGTTACCCTAAATCCCTGTTATCCAGACTCATTGGGACTGCTCTAGATCTTCACTATCCAATACGGTAGGCGCTTCCTGAAATGTGCTGAGTTTTATTTCATTATAATTAATGTAATGCACCCACATGTGGCTAGCTGCTACTGTTCTATTGAAATGCAACTATACAACTTCCCATAATGTTTCAAAACACCAAACTCTTCTGTAACTCCCCCAGTCTCCCAAAACATCTTATAAAAATCCTAGAACAACTGGCTGGGGGCGATGGCTCACGGCTGTAATCCCAGCACTCTGGGAGGCTGAGGCGGGTGGATCACTTGAGGTTAGGAGTTCGAGACCAGCCTGGCCAACGTGGTGAAACCTCGTCTCTACTGAAAATACAAAAATTAGCCAGGCATGGTGGCGCACACCCGTAATCCCAGCTACTTGGGAGGCTGAGGCAGGAGAATTGCTTGAACTCAGAAGGTGGAGGTTGCAGTGAGCCAAAATTGCACCACTGCACTCCAGCCTGGGTGACAGAGTGAGACTCTGTCTCAAAAAATAAAAATAAAAATCCTATAACAACTGCACAATGCTCAAACGGCCCAATTCCCTACCTTTCCTTTTATACCTTACTACTACTCTCTTGTTGCTCCCATCATGCCTCACTCCCTACTCACATTTCCCAGACGGAGGTTACATGTGATATGGCAGCTGAGAGCCCAGACTCTGGGGCCCGATTGTGTGGGTCCAAATTCTGGTTCTAACACCTCTGGCCAAGTTATTTAACCTCTCTGTGGTGCAGTTTCCTCATCTGTAAAATGGGGGTGTGACAGTAACGCTACCTCATAGGAATGTTGGGATGCCTCAACAGCACTCATGTAAAGCAGAGATGGGTACAAGTAGCTTTATTATATATTATCTGTTTAACAATTGTATATGGGCCAGGCGCAGTGGCTCACGCCTATAATCCCAGCACTTTGGGAGACTGAGGTGGGTGAATCTCTTGAGGTCAGGAGTTCAAGACCAGCCTGGCCAACATGGTGAAACCCCTTCTCTACTAAAATTACAAAAATTAGCCGGGCGTGGTGGTGCGCACCTGTAATCCCAGCTACTCGGGAGGCTGAGGCAGGAGAATCGCTTGAACCCGGGAAGCAGAGGTTGAAATGAGCAGAGATCATGCCACTGCACTCCAGCCTGGGCGACAGCGTAAGACTCCATCTCAAAAACAAGCAAACAATTGTATATGGCCGAAACTTTCCATAATAAAACGTTTTTAAAAATAAGAGTACTTAGCATAGTCTCTGGCACACAGTCAGTGCTGATCTTGGCGTTAGCTTCAACACTCCGACTTTTCCTGACTATCCCCAGCTCCTCCTACAACCCAATTACTCTATAATACCTGTTTCCCCTATAATAACCCACTCTTCACAAACACTTAAATTAACCATAATGAGAGCTGCCAAATAAAATACAGGATGCCCAGCTAAATTTGAATTTCAGATAAACAACAGAGAGTAACTACAATATTATGCATTTTCCGAAATTAGAATTTAACTGGCCATTGCTTTCCCCCTAAATCTGGTAACTCTATCACTAAATGCCTTTGCATACTGAGGAATCCTCAGTGCTTCCTAGAGGCTGCTACTGAGTTGGCCTTCTATAAATAACAACAGAATTAACTTATATAATACCTCAATTCCCTTATAAAACTTCCAGCTTCTCTTTACAGCGCCAGTTCTTCCCAATCGCCTCCCAGTCCCTCCCATAGAGGACAACAGTCCCCTTTTCTTATACCTCCCCTTCTCCATGAAACCCCAATTCCGTCTATAGTCACATCTGTCCTGTTTACCAGTACTGTCAACTGTGCCTGGCTTCCAGCAGGAGCTCTATAATAACTGCAGAATGGCAAAAGAGCTTAATACCCCAATTTTCCCTACTGCTTTGGGAGGCTGAGGCGGGCGGATCCTACTGCGTTTCCACTTCCCCTTGAGCATCCCAAGTATCTAGTAACTTGTCGATTTCAATGATCTCCCCAAATCTCCTTATTACATAGGAATTCACCAAAACACTCCCTGTCCTTGAAAACATCCCATTTCCCCTAATATCACCCCAACTCCCCTTACTGCAGACTGATTCCTCCGGCACACCCTCCATCCCTCCAGTTCCCAGGCTGTTAGTCTAATTTCTCCCGCGAGGTCTCTAATCCCCGTCTCCTTCCACTCCAGGGTTACTGTGGCAACGCCAACCTTTGAATCCCCCTCCTGCGCGCTGAGCGGCTCGTAACCATGGAGACCGAAGCAGGTTTCCCGCGTCCGCCTCCTCACCCAGAGACTGCAGCCCCGGCGCCCAGACCCTTTGGACAAGGAGATCCAAGCGGGCCCCACAATGCTCAGCGGGTAAAGAGCTCCTCCCCACTCCTCTCCCGCCAGCAGACGAAGGAAACACCCCGCAGCCTGCACATGCTCAGATGGAGCTCTGGGCCCGCGGGTTCTACTGCGCAGGCCCTCACACTCAGCAAAGGGACTTGGACGCGAAAGCGCTGGTGGCGCTCAGCCGGCTGGGAGTTGTAGCTTTCTGGCTGCTACAGCAGGAGATACAGGTGGCCAATGGGTGAGCTGGCTGGAGGTAGGAACAAGGTTAAGGAAGCTGGGATCTTCGTGCAGACTGGATCGTCACTATAGCAACAATGAAACATCGGGAAGGGCTAGTTCTGCTAGGCAGTCTGCCATTTTCATTCTTTCATCTTTTTTTTTAACTCAAAGCTTACTTTGCAACAGGCACTGTTCTAGGCACTGGGGATACAATGGAAAACAAAATAGAGCTTCTATTTTGGCGGGAGATCGACTTAATAACTGTGAACACGTGTCACTGGAAAAAGCAGTATGTTAATAAGTAACTGGGCTGCTTTGGGAAAAATGGAAATGCAGGCGATGTTAGAACACTGGTACACACACTAATTCATTCATCCTCACAAAGCCCTATAGACAGGTACTATTATGACCCCTCAACTGTAACATAGGCTGGAAGGTCACATGACAAGGAAGTAGTGGAGCTGGGATTTGAACCCAGGCAGTCTGGCTTCATACTTGATAAGCTTAATCACAATGCCAAAGTGGTAAATAGCTGTGTGGCATAATTTCAGGTAGTGATAAGTGCTGTGAAGGATAAAGCAAAGAAAGGGGCAGGGATGGCTCTTTAGAGAGACTACTTAGGGATGGCTTTCAGGAAGAGGTGGCATTTGAGCAGGGGCCCGAGGGATTGATGTGACTTGTGATAAAAGAAAAACTTCAGACGAATTAAATTTAAAGAAGTTTAATTGGCTAGGCACTGTGGTTCATGCCTGTAATCCCAGCACTTTGGGAGGCCGAGGAGGGCGGATGGCTTCAAGTCAGGAGCTTGAGACCAGCCTGGTCAACATGGCAAAACCCTGTCTCTACTACAAATACAAAAATTAGCTAGGCATGGTGGTGGGCACCTGTAGTCCCAGCTACTCGGGAGGCTGAGGCACAAGAATTGCTTGAACGCAGAAGGTGGAGGTTGTAGTGAGCTGAGATCGCACCACTGTGCTCCAGCCTGTGCAACAGAGCGAGACTCCATCTCTAAATAAATAAATAAATAGAGTTTAATTGAGCAATGAAGGATCCACGAATCAGGTAGCCTCGGGCCAGAGTAGGCTGAAACTCCAGCACAGCCATGTGGTGGAAGATTTATGGACAGAAAAAGGAAAGTGACATACAGAAAACGTAAGTGAGGTACAGAAACAGCTGGATTGATTACAGCTCGGCGTTTGCTGTACACAGTTCGAACAGTTGGCTACATTTGATTGCCCAAAACTCGGTGATTGGCACAAGCGTAGGCCACCTTCTGTTTACACCTCCACTTGTTATAGTTCACGACGTACAGAAAAACCTTCAGGCCGAACTTAAAATATGTAAGGAGGCAGCTTTAGGCTAAACTTGATTTAACACTGTGAGCTATATATGTGGGGCATATAGAGGGTTAAGGTTTACTAACCTTTAGTTTCCTCTTGCCTTCCTGAAGGGCCAAATACTGTAATACGTGCAGTTCCCTCCAATAGGAACGTACTTCTTCATTCTCTTTTCCTGGCAAACACATTCTTCAAGGTCCAGTTCTGTGAAGATCCTTCTGCCTGTTTTTTAAAATTTATTTTTATTTGTTTGTTTATGGTCACATACGTCTCTTCCTGGTCTGGACTCATCCAATCCATTTGTCACAGTAAAGCTTCTGGGGTAGGGGAGGTGGTTATTCTAATGTACATCCAATCAAGCCACTCTCTGTTTAAAACCTTTTGAAGGCTTCCCATACCTCCCAGGATAAAGACTCACCTCATCTTCTATCTTTAAGGGCTTGCGGATTTCACTGTCCAAATCTCTCCCTCTTTCACACTCTGACCCATCTACACTGGCCCATCTTCTCTTTACCTTATGGGCTGAGCTCTTTTCCACCCCAGGGTTCTGTGTGTTATTTGGTGAATCAATTAATGAATTAATTCAGCTTCCCGTCACTAACCAGATAGCCCACATCTAAGAATCTAATGATAAAACAGGCAAGTGGAGAAGTTTTGGATTTGGTTTGCGCTCAATAGCTGTTGTTTGCCTTCCCAGGATCCCTCCTGCCTCCTTTCCTTTCTCTCTTTCTTTTTTTTTTTTTATTTTTTATTTTAAGAGATGGGCATCTCCGGGCGCAGTGGCTCACGCCTGTAATCCCAGCACTTTGGGAGGCCGAGGTGGGCGAATCATGAGGTCAGGAGATCGAGACCATCCTGGCTAACACGGTGAAACCCCGTCTCTACTAAAAAATAGAAAAAATTAGCCGGGTGTGGTGCCGGCCACCTGTAGTCCCAGCTACTCGGGAGGCTGAGGCAGGAGAATGGCGTGAACCCGGGAGGCAGAGCTTGCAGAGAGCCGAGATCGTGCTGCTGCATTCCAGCCTGGGCGACAGAGCGAGACTCCATCTCAAAAAAAAAAAAGAGATGGGCATCACGGGTGTGACTAGCTGGGGCCAGTATCATGGGAGGTAAAGGCATTTATCAAGACAGTCGTAGGGAAAGAAAGGCAGATTTATTAGACAGATAGTACATTGCAAGAAAGCAATGGGCAGCACAGCAGACGAAGAGCTGTCTGCAAAGGCAGGGGCTGCAGGGAAGTTTCATAGGGTTGTACTGGAGGGGTCTACGTGCTGAACGAGTTACCCTAGTCCTCCCGGCCAAGGCATTTTTTGAGACAGAGTCTCACTCTGTCACCCAGGCTGGAGTGCAGTGGAACAATCATGGCTCACTGCAGCTTCGACCTCCCAGGCTCAGGAGATCCTCCCACCTTAGCCTCTTGAGTAGCTGAGATCACAGACGTGCACCATCATACCAGGCTAATTTTGTTTCTATTTTTGTAGAAACGGGGTCTTCCTATGTTGCCCAGGTTCGTCTTGAACTCCTGGGCTCAAGCGGTCCTCCCACTTTGGCCCCCCAAAGTGCTGGGATTTCAGACATGAGCCACCAAGCCCTGCCAAGGCCTTTTTAGTTCACCCAAAAGCCAGATGACTCCCGATATGTGGGCAAGCCCAACGAAGATCAGCTACTTTATCAAGATTAGCTGCTTTCATTTTTTTTAAATAAGCCTATTTCCGATAATTGTAGGTTTATGATCAGTTGCTTTGCTTTTCAAAGTATAACATGCATACTAGGATCTTGTTAGAATGAGATTCTGATTCTGTAGTTTTGGAATGGGTTTGAGAATCTGCATTTCTTTCTTTTTTCTTTCTTTCTTTTTCTTGAGATGGAGTTTTACTTTGTCGCACAGGCTGGAGTGCAGTGGAGCGATCTCGGCTCACTGCAACCTCCGCCTCCTGGGTTCAAGAGATTCTCCTGCCTCAGCCTCCCGAGTAGCTGGGACTACAGGTGCGCCACCACGCCCAGCTAATTTTTGTATTTTTAGTAGAGGCAGGGTTTCACCATGTTGGCCAGCATGGTCTCGATCTCCTGACCTCAGGTGATCCGCCCACCTCAGCCTCCCAAAGTGCTGGGATTACAGGTGTGAGCCACCGTGCCCAGCCGAGAATCTGCATTTCTAACAAGCTCCTAGGGAATGTTCATGACACTGTTGCATGCACCACACTGAAAAGCAAGGGTCTAGCCAACCCCTCAGGTGACCCAAGACTCATAAGCAATACGTGTTCATTTTTATTATTGTTTTAACTTTTAAAGTCAGGGGTACATGTGCAGGTTTGTTGTATAGGTAAACTTTTATCATGGGGGTTTGTTGTACAGATTATTTTGTCACCCAGGTATTAAGCCTAGTACCCATTAGTTATTTTTCCCGATCCTCTCCCTCCTCCCATCCTCCACCCCCTAGTAGGTCTCCATGTGTGTTGCCCCTCTCTCTGTGTCATTTCTTCTCATCATTTAGCTCCCACTTATAAGTGAGAGCATGCAGTATTTGGTTTTCTGTTCCTGTGTTAGTTCATTAAGGATAATGACCTCCAGCTCCATCCATGTCCCTGCAAAGAACATGATCTAGTTGTTTAATGGCTCTATAGTATTCCATGGTGTATATGTACCATATTTTCTTTATCTAGCTTATGATTATTGATGGGCATTTAGGTTGATTCCAAATACATGTTTATTGTTATATACTTAGGAAGTTTTATAGTTGTTAACACAGCATTTATGTAGCCATGGATAACTGATAACCTCCATAAATCCAACCTGCTGCTTCCTTGAGACTTAATATACGAATGCTGATAGAATGGTATTTTTGGATCAAGATAGGAGGGTGTGATATGGGAACTTCTAGTCCCCCCCTTTCTCAGGAGAGAGCTGTCTTTTGAAGAAATCCATCGCACGAAAAGCAGGCGAGAGAGGGGAAACCTGACATTGTTTGAGCCCCTGCAGTCAGCTGCCATCAAAGCCTTTGACTTCGCATGACTTGAACCACTGAATCATTTTTTTTCTTTTTTTTTTTTTTTGACAGAGTCTCGCTCTGTCACCCAGGCTGGAGTGCAGTGGCACGATCTTGGCTCACTGCAACCTGCGCCTCTTGGGTTCAAGCAATTCTCATGCTTCAGCCTCCCAAGTAGCTGGGACTACAGGCACCCGCCACCACATCTGGCTAATTTTTGTATTTTTAGTAGAGACAGGATTTTGCCTTGCTGGCCAGGCTGGTCTTGAACTCCTGGCCTTAAGTGATCCACCTACCTCAGCCTCCCAAAGTGCTGGAATTACAGGTGTGAGCCACCACACCCGGCCTGAATTGTCTTTTATCTCAAGTTCCTTCATTGCTACTCAAAGTGTGCTCCACAACCCAGCACAGCCACATCATCGGAGAGCTTGCTAGAATGTTGGGCCCTATCTTAGACCTACTGAGTCAGACTCTGTATTTTAAGAAGGTGCCCACGTGACTCACGTCCACGCTAAAGTTTGAAAAATGCTGAGCTACTTCAACCTGGACTTTGTCACCTATAATAGAATTAAATCCCCTTCATCAGTTGCGACAACAGAAACCCCAACTCAAACTTCCCTAAATCATTAGGGTATCTTTGATTGGCCAGGTGCAATGGCCCACATCTGTAATTCTAGCACTTTGGGAGGCTGAAGCAGGGGCATCGCTTGAGGCCAGGAGTTTGAGAACAGCCCAAGTAACGTAGCAAGAGACCTCATCTTTACAAAAAGTTAAAAAAAAGAAAAGAAAAGAAAAGAAAAAGAAATTAGCTAGGTGGTAGCACGAGCCTATAGTCCTAGCTACTCAGGAGGCTGAGCTGGAGGATCCCTTGGGCCCAAGAGCTGGAAGGCTGCAGTGAGCTATGTTTGCACCACTGCACTCCAGCCTGGGCCAGAGCGAGACACTGTCTCTAACAAAAAAGGATATATTTTACTTAAGAAGCCCCATGGTAGAGCAGACTCGAGAGACTCAACTGAGCCAAGCAAAGATCCAGATTTTCTTCATCTCAGCTCTGTCATCCTCAGTGTGGACTTCATTATCACACCATACCAAGGTAATCATCAGCAGGTCTAGGCCTGATCATGTCTCTAGGCCTTCTTAGGAGTGATAGAATCTTTATTAGAAGCCTCCTAGGCCGGGCGCAGTGGCTTACGCTTGTGATCCCAGCACTTTAGGAGGCTGAGGCGAGCAGGTCACCTGAGGTCAGGAGTTTGAGACCAGCCTGGCCAACATGGTGAAACCCCGTCTCTACTAAAAATACAAAAATTTGCCAGGTGTGATGGCGCACACCTGTAATCCCAGCTACTCAGGTGACTGAGGTATGAAAATCACTTGAACCTGGGAGGTGGAGGTTGCAGTGAGCCGGGAACGTGCCATTGCATTCCAGCCTGGGTAACAGAGCAAGACTCAAAAAAAAAAAAAAAAAAGCTTCCTAGTTCTGAGCACAGTGGCTCACACCTGTAATCCCAGCACTTTGGGAGGCTGTGGCAGGAGGATTGCTTAAGCCGAGGAGTCCAAGACCAGCCTGAGTAACATAGCAAGACCCTGTTTCTACAAAAATATAAAAATAAAAAAGCCTCCCACCTCAACCTGAGCAGACTCGTTGACCAGGACTGGGTCACAGGCCCATTCTGTGGCCAGGACATTTGGCATGAGTCAGTCATTTGAAGGTAGAATCGACTCATGTCAAGAAGTTGCCACTGGGACGCACTGGTCCAGATGATGGAGGAGGAAGCTTGAGTTGCTATGGAGATGAATTCATTGTGGCTCCTCTATCCATCTGGCCCCAGGAGGCCTTGTCGGTAGAAAGAATGAAGGAACGCTGGACCATCTCAACTGTTCCCTGGATCTGGGACTCCCAACCAACCCCAGAAGCCAAGAACTCATCACGGAAACCAAAATAAGATTGTTTTATTCCAATCCTGAAGAACAATAGTCCAAACAATTCCCCTCCCCTGCTGGAGACTCTCCTGACCCCCAGTGCCCGCCCTCCCTCTCTCTTCAGAAGGCGATGGGGGTCGATGTCTCCAGGTCTTGGAGAAAAACCAAAACCACGCCCCTTGCATTTCGTCTCTACCCGTCTCCCACACATTTCTTTTGTCTCATCTCCGATTTTTCTTCCCCCTCCTACATCCCGTCCCTTCCTCTCCTGCTTCCCCCAGCTTTTCCTCATGTCTTCATTTCTGTCTCTTTGCTTGTCCTCTCTCCTCCATTTCCGGCTCCCCTTTCCATTTTTTCTCGCTTACCTCCTCTCCTTCATCTGTCTTCTGTACTTTCTCCCTTTCCCCTCTCCCCGCTGCACTCCCTAGACTGGCCAGTCTACTCTTGCCAGACACTCCCCATATGATCGCTTCCTCCCCCTCCCCCCAGCTCTGCCCCTTTCCTTCCTTCTGTCCCAGCCTGACCCTGTCTACACCTCTCATCACATGCTTCCTCTCCAGAGGGAAGCCCTCAGAATCCACCCTGCCCATCAACACCTTCCCAAGCTGTGGCTCCAGGACCTCAGAGACCACTTACAGCTTGCCCTTGGACCCAGAGAGGCAAACTGCCATGAGGAGGTCCCTGGATGACCCAGAAGGTGGCCAGGGGGACTGCAACGGTCTCCTTGGCCTCAGCCCTATTATCTTTGGGATCGAAGAATGCCCTCCGACCCTCCTGGTGGAGGGTGGTGGGCAGAGGCATGAAGGGTCAGGGCTCTGGGGCTCTCCCCCAGCAATCCCTGAGCAGGTCCATGTGGAATAAGGCAGCCCCAGTGAGGAGGCGCGCTGCAAAGAGGTGTCTGCAGGGCAGACGGCGGGCGGCGTGAATTGAGCAGCTGCAGCGTGTCAGGGCCCCATCCAGGAAGAAGTCCGAGGTGCCGTCCTTAAGGGCAAAGCCAGCTCCGGTCCAGTGGAAACCCCGGGTCCCATGCTGCCTAGCAAAGGCCAACTCCTCAGCCACCAGGTCTGCCAGCTCTGGCCCGCAGGCTGCTCGGAATTTGGCCAGGGGTTCCCAGTCCACCTCCTCCTCTCCCGGGGGTCGGCAAAGCCTCTTTGGTTCCCTGGGGCCATCTTCGCCTCCTTCCTGCAGGCCGTCACCTGCAGCCAGGTGTTCACTCCTCGCCGCTGCCCATTCTGGGCTGCCTTCCAATACAGTCCCCACCGGGGTGCCAGACACGACTCCATTCCCCAGCCCTAGACACCGCCCTCCTGCGTCTCCCCACTCCATCCCTCGTCCGGCTCGGCTCTTGGGGCCCACGGACCGGGCTCCCCCTCCATCTCCATTCTCCATGCCTGTGACCCTCGTGTCTCCCAGCTGGACCAGAACTATATCCTCCAGGCCCCTTCTTCTTTTGACCCCCACCCTCGCTCCCCTCTCCTCTGCAATCTCTGGCCCTCTCCTCCTCTCATCTTCCCACTGGGGTCCCCTTTGGTCTCCGTTCTCAGGGGCCAACTCCAGGGACTTCTCCAAGGGGATCCCCCTCAAGTTTCTGACCTCCAGCCCCCTCCCCTTCTCTACTTCTGACTGTGGCCCCTTCCATTCTGCAGTTCTCAGTCCCCCTGCCCTTTCATCGTGCAGCTGCGCCCCCCTCCAGGGGCTTCCTTCAAGACTCCTGACCCTCTCATAGTCAAACTGGGTCCCCCTCAGGTCGGTGGTACTCCTGCGATCTTCCAGCTGGGCCACCCTCCAGGTATACCCTTCCAATCCTCTTAGCGCCTGGTCCTCCAACTGGGACCCCCTCCAGACATAACCTTCCAGTCCCCAATCTTTCTCACCCTCCAACTGGGGCCCCCTCCAGTCTCTAATCTCTGGCCCTCTCAGGTGCCCTTTCTCTAACTTCGACCCTCTCAAGACACCCCCTTCCAGTCCCCTCGGCTTCTGATTCTCCAACCGACCCCCTCTCCAATCTCTGATCTGCAGTGCCCTCCCCTTCTCACCTTCGAACTGAGCCCCGCCCCAGTCTCTGGTTTCCAGTGCCCTTGCCCACTCCTTCTCCATCTGGGCTCCCCTCCAAATACTTCCTTCTTTCGGAGCCCCTCCCCAGTCGCCTGTCTCCAGGCCCCTCACCCTCTCGTTCTCCCCCTGGGCTCCCCTCCCTGGCTCATCCTCCAGCCAAGGCCCCCCGCCATCGGGCCCCTCGGGCACCGCCTCCCCGGCCGCGTCGGCCCACTGCATGGCCACCAGGTCGCGAAGGCACTGCGCCACGCCACGCGAGGGGCTGAGACGACGCAGCAGTCGCCGGCGGTGGCCTCGCACCAGGGCACACGCGTCCAGGTCTCTGGCCGCCTCGAAGGCGCGGAAGCGGACCCACATGTCGCGGCGGGGCTCCCAGTTGCGCTCGAAGTAGTCCACGAAGGCGGCTGGGCCGTGGGCGTGGAGCTCGGCCAGCGCCTCGTCGTAGGCTGCGGGCGACGACGCGCCAGCCAGGCGGCACAGGCGCGACCACAGGCCCGGGTCCTCGCGGCCGGCGCCGCCCAGCTCCTGCGCCTTGCTGAAGAGCGTCTCCAGGCCCTGCGCGCGGCAGATCTGCACGCGCGCGCAGGGCAGCAGCTGGCGCACTGCAGGCAACTGCGCCGCCACCTCGGGCCCGGCGGTGAGGCAGCGCACGCGGCCCTTGACGTCTGGCGCGCTCTGCAGCAGCGACGCGAGCGCGAAGCGCAGCAGGCTCGGTGTGCCCGGGCGCGCCACGCAGCAGGCAGCCTGGCGCGCACGGCCCGAGCCGTCCACGCACAGCACGGCCAGCAGATCCAGCGCGCCCTGCAGCCCCGGCAGCCGGTCCACCAGCAGCATGCGAGGGAAGCGCCGCAGCAGCGCCCTGGTGCGCGACGTCAGGAAGAACACCGTCTCCACCACAGCCTGGTCCTCCACGAACACCAGCTTCACCTGCGGGCGGGGGCAGGGAGGCAAGGAAAGAGGTCAGAGGATGCTGGGGTCTCCCCGCCCAGCTCCCCGACCTCGGTTTCCCCTTCTACGGAAATGGGACCACCCATTCATTCTTGCCTGCATATGCATTTATTCTTTTGACCGGCAGGAGGCAGTGCAGGGAAATGGTTAAAAACACTCTGGAGCCGGATTGCCTGGGTTTGAGATCCAGGTACCACAGTCTAACGGCTATGTGATTTTTTCCACATGACACTTTTAGCTTCTCTGAGCCTCAGTTTCCTCCGCCGGAAGCTGGCTATTCATTCCTCCGTGTGCTGAGAGGCAGTCTAGGGCAGTGGGTCTCAAAATGTGGGCCCTGGACCAGCAGCATCACCATCGGTTCTTGGGACCTGGACAGAAATGCACCTTCTCGGGGCCACCTCAGACCCACTGAGTCTGAAACTCTGGGGGCGGGCCCCAGCAATCTAGTTTGACAAGCCCTCCAGGGGACTCCTATGCATGCTTAAGGATGACTGGTCTGGTGGTAATGAGCTTAGATTGTGGAGGCAGATCATTTAGCTTTGAGTCCCACCCCCAACACTTCTGAACCCTGCGATTTAACCTCTCTGTGCCTCAGTTGCCTCCTTAACCTCCATATTCCCTGATTATCCCTTCTAGGCACTGAACATTCATTTCTCCATGCACTGAGAGGCAGGACAGTGGTGAAAAGCATAGCCTCTGAGGCCAAGATCCCTGGGCTGAGATCCTGGAGCCCCTGCTTCCTGGCTGTGTGCCTTCTGCCAACTTCCCTAACCTCCCTTTCATTTGTAAAGTGATGATAATAAGAGCATCTCTGTGATTGGAAAGATGAGATGCATTCAAGCATTTAGAACATTGCCTGGTACATATATTACTGTTATTACTTATCCAACAAATAGTAAGTGTTCTGAAAGTGGCCATTATAATTATCGTCTCTGTTCAAACATCACGTCCCGCTCTTCTGTGACTTCCCAACTAAGCAGACACCCCATCTCTCTCTGCCTCCTTTTGGCCATGGCACTTACCACCCTTTGGCAAGTCATATCTTCGTTTCCTGATCTGCCCATTGCCTGCTTGCCCTCCTTAAGATGGAAGCCCCACAAGCACAGGGATGTTCCCCTTCGGGATGGTCTCTCCTGGCCTCTGCCCTATGTGGCTCTTCCCTTTGCTGATTTTATTCCGTGTCCTTCTGCTGTAATAAACTGTAGCCTTGGCTATAACAGCACCCCTGATGCTTTGAATGCTACCTGCCCTGGAACAATGGCTCAATACATCCTGAGTGAGTGAACTCACGCGAGGGTGTGCAGCCATGTCCAAGGCCACATCTGTAAGGGTGGAGGTTTAAGGATCAGACTCCTGGATTTGCCTATTAGCCGTGGGACTTCAGGCAAGTGACCTCTCCTCAATGAGCCTTGGTTCCTTGTCTGGAAAAATGGAGATGTCTATTTAACAGGGTCATGGATGGGCTAAAATGAGATCACTCCTGGCCAACGCATGGAAGGACACCTGGCGTGCATCAGCTCTCAGCCGTTCTTACCGTCTGTCTCGATCTCTCAGCAGTATTCAGCACAAGTCTACATGGCTGACCCCAATAACAACCCTGGACACCAAGGCCCAAGTAAGTGTCCCTGGCTAGCAATACATCATTGTTGTCACATGTCATTGCTGGGAGAACTGAGCACTGTCCATGGGACTTCACTGAGAGACGACATCTGGCAGCTCATGCTGGTCTCTCTTGGCCTCTGCCCTATGTGCTGCTGTTAGATAATTAAGGAATCAGAGAGACTGATGGGGTCGCCTTGTGTGGCTCTTGCCTTTGCTGATTTTACTCTGTATCCTTTTGCTGTAATAAACTGTAGCCTTGACTATAACAATTTTTCTCAGTTCTGTGATTCCTTCTAGTGAATCATGGAAACTGAGGGTGGTCTTAGGGACCCCCATCTGCACCAGAGGAGTGACTTGCCCAAGGCCACTGCGCTAACAAGCAGTGATGCTGGGATCCAATAGATCCGGGCCATTAGGAATGATTGGAAACAAAAGCAGTAGGTGGGAGAACATGCATGGGCGGCATTTTAAGGGGCAGGGTGACATTTGATGAAGGCGGGGCTATGTAAATGTGTGTGTGTGTGTGTGTGTATATATATATATATATATTTTTTTTTTTTTTTTTTTTTTTTTTTTTTTTGAGACAGAGTCTCACTCTGTCGCCCTGGCTGGAGTGCAGTGGCGTGATCTTGGCTCACTGCAACCTCTGCCTCCCGGGTTCAAGCGATTCTTCCTCCTCAGCCTCCCAAGTAGTTGGGATTACAGGTGCCCGCCACCACGCCTGGCTAATTTTTGTATTATTAGTAGAGATGGGGTTTCACCATGTTGGCCAGGCTGATGAATACATTTTTCTGCCAGATATTTACTGAGAAAATATGATGTGCCATGTGCTGGCTCAGGCACAGAGGAGAACAAATGAGACACACCACTGAGTGAGAGGAGACAGCCCCCAGGCCAAGGATAAATAAATATAAAAAAGAAGGTTTCGGGTGTGCAAAGCACACATGAAGTAGTTTCTCTGCACCAGGCACAGTTCCAACAGCTAATCTTTCATCCTTACAATATCCCTGTAAGATAGATACTATGATTCTCATTCCCCTTTTTCAGATGAGGACACCGAGGCACACACGGCTTCAGTTGCTTGCCTGGAGTCACCCATGCGATTTGCAATACCAGGTGAGCTGGGATTTGAACCCTGACAGCTTGGGTCCAGGGCTTCTTGTTCCTGACCACTCTACCCTACAGCCTTCAAAAAATTGACCAAACAGGGCTGGCTTAGGCACACAGTGGACAGCAGTGCATTTTGCAGAGATGGAGAAACCCACGGAGGAACAGATTTTGAGGATGCAGATGAATGTACGGGTGTCCTTTCAGACACACAAATTGGTAGCACGGGGAAGCATCTGCCATAGACGACAGATTCCACAAACATGAACATCAGAAACCATGCCTTTACTACTTTCCATTCACACCTCTTCCGACACGTGAGTAAACCTTCCCTTTTCCATGTGATCAGAATGTTCACATGAAACTGTTCTCCAGACTGCCCCAAAGAAAAAATTGAAGGAATAAAAATAATAGCTAAGGCTGGGCACAGTGGCTTACGCCTGTAATCCCAGCACTTTGGGAAGCCGAGGCAGGTGGATCACCTGAGGTCAGGAGTTCAAGACCAGCCTGACCAACATGGTGAAACCCCACCTCTATTAAAAATACAAAAATTAGCTGGGCGTGGTGGTGCGCGCCTGTAATCTCAGCTACTTGGGAGGCTGAGACAGGAGAATTGCTTGAACCCGGGAGGCGGAGGCTGCAGTGAGCCGAGATTGTGCCACTGTACTCCAGCCTGGGCGACAGAGAGAGACTCCATCTCAAAAAAACAAACAAACAAACAACAACAACAAAATAATAGCTAAATATTGAACATATGCAGGGCTTCCTACTTCTGGGCACGGTTCTACCCATTCTGCACACACACACACACACACACACACACACACACATACACATACACACTGCACTTTCTCACACAACAACCCCAACAGCCCTATAAGATAGTATTATCCCCATTTTACAGATAAATGAACTAAGGGTTGGAGAAGGTAAATAGGTTGTTCATAACTTGTTCCATGTCCCACAGCTAGTAACTGGCACAGCCAGAACATTCATAAAGCTTTCAGCACATAGCAACATAAATAAAATCAAGTCACCAGCTGTTACTATAACACCCCAAAATGGCTTCATGTGAAAACAGGCTATACGGCATAGAAAATATTCCCTCTGGGAGCCATGAAAAACTAGAAAAGCTGAAACTAAGCTGCAGGAGGCCTGTGTAACTACATAGCAGGGGAAACACGAGCCCCATATTCAGACAGGGCTTTGGGCGGCCCTTGATGAAACAGTACCCTGTGGTTATCTTTTGCCGCTTGCCAAGAAATTGCAGTTCTCCCTCTCCCGGGCACTTAGTAGCGTTGCACCTCCCTGCCCCCTTGCAGGTAAGCAGTGTCATGTGACTTGCTTTGGCCAATCAAGTGTGAGTGGGAGGGAGCTGCGGCATCGCATCCAAGGAGAAGCCTTCGCAGCCACCGCTGCCAGATATGGTAATTACGTTGGGCTGAATGCCCATCCTCCTGGGTCCCAGAATGACTCAGATAAACAGTACTCCCCCAACATCCCGTGGTGGCTGTGTAAGTGAGCAAGAAATAAAATTCAATGAGTTCAGCCACTGAGATTTGAGGGCTGTTCATTATTACAGCAAAACCTAGGCCATCCTGACTCACACAACCTCAAGACCCTCTATAACTCGCCCTCTAATTTTTCCTTTGAGGAGAGAAACAAATGCGTTTAGTATGTTGGGACTATTGCTTAATTTTCTTTCTTTTTTTTTTTTTTGAGATGGAGTCTCAATCTGTCACCCAGGCTGGAGTACAGTGGCATGATCTCGGCTCACTGCGACCTCCGCCACCCCAGGTTTAAGTGATTCTTCTGCCTCAGTCTCCCGAGTAGCTGGGACTACAGGCACCCACGAGCATGCCTGGCTAATTTATGTATTTTTAGTAGAGACGGGGTTTCACCATGTTGGCCAAGCTGGTCTCAAACTCTTGACCTCAAGTGATCCACCCACCTCAGCCTCTCGAAGTGCTGGGATTACAGGTGTGAGCCACTGCGCCCACCTTCTATTTTCATCTTCTTTTTAAGAATTAATTATTTGAATATGCAAACATCCACATGGTCCTAAAGTCAAATAATGTAAAGCGATACATAAAAGGTCTTACTCCCACCTCTTTAGTCTAATCAGTCAGTTTCCATTCACTATTCTACCCTCATCCACAGTTCTTGGTATTCTTCTAGAGTTTCTTTATATGAGTACAAGTAAGCATACCTATAATTCTTATTTGCTCTATTTTATAGATAATACAGCATATTATGTACAGTTTTGCATTTTGCTTTTTTAACTTAAAAATGTGTTTGAGAGATCTTTCAAAATAGTTCCTAGACTTGTTCTTATTCTTTTTTTTTTGTTTGTTTAGGATGGAGTCTCACTCTGTCGCCCAGGCTGGAGTGCAGTAGCACGATCTTGGCTCGCTGCAAGCTACGCCTCCTGAGTTCACACCATTCTCCTGCCTCAGCCTCCCGAGTAGCTGGGACTACAGGTGCCTGCCACCATGCCTGGCTAATTTTTTGTATTTTTAGTAGTGACAGGGTTTCACCATGTGAGCCAGGATGGTCTTGATCTCCTGACCTTGTGATCTGCCCGCCTCGGCTTCCCAAAGTTCTCATTCTTTTTTAGTGCTGTGTAGTAATCCATGGATGGATATACCACAAGTTATGTAACCATTACCCGTTGGTGGAGTCTGGGTTGTTTCTAATCTGCTGCTTTCACAAACAACAATGATTAACCTTGTAAGTAAGTCCTTCCACAGCTGTGCAACTACATCTGCAGGATAAATCACCAGTAGTGGGATTGTGAGCCTAAGGGTGAGTGTTCTTGTCATTTTGATAGATATTGCTAAATTGCCCTCCACTGAGATCATACCAGCTTCCCATGGAGTATTCTTTTTTTTTGAGATGGAGTCTCGCTCTGTCACCCAGGCTGGAGTACAGTGGTGTGAGCTCAGCTCACTGCAAGCTCCGCCTTCCGGGTTCACGCCATTCTCCTGCCTCAGCCTCCCAAGTAGCTGGGACTACAGGCGCCTGCCACCACACCTGGCTAATTTTTTGTATTTTTAGTAGAGACGGGGTTTCACCATGTTAGCCAGGCTGGTCTCGATCTCCTGACCTCGTGATCCACCCGCCTCAGCCTCCCAAAGTGCTGGGCTTACAGGTGTGAGCCATCACGCCTGGCCCCATTGAGTATTCTTAAAAGGGATACACTTGCATCAATGCTCGCCATTCTCAGAAGGCAAAGCATACACGTAAGAGAACGCTGCAACGTTTCCGGGCAAGGTCTCTCTTTTCAGGGCTTGCTTGCTGGTTACCCTGGTGCCTGCCACAAGTGAGGGAATGGAGATGTGACTGGACCCCAAAGCCCATCATCATCAGGCAGGGCAGGTGATAAAAGGTGTTAAAGGTTGGGTGCGGTGGCTCACGCCTGTAATCCCAGCACTTTGGGAGGCCGAGGCAGGCAGATCACCAGGCCAGGAGATCGAGACCATTCTGGCCAACATGATGAAACCCCATCTCTACTAAAACACACACACACAAAATTAGCCAGGCCTGGTGGCGCACGCCTGTAGTCCCAGCTACTCAAGAGGCTGAGGCACAAGAATCACCTGAACCTGGGAGATGGAGGTCGTGCTGAGCCAAGATTGCGCCACTGCACTCCAGCCTGGGAGACAGAGCGAGACTCCATCTCAAAAAAAAAAAAAGGTATTAACACCTCCCTGGGTGAAGTCGCCCCCCAGTCTTGCCCTTAAATCATGCCTTGTGGCTTTGGGCGCATCCTTCTTGTCTGATCCCCTCCAAAGATCAAGAGAGCAACCCAACTCAGGAAGTGCAGGCACTTTTTACAAATAATCCTTCCTTTGGAAGACTGCTGGGAAGTGGAAAGACTGATTGTTGCTTGACCTAGGCTTGGGATGAAAATTTAAAGCTTGCTGTCTGTCTGTCTATCTATCTATCTATCTATCTATCTATCTATCTATCTATCTATCTATTTAAAGGGTCTCACTCTGTTGTCAAGGCTGGAGTACAGTGGTGTGATCATAGCTTACTGCAGCCTGAAGCTCCTGGGCTCAAGCAACCCTCGTGCCTCAGCCTCTTGAGTAGCTGGGACTACAGATGCATGCCACCATGCCTAATTTTTTTTTTTTTAATTTTTTGTAGAGACAGGTGCTCGTTATGTTGGCCAGGCTGGTCTTGAACTCCTGGGCTCAAGTGATCCTCTCGCTTCGGCCTCCCAAAGTGCTGAGATTACAGGTGTGAGCCATCGCACCTATTATATTATCAATATTACATGTTATGCGTTACATATTATAATATTAATATAATATATAATATTATATTATATAATATATAATATATATAATATTATATATAATATATATAATATAATATAATAATAATATAATATATAATATATATAATATAATATAATATATTATAATATAATATATAATATATATAATATATATAATTAATATATAATATATAATATATATAATATAATATAATATATAATTATAATATATAATTAATATAATATATTAATTATTACATTATACTGTTATATTACTACTGTATTATTAACATAATAATATAGAACTCTTTCATTAGATTTTATAAGTGAAAAAAAGGTGAAATTTCTGTGTAAAAGTGATGGATTGAACACCTCTCTAGTTTCACTCTCTCTTGAACCTCAATTACATCTTTTTTTTAAAATGGCTTTTTTTTTTTTTTAAATCAGAGGCAATATGATAGGGACAGAACTTTGGAAACTGGAAAGCAGCTGGACATGCTAATCCCACCCCACCCCTAAAAACCCATGAATCCTAAGCCAGCAATTGAGGGATGCTGAGAACCGGTAGCAAAGTCCTCAAAAGGAGCTGGCAACACCAGGCCAGTTTTGCAGAAGGCAAAATAAAGACGAACTGAGGGCTGTTTCAGCAGCAGCTAGACCTCCAAATCTCGTTTCCCCTCTCCCCTTACTCTTCCCCCACCCCCAGTGACTGGGGGTTTATTCTGTAGACAGGGTGAAACAGAAAGGGGCCGCTGGCTTTGGGGACATCTGGCCCATCTGAAGATGAGGGAGGGGGATTCTGAACCCCAAGTGGGTACTGAGTGCGTCTTGCTGGCTGAATGCCTGACAGCTCCCTGCCTCTGCCCCTGCAGCTCCCAGAAGCTGGCAGCCTGGCCCTGGCAGCCTGGCCTTCACCCCCCGCCAGGAGGCCAGAGGAGTTTTCTCAGGGGGATTTGACCAGCCCCAGAGGAAGAACGAAAGATGGTGACATCTGGCACTCCCCAACGTATAAAGCAAGATGCAAAACAGCATGTACAGGCCGGGTGTGGTGGCCCCGACCTGTAATCCCAGCACTTCAGGAGGCCAAGGTGAGTGGATCACTTGAGGTCAGGAGTTTGAGACCAGCTTGGCCAACATGGTGAAACCTCGTCTCTACTAAAAATACAAAAATTAGCCAGGCATGGTGGTGCATGCCTATAGTCCCAGTTACTCAGGAGGCTGAGGCAGGAGAATCACTTGAGCCCAGGAGGTGGAGGTTATAGTGAGCCAACAGCGTGCCACTGCACTCCAGCCTGGGTGACAGGAGTGAAACCCTGTCTCAAAGAACAAACAAACAAACAAACAAAAACAGCGTGTACACTAGGCTGCCCTGCTTGCTGGGGGTGGGGGGTGGCGGGGCAGAAAGAGGAAATAAAGTTAAAAATTAAAGTTAAACATACAGACATGCAAATTGACCTGTATATGTGCAGAGCTGCGCTGTCCAATCCAGAAGCCACTAGCTACATTAGGTTGTTTACATTTCGATAAATTAAATGACAAATTCAGTTCCTCAGTCATACTGGCCTCATTAAGCATTCTGTAGCCATGTGTGGCCAGTGGCCTCTGGATTGGACAGTACAGATAAGAACCATTTTCTTTCTTTTTATTTTTTTAGACAAGAGTGTCACTCTGTTACCTAGGCCAGAGTACAGTGGCATAATCTCAGCTCACTGCAACCTCTGCCTCCTGGGTTCAAGCGATTCTTGTGCCTCAGCCTCCCGAGTAGCTGAGATTACAGGCACCTGCCACCATGCCTGGCTAATTTTGAATTTTTAGTAGAGATCAGGTTTTGCCATGTTGGCCATGCTGGTCTCGAACTCCTGCCATCAGGTGATCCATCTGCCTCAGAGTCCCAAAGTGCTGGGATTACAGGTGTGAGTAACCATGCCTAGCCTGGATAAGGAACATTTCTATCATTGTAGAAAGTTCCACCGGGCAGTGCTGGTCCATAGGATAGAAAGCGAGATATGATTTATAAGCTGCTAATAACTCTGCAGGGGAGGGGACCTGGGGGACAGGATGTGATAAGACTTTTCACCACATACCTTTTTTAGAACCATGTGAATGTATGACATATTCAAAAAGTAAATATTTAAATGTTGCTTCACTAATCTGTCTCTCCTGTCCTAGAACTTCTTCCTCCTTTCTTTCAAGAGCATTAAGGGGCTGGGCACGGTGGCTCATGCCTGTAATCCCAGCACTTTGGGAGGCCAAGGCGGGGGGATCACCTGAGGTCAGGAGTTCAAGACCAGCCTGACCAACATGGAGAAACCCCGTCTCTTCTAAAAACACAAAAATTAGCATGGTGGCGCATGCCTGTAATCCCAGCTACTCAGGAGGCTGAGGCAGGAGAATCGTTTGAACCCGGGAGGCGGAGGTTGCGGTGAGCCAAGATTCCGCCATTGCACTCCAGCCTGGGTGACAAGAGCGAAACTCCGTCTCAAAAAAAAAAAAAAAAAAAGTATGAAAGCAGGTCAAAACACAGACGCAGGAGCCAACCGTGGTTTAGCCGAGATTCCAAGACAGCCTTCAAAATGAAAAGACAACTCCCCTTCCAGGGAAGGCTCTGATCTATGAATGAGCTGTTCTGCACAGGGACAATCCTGCAGAGGGTGGGTTCAGGGAAGAACAGCTGAGGCTTATTTATGTCATGGTGGGTAGTGGAGGAGAGTTACTAGATCAGCAAAGACCAGTGGAGTAGGAAGTGCATGTGTGTTTGTCCCCATGGTGAAGGTCATGGGTCTGGATCCAGGCTGTGTGGGTCCGAAGCCCAGCTCTGTCACTAAATAGCTGTGTGACTTTGAGCCAGTTACTTGACTTCTCTGTGCTTCAGTTTCCTTGTCTGTAAAATGGGGATGAGAATGGTGGACTATTTCCTCATAGGGCTCAGGTGAGATGAAAATGAGTTATAGTATGTAAAGCACTTAGGGTAGTGCCTGGCATATAGTAAGTGCTTGATAAACATTAGCTAAAATTATTATTATGTCGGGACAGAGGCCTGGGCTTGGGCTGGTGGCTTGAATCAGGGCTTCTTACTGGGCATGAGATGAAGACAGGAAGAGTGTGCCAGAGCTGAATCTCGACTTTACCCTGCCTTGGGACCTCTTCCACACACAAGGGAGACAAAGGCACAGCCAGGAGGAGAAACCAGTTCTTCCCCTACTTTCTCATCTTTCTTTCCTCTTTAAACTTCAAGTTCACCCCAAACTTGAAGTTGGATTAAAGCCGCAGAGATTCCTTATGGAGCAGCAGCCATCCTCACTGTTCCTCCAACACAAGCTTGCTCGTGCCTCTGGGCCTTTGCACTGGCTGTTCCTTCTGCCTAGAATTCTCTTCCCTCTGATGACAGAATGAGGGTCCCTTGCCTCTGTTCCATCTCCTCTGCTTCACCATCATTTGCTAAAGAGACCTTCCCTGACCAATTCAAACAGCACCCTTAGAACTGTCCCGCTCCAGGCCCCGGCCTTTTTCTCCTTGATGATAACTTATCGCTCCATCACATTACAGGACATAGCACTCTTCCTTCTCCTAATTCTCCATCTGCATGGTGGGTTCAGGTGTGTTCTCCCCTTGAGAACATTCATCAAACTAAGTATTTATCATTTGTGCATTTTCTGTTTGTGCAGTTCAATTAAAAAAAAAAAAATTTAAGTAGGCCTGGCGTGGTGGCTCATGCCTGTAATCCCAGCACTTTGGGAGGCCGAAGCAGGACTGCTTCAGTCTGGGAGTTCAAGACTAGCCTGGGCAACATAGGGAGACCCCCCCCCGCCAAACATCTCTACAAAAACTAAAAAATTAGCTGGGTGTGGTGGTGCACGCCTGTTGTCCCAGCTGCTCGGGAGAATGAGGTGGGAGGATTGCTTGAGCCTGGGACATCGAGGGTGCAGTGAGCCATGACTGCACCACTGCACTCAGCCTGGGTGACAGTGAGATCCTGTCTCAAAAAAAAAAAAGATTAAAAAAAAAAAACTTACATAGCATTTGTCATCACTGTGGCTCCCCTTCTTGCTAGCACCCAGCCAGCCCCTAGTGATGTTACATCATATTTGGACATGTTTGTCAGTTGTTGGTTTTTCCCGCCAGAACTGCAGGGGCGTTCTGGCAGTTACCTCTGCAAGGCAGCCAATAGCCATAGGTGGCTATTTAAATTTCAATTAATTAGAATAAATTCAGGCCGGGCGTGGTGGCTCTCGCCTGTAATCCTAGCACTTTGGGAGGCCGAGGCGGGCGGATCACAAGGTCAGGAGATCGAGACCATCCTGGCTAACATGGTGAAACCCCGTCTCTACTAAAAATACAAAAAAATTAGCCGGCGTGGTGGCACGCCCTGTAGTCCCAGGTACTCGGAAGGCTGAGACAGGAGAATCGCTTGAACCCGGGAGGCGGAGGTTGCAGTGAACCCAGATCGCACCACTGCACTCCAGCCTGGGTGATAGAGCACTCCAGCCTGGGTGACAGAGTGAGACTCCGTCTCAAAAAAATTAATTAATTAATTAATTAATTCAGTTCCTCAGTGTACTGGACACATTTCAAGTGCTCAGTAGCCACTTGTGGCTGGGGGTGCAGAATCACAGAACGTTTCCATCCTGGAAGAAAGTTCTACTGGGCAGCACTACCCTAGAAGGTAAGCTCTCTGCGGACAGAGACCACGTGGGTCTGGTTTGCTGCTGCATCCCCAATGCCTCGGTAAGTACTTATTGAATGAATGAACGGATGAATGGAGGAAAGGAGTGAAGGGATGAGAGGGCGGATGAAGGCATGAATGACCCACGAGTCTTCAGCGCGGCTTTCCCCCGCCCCCTCCCCCGGCCTGCCTCTCTCGAGACCCCACCTTGGCCTCGGGGTCGGTGCGGAAGAGGCCCTCGAGCACGTGCAGGGCGTCCAGGACGCCGTGGTCGCGGCCCTTGCAGTAGGACAGCAGGCGGCGCACGTCGGCTGGGGCCACGAACTGCTTGGAGATCTTGTTGGTGGTGCGCACCGGCAGGCAGGCGTTGGCCAGCAGGTGGCCCGGGCGGAAGTAGTAGGCGAACTCCAGCGGGCAGGCCGGGTGTGAGTGGGTCAGCTGGCACTCCGTCACCACGAGGCGGTCCCGCAGCGGGCTCAGCTTGACGATGATGAAGGCGGGGCAGCCGGGCTGGGGAGGCCTGTGGGAGGAACCACCACCGCCCTGGTCACATCACTCTGCTGCCCTCTTCTTCCTTTCCACTCACCTTTTTTTTTTTTTTAAACTAAGAATTGTTTCAGGCATAGAGAAGAGTAGAGGGCCCTAAGAATATGCCAGCTGTGTGACCTGGGGCAAGTCACTTCAAGTCTCTATGCCTCAGTTTCCTCATAGGTTACAAGGAAGGTCCTACTCATCATACCTTCCTCATAGGATCGTCATGAGCATGAAAAGAGTTAATATAGGTAAAGCACCTACACAGTGTCTGGAATATGGCAAGCAGTAAGTGTTCACTAAAATTCTATACCTACCACCCTTAGTTCTGTCAAAAGTGAGTGAATGTTTTATTGTATTTACCTTAACTTTTTTTAGAAATAAAAAATTTCAGATAGTCCTGTATCTGCTTCTGGTTTAGCAATAACATCAAAAGTTGAGGCCTTCTGTGAACGCTGCCCTAACAGATTATCTTCCTTCCCTCTGTCCCCAGAGGCAGCCACTATCAAAATTATCTATTAGCATTCCATGTATATTTTTATGCACCCATAAACAATGGGAGGTATGTTTCTGTGTGTTAAAAGCATTGTATACGTGAAAAAGGACTCAAACTCATTAGTCATCAAAGACATAACAAATTAAAACCCTAAGGAAATGCCACTACACATCAGCAGAATGGTCAAACAAAAGAGACTGATAACATCAAGTGTTGATGAGGACGTGGAGCAACTGGAACTCTCACCCATCACTGATGGGAACGTGAAATGGCACAAGCACTTTGGAAAACTTCATGGCAGTATCTACTAAAGCAAATTTTATGTCTCTCCTGTGACCCAGTGGTGCCACTCAAGACAAATGGGCATCTAAAGCTGTGTACGAGAATGTTCATAGCAGCACTATGTGTATTCGCCAAATACTTGAAACCTAAATATCCAACAATAGAGTGAGAAAATAAGTTGTGGTATATTCCTAAAATAAAACACTAATCAGCACCAAGAATGAACACACCATTACAACCTCCAACAACACGGATGAATCTCACAAACCTACCAAGTGAAAGAAGCCAGACATGAAAGAGAAACTGATATAATTCCCATTTATATAAAGTTCAACAGCAGGCAAAGTTAACCTCTATCGTTAGGAGGCTAGATAGTGGTTACCCTTAAGTGGTTAACCCTGTGAGGGGGCACCAGGAGGTTTCTTGGGACTGGACATATTCTGTTTCTTGTTCTGGGTGCTGGTTACCTCTGATTTTTTTTTTGGGAAAATTCATTCAGTTTCACACATATGATGTGTGTACTTTTCTGGATGTGTGTTACATTTTTTAAAAGTCTACTTCGAAAAAACTTTGTTTTTGGCCAGGCATGGTGGCTCACGCCTGTAATCCCAGCACTTTGGGAGGCTGAGGGGGGACGGATCACCTGAGATCAGGAGTTTGAGACCAGCCTGGCCAACATGGTGAAACCCTGTCTCTACTAAAAAAATATATATATATATATATTAGCCAGGCGTGCTGGCTAATAATAGGCTAATGGGATTACACCTGTAATTCCAGCTACTTGGGAGGCTGAGGAAGGAGAATGGCTTTAACCCGGGAGGCAGAGATTGCAGTGAGCCGAGATCGCACTACTGCACTCCAGCCTGGGGTGACAGAGCGAGACCCTGTCTCAAAGCAAAAAAAAAAAAAAAGAAAAAAGAAAAAAAGAAAAAGAAAACTCTTTGTTTCCGAGCATTGCGGTAGCAAGAATCATGGTTCCCCAAAATATTCACATCATAGTCACTGAAACTGTGCATATGCTGCCTTCCATGGCAAGAGGACCTTTGCGGGTGTGATGAAATTAAGGGTCTTGAGATGGGGAGAGTCTGGATTACCCAGGTAGGCCCAAATGTCATCACAAAGGTTCTTATAAGGGAAAGAGGGAAGTAAGAGGATCAAAGTCAGAGAGAGATTGAAAGATGCTACCTTCTAGCTTTAAAGATGGAGGAAGAGCCAGGCACAGTGGCACTTGCTTATAGTCCCAGTTACTCAGGAGGCTGAGCTGGGAGGATCATTTGAGTTCAGCCTGGGCAACATAGTGAGACTAGTGAGACCCCTACCTCTCAAAAAAAAAAAAAAAATTGGAAGAATGGCCTGGCGCGGTGGCTCATGCCTGTAATCCCAGAACTCTGGGAGGCCGAGGTGGGCGGATCACCTGAGGTTGGGAATTCAAGACCAGCCTGACCAACATGGAGAAACGCGGTCTCTACTAAAAATACAAAATTAGCCAGGCGTGGTGGTGCATGCCTGTAATCCCAGCTACTTGGGAGGCTGAGGCAGGAGAATCGCTTGAACCCAGGAGGCGGACGTTGCGGTGAGCCGAGATCGCACCACTGCACTCCAGCCTGGGCAACAGGAGCAAAACTCCGTCTAGAATAAATAAATAAAACAAATGGAGGAAGAGGCTCCAAGCCAAAGAGCATGGGTGGTCTCTAGAAGCTGGAAGGATAAGGAAGCAGATTCTCCTTAGAGCCTCCAGAACACAGCACTGCCAATGTCTTGATTTTAGCCCTGAGACCCATATTGGCCGCCTGACCTCCAGAACTGTGAGATAAATAAATTGGTATTGTTTTAAGCCACCATATTTGTGGTAGTTTGTTACATCAATTGAGACTAAGACAATCATCCCACCTTACAGATGCCTTTGCAGCTGGCTTTTCACTCGGATTTTCAAAACTGTTCAGTTTCATTCCTTTTACTGCTGCCGAATGTTCCACTCCACGGCTCTGCCATCTATGATGGTGTTTCCAGTTCTCCTCTGTTACGAATGATGCTTCAATCACCCCAACGTGTGATACAACACTCTCTTATACATCTCTTTATGTGTGTGAGCAAGAGTTTGTCTAGGACAGCGGTTCTCAGACTGCACAGCATAGCCCATTACATGAAATTAATGTAGAGAGTTGCAACCAACACTGTAGAAAATGAAATAGGGCCGGGTGCAGTGGCTAGCACCTGTCATCCCAGCACTTTGGGAGGCTGAGGCAGGAGGATCACTTCACCTGAGTCCAGGAGTTCAAGACCAGCCTGGGCAACATAGCAAGAGCCCTTCTCTACAAAAAATTAAAACATAAAAAAGTAGTCAGGCATTGTGGCACACACCCATAGTCCTAGCTATTCTGGGAGGCTGAGGCAAGAGGATCACTTGAGCCCAGGAATCCGAGGTTATAGTGAGCTATGATGGCACCATCATATTCCAGCCTGGGCAACGGAGCAAGACCTTGTCTCAAAAAAGAAAATAAAAGAAAGGGAATAGGAAAAAAAAATCAGAGTGTATTTCTCTGATAGTAATATTTAAATTGGCATCTGATTTCTGAAGAGGGGTTCAGTGTTTCTCCATGTGGGGTAATATCAGCATTTTTTGGCAGATTTTATGTTTATACAGCAGGAGCTGTCAAACATTTTCTGCAAAGGGCCAGGTAGTAAATGTTTAATATATTCTGTTGCTATATTGCAAACGAAGCCATAGACGTATGTAAATGACCAGGCATGGCTATGTTCCAATAAAACTTCATTTATAAAAATAGGCTACAGGCTGGGCGTGGTGGCTGACGCCTGTAATTCTAGCACTTTGGGAGGCTGAGGTGGCCAGATCACGAGGTCAAGAGTTCGAGACCAGTCTGACCAACGTGGGGAAACCCTGTCTCTACTAAAAATACAAAAATTAGCCAGGTGCGGTGGCACACGCCCATAGTCCCAGCTACTCAGGAGGCTGAGGCAGGAGATCGCTTGAACCCAGGAGGTGGAGGTTGCAGTGAGCCGAGATCGCGCCACTGCACTCCAGCCTGGGCGACAGAGCGAGACTCTGTCTCAAGAAGAAGAAAAAAAAAAGTAGGCTGCAGGTTGGGATTGGTCCAAGGGCTTCCTAGTTTGCTGACCCTTGTAACACAGACTGCCCGGGGCCTGGTATGTAGTTAAGAAACCCTGGCTCCCAGGTAGTAAATACCCCAGTAACACACCCCCTAAAAGCCCTCCTATGCTTTTTCCAAATGGCCCCCCAACTGGGTGATTCTCCCCAGGATCCACCCAGAGAAATGCTTAAATCCACCAGTATAAATGCTTAAAAATTTTCTTTGTTAAACCAGAAGGGCATCCTTGACACACCCCTTTTTTCCTACATGCACGAGGTGAAGAAAAACGCAGGAGCCTGCTAGATTTTAAGAATCAACATACAGAGTTTGAGACTTTATGCCTCATTTAAAGTAACAAGGCCGGGCACGGTGGCTCACGCCTATAATCCCAGCACTTTGGGAGGCCAAGGCGGGCGGATCACTTGAGGTCAGGAGTTCGAGACCAGCCTGGCCAACATAGGCAAACCCCATCTCTACTAAAAATACAAAAATTAGCTGAGCGTGGTGGCGGGCACCTGTAATCCCAGCTACTCAGGAGGCTGAGCCAGGAGAATCGCTTGAACCTGGGAGATGGAGGTTGTAGTGAGCTGAGACTACACCATTGCACTCCAGCCTGGGCGACAAGAGCGAAGCTCCATCTCAAAAAATACAAAAATAATGCACATTTAGAAAATTATTCAATGTACAAATAAATATGAATAAAATAAACATACAGCCACCATGTGGTATCAGGTGGAAGCAAAGGAAATCCCCGCGTGCAGCCATGTTTGATTTATCAAGATTGCAAGTTCACGGTATGCCACCCCGTACATTTTTCTAGAATAATTCGTGGGCTTTTGTGAAACCCTTGTCTGACTTCCTTCAGCCTAGGTGTTTCAGGCCCTAGGACAGCCCCTTGCTCCGGGTAGGTCACCTCTTCTGTGAAGCCATGAATCTTGCCAGAGAATAGGGCATCTCCTCTGCAGGGGCCCAGAATCTCACATAACCACCTACTGGTGCTTCAACACGCCATTTTTCCAATTTCTCTCCACCTGTCTGGAGGAATAATGTCATCCCCCCGCTAAATGTAAATTCCACATGGATAGGAATTTTTGTCTATTTTGTTTATCTCTGTATCCTCAGCACCTAGAATAGTACCTGGCGTCTGGAGGTATTCAGTAAGTGTGTGATGATTCAGTGACTAAATCCCACGATGTAACCTACAAACCCTGGCACACCTACTCTGGGATATGGTCTCCATTCCACCAAAACCATCCATCACCACGTCCTACCCATCCACATTTTTTCCATTGCCACAACCTATCGTAAGTTCTTCCCTCCTTCATAAAACATTCCTCTCCCTTTTCACCTAGTCAACTCCTACTCATCTTTCAGGCCTCACAGCCAGCATCGCCTCCTCCAGGAAGTCTTCCCTGACCATATCCTGGCTAGGGCATGGTCCATCACATGTAGGGAATTTTATTTTTTTTTAATTTTTATTTATTTATTTTTTTGGAGACGGAGTCTCACTCTGTCCCCAGTGGCACAATCTTGGCTCACTGCAACCTCCGCCTCCCAGGATCAAGCAATTCTCCTGCCTCAGCCTCCTGAATAGCTGAGATTACAGGTACACGCCGCCACACCCAGCTAATTTTTTTTTTTTAATTTTTATTTTAGTAGAGACGGAGTTTCACCATGTTGCCCAGGCTGGTCTCAAACTCCTGAGCTCAGGCAATCCACCCACCTCGGCCTCCCAAAGTGCTAGGATTACAGGTGTGAGCCACCGCACCCGGCTGGGATTTTTATTTATGTCCATCTGTAATGTACGCTCCCCACAGAAATCCCAGCATCTAAAACCACCACCTTGCACATTGCAGGGGCTCCCAAAAACCTCTTGGGTGAAGGGATGGATAGGCTGGTGCCCAGAAACAACACATCTTTAGGGGATCCATGGCACGGTCAACCCTCACACTGAGGGTTGAATGATTGAAATAAAGATGAGGGAAGGAGAGAGAAAGAGAAAGTGAGAAAGAAAGGCGGGAGGGTGGTAATTAAAATCATGGGCTTAGTAACCAGAATGAGGGTCCAGACCCTGGTTTTCCCTCTTAGCTGCTGTGTTATCCTGGGAACAATCTTTAAGCATTCTGTGCCTCAGTTTTCTCACCTGGAAAGTGGGGCCAATAGTAATACTAGTCTCTCAGGCTTGTAGAGAGGGCTAAATAAGAGGATTAAATTATGTAAAGTGGTTAGAAATGGGCTAGTGCATAGTAAACAATGCAGAAATAGTACCTGCTATTTTTTTAAACTTTTTTTCAAGGACCCGTTGCTTTGCTTTGATTTGCCTTCCACTTACCCATTTATTCATTTTTTTGAGATAGAGTCTCGCTCTGTTGCCCAGGCTGGAATGCAGTGGCACAATCTTAGCTCACTGCAACCTTCGCCTCCTGGGTTCAAGTGATTCTCCTGCCTCAGCTTCCCGAGTAGCTGGGATTACAGGCACCTGCCACCAGGCCCGGCTAATTTTTGTATTTTTAGTACAGACAGGGTTTCACCCTGTTGGCCAGGCTGGTCTCAAACTCCTGACTTCAAGTGATCTGCCCGCCTCGGCCTCCCAAAGTGTTGGGATTACAGGCGAGAGCCACCGCACCCGACTACCCATTTATTCTTGATCGTTCAGGTTTTCAAGATCTTTATGTTTTCAACGGCCGGTGTGTATTGAGAAAGGCTGAGCAATTCTGTTCCAGGGAGGGAAGTGCTGAGAGAGAGGGATGGGGGAGGAACTGGAGCTGGAGAGCTGAAGCTGCAGCAGTGGTGACTTCAAGAGAGTCACTGTGTAACCTCTGGCAAGGGGGAAGGAGTGGACAGGAAGAAAGTTCTTGTCTGGTTCCTTGCACCCTCAGCCCCAGCCTCCTCCTTCATATCCCTTCTCTCTCCCCCACATCGTCTCCCACACGGCCCCAGAGGGATCTTCCTCCACCCAGAACTGACCCTACTCACAGCCTTCTAGGGCTCCCACCACCCCCAGATAAAGTCCCAACTCCTGTACTCAGCCCTGCCAGATCCAGCCCTTGACACCACTGCAGCCTCATGTCCTGCCTTTCCTTACACACTAACTTCTCCAGCCTGACCTCGGCCCATGGGCTGTCCCTGGGCTGTGGCACTGGAGAGGCTCTGCTTTGAGCAGCTCGAGAGAGTGAGGGAGCTAGACATGACGGCTCCAAGATATCGTTCCTGAACCGGCTCATCAACCACCTGCTCCCGCACTCCCCATTCAGAGACCATCTCATCATCTACCCAGTCCCAGGAGTGTACCCAGGGCCCTGTCCTCGCCCCCTCCATAGTCCTGTCTCTCCTGCTCCTTGGCTGTCTCTGATATTTGTAGAGCACTTGGGACAGTACCTGCACATAGTAAACCTAGTGTGTCTGTTAGCTCACATACTATACATACATAAACATATCAACAAAATTCTTCAAGGTTCTGCTTACTGGTTACCTCTTCCAGGAAGCCTTCCAGAACCACCCAGTAAGCTTTCAGGTGGAGCTGACCACTCCCTTTGTATCCTCCTCTCATCTCCCCCTCAATCTCACTCTCACTACTATGGGCCACTATCTATAATTTTTTTTTGTTTTTTGGTCTTTGTCTACCCCATTAAGTTCTGAACTGTTCAAGAGCCGAGATCAGTCTCGGATTCTAAACGTCCAGTGAAGGGCATGCACATAGTAGGTGCTCAATAAGCATTTGTTACATTGGAACTGGGTTCTGTTAATAGGTTTCAGATTAGGCCTGAGCTTCTTTGAGCTTCTTGCAAGCTCTAACGTTCTAGGTTTCTGGGTGATGTGTGTGTTTGATGCTGTTCCACTTTCAGATCTCCGAGTCTCTGTTTCTAGAATAAGTAGTGAGAAAGAAGTTGCAAGAATGTATTTCACAATACATGTTTAAATAACTACCGGTGAAAGAGCTGTTAAGAGTGTGCTTACTCTGTGCTGGATGCCTTTCTGAATAATTTACCTATGAGATAGACACTATTATGTCTCCCATTTTCCACATGAGGAAACTGAGGCCACAGAAAGGTGAAGTCACTCACTCAACAGCATCCACCAAGCATCAGCAGCACAATGGCCCAGAGTCCATGCTCTCGAATCCTGTAACAGCTATCACTTAACCAGCCACCCCATGTTCCAGGCACCAGGGTTATGTGTTTTTCTCATGTATGATCTCACAGTATCCTCACAATGGCCCCATGAGGCGGGTATCGTGATAACCCCATTTCAAAGGATGAGAAAACTGAGGCTTGGAGATGTGAAGTCCATTGCCCAAAGTCACCCATCCAGGAAGTCGTGGAGCATGTCTCAGGCAGCCTAAAGGCAGAGCCTGTGTTCTTAAGCACTCTGTTCTTGTCTACAGCTCCCCAACCAAGGGTCTCAAACTCACACACCTACTGGGACCAGGCAGGCAAAACAAGCAAAAGACAGTGCTAGGGATGAGGCAGCAGAGAGTGGCAGGGTTTGGGGCAAACCTGGGCAGCAAAGCCCCATCCAAGAGGGGTGGCCGTCTGCCAATGGAAACATGGGCTCACCTCTTCCGGTGTTCCAGTGGAAGCTGGAAACCTAACTGTGTGGGGAACAACCCCTGTTTAAAACTGGGGTCAGACCAGGCACCGTGGCTCACACCTGTAATCCCAGCACTTTGGGAGGCCAAGGCAGGCAGATCACCTGAGGTCGGGAGTTCAAGACCAGCCTGGCCAACATGGTGAAACCCTAAAAATACAAAAATTAGCTGGGCATGGTGGCGCATGCCTGTAATCCCAGCTACTGGGGAGGCTAAGGCAGGAGAATTGCTTGAGCCCAGGAGGCTGAGGTTGCAGTGAGTGGAGATTGTGCCACTGCACTCCAGTGTGGATGGCAGAGCAAGACTCCGTCTCAAATAAAATAAAATAAAATAAAGTAAAATAAAATTGGGGTCAATTTGGCTGGGTGTGGTGGCTCATGCCTGTAATCCCAGCATTCTGGGAGGCCGAGGTGGGCAGATCACCTCAGCCTCCTTGAGGTCAGGAGTTCGAGACCAGCCTGGCCAACATGGTGACACCCCATCTCTACTACAAATACAAAAATTAGGTGGGCATAGTGGCACACACCTGTAGTCCCAGCTACTTGGGAGGCTGAGGTGGGGGAATCTCTTGAACCCAGGAGTTGGAGGTTGCAGGGAGCCAAGATCGCACTACTGCTCTCCAGCCTGGGCAACAGAGTAAGACCCTGTCTCAAAAAAATAAAGACTAAATAAAATACAATTGGGGTCCATTAAAATACCCCTGGCCACCTGGGTGTGATTCTGGCTCTCCTGGATTTCTCACCTGCCCCTCTTTGCACAGTTGTAGGGAACTACCTGTGAGCTTGTTCTTTTAACGTCAATCTTTCTGTCCAGTCAGAAAGTACCAGAAGGGCAGGGATTTTTGTCTCTTGCCCAACTCCATCGCTCCAACTAGAATATCCCCAGCCCACAGCATGGGACCTGGCCCCTTATTCACTGAATAGATGGATCCTTTTCTTTATCCTGCGGCTTCTCTGCAGTTCAGTCTCCCAGTCTCTGTCTCCCAGTCTTTGTCACGTGTACAAAACCTGGCTCTTCTGTTTCCCTGGCTGTCTCTGGTGTCTCTGCCTCCATGTCTCCATGTTTCTGGAATTTTCCGTGACTATTTTCTCCTCTTGGGGTGTGTGTGTTTTACGCTCTGCCTCTCGAAGTCTCTATTACATTCTGTAAGTCAGGCCGGGCACAGTGGCTCGCGGCTGTAATCCCAGCACTTTGGGAGGCAAGACGGGCAGATCACCTGAGGTCATGAGTTTGAGACCAGCCTGGCCAACATGGTGAAACCCCATCTCTACAAAAATCCAAAAATTGGCCAGGCGTGGTGGCGCGTGCCTGTAATCCCAGCTACTCAGGAGGTTGAGGCAGGAGAAACAACGCTTGAACTCGGGAGGTGGAGGTTGCAGTGAGCCGAGATTGTGCCATTGCACTCCAGCCTGAGTGACAGAGCAAGACTCTGTCTCAAAAAAACAACACAAAGCAAAACAAAACAAAAACAAAAACAAAAAACCACACAAAAATTAGCCGGGCATGATGGCAGGTGCCTGTAGTCCTAGCTACTCGGGAGGCTGAGGCGGGAGAATCACTTGAACCTAGGAGGTGGAGGCTGCAGATGGCACCACTGCACTCAAGCCTGGGCGACAGAGCGAGACTCCATCTCGAAAAAAAAAAAAAAGTCTGTAAGTCGGGCCCACACCATCTCTTGCTCCGTGAGTATCTTTGTCTCTCTAGCTCCTCTTCTTCTCTCAGTACATGTCCCTCCTTGACTCCCGCCTCTCTGCAAGGTGTATTTGGCTGCCTCAGTTGGCCTCTCCCCCTCTGCATCTCTGGGTGGGGTGTTCTCTGCCCGTCTCCCACCCACACCCACCCCCGGTGCTCCCCTTCCCCCCAGCAGGACAGCGGCTCAGGTTCACGCACCCCACGGCGGGCCGGCTGGGCGCACGCACGTCCTTGCACACAAGCCGCACGTAGCTGTACTTGAGCACGTCGATGAGCGTGTAGAGCGGGGGCGCACTGGCCCAGCGGCAGCGCGCCAGGTGCATGGAGCTCTTGACGAAGAAGAGCGCCAGCCGCTGCTGGCACCACGCGTCGAAGAAGCGGCTGAACTCGGCCCACGAGAAGAAGGCCCGCTCCCGCAGCTCCTGCTCCTCCTGCCCCGCAGCCGTGCCGGGTGGGGGCTCCGGCCGCTCCATCCTGGGGGCCTGCGTGGAGGAGGGGAGAACAGGTGGATATCAGACCCATTCCCACCCGGGGTATCTCATCTACTCCATTCTTGGCCTGCCCCGTCGGTTGCTGGTGCCTCTATCGAGGTGGGTAGCCCGGGGTCGGACGTGCCTGTTTTTCTCCAAATATATAAATATCAACCTCCATCCTATCTTTGGCCTCCTCCCACCGCCTTATCCCTGGTTCACTTGGAGCCTGTCATCTTGATTCCTAATTCCAACTCGTCTCCTCCTCCGCAGATGTGACCCTTAGGTACAGTTGGAATCTCTCCTCCCAAAATACGACCCTTAAGCTCAGATGTCCCTTAAGGACATCTCCTCAAATGTGTTCTCAAATTCCAGCTAAAACCTCCTCCCCTTCCAGCTGTGTCTCTCACCCAAGAGTAACTTCTAACTCTCGTATTCATCTGGAACTCCTCCTTCCATGTGCCAACAGTTGGCTGTAACCCCTCCAAAGACGCTCCATCTCCAGATGTGCTCCCACATCCAGGCCACGGACCCCTCACCCGGTCACATGCTTCATGCACCTGTGGCTCCGCACTCCCCAGATGTGCCTCTGGCGTGCAGCTGTTGCCCCTTCCCCCGATTATGACCCTATGGCTCGCCACATGCAGCTGTAGCTGGGGCTTCCCTGAGACACTCTCATCTCCAGATGTACTCCCCACATGCAGTTATCCACGCTTCGCCTACAGGTGTGTGCCCCACTTGTGGCTAGTTCTCCTCGGAAGTGTCACCAGTATTCACCTGTGGTCCCCTCCTCCTCAGATGCGGCCCCCAGTCCAGCTGTGGGCCCCTCCTCCCAGTTACATCCACCATCCCCCGCAATATGCATCTTCGTTCTAGACATGGCCCCTCGTCCTCGGATGGGCTCCTTCACCCCAGATGCTCCCCCCACGTCCAGCTGCGCGTCTCCCCTCGAGCAGCCCCATCCAGCCCGCTCCCGACCCTCCTACTCCCCCCCTCCCCGCCCGCTGCGGCACCTTCCAGCCCCGCCGTCCCACCTAGCTGTGCCTCTCCCCTCCCCAAGATGTGCACCCTTCCCGCCCCTCCCCACTCACCTACCCGCCCCGGAGCGGCGTCCACCTCCCACAATGCCCCGCGCCCAGGCCTGGCCCGGCCCTTGCTCCCGGGATGCCCCGCGCGGTCTCCCGCCTCTCTTCCCGCCGTGCCTCGCGGGGGCGCTTCCACCGATTCCTCCTCTTTCCCTGCCAGTCACTCCTCAGACCCTCAGCCACACCCGCTCATCCAGGGCGAGGGAAAGCGCGGGCATTTTCCCAGTGTGCTCTGCGGGAGGGCTCGCCCCACTTCACCCCTTTTCCCGCCCTCCTCCCATTCGGGAGACTACGACTCCCAGTGTCCTCCGCGCGACGGCGGCGGTGCGGACGGTGCCCAGGTCCCGCCCCTAGGCTCTGCCCCGCCCCCGCCCGCAGACGTCTGCGCGCGAATGCCGTGGCGCGAACTTGGGACTGCAGAGGCGCGCCTGGCGGATCTGAGTGTGTTGCCCGGGCAGCGGCGCGCGGGACCAACGCAAGGCAAGTGGGGCCGTCCGCAAGCAGATGGGAGGCGGAGGGCGGCGGGTGCGCCGAATGCTTGGGGCCTATGCTTCGCCATGTCGGGGTGTCTGCAGAGGAGTGGGCGTGGGGACGCTGAGGCTGCCGAGAGCGCGGTGGAGACGGAAGAGCGCGGGCTGCGGGCCGCCGGAGAGTGCAGAGAGGTGTCTCCCAGAGGGAGGGGGGCCAGGTAGAGGGTAGACGAGAGACAGAGACAGTTGGACAGGTCCTCTGAGAAGAGGCCTTGAGGTGCGAGTTCACCTGGAAAGGGGAGAGGCCAAATGGAACTGAGGGGCGGGGCCGGGGGGGGGAAAACTGTGTGGGCGGGGCCAGCTGGAAATCGGAAGGCCCCCCGAGGGGGCGGGGCTATCTGGGAGGGGGAGGGGCTGAAGGGAGCTAAGGGGCGGGGCCGGGGAAAAGATTGCGTGTGGGCGGGGCCACCTGGAAGGGGGAGGTGCCAAGGGTGGGGCTGGCTGGGAACCGGAAGTGCTGAGGGGGCGGGGGCCACCTGGAAGTGCTGAGGGGGCGGGGCTAGAAGAAGGTAAATCGCGGGCAGCAGCATCACCTGGAAGGAGTGGGCCCTACTGGAGGGAGATGGGTGGTGTCAGGGAGAGGTCAGTGGTAAGGTCCAGGTCTAGGTAAAGGGCTCGTAAAAGATGGAGAATCATCTGAATGGGGAGACGTCTGGCCTAATGTATGCTTGATAAAGGGATGGAGCTTACCTCTTGTTTTTACTTTTTATTTTGAAATAATTATAGATTCAAGGAAGTTGTGAAAAGAGTATATCCATCTTCCCCTAATGGTGACATCTTATGTAGTCCCAATATCGAAACCAGGAAATTGACATCAATACAGTTCTGTTAACTAGATTACAGACCTTGTTCAGTTTTCACCAGTTTGTGTGGTGTGAGTGTGATTGTGCATCTGTGTGCCCGTGCAGCTTGATTCCTTGTATAGATTTGTGTAACCCCCATCGTAATTGTGATATAGAACAGTTCCCTCTCCACATAAGAACTCCTCCCCAGGCCCCTGGCAACCGCTAATGTGTTCACCATCTCTAGTTTTGTCATTCGGAGATTGTTATGTAAATGGAATCATATATTATTAGGATGTTACCTTTTTTCTACTCTGCACAATGCCCTGGAGGTCCACCCAAGTTGTTGCTTGTATCAGTGCTTCGTTTCTTTTTATTACTGAGTACTGTTTCATCCTTACTTGATATTTTTCCTGTCATTATCTCTTCATTTTGGTAACCGCTTTATTGAGATATAATTCACAATTATACAGTTTGCCCATTTAAAGTGTACAATTTTGCCCATTTAAAATGTACAAGTCAGCGGTTTTCAGTGTATTTAAAGTGTATTTCAGTGTATTTAAAGTGCCCATTTAAAGTGTACAAGTCAGTGGTTTTCAGTGTATGCGCTGAGTTGTGCAGTTATTACCATAATCGATTTTAGGATATTTTTATCATCCCCCCAAAAAACTCCTATACCTTTTATCCATCATTCATTTAATTTTAACCCTGAACAATATTCTACCATATGGTATTCCAGTAATGAGGGAACCAGTTCCCTAAGGGTAGACATTCCACCAGTTTCCAGTCTTCTCTCATTACAGTTAGTGCTGCAGCAGGTAACTTTGTGCCTCACTTGGTCCACCTGTGAGGGTCTCTGTGGGCCAAATACACAGAAGTGGGGTTGCCGTTCCGATAGAGACGCCAGGTGGTCCTCCAGAGGCATCAACCAGTTTGTTCCCCCCAACTCAGCAGTACACAGAGTTGAGAAGCCAGCCTTGAGTACCGTGGTAAGGAGAAAGGAACGTGGGCTTTGGAGCCAGCCACACCGGGTTTTGAAGCCTTGCCTGAACCCCAGCTATGTTCCTCTGTCCTCATTACCTTCATCTATAAAGTGGGGATGATCTCACCTGTCTTGGAGGGCTGACTTGAGGATTGAGGGTATTTGAGAATGTGATCAGCCTGTCAGGCATAGAGTAGGCTTCCCAGTAAACGCTTATGTATTTCTCCTTCCCTTGCAACTCAGTCTGGTGGTTAAGAGGTGAGCTGTGGAGCAGGCCGACCTGGGGTGGAACGTACTATAGATGCAGGTTAAGTTCCTTTGAAAACCCCTCTGTGCCTTAGTTTCTGTAACAGAGTTGTTGTGGAGAGTCAGTATAATTGAGAATGTCAAGTACCTAGGCAGTTGAGCACTCAGGAGGGATCGTAATAGTTTTCTCCTTTGCCCTCAGGATTTTGGTGGCTAAGTCCCTAACCTGCTTTCTGTGTGAACTGTTTGGTTGAAGCATTGCTTACTTCCTGCTCCCCAACTGGCCCTGAGAAACTCTGTTTGGAAATTGCTGAGTTTCTTTTTTGTTTGTTTTTTTTTTTTTTTTTTTTTTTTTAAGACGGGGTCTCGCTCTGTCGCCCAGGCTGGAGTCCAGTGGTGCAGTCTCAGCTCACTGCAACCTCTGCCTCCTGGGATCAAGTGATTCTCCTGCCTCAGCCTCCTGAGTAGTTGGGATTACAGGCTGGCACCACCATGCCTGGCTAATTTTTTGCATTTTTAGTAGAGATGGGGTTTCACCATGCGGGCCAGGCTGGTCTTGAACTCCTGACCTCGTGATCCGCCTGTCTCAGCCTTCCAAAGTGCTGGGAGTACAGGCGTGAGCCACAGTGCCGGCCTACTGAGTTTTTTGATTCCAAAATTGAGTTTGAGTTGTGGTGCCAACATGTGGCGGCCAAGGCTGTAGAGAGTAGTGGAGACTTAGAGGCGTGTGGTGCGGGACAGAGAGTACTGATTCCAGAAAACGAAAGGGGACCCCATGGGTTGAAGAAGATTTCTGTGCAAAGGAAGGGAAAGTCAAAGAAAACCATTTCTGTTGCCCAGGCTGGTCTGAGCTGGTCTCAACTCAAGCAATCCACGCAGAGGTCCTGCTAGTCCTTTTTTAAAAAATATATTCATAGTGGAAGGAAATATAATGTAAATAATTATAATTACATAATTATAATGTGTAATTTATTTTCTTCCATTATAAATATTAAAGATATAGAAAATTTATAATTTTTTATATCTTTAATATTTATAATGGAAGGAAAGGCTCAGTTCCAATTAGAAGTTTACAAGAATAAAGTCGTAATTTCTTTCCTGTCAAATTTCATAGACCACTTGAGTTCTGCTCTTGGACTCCTGGGTTTTGTGGACCCCAGATTAAGAACCCTTTCTTTTCTTTTTCTTTTTCTTTCTTTTTCTTTCTTTTTTTTTTTTTTTGAGACAGAGTGTTACTCTGTTGCCCAGGCTAGAGTGCATGATCTCACTGCAACCTCCACTTCCTGGGTTCAAGTGATTCTCCTGCCTCAGCCTCCCCACTAGCTGGGATTACAGGTGTGCACCACCATACCTGGCTAATTTTTGTATTTTTAGTAGAGATGAGGTTTCACCATGCTGGCCAGGCTGGTCTCGAACTCCTGACCTCAGGCGATCCACCCGCTTCGGCCTCCCAAAATGCTGGGATTATGGGCAGCAGCCACCACGCCCGGCCTAGGAACCCTTTCATTAGAGTTACTCTAAACTGTGGAAGCCCCAGTGACTGTTATTGATTTCATTAAATAACAGACTTTTTAAAAAAGTATTTAATTTTTAAAAATATATTGTGAAGGGGTAACGTATTCCAATTGTTCTGCCTGCAAAAGCATGCATATTAAAAAATCTCCCTCCAGCGTCTGTCCCTCCTGAGGCGACAGCATTACCAGTTTTTTGTCTTCCAACTGAGATGTTCTGTACATATACAAGATATGTGGATACATTTATAGTCTTTCTTTTGTTTTTGTTTTTTGAGATGGAGTTTCACTCTTGTCCAGGCTGGAGTGCAGTAGCACAATCTCGGGTCACTGCAGCCTCTACCTCCCGGGTTCAAGCGATTCTCCTGCCTCAGCCTCCAGAGTAGCTGGGAATACAGGCGCGTGCCACCGCACCTGGCTAATTTTTGTATTTTTAGTAGAGACAGGGTTTTGCCATGTTAGCCAGGCTGGTCTTGAACTCCTGACCTCAAGTGATCCACCCACCTCGGCCTCCCAAAGTGCTGGGATGACAGGCGTGAGCTACTGTGCCTGACCTATAGCCTTTCTCTTTTACACAGTTCAGTAGCACACACTCTGTGATATTCTGCCCTTTGTTTGAAATAACAGCATACCTTAGAAACTGCCCAAGAGCTAATTTATGTAGACCAGCGGGTACAATTTTATAAGCTTCCACAGTTGTTTCACGGAATTATGTCATCACCTTAAAACAATTTTTCACTAACCTTTAAACTTAACTCCAAAAAAACCCATTTCAGGTCCTCAGTCTATTCCTCATATTAGATGAAAAACAGTCTTCTTATGGTAAAGGAGGCCTCTTATCTTTTTCTCTGATTTGGAGCTTTTATTCTGCACCAGTAAATCTCACCAGCAAATTATTTTGGTTCATAAAAACAGGAGTTTCTTTTTGAAGGGGAAATTCATGTTTCTGTTTTTTTTTTTCTTTCTTTCTTAAAGAAAGGGTTTTATGTGTGTTTAGATCTCTGCACAACCAATCACCTCAACAAGTGTTTGGATTTCTGTTCCAGGAGCAGCTGACAGACGAAGAAAAGTGCTGGACAGGAAGGGAGAATTCTGACGCCAACATGCAGCGAAGTATCATGTGAGCACCCTCCCTTGCCCCTGAGTCTTTCCTTCTCCAAGTCCTCTGTTTCTTTCTCTAAATCTGTACTTAAAAAAACAAACAAACAAACAAAAACTCTTACGTTAGATTTTGAGTTGGAATTTCCAGGAGTCAAGTAGTATGGAAAATGAGCCGTGGGATATGGAAGACAGTGTATTGAACAACAGTTTTTAGTTGCAAGGAGCAGAAACCCTAACGCAGTGGTTCTCAGTCAGCAGCAATTTTGCTCCCCAGGGAACATCTGGCAGCGTCTGGAGATTTTTTTTTTTTGAGTTGGAGTCTTGCTCTGTCACCCAGGCTGGAGTACAGTGGCGCAATCTCGGCTCACTGCAACCTCCGCCTCATGAGTTCAAGTGATTCTCCTGCCTCAGCCTCCTGAGTAGCTGGGATTATAGGCACGTGCCACCACGCCTGGCTAATTTTTGTATTTTTAGTAGAGACGGGGTTTCACCACGTTGGTCAGGCTGGTCTCAAACTCCTGACCTCGTGATCCGCCCACCTCGGCCTCCCAGAGTGCTGGGATTTCAGGCGTGAGCCACGGCGCCCGGCCAGTGTCTGGAGATATTTTTGGTTGTTACAACCTAGGGACAGAGGGTTTGCCATTGGCATCTAGTGGCTAAAAGCCAGGCATGCTGCTAAACATCCTTCAATTCATAGGACAGCCCCCCCAACAACACAGAACCATCAGGCCCAACATGTCAATAGTGTCTAGGTTGAGAAACCTCGTGTTAATGCAGTCCGGCTTCAGGAAGACAAGAAAGGGCATGACTTGACTTATATCATTGAAACCTGCTGGAGTAAACAGCCTCAGGCTTGGTTCGATCCAGTTGCCAAAACTTCCTCCCTGGGAATCTGTCTCTCTCCATTGTTCAGCTCTACTGTCCTTGAGGTTGTCCTCACCCTCAGGCGGGCTCTCCCCTCTTAGCGGTCCCCTTGGAAAGAGGGTGTTAGAGCCCAGTTTCACTGGCCCAGCCTGGGCCACATACCTATCCCTGAACCAGCCACAGGGATGCAGCCTGGATCACGTGTCCACCCCTGGTCACAGGCAAAAGGGCCAGCCCACTCAAATCGTGTGTACTGAGAGAATGTGGGGTAAGAAGCATCCCAAGAGGAAAACGGAGGGGCTGTTACCAGGAGGAAAAAATGGATGGTAGAGAGACCCAGACAAGGGCATCCATCCCAGAAACCTGGGCGGTAGTGGCTTACACAAATGCTGGGTTCCGTTTTTCTCCCGTGATGAGGAATCTGGGGATTGTCTCTCCAGGGCTGATGGTGCCTTCGATTGCTTTCTGTCCACTGGCTTTTGCATGATTTTTCCTTTTCTTTTTGAAGATTAAATAAACCTCTTATTCTGGAATAATTTTAGAGGTACAGGAAAGTTGCAAAGACAGTACAGAGAGGTCCTGTATACCCTTGGCCAGTTTCCATTGTCAATATCATACATTACTATGATCCGTTTCTCACCACTGAGATACTAATGTCAGTACATTACTCTTAACTGAACTCCATACTTTATTATTCAGATTTCACCAGATTTTTTTTTTAATGTTCACGCCTTCCAACATTTTTTTTTTTTTTTTTTTTGAGACAGAGTCTTGCTCTGTCGCCCAGGCTGGAGTGCAGTGGCGCGATCTTGGCTCACTGTAAGCTCTGCCTCCCAGGTTCAGGCCATTCCCCTGCCTCAGCCTCCTGAGTAGCTGGGACTACAGGCGCCTGCCACCACACCCAGCTAATTTTTTTTGTATTTTTAGTAGAAGCAGGGTTTCACCGTGTTAGCCAGGATGGTCTTGATCTCCTGACCTCGTGATCCGCCCACCTCGGCCTCCCAAAGTGTTGGGATTACAGGTGTGAGCCACCATGCCAGGCCCCAACATTTTATATTTAGTTGTTTGCTTAATATTTCTGCCCTTCACCAGAGTGTTAGCTTCTTGAAGGCAGGAACTTCGTGTGTCTGGGTCACTGCCAAACCCCTCAGGCCCAGAACAGGCCCTGGCACATAATAAGTGCTTAGGTAGGCCGGGCGCAGTGGCTCACACCTGTAATCCCAGCACTTTGGGAGGCAGGAGGATCACCTGAGATCAGGAGTTCGAGACCAGCCTGACCAACATGGTGAAACCCCTTCTCTACTAAATGAAAAAAATTAGCCGGGCGTGGTGGCGGCCACCTGTAATCTCAGCTACTCAGGAGGCTGAGGCAGGAGAAACACTTGAAACTGGGAGGCCGAGGTTGCAGTGAGCCGAGATTGCACCATTGCACTCCACCCTTGGGCAACAAGAGTGAAAACTCCATCTCAAAAAAAAAAATTTTTTTAGGCTGGGCGCGGGGGCACATGCCTGTAATCCCAACACTTTGGGAGGCCAGGGTGGGTGGATCACCTAAGGTCAGGAGTTTGAGACTGGCCTGGCCAACATGGAGAAAACCCGTGTCTACCAAAAATACAAAAAAAATTAGCTGGGCGTTGTGGTGGGCACCTGTAATCCCAGCTACTCGGGAGGCTGAGGCAGGAGAATCGCTTGAACCTGGGAGGCAGAAGTTGCAGTGAGCCGAGATCACACCATTGCACTCTAGCCTGGGCAACAGAGCGAGAGTCTGTCTAAAAAAAAAAGATTTAAAAAGTGCATAGTTAATATTTGTTGAATAAAACTTGGGATGTATCATATCTTGCAGGTGCGTTAGGGCAGAAAAATTAGTGTTGCCTCCTTTGTCTGAGTCTGAGTTTCCTTATCAGTTAAGTTAAAGGGCTTATTTGAAATTCTCTGTTATGTGCTGAGATGGAAATGGTGTTAGAAGTTATAGGATGCGGCCGGGCGCGGTGGCTTATGCCTGTAATCCCAGCACATTGGGAGGCCAAGCAGATCACAAGGTCAGGAGATCGAGACCATCCTGGCTAACACGGTGATACCCCATCTCTACTAAAAATACAAAAAATTAGCTGGGCATGGTGGCGGGTGCCTGTAGTTCCAGCTACTTGGGAGGCTGAGGCAGGAGAATGGCATGCACCCAGGAGGCGGAGCTTGCAGTGAGCTGAGATTGCGCCATTGCACTCCAGCCTGGGCTACAGAGCGAGACTCTGTCTCAAAAAAAAAAAAAAAAAAGGAAGTTATAGGATACAGCATAGATAGGCAGGGTATTGGTGCTGTTATTCTCCTTTTTTTACCCCCTTTTATGCTCCTCTAGGTCATTTTTCCACCCCAAGAAAGAGGGTAAAGCAAAGAAGCCTGAGAAGGAGGCATCCAATAGCAGCAGAGAGACGGAGCCCCCTCCAAAGTATGTCACAGGGCTGGGATATGGTGAATTTTTTCCTTTAGCAGTCAGGATTGTCTTGGTTGCAAGTGTTCAAACCTAATGCAAAATGTCTTGGGGCCCAAAAAACTTTTTCAGCCAGGTGGCCAGAAGTCCAAGAGCAAGAGCAGCTGCAGGCACAGCTGGATCCAGGGCCTCGGAGTTGTCTGTACGTCTCTGTTTCTGCAGGTCTTGGCCTCGTTCTAGAACCAGACATTCTCCATAATGCAGAGAAGCTGGCCGCTGGCCACTGGCCACGTCTTGATGCTGTCTCATCTAAGTAGAAGACAACAGTACTCTTTTTTTTTTGAAATGGAGTCTCACTCTCACCCAGGCTGGAGTGCAATGGTGTGATCTCGGCCCACTGCACTCCAGCCTGGGCGACAGAGCAAGATTCCATCTCAAAAAAAAAAAAAAAAAGGCATCCCAATAGATGCTGGAGACCAATGGCAACCTTAGGCAGGGACTCCATTTGCTCCTCAGCATCACCCATCACAGGGCAGGCACTCTGGAGACTTCCAGAGATGTGTGATGGGTGGGTGAGTGGATGAGTGGGCGGGTGGATTAATGCACTGATGGATGAAATGATGAGATTTGCTGAGGAGACAACCAGAAAATGTTCATTGGATGCTTGAAAGGAAGGGAAGGAAACAGCAAAGAAACCAAAGTGTTTGCGGGCAGTGCCCCCACTCTGCCTGCTGTAGTCGCCCCTTTACACCCCCATTTCCCCACCTTCCAGGGCGGCACTGAAGGAGTGGAATGGAGTGGTGTCCGAGAGTGACTCTCCGGTGAAGAGGCCAGGGAGGAAGGCGGCCCGGGTCCTGGGCAGCGAAGGGGAAGAGGAGGATGAAGCCCTTAGCCCTGCTAAAGGCCAGGTAGGTCCCCATCACCCTGCCCATTTTTACCAGAAGAAACTAATTCCCATTAACCTTTGGAACAGAGTGCAGCAGCTGTTCAGGAGAATTCTGGAGAAATTGCCCGGGAGAGGTAGATGTGTTTCCTGGTTGTGTCGGGGGCAGACACAACCTGGTCCTAATTGCCCCTGCCCTAGGACCTCGGGTGGGCTCCTTCACCACGTTAGGTCTTGGATGCCTCAACTGTAACATGCAGCTCCTGGTAACACCTTCCTCATAGGGTGACTGGGAAGATGAAATGAGTCGATTTACATACAGATCTGAGAATAATGCCTGATGGTAAAACAAGGGCTCAAGGCCCAGCACAATGGCTTACGTCTGTAATCCCAGCACGTTGGGAGGCCAACGTGGGAGGATCACTTGAGGCCAGGAGTTCGAGACCAGGCTGGGCAACATAGCGAGACCCCATCTCTACAAAAAAATGTTTTAAAAATTAGCCAGGTGTGGTGGTGCATGCCTGTGGTGCTATCTCCTTGAGAGGCTGAGGCAGGAGGATCGCTTGAGCCCGGGTGTTCAAGGCTGCAGTGAACTGTGATTGTACCACTGTACTCCAGCCGGGGTGACAGAGCAAGACCTTGCTTCAAAAAAAAAAAAGCAAAAAAATAAGGGTTCAAAAGTATATCTAGCCTCTCCTGTGGTCAGAGGGCTTTTTAACTTCTCCAAATACATTGGACCACTCTCTTCCCCTGTTTAAGTCATTTAATGCTTGTTCATTGCTTTGTGGATGATGTCCAAAGCGTGGTGCTGCTTATTCTGTCAGTGGTGAGGTCAGGTCCTGTGACTCCCTGCCCAAACCCCCTGGTATTACCACCACAGGCCAAAGCCAGGCCTTGTGGAAACCTCCCAGGCCCCTCCTGCTGCTCCTCTCTTCCCCCGCCCATCACATCTGCAGCCGCATCCACAGCTCCTCCTCAGCTCGCTCCATCCTGGCTTCCCACACCCACCAGGTGCACTTCCACCTCTGGGCCACTACCTTCTTTCCCAGCCTAAAACTCTCTTTCCCAGATACACGCCTGGCTCAGTCCCCTGCTTTCTTCCATGCTTTGCTCAGATATCACTTCCTCAGCGAAACTTTCCTCACCACCTATGTTAGCTTCCCATTTGCTGCCATAACAATTGACCACAAACGCAGTGGCTTAAAACAGTGTCAGTTTATTGTCTTACAGTTTGGGAGTCGTGAGTCTCAAATGGGTTGCACTGGGCTAAACTCAAGGTGTCAGCAGGTCTGCGTTCATTTCTGGGGGCTCTGGGGGAGAATCCAGGAATTGCCTTTTCCAGCTGCTAGAGATCCCCTTTTCTCCGTTTTCAAAGCAAGTGGCTGGGTGTGGTGGCTCACGCCTGTAATCCCAGCACTTTGGGAGGCCGAGGCAGGCAGATCACAAGGTCCGGAGATTGAGACCATCCTGGCTAACATGGTGAAACCATGTCTCTATCAAAAATACAAAAAATTAGCTGGGCGTGGTGGCGGGCGCCTGTAGTCCCAGCTACTCGGGAGGATGAGGCAGGAGAATGGCGTGAACCCGGGAGGCGGAGCTTGCAGTGAGCCAAGATCGTGCCACTGCACTCCAGCCTGGGTGACAGAGCAAGACTCTGTCTCAAAAAATAAATAAATAAATAAATAAATAAGCAAGTGGCATTGCCTCCTTCTGTGCCTTTCTTCTGTGGCCACATCTCACCCTGACTTTCCTCTCCTGCCACCCTCTTCCACTTTGAAGGCCCCTGTGACTATATCAGGCCCACCTGGATAGTCCAGGGTAATCCCACTATCGGAAGGTCAGCTGATTAGCAACCTCAATTACCCTTTGCCATGTAACCTAACATATTCCCAGGTTCCAGGTATTAGAATAGAGATCTCTTTTGGAGCTTAGACTTTACCCTGAGGCTTCTGGGGAGCTAGGAAGAGTTTTGGGCAGAAGAGAGGCAGAGATCATTTAGTCCTGGGCAGTGTTTAAAATATTCATCTGGCCAGGCATGATGGCTCACGCCTGTAATCCCAACACTTTGGGAGGCCAAGGCGGGTGGATCACGAGGTCAGAAGTTCGAGAGCAGCCAGGCCAACATAGTGAAACCTCATCTCTGCTACAAAAGTTAGCCGGGCATGGTGGCACGGGCCTGTAGTCCCAGCTACTTGGGAGGCTGAGGCAGGAGAATTGCTTGAACCTGGGAGATGGAGGTTGTGGTGAGCCGAGATCGTGCCATTGCACTCCAGCCTGAACAACAGGGCAAGACTCCATCTCAAAAAAAAAAAAAAATTATCTGAGACCTGTATCTCCATCAGGGTCTCAATGGGAGACAGAAACCATACCAGTGATTTGAACAGAGGGAGTTTAAAGGATGGTCACTAGGTATGCAGTTGTTAAATAGGTAACTGAAGGGCTAAAAAGAGAACTAACTCTAAGGCATCATGGAGGTAGCAACTGTGGGGTGCAGTGACCATCCCTGTGGCTTTTGAGCTGAAATTCACACCTCTGTGGTGGGACTGCTGGCAGGTCTCTGAGCTTAGAGAAGGTGCCCCGAGAGCCTGCAACTCTGATCTTTCAGGAAGGGAGCACTGGGTGGGAGATGCCAGGGTCTCTGATCAGGTACCACGTGGCAAGCCCCGTGAATGTTAGAAAAAACTGTCAGTGGGATCCAGCAGCTGCCCCCGGCAAGCCGGCTGTGCCTCCAGTCATGCAGTGCCCTCTGCTTCCCTCCATTGGCACTGCCTGATGCCCAGGTGGCGCCAGAGCAAGAAGAAGATTTGTGGAGTCCCGGTCCTGGCAGCATGAAGGAGACTGGACAGTGACAGGTTTGGAGCTGAGAGAAAATCACTTAATAACTGGCACAGGGCCCTGTAAGAAGATAAGTGAGTGGTTGAAACCGAGACACGGTAGCAGTGGCTTAGGCAAGACGCAAACTTATTTTTCTCTCTCCTGAGTGCAGAGTCCGGGATTCATGTGACCGTCTCACAGGGTCAGAGGCCCAGGCTTCCTCTGTGCTGTCGTTTGCTCTCTGTAGATGCCCTTGTCCCTGTGAACATCCATATTCTGCCAACAGGAAGAGGAGGGCACCCCACTCAACATTAAGTGGATGTTATTTGAACCAGGAAATGCATGTTAGTCCATTTTGCATTGCTATAAAGGAATACTTCAGACCAGTTAATTTATAAAGAAAAGAGGTTTATTTTGGCCCACGGTCCTGCAGGCTATACAAGAAGTATAGTGCCAGCATCTGCTTCTGGTGAGAGCCTCAGGATGCTTCCAGTCATGGTGGAAGGTGAAGGAGGAGCAGGTGTGTCACATGGCAAGAGAGGAATTTTAAACAACCAGCTCTCATGTGAACCAGGAGAGGAAGAACTCGGTTCCTACCACAAGGAGGGTACAAGCCATTCATGAGGGATCTGCCCACGTGACCTGAATGCCTCCCGCCAGGTCATACCTCCAACATTGGAGACCAAATTGCAACATGCGATCTGGAGGGAACAAACATCTAAACTGTATGGAGAGAAGGCTGGGCACGGGGGCTCACGCCTGTATTCTCAGTGCTCTGGAGGCCAAGGCGGGAGGATCGCTTGAGCTCAGGAGTTCGAGACCAGCCTGGCCAACGTGGTGAAGCCCCATCTCTATAAAAAAAATACAAAAATTAGCTGGGCGTGGTGGCGGGCGCCTGTTATCCCAGTTGCTCGGGAGGCTGAGGCAGGAGAATTGCTTGAACCTGGGAGGCAGAGGTTGCAGTGAGCCGAGATCGCGCCACTGCACTCCAGCCTGGGCGACAGAATGACACCCTGTCTCAATAAATAAATAAATAAAAATAAAACTATACGAAGAGGTGTACATCATTTCCCCTGACATCCCATTGTGTAGAGCTGGCCAACATAGTGAAACCCCGTCTCTACTAAAAATACAAAAATTAGCCAGGCATGGTAGTGCAGGCCTGTAGTCCCAGCTACTTGGGAGGCTGAAGCAGGAGAATCGAAGATTCTGTTACTGTAGAAAACAGAAGAGCTATGGGGGTCCTTGATGGGACCATGATCCTGCACTGGAGGGCGGGATGATGGCCCAGGTGAGAAGAGGCCACCCCTGAGTTAGGGCTGAGACCATAGGGTCAGAAAGGAGGGTAGACAGAGAGGTTTCAGTCCCCTCTACTCTCAACTTTTGGAAAATGGAGTCCCTCCTTCCCCCGCTCACTCTAGAACTGTTCTTTCCTCTTCCAGAAGCCTGCCCTGGACTGCTCACAGGTCTCCCCGCCCCGTCCTGCCACATCTCCTGAGAACAATGCTTCCCTCTCTGACACCTCTCCCATGGACAGTTCCCCATCAGGGATTCCGAAGCGTCGCACAGGTGAGAACACACGGGCCCCTGCCCCTTCAGTCGCCTGCCTTTCTTTTTCTCTTTTTTTTTTTTTTTTTTTTTTTTGAGACATAGTCTCGCTCTGTTGCCTAGGCTGGAGTGCAGTGGCATGATCTCGGCTCACTGACCTCCGCCTCCCGGGTTCAAACGATTCTCCTGCCTTAGCCTCCTGAGTAGCTGGGACTACAGGAGCCCGCCACCATGCCTGGCTAATTTTTGTATTTTTAGTAGAGACGGGGTTTCACTATGTTGGCCAGGCTGGTCTCAAACTCCTGACCTCGTGATCCGCCTGCCTCAGCCTCCCAAAGTGCTGGGATTACAGGCGTGAGCCACCGCACCCAGCCAGTCGCCTGCCTTTCTCCCCACTTGGATTCCCATCCAAGGTAGTCATCCTTACAACAGCTCTGGTCTTAGTGTTGTGGTTAAGAGCACGGGTCCACCATCCACTGGCTGTATGACCTGGGACAAATGACTGACCTTCTCTGAGCTTAGGTTGCTTTATCTGTAGAGATGATGATAATGATAGCACCTACCGCACAGAAATATCTGAGTTAGAAGATAACACGTGTACGCTGCTCAGAACTGGGCCCAGCCCTCAGTCGGGGCTCAGTCATTGTGGGTCATTGTGACTGTAGTTATGCGCTGAGATGGAGGCCTCACAGCTCATGTGGGAACACAAGCGCGGGGCCATGGCTCAAGGGAGACTTCCAGAAGAGAGGCTAACCAAGCTGAGCCCTTTAGGACAAAGAAGAGGCAACAAGCAAAGGAGGAGGGGAGCATGCTAGGCAAGGGGAACATAGAAATTGAGAAGGCCTGGGGGCTGCTGAGGGCCTGGTGTGCTGGCGTGTAGAGCGCAGGATTGGGGATGGTGAGCAATGAGGTGAGAAGGTCCTGGAAAACCAGCTTGGGGAACAGCGTCTTTGTCCTAAGGGGGACTTGGAATGTTTGCTGTGGGGTAAGAACAGGGCGAGAGACCCATTCGTAATGCGGGGCAGTGTGAGCCCTTGCCGTCCGGTCTAGCCTATTGAGCGCTTTAGCGTGGTGAGTGTGACAGGGGAGCTGAATCTTTCATGTTAGATCCTTTCAGTTGAATTTACATTTGAAAGCTAATATGTGATTCAGTGCGTAAAGACTTTGCACTTTTTCCACATCATTTTGGAACAGCTTTGGTATGTGAATAGCTGTACATTTTATGAAACCTACACAGATCATGTTGCCGATGAAAATCTGGTGTCCAACTTGAGATGTGCAGTGAGTTCATTGGATTTTGAAGACCTAGCATGAAAACAGAATGTTGGAATCATACTGTTTTAGATGTATTGAGCAAAATAGACTCTTCAAACCAAGTTCAACCTGGTTTTTTCCCCCTTTTTATTAACGTGGCTGCAAGAAAGTTTAAGGTTACATACGTGGCTTGCCAGATCTTTCCATCGGACGATGCTGGGTGACGCAGGGTACTCTGGGAGCTCAGAAGTCAAGCAGCCCAGGGGAGGTGATGGCTGAGCCGAGTCTTAGAAGATGGGTTGGGGTTGGCCATGTTGAGAAAGGACAGATGCATGCATTTCAGACAAGAAGGGCACGTGCAGAGGCCTCGAGATGGGAACAGCATGGGATGTTTGGGGCCTCTCATCTACTTCCTTGTTTCTGGAGAATCGGATGCGACCTGGGAAGCAGGGAGAGTTTGAGGATAGCACGTGGTGAGAGGTGAGCTAGAGAGGAGAGTGGGGGCTGGATCTCAAAAGGTCTTGCACTCCCAGCTAAGGAGCCTGGGCTTCGTGCTGTGGGTCCTGGGAGCCATGGAAGGGCTGTGAGGTGGGGAGGCAGGTTCATCCCTGAATGAAAGGTGGCCATAAGGAAGTCACAGTGTGGCTGAGGGCATGCTGGGAGCTCCAGGTGGACGCTGAGGTTGGCCCTGGGGGTGTGTCAGGGGATCTTGTTCAGAGGGAGCAACATTGAGCTATGTCCCAAACCTCACATGCTGAGGCCTGGAGGGGTGACACAGCTTGGTGTGTCTGGAAACACCCCAGTTTAGCAGTGATATAAAAGAAGGTGGAGTATGTGGTGTGGGAAGGGTTAGAAGGTCAGATGGAGAGAGATTAGGTAGGATCGGGGTAGACATCAAAAGACTTTATCCTGGATAAAGCAGAGAATGTGGAGTCATGGAAGGGTTTTGAGCAGGGAGAGACAGTGCCAGCCATGCTGATAGAAGGTCCCTCTGGGGCCACGTGAAGGAGCCACTGGGGGCCGGGAGACCGGGGACCAGGTGGCGCAATGGCCAACATGAGATATAACAGTGAAGATGGGTACAACTGCCTTTGTGTGAGCTCTTCATCATGGGTTAGTATCTGAGTTTAGAGGCTTTTAGAAGCAGGTTCTGAAGCTCTGAAACAGGGATTCAAGTGCAAGTGGTTTGTTTAGGAGGTGCAGGGAACAGAGGGTGATTCAGGACAGGGGAGCAGCCAACACAGGATGTGCTGTTGGGTCTGCTATGTGTTGGGCAGCTGGAGCTTAGTTTTGTGGGATTCTCTGGGGAACGGTGTAAATGCTCCAGAGTGACCCCCGAGATGCGAGGCAGCTGGGGTATTTATACACCAACTCCTGCCGATCGTGGGGTGAGGGCCTCTCCTGGGGCTAGTTTATTCCCTGCCACTTCCAGACTTCTGAGGTTCCGGGGAAGCTGTCTGGAACACTTGGAGGCAGTTAAGATCTGAGGGGAGCAGTGGGGAGCTCAGGGGACCTGCTGGAATCGGTACTGTGCCAAGTACATTACATCATTGTTTACTCGTGGGGATTATTTCTATTCTGCAGTCGTGAGAGAGCAAAGCACAGAGAAATTAAGTAACCTGCCCAAGGTCACACAGCCAGGAAGCAGGAGGGATTGAAGGGTGCGGCCTGCACTGGGGCAGTGACTGTGTGCAGGCAGAGAAGGGGAGAGGGCCCAGAGCCTTCCAGAGGCTACATCAGTGGGTGTGAGCTCTCCGGGATGGGAGCACACGAGCCAGCGAGGTCAGATACACCAAGCCCTTTGCCTCCCCAGCTCGGAAGCAGCTCCCGAAACGGACCATTCAGGAAGTCCTGGAAGAGCAGAGTGAGGACGAGGACAGAGAAGCCAAGAGGAAGAAGGAGGAGGAAGGTGAGCCCCCAGAAGGAGAGAAGTGTGTGTGTGTGTGTGTGTGTGTGTGTGAAGCCAAGAGGAAGGAGGAGGAGGAAGGTGAGCCCCCAGAAGGAGAGGTGTGTGTGTGTGTGTGTGTGTGTGTGTGTGTGTGAAGCCAAGAGGAAGGAGGAGGAGGAAGGTGAGCCCCCAGAAGGAGAGGTGTGTGTGTGTGTGTGTGTGTGTGTGTGTGTGTGTGTGTGTGTGTGTGTGTGTTTTGGATCTGCAAGGGCAGGGGCCTGAGAGCTCAGGATGTTTGGACCCTGCCGATTTGATGCCTGTGTCCAGGCATCCAGGAATTCCACCTACCAATATGGGAACTTTTGTTCTGAAAACATTGTGGGATATATTTGTTTGGACATCTTAATTTAGTAATAATTCAGGCACAGTTTCCCATTTTTATTTGCTATTTTTATATTTATTTAATGGAAACTATTTTTCCTCTAAATGATTTCCTTTTCCTTGTAAATTTTACCATAAAGTTGCAGTTCCCAAACATTCTTAGTTCACAGCACCCTTGATGTCTTAGTAATTTTTTTATGATGCTCCTAGGCCAATACCTTATCAGTTCTATTAAGTAGTTATGTCCAAACAACTATTAGATACTATACATACATTGGAAAAAAAGTAATATTTGTGCTTTTTTTTTTTTTTTTTTTTTGAGACAGTCTCACTGTGTCGCTCAGGCTACAGTGCAGTGGCACAGTTTGGGCTCACTGCAGTCTCCACCTCCCAGGCTCAAGCGATTCTCCCACCTCAGCTTCCCGAGTAGCTGGGATTACAGACACACCACCACGCCCAGCTAATTTTTGTATTTTTAGTAGAGACAGGGTTTCACTATGTTGACCAAGCTGGTCTCGAACTCCTGAGCTCACATGATCTGCCCACCTCGGCCTCACAAAGCCCTGGGATTACAGGCGTGAGCCACTGCGCCCAGCCTGTATTTTGTTCTTAAATAACCATAATTACTTGTGGGAAATGCCTTGGATACTCTGTAACATCTTAAACAGTGGAATTCAATTGAAAACTGCCAACGTCATTTCCTGTTCTATGTTGATTTTTGTACAGTACTTGATTTTTATAGCAGCAACCTATGAAAACCCAGCTTTGCAGAGATGCAATGTCATTGCAAGGAATGTGATTTAATACTGAAAACTGAAATACCTCGAACTAGTAGTTCACACACTGGCCAGCAGGTGTCGCTGGGTTTCCTTTGAAAAATCTAAAATATCTTGCAGCGCCCAGTGAGTTCCCTGCATGTTGGTGAACCCACCGAAAACAGCCATAAAGATCTGATCGATTGATCATCTGGGGCCTGCATGAGATTACACCAATTGCAGCCTTTAACGTCATTTGGTTTTTTGTTTCTGCAAACAAATAAAAGGTCCATTTTCCAGGGCAGATTTAAATTTGGTTAAGATCTGATTTCTTGGCCAGGTGCAGTGGCTCACGCCTGTACTCCCAGCAGTTTGGGAGGCCGAAGCGGGTGGATCACTTGAGGTCGGGAGTTGGAGACCAGCCTGGCCAACATGGTGAAACCCCATCCCTACCAAAATTATAAAAATTAGCTGGGTATGGTGGCATGCGCCTGTAGTCCCAGCTACTCAGGAGGCTGAGGCATGAGAATCCCTTGAAACTGGGAGGTGGAGGTTGCAGTGAGCCGAGATTGTGCCACTGCACTCTAGCCTGGGCGACAGAGGGAGACTGTGTCTCAAAAAAAAAAGATTTGATTTCTTATTGACAATTTTTAGTACAAATTTTATTGTAAACTACACTTTTAGCCACTGTCAGTGTCCAGTGAGGGGTGGCGGGGGTGGCCTCTTTCTACTAAGGCAGATTTTTCCCAAGTTGGTTTTTGTAGTTTGTATTGTGACCCTAGAGGTAAGATTTTTTTTTTAACTTTGAAGATTTTTATTTTTGTCTATAACAGGCTGTCATTTGCATTTTTAACCCTTTCAGATTCTATTTTGGGGTGAATAACACTAAAGGAATCATTGGTAAGGAAAGACACACCATTTATGTCTCGGCTACATAGGCAAACGGGCTGGACCCCCTCAAGGTCGCTGCCTTGCTTGGGGTTGACAAGGAGCAGGGTCTTACGTGGCCCACTGCTTTACAGGCACATTGGATTGGCACAAGATAGAACTGTAAGACCTGCACTTTGGGAGGCCAAGGCGGGTGGCTCACCTGAGGTCAGTAGTTCAAGACCAGCCTGGCCAACATGGTGAAATCCCATCTCTACTAAAAATACAAAAAAATAGCTGGATGTGGTGGTGGGCGCCTGTCATCCCAGCTACTCGGGAGGCTGAGGCAGGAGAATCGCATGAACCCAGGAGGCAGAGGTTGCAGTGAGCCAAGATCACACCATTGCACTCCAGCCTGGGCGGTAAGAACGAAACTCTGTCTCAAAAAAAAGAACAGATGACAGATGAGGGCAGACTGTCTCCAGAGTCAAAATGCCCTTGTAGGTTCAATGGGATTTTTTTGCCATCTGACCGTTCTGTCTATCGTCAGAAGAGGAGACCCCGAAAGAAAGCCTCACAGAGGCTGAAGTGGCCACAGAGAAGGAAGGAGAAGACGGGGACCAGCCCACCACGCCTCCCAAGCCCCTAAAGACCTCCAGTGAGTTTCTGGTCCTCTCCTCCGCCCTGCCCCACCTCCTGATTTTGGGGTCAGAAGTCTTTGGAGGATGATTAATTTAAACAAGGCATAGATTCTCAAACTTATTGCTTAAATGCCGAATCTAGAAGAATAATAGTTTTTATTACTCGGGTTTTTTTTTTTAATTATTATTTTTCCCCATGCATGTGGGAAAGGAGGAAAGAGCCAGCCATTCTTTAAAAAATCTTCCTAGGCCGGGTACGGTGCCTCACACCTGTAATCCTAGCTCTTTGGGAGGCTGAGGTGGGTGGACTACTTGAGCCCAGGAGTTCAAGACCAGCCTGGGCAACATGGCGAAACCCCATTTCTACCAAAAAAAATACAAAAATGACCTGGGTGTGGTGGCACGTACCTGTAGTTCCAGCTACTTGGGAGGCTGAGGTGGGAGGATCGCTTGAGCCCAGGAGGTGGAGGTTGCAGTGACCTATGGTCGCACCACTGCACTCCAGCCTTGGCCACAGAGCAAGAACTCCCCCGCCTCAGACAAAGTAAAAGATAAAAAGTATTCATAGCTTTCAGAAGTCATAGGTGTAAATTAAATGTTATTAATTAAGTTAGACAACCAAACTGAGTTACAGGATTTTAGAGGCTGAAGTTACCCTCTCAGGGTGGTCCAAGTGTCCATGAGGCCCCTGTGTTAGAAACAACACTTGCCGGGAGAATTTTAGGGATACAGAGTTGTATCTGATTTTCTGCAGCTGCTGGGAGGAGTGGGAATATTTTCTTCTCATGACGATGAGATTTCTTTTTACCACTATTCCTAAGTCTCCTATTTCAGGCCAAGTGCTAGAATTCCGCTAGTTAGCACTGAGGAGTAGACAGCAGGCCTGAGATCTCAGCTCAAAGCTAACAGAAAGGAAAAGGGTAGGTGTAGTTATATCTTCCATCTGCAGGGTCAGAATGATCTTGGGGGTAAAAAAAAAGAAAAAAAAAGTCTCAGGGTCAAAGAGTTTGCATCACCGTCTGAGCTCTCTCACCGCAGAAGCAGAGACCCCGACGGAAAGCGTTTCAGAGCCTGAGGTGGCCACGAAGCAGGAACTGCAGGAGGAGGAAGAGCAGACCAAGCCTCCCCGCAGAGCTCCCAAGACGCTCAGCAGCTTCTTCAGTGAGTTTCCCTTGCTCACCCCACCTCCCGGGGTTGTACAGGCAGGAGGCTGGTGAGCCTCTCTCCAGAGGCCTGAGATGCTGCGAAGACCCTTCTTCCTTTCCTGCTGGTTGGAAAGTCGGCCTTGTCTCTACCAGCCTGTCTCCCATCTCCCTGAGCACTGGGGTGGTGCTGGGTGCAGAATGGATGGGAGGTGGGGGCTACCGGAAGGAGAAAAGACCCACTGTTTTCTGTCTTCATTCCTAGCCCCCCGGAAGCCAGCAGTCAAAAAAGAAGTGAAGGAAGAGGAGCCAGGGGCTCCAGGAAAGGAGGGAGCTGCTGAGGGGTGAGTCAGTGTCCAGGTCTGGAAAGGTTCTTCGGGATGTGTTCCCTTCTCTGCATTCCGACAGCCCCACCCCCAGCTCAGGCTTCCTCCTCTTGCAGGACTTGGCAAACCTTTTCTATAAAGAGCCAGAGAGTAAATATTTTAGGCTTTATGGGACACATTTGGCCCCTGTTGCAAAACCATTCTTAGATCCCAGAACCTGTAGAAACGGTCCAGGGTCGGAGTTTGCTGACCGTGGCCCCAGCCACCCTCTGACCCTGCCTCCAGTCTTTCATCCTCAGTCTGATCCCCGTAGAGCCTGGGGGATCTTTCTAACACCCAGAGTTGACTCTGCCCCTCTAGGGTTCCCCAGAGCCGTCAGGAGAAAATCTAAGCCCATTTGGCCACTGGCTGCCACCTCCCTCTCTGGCCTCACTTCCTACCTCTCTGTTCCTCTGGCTCTGAACTCACCAGATTTTTTATTTTTGAGACAGAGTCTTGCTCTGTCGCCTAGCCTGCAGTGCAGTGGTGCTGTCTCAGCTCACCACAGCCTCCACCTCCCAGGTTCAAGCGATTCTCCCAGGTAGCTGGGATTACAGGTGCATGCCACCACACCCAGATAATTTTTGTATTTTCAGTAGAGACACAGTTTCACCGTATTGGTCAGGCTGGTCTTGAACTCCTAGCCTCAGGTGACCCACCCACCTCGGCCTCCCAAAGTGCTGGGATTACAGGCGTGAGCCAGTACACCTGGCCTGAACTCACCAGATTTAGTGTATGTGCTGGAAGCCTGCAGGCGCGTCTACTCTGCCTTAAAATTCACTGAACACCCCTTCTTTGCCAGCCCTGGGCGGCCCACGAGGATGAACCATAGAGAGCCGGCCGCCCTGCCCCAGCCCTCGTGATGTGCTTAGTGTGCTGGGGCTGTGGGACACTGAATAGGTTGTTAAGCAATTAATTGCTTCACTGTAATTTTGTTAATTATTTGAAGAGATGTCTGGGCTGATTCCCACGACATCTAACATGCACACAGGAGGCCGCACTGAAGACTGGCTGAATGGATGATTGGATGCGTGGGTGGATAAATATCCTATAAAGTAATGAGGTCACCCCCCCATCTCTGCCATGCTCAAAACCCATCTGCGATTCTCCCCAGCATAGAGGATATGCTGGGCTTCCCAGTGCCCTCATGAGCCAGCCCTGTCCACCTTACATTGCAGCCTCCTGGCATCTGCAGCCTTTTCCTGCTCCCTCTGCACACCATGTCCCCACGTGCTGTCATTCCTCCCTGCTTTTTTTTTTTTTTTTTGAGATGGAATCTCACTCTGTTGCCCAGGCTGGAGTGCAGTGGCACGATCTCAGCTCATTGCACCTTCAACTTCCCAGGTTCAAGCGATTCTTCTGCCTCCACATCCCAAGTAGCCAGAATTACAGGTGCCTCGCCACCAAGCCTGGCTAATTTTTGTATTTTTAGTAGAGACCGGGTTTCACCATGTTGGCCAGGCTGGTCTCGAACTCCTAATCTCAGGTGTTCTGGCCGCCTCAGCCTCTCAAAGTGCTGGGATTACAGGCGTGAGCCACCACACCCAGCCTCCTCCCTGCTTCTGAACATGCTTGACCCCGGCCTACAACACTGTCCCTAACCCACCCTGCCCAGCAGGCTTCCCTCAGGCCCCAACTCCTATTGCACCTGCTTAGGGAAGCCGGGTGCCTCTCCCTTCATGTGTGAGAGGAGGTGCGTGTCCCCAGCACTTGAGTCAGACTGTCTTTTATGTCTTGTCACATGGTAAAGAGCCTCCCTAACCAGACATAAGCTCCTTCCCACAGAGCCAGGGCTGTGGGAGGTCCCAGCCTTCTTAGTCTTCTTGCCTAGCTCCCAGCACTGGGGCTGGCCCCTAGGAAGCCCAGGAAATCTGCCATGAAAGAAATTTAAATGAGCACTTTCAGATTTTTTTTTTTCACTAGTCAATCATGGACTCATTTATTTACTCAGTAAGTATTTACAAAGGACTGATTACGTGTTAGCTACTGGATTTTAGGTGCCTGAGATCTGGTAGGAAACAAATCAGACAAAAATTCCTCTTTATAGAACTTAGGTTTTTTGGGTTTTTTGTTTTTTGTTTCTTGTTTTTTTTTTTAAAGACAGGGTCTTGCTCTGTTACCCAGGCTGGAGTGCAGTGGTGCTCCTGGGCTCGGGATCCTCCCACCTCAGCCTCTCAAGTAGCTGGAACTACAGGCATGTACCACCATGCCGGGCTAATTTTTGTTTACTTTTTGTAGAGATGGGGTCCTACTACATTGCCCAGGTCGAGCTCCTGGACTCAAGTGATCCTCCCACCTCAGCCTCCCAGAATGCTGGAATTACATGCATGAGCCACCACGGCCAGCCTGATTTCTTACATAATCATATATCCATCTGAAGTTATTTTTTTCCTCTAAAGATTGTGTTTTCAAATACAATGTGATGGTGTTAGCAGCGTGGACTTCATCCCCTCTTGAATTCTTGATGTCCTGAAAGCTAAAAAAAAATTAACGGAAAAGGGGTTTGGAATAATCCCTGCTGTTCAGCAGAAAGGACAGGTGGGTTAAAAAGTATGACGCAGTGAGTCCAAAATCTCTTTGATGTCACGCCTCTACAAATGAAACAGATAACGACAAGAAATTCTTTCAGCTTTAACATTTCATGATTACAGTTTAAGTCTAACAAAAAAGTGTTCGGAGGATTCTTGACATCAATTTTGTACCCCCAATTGAGACCTTATCAAGGAGGTTAAATAGCACGTTAACGTCCTCTCTGCAGTATTCCTGTGGAGGAAGGGAGCACTTTAGCCATTTTACACACATTGACATGATTAGCCCAGAGAGGTTAGGTCGGGCCTCGCCAGGTCACACAGGGAGGTGGGGGTAGGGCCAGGCCTGGGACCCTAAGGAATGTTTTTGATTCCTAGCAGTTATTTCTTCCCCATTGCCATATCGTGCCTCCTGAGTGTGTGTCCGTGTTTGTGTATTTATAAATATGTTTTCCAAATAAAATCAGTGTCCTACTGTATATAAAGTTCTGTTTTCTATTTCAAGTGATACTACGACTGCTTTTCTTTCTTTTGAGACGGAGTTTTGCTCTTGCTGCCCAGGCTGGAGTGCAGTGGCACGATTTCAGCTCACCGCGACCTCCACCTCCCGGGTTCAAGTGATTCTCCTGCCTCAGCCTCCCAGGTAGCTGGGATTACAGGCATGCGCCACCATGCCCGGCTACTTTTGTATTTTTAATAGAGACAGACACTTTTTTGTTAGACTTAAACTTTAATCATGAAATGTTAAAGCTGAAAGAATTTCTTGTCGTTATCTGTTTCATTTGTAGAGGCATGACATCAAAGAGATTTTGGACTCACTGCGTCATACTTTTTAACCCACCTGTCCTTTCTGCTGAACAGCAGGGATTATTCCAAACCCCTTTAATTTCTCCATGTTGGCCAGGTTGGTCTCAAACTCCCGACCTCAGTGATCTGCCTGCCTCGGCCTCCCAAAGTGCTGGGATTACAGGCGTGAGCCACCACGCCAGGCATGACTGCTTTTCTTGCACCATTCCTAGCCTGGTCACTTCCCCTCTGTCTCCAATGGCTGCCTCCAAGAGACAGGCAAACTTTCCCACTCTCCAATTTCCTCACCTCTCAGATGGGGGCACAGTGATGAGAGGAAGCATGTTCTTCCACCCACTCTTCCCCACGTGCCAGGCACTCAGCAACGGGCTTTCCCTGACGCAATGCTCCAAATCCTCACAACACTGCTGGGAGTAGATTCTGTTGTTATCCTGGTTTCCTGGGTGAGAAAAGTAAAGCGGGGAGGTGGGACAGTATTGAGGACTGGCTAGGAATCCCAGCTCCACCTCTCTCAGCTGTGTGACCTTGAGGAAGTGACTTAGCCTTTCTGTGTCTCTCTTCTGAGGATGTGAAACACTTAGCCCAGGGTCTGGCCTTGATTATGACCAGCATGTTGTCACGGTAACTGCTGCTACTATTCTTATTTGTTTTTAATGCCATGCTCAGGCCACACAGGTGGGGAGTGGCAGCATTGTGGTTCTAGCCAGGCTGACTGGCTCTAGACTCCCCTGCCCACCACACTCTGCTGCCTCATTGTAATGCCGGCCACCGCTTGTTAAACCCCAAGTTCATACCAAAGGCCATGCACAGCCCTGCAGTGGCACTATCTGTCTTGGCCATCCATGCCCTGTGTGAGCATCAGAATCAGCTGAAGAGCTGAAAAATATCCTGAGGTCTCTTTCTCCCCCCCAACCCTTGTCCCCATTTTGGTACAGATGTAGGCCTGGGGCTGGGGAGTCCTCATTGTTCCATGAAGTGCACCCAGGAGTGGGAACCCTCACTGTCATTTTTTATGTAACCTTCAGGACAACCTGTCATAGTAGGGACCCCTTAGCTCCCCAGACAGATGGAGATGCTGTGGTTCAGAGAGGGGAAGCTGCTTCCTCAGCAGGTACAGCTGGCCGGGGCAGAGCAGATTGGAACCCAGATGAGTCTGAATGCAGAGTTTGGCTGGGGTCAGTGTGAGCTACTTACGATATAAAGGTTGAGGCCGGGCGCAGTGGCTCATGCCTATAATCCCAGGACTTTGGGAGGTCGAGGTGGGAGGATCGCTTAAGTCCAGGAGTGAGACACCAGCGTGTGCAACACGGCAAAACCCCATCTCTACAAAGATCAGTCGGGCATGGTTGCTTGCACCTGTAGTCCTAGCTACTCAAGAAGCTGAGGTAGGAGAATCCCTTGAGCCCTGGAGGTTGAGGCTGCAGTGCGCATTGCTCCACTGCACTCTAGCCTGGGCGACAGTGAGACCCTGTCTCAAAAAAAAATAGAGGTTGGGAACTGTCTCTAGAGCTGCGCTGCTTACCAGCTGTGTGGCCATGGGTGAGTTAATCACTCTGTGCCCCAGTTTCCTTATCCGGAAAAGGAAGTTAGAAAGGTCCCTTCTGGCCAGGCACGGTGGCTCACGCCTATAATCCTAGCACTTTGGGAGGCCAAGGCAGGCAGATCATTTGAGGTCAGGAGTTCAAAATCAGCCTAGCGAACATGGTGAAACCTCGTCTCTTCTGAAAATACAAAAAAATCAGCCAGGTGTGGTCGTGTACGCCTGTAATCCCAGTTACTTGGGAGGCTGAGGCAGAAGAATCACTTGAAGCCAGGAGGCAGAGGTTGCAGCGAGCCGAGATCATGCCACTGCACTCCAGCCTGGGCAACAGAGTGAGACTCTGTCTCAAGAAAAAAGGAAAGGTCCCTTCCTCCCATGTCTGATTGTTAATCGATGTGGTGTTAGCATGGCACCTGGCACTTTGCGACACCCGGGACTATACGCACCTCCCTCTGTCCCAGCTCAGCTACGCAATCCCTTTTCTGTTTCTCAAGTTTGTCTGCACCTCAGCGCCTTTGCACACGCTATTCTCTCTGCCTGGAATGCTCGTCCCCTGCTGCCCACTGTGCTAACCCCTCCCTCATTCTGCCCAGATGTCTCCGGCCTTCCCTGACCACCCTGTGAAGCAGCACCCTCATCTCATCCTCTTCCTCTACTCGGCTTTCTTTTGTTTTCTGAAAGATTTTTTTAACACCTAAAATTAATGATGTGTTTATGTGGGGGCTTTTTGCCCACTTTCCTCTGACTCTCCTGCTGGAATGTGAGCTCCAGGTTAGCAAACTTTGTTTTCATCCAGCTCTGCACCGTGTGCCTTGAACAGAGCCTGGCACATCACAGTTGGAAGGAATGACTTTGCTTTGACCCAGGGCTCTATGCAATTCAATCTCCGTTTTGCCTCCGTAGACCCCTGGATCCATCTGGTTACAATCCTGCCAAGAACAACTATCATCCCGTGGAAGATGCCTGCTGGAAACCGGGCCAGAAGTGAGGTTTCTCCCTTTTCAGACTGTCCCCCTCCGGTCCCTGTTGCCACCGGAGGCTCTCTAAGCAGAGTCTTGGTTGGGAGAAATGGTCAAGTCTCTCCCTCCTGTGTTTTGGCGACAATCAGCAGCATTGAAAGGGACAGAGAGACAGCCCTGGGAAGTGAGCTCATGCATTTGGGTATTGGCAAGGGTGTCCCGAGGAGGCGTGAGGAAGCAAGGGTGCAGACGGGCAGCATGGTATAGCCTGCACCACTGTCACTCTTGCGTCTCTTTTCCTTCCCTAGGGTTCCTTACCTGGCTGTGGCCCGGACGTTTGAGAAGATCGAGGAGGTGTCTGCTCGGTAACTAATGAGGACTGCCTGGGTGGGGGGCGGGGTCGCTTCTGGGTCTGTCCTCTGCATGGCGGTCTGTGCTGCCTTGTTCCGCCAAACCCTGTCAACTTGGCCTCTGACCCCGCTCGGGCGTATGATCATGGATGTCAGACATGGTCACAAAAGCGGCTGCAGGTCCTCTTGACTTTCTGCCTCATTCTCATGGTCAGAGCAAGACACAAGGGGCGAGCCCAGATGTGCAGGGTAAGGAGACAGGCTCCATCTCGGGATGACTGGCACCATTGCACACAGTCCGTGATTACTTCTAGTCCACCCTGAGTCATCAAAAGTGACTTCAGTCTTGCTTACATGTCTCCATATTCACAAAAGAAGGTGAGGTCTCAGTTATAGCGAGGACCCCCTACTCATTCACAGAGGTTCCCTGCAGAGCGTCCCACCCCAGTGATGCCCAGTGCATAGCACTGCCCCACCCTGGTCCTTCTCAGCAGCATGTTAGCATCGCTGGTCCCTGCCAGCCCCCTTCTCTGTCCCCATTTCCTCTTCTCTCCTTGTCCTCCTCACCCCCAGCACTCGCCCCTGTGTATTTAGTTTATATAAATATTATCATGGAGGCTGGGTGCAGTGGCTCATGCCTTAATTCCAGCACATCGGGAGGCCAAGGTGGGTGGATCACCTGAGGTCAGGAGTTCAAGACCAGCCTGGCCAACATGGTGAAACCCCATCTCTACTAAAAACACAAAATTAGCCCAGCATGGTGGCGGGTGCCTGTAATCCCGGCTACTCAGGAGGCTGAGGTACGAGAATCACTTGAACCCAGGAGGCAGAGATTGCAGTGAGCCGAGATCACGCTATTACACTCCAGCCTGGGTGACAGAGTGAGACTCTGTCTCAAAAACAAACAAACAAAATTATCATGGGTACGGCTCATTCTGCTTGCCTTCACTATCAAACCCGTTTCCACATGTGTCCATGTTGGTTGAGTGGTTCGAGCCTGTTGTGACTGCTCTGTAGTGTCCCTTCGTTCTCACATGGCACATGCCATTTCTCAGTTCCCCAACATGAGTGGAGCATTTCAGGCTGTTCCCAGCACTCTGTTTTTTTTTTTTTTTGAGATGGAGTCTTGCTCTGTTGCCCAGGCTGGAGTGCAGTGGCGCAATCTCGGCTCACTTGCAGCTCCGCCTCCCAGGTTCACACCATTCTCCTGCCTCAGCCTCCCGAGTAGCTGGGACTACAGGCACCTGCCACCATGCCCAACTAATTTTTTGTGTGTGTGTTTTTAGTAGAGATGGGGTTTCACTGTGTTAGCCAGGAAGATCTTGATCTCCTGACCTCGTGATCCGCCCACCTCCGCCTCCCAAAGTGCTGGGATTACAGGTGTGAGCCACCGCGCCCGGCCCTAATTTTGTATTTGTAATAGAGATGGGGTTTCACTATGTTGGCCAGGCTGGTCTTGAACTCCTGACCTCAAGTGATCGGCCCGCCTCGGCCTCCCAAAATGCTGGGATTACAGGCCTGAGCCACCACACCCGGCCCTCTTCTGTATTTTGTAAGGATGCTTTTTGGATTCAGAGCCTACCTTCATTCACTATGCTCTCATCTTAATCTACAGGTACATCCGCAAAGACCTTCTTTCCAAATGAGGTCATGTTGTGAGGCTCTGAGTGGACCTGAATTTTGGGGGGGCTGTTCCATCCACTGCACCATCCAATGGTGGCTTTTGCCTACAATGATTACTGAGGGATTTCCCTGATGTTGGTTTTTGTATTTCTTCTCTGCACCTTAAAAACCTCGGTAATGAGACTTCTGTAGGAAAAACCCAGCTTCTGTTTCTAATGAGGCCCCCTAAGTTTTTCAGTAACAAAGCCATTCTTTCCAGCTTTGAAGTTTTAGACAGAAACACGGTTTTCGTTTTAGAGGTGGTGCAGCTTGGTGGCTGGGAGCACAGTCCTCAGGCACACGGCCTTGGTGTACATCTCAGCTTCATACTTACTCGCTCTGTGACCTTGGGCAAGCCACGGACTCTTTCGGTGCCTCTGTTTCTTTATCCGTAAAATGGAAATAATAATGGTACCTACCTCAGAGGGGAGCTGTGAAGATTCTATGAGTTAAAAGGTGCAAAGGGCTGGCCGTGTTGGCTCACGCCTGTAATCCCAGCACTTTGGGAGGCCGAGGCGGGCGGATCATTTGAGGTCAGGAGTTCGAGACCAGCCTGACCAACACGTTGAAACCCCGTCTCTACTAAAAATTAAAAAAAATTAGCCGGGCATGGTGGTGCGCACCGGTAGTCCCGGCTACTCCGGAGGAGAATCACCTGAACCCACAAGGTGGAGGTTGCAGCGAGCCGAGATCGTGCCACTGCACTCTACCTTGGGCGATGGAGCGAGACTCCGTCTCAAAAAAAAGGTGCAAAGTGCTCAAAGCCAGCTCCTGAATTTAGAAAATGCTCCGTAGCATCAGCTGTCGTTTCTCTGGGCTGATCATCACCATCTTCATCATTGTTACCGTCACACCAAGTTACTCCCCCACTGTAACCGTCCGGTGGGTTCACCTTGCCCGCTGCCTAGACAGAGCCGATTTATCTAGACGGGGGAACTGCAGTGGAGAAAGAGTCATTCCCGCAGAGCTGGCTGTGCGGGAGACCGGAGTTTCATTTTTACTCAAATCAGTCTCCCTGAGCATGTGGGGAGCAGAGTTTTTAAAGATAATTTGGCGTGTAGGGGCTTGGTAAGTGGGGAGTGCTGATTGGTCAGGTTGAAGATGGACTCACAGGGGGTCGAAGGGAGGTTTTCTTGCTGTCTTCTGTTCCTGGGTGGGATGGCAGAACTTGTTGAGCCAGATTACAGTCTGGGTGGCGTCAGACTGAGTGCAGGGTCTGCAAACTATCTTAAGCACTCATCTTAGGTTTTACAGTAGTGATGTTATCCCCAGGAGCAATCGGGGAAGCCAGAGGCTGCGTGACCCCTAAACCTAAATTTCTAATCTTGTAGCTAATTTGTGAGTCTTGCGAAGGCAGGTCCTTAGGCAAAAAGGGGTCTTTTCCAGAAAGGGCTATTACCAATTTCGTTTCAGAGTCAAGCCACGAACCAAATTCCTTCCCAAAGTTAGTTCTGCCTATGCCCAGGACTGAACAAGGACAGCTTAAAGGTTAGAAGCAAGATGGAATCGGTTAGGTGTGATTTCTTTCCACTGTCATAATTTCCTCAGTTACGGTTTTGCAAAGGCGGTTTCACCTCCAGCAATCTGTGATTGTCCTCATGGCTCCAGGCCCCAGAGCCTGGGACTGTTCTGAGCCCTTTCCTCTTCTTTCTCCATTTCTTTCTAGTGTCCACCCCCTTAAACCCACCCCACCCCGACACCACACTTTGACCTTGAGGAACCACGTGTTCATACCCCCGTCCCCTCCTCCAGGCTCCGGATGGTGGAGACGCTGAGCAACTTGCTGCGCTCCGTGGTGGCCCTGTCGCCTCCAGACCTCCTCCCTGTCCTCTACCTCAGCCTCAACCACCTTGGGCCACCCCAGCAGGGCCTGGAGCTTGGCGTGGGTGATGGTGTCCTTCTCAAGGCAGTGGCCCAGGCCACAGGTAAGGGGGACTGTGGTTGGAGGGACCAGAAGGACAGGAGCTCAGCCAGAGAAAATGCAGAGGTCAGGTGGATCGGAGAGATGGTGGAGAGAGGCTGTGAAACAGGGTTGAGGAGAAGGCTGAGAGGGAGGAGAGCCTGATGGGGACAGATTTGCAGGGGTGTGGGAGAGAACACAGGGGCAGCAGTTCAGGTGAGGGAGGACCAGGCATGTGCTGGGACAGGGGGTGTGGGGTGCAGGGAAGGGGAGGGCTGGGGAAAGATGCTGGAGGCAGAGACAGCAGGATTTGGGGGCTGAGATGGAAGGTTGGGGCTTAGAGAGGTCTGAAAGGACTTTGACTGGAGGGATTGGAAGGAGTGGGAGGAAAGAACATGGTGTGTGGGGGGCCAGCAGCCTGAAGGGGCCCAGCCGCCAGTGCTGGGTGGAAAGGCTGGTGATGCGGATGGCCCGCCTGCCAAGGGCCTGGAGTGCTCGGTGCTTATCATGAGGACACTGGGGAGCCATGGAAGGATTGTGAGCAGGCAAGGGGCAGCATCCAGGGGGAAGAGGAGCTGGACCCCAGCTGTAGAGAAGAGAGAAGAGGGCAGGAGAGATCTGGCAGACAGTGGATGTCAGGGTGAGGAGGCAGGAGGAATGCCTCCAGGATCTCCCTGGGTGACTGGATGGATGACAAAGCCGTCGGCAGCTTGGGACCCTGGTGAGGGGCAGGCACCTGCAGGGGGCATTAATCACCCCAGCGTGGGGCAGGCATGAGCAACCTCTATCTGTGGGCCCCCAGGGCCATCCAGGAAGTTTGGAAACGGGTCTGAGGCTCACCAGGTCTGGCTCAGAGCCCAGGGTTCGGGCTGGTCAGTGTAGGAGGGATGACCACCCACTGGTGGGTTCTCATCCGCCTGGGGAGAGGATGTGCTGGGAGCACTGGAGCTGGCTTAGGGCCATGGGCACCAACATTTAGGGAAGGCAGGGGTTTCAGGCTTTCATGAGAGGACAGAGGGACTGAGAAAGGTTGACTTGGATCAGGAAAGAGTTACGGGCTTATGGGAGCCAGAGGAGATGAGACTCAAGATTTTCTCACTCATTCACTCAAGATGTGTTTCGGGAGCACTGACGTCATACCAGACCCAGCACACACGGGGTCGGTTAAGAATACTCTGAGCTGCAGGTAACAGAAAACCCAACTACATTGGCTTGGACAAAGAAGGATCTGTTTTTCTCACAAAAGAAGTTGCAGATGCTGGCTTTCCTGCCCAACAATCCATGGCAGCTGGGGCCTCTTCCACTGTCTCATGCCTCCACCCTTGATGGGTCGTGTTCACACTCACACTGCTCTCCGTGCCGCCTTGTGGCCCCCGTGGCTGTCCAAGTCCCGGGTTTGTTGTGAGTTGTTGGCCACTTTGGAGAATCCCGTCCCCTTTGATGTGTGATTCGATAACATCCCATTGGTGAGGCTCACACTGTCGGCTCTCCCATTTGTGGCAGTTTCGCTTCAGGCGCGAGGCCCACCTTCATGTGCTCTGTGCCGCGGCTGAGCATCTGTGGACTGAAACGCGCACTTGTTCGTTCATTACGGATTGCTTTCCCTTTCATTCTTTTCTGTGTTAGGGTTAGGGCGTTATCTCGATAGGTGTAGGCAGGTTATGTTATCTCCACATTTTATTTCAGACCAGAAAAGAGGTGACACACAGTATCTGGTGACAAGGGTGTGTTGGTTCTGATAGGTTGAGAGCTGCTTGTCACAGCTGTCACCGTGACTTGAGGCTCCATCTCCCCAGCTCTTACACCCAGGCGCCCATGGGACCCAGCTCTGGACAGTAAGTGGGGCCAGAGCACATCCCACGTGTGTAAGCTGGTGGCTCCAAAACAAGCCGAAGGGTCTTTGGTCACTGCCAGAGATGTTCATGACCCGCCAGAGGAAAGGGTCCCTTGGCCTTCTCTGCTCTGTCCACACTCACTTCCCTAGTGACCTTGTCCCGCCTGTGGCTTTAAATCCCATCCGCGCCCTGATGACACCGGCCCAGATGTCTCCCCTGAGTGTGGTCATGCTCGTTCATCCACCGCTTTCCTGGCTCCACGTGCATGTTTGCTGACTTCCTACAGCCAGCGTGGCTGGGGGCACGTTCCCCAAGCCATTTCTACCAAGTGGGTGAGCGTTAGACACAGGGAGGTGCAGGGACTCGCCACAAGCACACACAGCTGGAGAAAATTCATCCAGGCCGCGAGAGAAGGGAGACACGCAGCCACAACTGTCACCCTCGACACCCCCACCCGCGCTCTCCCCTGAAGGTCGGCAGCTGGAGTCCGTCCGGGCTGAGGCAGCCGAGAAAGGCGACGTGGGGCTGGTGGCCGAGAACAGCCGCAGCACCCAGAGGCTCATGCTGCCACCACCTCCGCTCACTGCCTCCGGGGTCTTCAGCAAGTTCCGCGACATCGCCAGGCTCACTGGCAGTGCTGTGAGTGGGGCGGGCCGCTCATCCCGGACCCCAGACATCTTGGGGACCTGAGGCCACGCGTGTGTCAGGAAGGCTTCTGGGTAGACCATCAGCTGGGTCGCATCAGTCCTTCTCATGGGGTGCACAGCTTCCTCTCCTCCTTCCTGCACCCAATCCTAGGGGAGTCTCCTCTTCAGAGTCTAGCAGACCTAATGCCATGGCTGCCACATGACAGGACTCAGTAAATACTTCCTGGATAAAGGGAGAGGGAGGCAAGGAGGAGAGCTAGCTCGTTCTTACTGCCCTAAGAGTGGGCGGCCATGGGAGCTGGGACATGGGGATGGGGTGAGGGAAGGAGGGCAGGTATTCCAAAATGCAGGGCAGCAGCACGGCTGGTGGGGTGGAGGTGTGGTCCCTGCCTTCACCAGGCACTGACGGCTCTTCCCCTGACTCTCCAGTCCACAGCCAAGAAGATAGACATCATCAAAGGCCTCTTTGTGGCCTGCCGCCACTCAGAAGCCCGGTTCATCGCTAGGTAAGCGTGTGGGCCTGTGAGGCTACAGAGGGGGACTGCAGGCTCGGAGGTGAAAGGAGGGAGGGACTGGCAGCTGGAATCATCACAAATGCCCTGACCATCCTTGGATGAGAAAAGCATGAGCAGGAGGCCCAGCCCCTAAAGAGTGGGAAGGGACACCATTTCCTTTCACAGGCCAGCTTCTGTCCCTTGGTAGTGCTGTCTAGAGAAGGCCCCTGGGCCCCTGTGGGTGAAGCATGCTGTGATTGATTGGTGAGGTCTGCCTCGGCTTGGGCGCGGGCCCTGCAGCAGGAAGCCAGGGTTTGTTTGCCATGACAGTGAGAGCAAATCCATTGAGGGCTCACATCATGGAGCATTTCTTGGGAGCCCTGCCCTGTGCCCCGTGCCTTACCTCATCAGTTCCTACCAGCAACTCTGTGAGACTGGTCTTGTTACCCTCACCTCCAGTTTATAGAAGGGGAAATGGAGACATGGGGAGGCAAACTAAGCCACTTGTCTCCTGCCACTGGCTCAAAGCAAGGACCATGCTGGGGTCCTGACCATTACAGTCACCAGGGCGGGCGCCAGGCTCAGTTCTCTCCCTGACTCATCCTCCTCAAGCCTCGCCAACCCCTCAGGGCAGCTGAGATGGGAGGTGCTGGTGCACCTACTTGTGCCCCTCCCCAGTCTATGCTAGTGGGCAGGATCATTACTGCCTGGCTCAGTTTCCTCATCTGTCACATGGGGCTGTGTGATATCTGGGGTCCCTTCCAGGCTCTGAAGATTCTTCTGGTTTTTGAGGAGAGGGTCTACATACATCAAGGTCGAGGAGATCAGAGAAGGGAGGAGGCAAGATTGGGGAGGTGCAGACAAGCCCCCTTCCCTGGCCTGCTCTCTCCCCAGGTCCCTGAGCGGACGGCTGCGCCTTGGGCTGGCAGAGCAGTCGGTGCTGGCTGCCCTCTCCCAGGCAGTGAGCCTCACGCCCCCGGGCCAAGGTGAGCTCCTGTGGCCCGTCTCTGCATCCCTCGCTGGAGTTACCTCAGGCTTCCCCCCTCCTCTTCAGAGGCCCATGCCCGCCCCTTCCCCAGCGGGCCCCTGCCATACCAGGCTCCTCTCTCCTGGGTGGGGGGGAGGGGGCGTCTTGGGCCGCGGCATCTGCATTCCTTGCCATACAGCAAACCACCCACTGCACCCTGGTGTAGCCAAGGATGTGGGTGCCTTCCAAAGCCTCTGGTGGGTCTTTTCTTAGAATTCCCACCAGCCATGGTGGATGCTGGGAAGGGCAAGACAGCAGAGGCCAGAAAGACGTGGCTGGAGGAGCAAGGCATGATCCTGAAGCAGACGTTCTGGTGAGAGCTGGGCAGTGGGTGGAGTTGCCAGGGGCTGTGGGCAGAGTGCCAGGGTGGGGGTGGAGCCAGAGGAGCAGTGGGTGGGGCCAGTGAAGTGACGGACAGGCATCACGAGTGCCGGTCACGGGGTGACTGAGAGCAGAGGTGGTGATCTAGACAAGGCTGGTGCTTGACACAAGGATGGTGACAAAGATCAGGAAGGTGGCAAACAGTGAAGGGTCAGTGACCCCAGGAGAGGTATAGAAAGACGCTGGCAGCGGCCAGGCACAGTGGCTCACGCCTGTAATCCCAGCACTTGGGAGCCTGAAGCAGGCAGATCACTTGAGGTCAGGAGTTTGAGACCAGCCTGGCCAACATGGTGAAACCCTGTCTCTACTAAAAATACAAAAATTAGCCTGTAATCCCAGCTACTTGGGAAACTGAGGCACAAGAATCATTTGAACCCAGGAGTTGGAGGCTGCAGTGAGCTGAGATCACGCCACTGCGTTCCAGCCTGGGCAACAGAGTGAGACTGTCTTAAAAAAAAGAAAGACGCTGACAGCAAGGGAGGGCAGCCGGCAACATGAGGTTTCTGAGTGCCAGACAGGGCTGTGCATGCAGAAAGGCCTTAAGGGACCCAGAGAGGAGCAGGTGACTGACACATGGTGAAGGGTCTTGACAGTCATGGAGAGGACATCCGTGGAGCGGCCACGAGGGCTCCAGAGAGAGCCATGTGGAGGGACCTAGGCCAGCAGCTGACCCAGGGCTGGTGACTCCAAGATCATGACTGCCCCAGAGAGGATGTCAGAGGCAGGAGGGCCGATGGCAGTTCCACAGATGGCCTCAGAGCACCTGCTCTGGGCCAGGGCCCCCCACTGGGTGCTGAGCAGAGAGTGGTGAACAGGCCCGGGCAGCAAGCTCAACTCTGCCTGCACGTGGGGCTCTATCAGCTGCTGACCTCAGGCCTACCCCACACCAGCTACATCAAAATCTTTGTAGGTGGAACCTAGCCTTGAAAACCTTTGTCTATTTTTATTTTGTTTGAGACGGAGTCTCGCCCTGTCATCCAGGCTGGAGTGCAGCAGCACAATCTCAGCTCACTGCAACTTCCGCCTCCAGGGTTCAAGTGATTCTCCTGCCTCAGTCTCCTGAGTAGCTGGGACTACAGGCGCGTGCCACCACCCCCAGCTAACTTTTATATTTTTAGTAAAGATGGGATTTCACCATGTTGGCTAGGCTGGTCTTGAACTCCTGGGCTCAAGTGATGCACCCACCTCGGCCTCCCAAAGTGCTGGGATTACATGCCTGTAGGCATGAGCCACCATGCCCGGCCAAAAACCTTTTTTTAAAAACTGTATTCTTGAGTGGTCTCCTGTGTAGCCGAGTAGAGAATCGCTGGTCTCGTGGTGACAGATAGGGAACAGGGGCAAGGCCAGACTAAGGGAGACAAAGCAACAGATAGTGACACGAAGGGAGAGCACAGAGACAGGGTGGCAAGAGGAGCTTGGCAGGTGGTGACTCAGTGGGCAGAGGCATCCAGGAGCCCAGGCTTCTGGGAGCAGGCCGAGCTCTCTTTCCAAACTGTGTGAGTTCTAGAAAGGCTTCCCCTATCTTGTTCTCACCCGCCACCCCAGCGAGGTTCCCGACCTGGACCGAATTATCCCCGTGCTGCTGGAGCACGGCCTGGAACGTCTCCCGGAGCACTGCAAGCTGAGCCCAGGTACAGGCCCCAGGGGCGCTCACCAGCCTGGCAGCAGCCCTGCTCCCTCCTGAGTCGGCGTGAGGGTGGCCATCGTAGGCGCCCCTCTCAGAACTTGCAGAGTCCTCTCCCCCACCAAAACCAAATGCTCCTCCCTGGTGCTGAAACCCACTGCTTTTCTCCTTGGAATTTCCCCTTGTGGAGTAGATAGGGTGTAGGTGACACTGCTGTGATAAACAGGAGCCGGGCGTGGTGGCGTGTGCCTGTGATCCCAGCTACTCGGGAGGCTGAGGTGGGAGGATCGCTTGAGCCCAGGAGTTCAAGGCTGCAGTGAGCCGTCATCGCGCTACTGCACTCCAGCTGGGCGACAGAGTGAGACAATAAATAAGTAAATAAAAATGGGCCAGAAGGCAGTGGGTCAGGCCAGATAGAATTTCTTTCTGTCACACAGAAGTGTCCAGAGCAAGGGAGGTGGCCAGGGAAGGTACAGGTGTGCAGCTGTGTCCCAGGGATGACCCGGGGACCCAGGTTCCTGTGTCCCTCTGCCCTCCAAAGGTTGTCACCCCAATGTCTGTGATCAAATGTGGCTCACTTCCCTGTTCTAATTGTGGGAGGAGGGACGCAGAGGAGGGAGGGGAGGCAACCAGATTCCTTGCAAGGATGTGAGCCAGACATTGCACATGCTGCGTGGGTTCCAATCACATGGCCTTTCCCACCTGGAAGGAAGGCCGGGGGCTGTAGTCCCCAGTGGGAGGCTAGGTCCCCTTCTAAAACGTGGGAGGCTTCGTGACTGAATAGCAAGAAAGCAGAATGGTCCTGGGGCCCATTAGCAGTTCTCCTCTCCATGTTCCCCCTCTAATCCATTGCCTTCCCTCTCCTCTAACTCACTCTCCTCCTTTCCCAGGGATTCCCCTGAAACCAATGTTGGCCCATCCCACCCGGGGCATCAGCGAGGTCCTGAAACGCTTTGAGGAGGCAGCTTTCACCTGCGAATACAAATATGACGGGCAGAGGGCACAGGTATGGGGAGTGGGACATGTCCCTTCCACAGACAGGAAAACGTCAAAGAGCAGGGGTGTGGGGTCACTGAGGCCTGAGCTTCAAGCCGGCCTGCGCCACAGACTGCCGAGCCCTCGCTCATCTCTCTGGGCTTCAGCATCCACCTCCATGCAGTGAGTGTGTTCTTTTTTTTTTTTTTTTTTTTTTTTTTTGAGACAGAGTCTCACTCTGTCATCCAGGCTGGAGTGCATTGGCATGATCTTGGCTCACTGTAACCTCCACCTCCTGGCTTCAAGTGATTCTCCTGCCTCAGCCTCCCAAGTAGCTGGGACTACAGGCGCCCGCTACCGTGCCCGGCTAATTTTTTGTATTTTTAGTAGAGACGAGGTTTCACCATGTTGGCCAAGATGGTCTCGATCTCTTGACCTCATGATCCACCCACCTCAGCCTCCCAAAGTGCTGGGATTACAGGCATGAACCATCGTGCCTGGCCTCTAGGGTGTGGTCTTAACTACCTCACCAGCTTATCCGAAGCTACAATCCTCCAGAGTCCTGACCGATGATAGTGGGAGCTCATGAAACGTGGGCTCCGCTGATGCTGCTGGTGGGTGTGTTCATTTTAACAGCCGTTCTGGGAGGTGCCTACATGACCCCTTCATGCCGTGACGTGCATGTGTGTCCTGTGATCCAGGGCCTCAGGCGTCCTTGGTCCTGGGGTCTGTAAGAATGTGTTGTGTCTCTTCTGTCCTGGCAAGTGTGGGGCCTTCTCACCTGGGGATAGGTAAGCAGGCAAAGTGGGTGGGAGCCACAGGGCTCGGGGCAGTTACAGGAAGTGGACCCCTGAGGAGACCAGCCTGGCCAACATGGTGAAACCCCATCTCTACTAAAACCACAAAAATGAGCCAGTGTGGTGGCGTGTGCCTGTAGTCCCAGCTACTCGGGAGGCTGAGGCAGGAGAATTGCTTGAACCCAGGAGGCAGAGGGTGCAGTGAGCCAAGATCGTGCCACTACACTACAGCCTCCACGATAAGAGTGAGACTCCATCTTTTAAAAAAAAAAAAAAAAAAAGGGTGGATCCAACAGACACAGGATCAGAGATGGATCTCCAAAATAGTGTTGAGAAAAAAGACACAAGATGATTTACGATAGTGACAATGATTTCTTGACAACTGTTCCTGGAAATAATAACAAACATATAAGATGCTATATATGCCGCCCTGCTCAAGGGCTGTGACCGGACTGTCTTAAAATAAATAGACATAGAGGCTGGGCGCAGTGGCTCACGCCTGTAATCCCAGCACTTTGGGAGGCTAAGGTGGGCGGATCACCTGAGGTCGAAAGTTCAAGACCAGCCTGGCTCTACTAAAAATACAAAAATTAGCCAGGTGTGGTGGTGGGCGCCTGTAATCCCAGCTCCTTGGGAGGCTGAGGCGGAAGGCTCTCTTGAACCCGGGAGGTGGAGGTTGCATTGAGCAGAGATTGCACCACTGCTCTCCAGCCTGGGCGAGACTCCGCCTCAAAAAAAAATCAGAATGAGATCTAGAGCATAATGACATTTAAACAAATCAGCACCCACATGCAGCAAGGTGCATGTGCCTACATGGGGAGAGGTGTAGGGATTGGAAATGAAGAAGAAAATGATGGTAGGGCCTTCCAGAGCAGGGCTGGGAGGTGCTGTTGGAACTGAGGAGATGATTCGCTCAAGTCTCTGCACCAGTTCCTCCTCCAGAGCTTCCAGAACCTTCTACCAGTGCAGGTGGGGTCAGAAGAGAAAGCTGAGGCCACATGAGGGGACTCAGCTGATTTCCCCTCCCTTCTCCCATCGTGACAGATCCACGCCCTGGAAGGCGGGGAGGTGAAGATCTTCAGCAGGAATCAGGAAGACAACACTGGGAAGTACCCGGACATCATCAGCCGCATCCCCAAGGTGGGCGTCTGCCACACACTTGCACTCTGCCAGGGTCTGTGGTCAGGGGTGCAAAGGCCTGAGGCCCATCTAGGCCAGTGTGGCACAGTGCGGGGTTTATTGGGAGGAGATCAGGTTGCGTTTGGCTGCAAATGACAGAGCACTCAGTCCTGCGTGGTGTAAGCCCATATGATTTTTTCTCACATCTAGAGGTGGGCACCCCAGCACCGACTTGGCTGAGCACTGATGTCCCCCTGAACCAAGCTTATCGCTACCTCTATCCCCTGCTGTCCTTGGCTGGTTGGCTTTTAGTGCCAATGCTTGTCCCCTTAGAGTTTCCCAAACAGATGTCATTCTTCCAGACAGAAAGAGGGAAAAGGGATTCTAGCTTGAGTTAACACTTTCCTGGACACCTCCCACCCACAACCCCTCCCCCGCCGTGGACTGCAGCTGGGAGTCACTGTCCAGCACTGGGTTCCATGGCCACCCTAGTGCAACAAAGCCTCGGAAAGCCAGAGTCTAACTCTGCAGCCTCTCCAGCCAGGAACGCGGGGAGGAGGAGTCAGGACGAGTTTGGAGGGGGCCAGCCTGTGGATAGGCCCCAAGCCTCAGAAATAGCAGCTCAGAGTCATACAGGGCTGGGCCTCACAGGCCCCAGAGTTGGGGACTTCTCTGCACCCAGTAGGGGTCTCGTGCCTGTTCGAGGAGTCCCCTATCAAAGAGCCTTTCTCTTTGCCTGCCCCTAATTAAATAGGAAATAAGTTATTTAAGAAAGCAGGGGGCACGGTGCCCATCATTCTGCCTGTTAGAGACAGTGACAGAGAGAGGCACAGTTCAGTGCACGTGTTAGGGGAGCTCCTGTTCCGTGCCAAGCACTGTTCTTTAAATCAATTTTCTTAAGATGTAATTTCCCTAAAAGTTAGTGATTTTCAGTGTGCACTATGCTGTTTGATGAGTTTTGAAAAGTTCATACACCCAAGTAACCGACACCCCAATGAATGTATAAAATATTTCCACATTCTCATCATTCTAACATATTTCCGCTGGGCGCAGTGGCCCACGCCTGTAATCCCAGCACTTTGGGAGGCTGAGGCGGGTGGATCACCTGAGGTCAGGAGTTCAAGACCAGCCTGGCTGACATGGTGAAATCCCATCTCTACTAAAAATACAAAAATTAGCTGGGTGTGGTGGCACGCACCTGTAGTCCCAGCTACTTGGGAGGCTGAGGCACGAGAATCGTTTGTACCCAGGAGGCGGAGGTTGCAGTGAGCTGAGATCGGGCCACTGTACTCTAGCCTGGGTGACAGTAAGACTCCATCTCAAAAAAATAAAAATAAAAAATCAAATATTTCCTTGTGTCCCTGGCCAAGCAAGGCCCCCTCCTCTGTCCAACACCATGCATCCACCAGAGGCAACCCCAGGTCTGCTTTTTGGTCGCCACAGGTTGGTTTTACCTGTTCTAGAGCTTCCTGTTGGTGGTATAATATGGCACTAGTCTCTTGCATCTGGCTGCTTTTGCTCATTCGTTCAGCAAGTATTTACTGGGCATCTGCTCCGAGCTAGGCCCCATGCTGGAGGCTGGGAGTGTAACAGGCCTGCCATGGTCTCTGCCCTCACTGAGCTCACAGCCCAGCAGAGCAGGCAGACCTTCACCAGAGAGTCCTGCAGCTGGCTCTGTAAATTATATGTGGAGATCCGGGCTCCACAGGAAAGGACCAGCATTCTGTGAGCCTATGTAACAAACAGGCCTGGCCGGTGACAGTGGCTCCTGTAATCCCAGCACTTTGGGAGGGCAAGGCGGGTGAATCACTTGAGGTTAGGAGTTCGAGACCAGCCTGGCCAACATGGTGAAACCCTGACTACTAAAAATACAGAAATTAGCTGGATGTGGTGGCGTGCTCTTGTAGTCCCAGCTACTTGGGAGGCTGAGGCAGGAGAATCACTTGAACGTGGGAGGCAGAGGCTGCACTGAGCGGAGATTGCACCACTGCACGCCAGGCTGGACAACAGTGGGAGACTGTCTCAAAAAAGAAAAGAGGCCAGGCGTGGTGGCTCACGCCTATAATCCCAGCACTTTGGGAGGCCAAAGCAGGCAGATCACTTGCGGTCAGGAGTTCGAGACCAGCCTGGCCAACATGGTGAAACCGTTTCTACTAAAATACAAAATTTATCCAGGCATGGTGGCATGTGCCTGTAATCCCAGCTACTCGGGAGGCTGAGGCAGGAGAATTGCTTGAGCCTGGGAGGCAGAGGTTGCAGTGAGCCAAGATCGCACCACTGCACTGCAGCCTGGGCGACAGAGCTAGACTCTGACTCAAAAAGAAATAGGTGTGGCTTAGACTTGGTGTCAGGGAAGCTACCTGGCTCCAGGATACAACATGAATGCTGCCCCCGGCTTGGGCAACAGTGTTCCCTTGAGGGAAAAGAAGGCTTGCCAGTGGAGGAGACAGACAGGGGCAGGGGTTCTAGAGGGAACGGCACATGCAAAGGCCCAGTAGTGGAAGAGGCATTGCCCACTTATTTGAGAAACAGAGAGGCTCACGTGCTGGGGTGAAGAGAGGCTCAGGGGGCCAGGTGAGGCGAGGGACGACCCAGGCTGACCCGGGAGAGTCCCCCCAGCTTTGGGGAATCATGGGGATGGTTTTTAGCAGGGAGGTGCTGTGATCGGATTTGGGGCTTGCCAGTGTCACCCTGGCTGCTATGGGGAAGCTGGATTGGAGGGGATCGGTGCAGGACAGGGAAGCCCAGTAGGCGAGGCTGAGCAGGGAGTTGGTGGGAAGTGGACGGCTTAGGAAATCATCAGGTTCACTGAGGAACTGAATGTGGGTGACAGGAGGAGGGAGATGACAAGAGCTCCTAGGTTTCCAGCTTGTGAGACCAAATATTACATTCTCAGAGACATTAGTTTCTGTCTCCTCTTGGTGGGGAATAAAAGAAAAGCATCTGTGTGCACCTGCCTCTTTGTTAGTGCATCTTGAGAGCTGCAGAAGGAAAAGGGAATTTATCTCCCCGTGTTTGTCTTTCCACCTCATCTTCCACCTCTCTCAGGCCCTGGGTCTCTCCCTTCACTTTTCAGATTAAACTCCCATCGGTCACATCCTTCATCCTGGACACCGAAGCCGTGGCTTGGGACCGGGAAAAGAAGCAGATCCAGCCATTCCAAGTGCTCACCACCCGCAAACGCAAGGTAGCATCACCCGCTCCACTGCCTGCCAAGGCCCCGTACTTCCTCATCTTCCACCCAGTCCTGGCTGTGGGTCCTGCCCAGTGCCCAGAAGGGCAGAGTGTCAGTCTGGATGCACTTCTCTCAGCCTTCTGCAGAATGGCTGCCACAGCTCCAGCCATCGCATTCTCATCCCAGCATCCCAAGTAGGAAGAGGGGAAGGGCCCTTTTCGGGCATCTCTGTTGTTTTACTATGAAAGAAGATCTGTTCTGGAAAACCCCACAACCTGCACCCCACAGGTTTCCCCTTTTCCATCTCATTGGCCAGAACTGTGCCATGTCACTGCCATTAGCTGCAGAAAAGTCTAGGAGAGCAAATATCTGGTGAAGGGGAATGAGGTTGTCGGAATTAGCTGAGAGCCGTTAACGATCCAGCACCTGGAGCCAGCAGCATGGCCGCCCTCACAGATGGGCAGCCAGTTAGGTGGGGCGAGAGGGAGACCGGTAGATGAATGCTGTCGGCCTCAGGCACAGTGCCCCGTCTCACCTTCCTGCACTCACGAACTCCGTTGTGCCCCAACCCAGGAGGTGGATGCGTCTGAGATCCAGGTGCAGGTGTGTTTGTACGCCTTCGACCTCATCTACCTCAATGGAGAGGTGAGTTCCAGCTTCCTGTCCAGGGGCAGCTGAGGGGTGACGGGGTGGGGTGTGAGCCTGGCAGCTGCCCCTCTGACTTCCATTTCCGACTCTGCCACTTCACATGGCCAGGAAGCCACACTTGGGCAGCAGTTCTCAAAGTGTGGTCTGAGGACCCCTGAGGTTCCTTAAGATTCTTTCAAGGACATCTTCAAGGTCCCTCTCTTTCCAACTCCACATTGGCGTGAGGTGGATCTTCCTCAGGTCCTGCAACGAGAAGAGTGTGTCGTAGAAGCACGCAGGAGAATCCAGCCTCTGTTAAGCCAGATATTAGAGGATTTGCAAAAGTGTAAAATAATGCCTCTAGTCTCACCACTTTCTCAAAACTTGGGTTATGTTTCATCAAAATATGTTATTTAGAGCCAGGCACTGTGGTTCACGCCTGTAATCAGAGCACTTTGGGAGGTGGGAGGATCGCTTGAGCCCAGTAGTTCAAGACCAGCCTGGGCAATATAGAAAAGACCTTGTGTCTATTCAAAAAAAAAAAAAAAATTAATATTATTTGGGTGAGCATATTGGATTTATTTTTTTAATTTCTCATTTTAAATTTCTAATAGGTGTAACTATAATATTATGTAACCCACATGAACAAGCTCTATGGAGTGAGTCTTGAATTTTTTTTTTTTTTTTTGAGATAAGAGTCTTGCTCAGTCACCCAGGCTGGAGTGCAGTGGTGAGATCTCAGCTCACTACAACTGCCTCCTCCCAGGTTCAAGTGATTCTCCTGCCTCAGCCTCCCAAGTAGCTGGGATTACAGATGTGCACCACCAGGTCCAGCTAATTTTTGTATTTTTAGTAGAGACGGGGTTTCACCATGTTGGCCAGGCTGGTCTCGAACTCTTGACCTCAGGTGATCTGCCCACCTTGGCCTCCTGAAGTGCTGGGATTACAGGCGTGAACCACCACGCCTGGCCTTGAATAATTTTTAAGAGTGTTAAAGAGGCCTCAAGACAACAGTTTGAGAACAGCTTGCTTTAGGATGTCAGGAATCTGGAGCCAGGCCACATGCCGTCATATCCCAGCCCTAACCTTCCTAGCGGCATGGCTACAGATGAATGACTCAGCCTCTCTGTGTGTCAGTTTCTTGATCTACAGTAAGGAGCTAACAGTGGCAGGTGCTTTATCTGTTAGGGTGAGGGCTAAACAGTGGGATAGGGGTGTGGAACTCAGTAGTTAGTACATGGAAGCTCTCAAAAAAAATTAGCTGCAATCATCAATATCCCAGATAATCTTTTTTTTTTTTTTTTTTTGAGATGGAGTCTCACTCTGTTGCCCAGGCTGGAGTGCAGTGGCATGATCTCAGCTCACTGCAACCTCCGCCTCCTGGGGTCAAGCGATTCCCCTGCCTCAGCCTCCCGAGTAGCTGGGATTACAGGCGTGCACCACCACGCCTGGCGAATTTTTTGTATTTTAGTAGAGACGGTGTTTCACCATGTTGGCCAGGATGGTCTTGATCTCCTGACATCGTGATCTGCCCACCTCAGCCTCCCAAAGTGCTGGGATTTACAGGCGTGAGCCACCACGCCCGGCCCATCCCAGATGATCATCTGGTAGATGAACCACGATCTTGTGGTAACTTGGTCACTTCTGTCTTATTAATGGATATTGATGATCAATCATCTTTTCAGGTTTGTTGGCCGCGTGCATTTGTTCCGTGACTTGCCTCCGCGTGTCTTTTGCCTGCCTGTCTGGTGGGTTCTCACTCATGTCTTCCTGGTCTGTAAACGTTTTTTCTCCGTTAGGCCCATCTGTCCTTCGCCGGGACAGGTGGAGCTGGTAGTGGTTCTAATGCAGAGATGCCTTTGATGCTCAAACCCCCAATTTCATGATGCAGACTGATGTTTCACTACATGAAATTACTGTAGGAAGACAGTCAGAGTCTGATTTTTGTTTCCCGTGATGTCTGGGGAGAGGAAAGTCAAGTATCAGGTGCTTTCCAAACACTGGATACTTTGTGGGTTTTTCTGCAGGATTTGATCATCCCTGCTCAGCTGGTTCCTTTGTCTCCCATGAGCATTTCAAATATTTCTTCTCATTCCTTCAAATATTCCTTCTTTAAAATTTATTGATGGCCTATTTTGTTGTATAGGACTTGTTTGAGCTATTACTTTTACAAATTTTTTTATTAGTAGTAGTTGAACATGGATGAACTATTTTTATGTAGTCAAGTATATCATTTTTTTTCTGTTTAATGTGTCCTCATCCCCATGATTTTTTTTTTTTTTTTGAGACACAGTCTCTGTCGCCCAGGCTGGAGTGCAGTGGTGTGATCTTGGCTCACTGCAGCCTCCGCCTCTGGCGTTCAAGTGATTCTCCTGCGTCAGCCTCCCAAGTAGCTGGGATTACAGGCACCCACCACCACACCCAGCTAATTTGTGCATTTTTAGTAGAGTCGGGGTTTCACCATGTTGGCCAGGCTGATGTTGAACTCCTGACCTCAGGTGATCCACCCACCTCCGCTTTCCAAAGCGCTGAGATTACAGGCATGAGCCACTGCAGTAGCCTACATTTCTAATTTTAGAGCTTCTAGTAGCCATATTAAAAGGTAAGAAGAAACAGATAAAATCATATTTTCTTTAATCCAATGTCTAAGATATTATCCTTTCAATGTGTGATGAATATAAGAAATTATTAACATGGAATTTTACACTCTTTTCTTGGATTAAGTCTTCTAAAGCCAGTGACTGTTTTGCCCTTGGCACATCTCCGATTGAACTTGCTACATTTCAAGGGCTCAATTGCTACACATGGCTGGTGGCGGCTACACTGGGTAGCACGGGCTCAGCTGATCTTCCCAGACGTGCCCTGAGTAGGTATTGCTGCATTTTACAGATGGGAGCTCTGAGGTACACAGAGGGAAACGCTTGCCTGAAGTCACCAGCTAGGAAGCGTGTGGCTGGGATGTAAACCTGAAATGGTCTGACCCCAGATAAATTGTACCTGCTTAACCCTTGTGGCTCCTCTCTCTCATCTTTTCATACAAAATGTTCATGAGCACAATTTTACAACAGAAAAAAGCTGTCCATGGAAAACACGTGAATGTCCCCCTGGAGGGCAAGTGGTGAAGGTAGTTTAACATCATCACAGAGAAGCCCTGAGCAAAGGGCAGACCAGAAACACTGCGCGTGGGTGGGGACCGATCGAACAAAAGAGAAAAGCAATTCAAAGCCACAAGACGGATTAGTCAGTGTTGACATGTGGAGACAACTGCTTTGTCCTTTGTTTAAAAACACTCAGATCACCTCCTTCCTCTCTGACACACACTCTTGCAAGGTCCAGCTGGAACTGATTTCAAAGCAAAACACAAAACTGTAAATGTGCTGGAAAAACTCAGTGAAAACTTTTGGAATTCTAAGGAAAGGAGGACTTTTTTTTTTTTTTTTAATTATCTTGGGGATGAGGCTGGATGCAGTGGCTCACGCCTGTAATCCCAACACTTTGGGAGGCTGAGGTGGGTGGATCTCTTGTGATGTGCACCTGTAGTCCCAGCTACTCGGGAGGCCGACGCAAGACAGTCGCTTGAATTCAGGAGGCGGAGGCTGCAGTCAGCCAAGATCGCACCACCGCACTCCAGCCTGGGCGACAGAGCGAGATTCCGTCTCAAAAAAACAAAAACAAAAAACAAAACTGATGAGATGCCCGTAAAGTGTTAATTCAAGCTCCAGCAAGGCCGCAGCCCCCCGTCTGATGCTCCTGAAGTCACCGACTCTAAATGGTGTCGGGCCCTCTTGCCAGTGACTAGCCCCATGCTTTAAGCTCTCAGAATCCTTCTGACATCAGGGTTCTTCCCTCTCAAGGCTTTCCACGAACCCTGTCACTAGTTGTGACCCGCACATGTCCTGTTCGCCTCACATTTAGGGCTTATTGTCTTTATTCTCACAAAGATGTCTCATCTCTCTTCTCCCTGCCGGCCCTGCAGTCCCTGGTACGTGAGCCCCTTTCCCGGCGCCGGCAGCTGCTCCGGGAGAACTTTGTGGAGACAGAGGGCGAGTTTGTCTTCGCCACCTCCCTGGACACCAAGGACATCGAGCAGATCGCCGAGTTCCTGGAGCAGTCAGTGAAAGGTGAGGGTGCTCACTTTTCTCTCCTGAGGTCTGCAGCTTGCGCTGACCCCGGCCTCCCAGCCTGTCCCCAGTCCTGGACCGTTTGACCAGAATCCTGCCTGCTCCGGCGCTTGTGAGCCAGGGCTTCCCAAGGACCACGCTTCTGTGTCTCCCTCAGACTCCTGCGAGGGGCTGATGGTGAAGACCCTGGATGTTGATGCCACCTACGAGATCGCCAAGAGATCGCACAACTGGCTCAAGGTGATTCTCGACCCCCAACTGGGCCTTCTCCACCCCGGGTCTGGAGGTCTGTCCCAGCTAGGCAGTGGATTTCGAGCCTCCACTGTGTACCCTGTCTGAGCTCAGGGCCCCTTTTCACAATCCCACCCCAGCCCCCTGCTGCAACTGAGTTCAGACCTTCTCCCTGCTGCGAGCCCTTGCTCACGAGTTCTGATGGAGAACAGCCCCAGCCCAAGCACCGCACATCCCACGAGGTGCAGCGTGATGAGGTGTCTCTCTCCTGAGCCTGCCGCCCGTGTCGGGCCAGGCTCTTGGGCAGGAATTAAGCCAGGACATGAATAAGAGAAAGTCAGGCAGGAGTGGGCGCCATGAAGAAAAGCAAGTCAGCTCCGGGCCAGCAAGGCGGGGCTGGGAGTGCCCCGGATGATCAGGAAGAGTCTTTCCCAAAGTGAGGGACAGAGCACTAGGGAGGAAAACCCCCGGTGCAGAGACCCTGAGGGAGGAGCAGCCTCTGCGTGTGCAGGGAGCAAGGGCAGGCGAGGCGGGAGGTGAGCTCAGAGTGGGGAGCAGGCCCCAGATGAGGCAGCACCTGGGGCCACTGTGAGATAAAACTGGATCTTCCTCTTGAAGGTTTCAGGAAGTCAGTGGGGGTTCCGTGCCGGGAGTCACAGGTTGTCATTGTGCGAAGCTCCTGGGGTTTCCCCTCGAGTGGAGGACGGGTGTGTTGAGGGCCAGCGAGCAGGAGCCTGTCATCAGTAAGAGTTGATGGATGTTTGAGTGGAGAGGGGCAGTGAGGGGTGGACAAGGGGACTGGAGCGGGAGGCATTGTGGCACTGAGCCGGCCAGGCCTGCTGACTAGCTCTTCCTGTGTACTTATGTCTGTCTGTGGCTGGTTTCCCTCCAGCACAGACCTTTCCTGTCTCAGGAAATAGCACTGTTGTGCCCCCAGGGCTGAGCTTCTGCCTGGCACATGGTTAGCACTTAGTGAACGTTTCTGAACGAATGGGAAAATGCTCTCCCTTTGGAGGAGTGGCCAGAGTGAGTTGGCCACGTCTCTGTCCTGAGGGAAAGACGGCGGCAAGGCTGACTCCTGAGGTCCCATCGATCCCGCCTGCGTTTCCCATTTGTTCTTATTTATTTATTTATTTATTTTAAGACGGAGTTTCACTCTCATTGCCCAGGCTGGAGTGCAATGGCACGATCTTGGCTCACTGCAACCTCCGCCTCCCGGGTTCAAGCGATTCCCCTGCCTCAGCCTCCCAAGTAGCTGGGATTACAGGCACACGCCACCACGCCCGGCTAATTTTGTATTTTTAATAGAGACGGGGTTTCTCCATGTTGGTCAGACTGGTCTCGAACTCCCGACCTCAGGTGATCCACCCGCCTCGGCCTCCCAAAATGCTGGGATTACAGGCATGAGCCACCGTGCCCGGCCCCATTTGTTCTTATTTAAACCTAGAAACCCTTCCCATGTCCAGTCTCTTCCCAGGGGCCATCCTTGGGGTTCCTTCTGGAAGTTCCCTTCAGACTTACTTCTAGTCCCTCCTCAGTCCACTGAGGAGCCCCTCCCCAGCAGTGAGGGCCCCGCCTTGGGCGCTCCCCCTTCTCATCTCTTGCCTCCCCTTCTCCCAGCTGAAGAAGGACTACCTTGATGGCGTGGGTGACACCCTGGACCTGGTGGTGATCGGCGCCTACCTGGGCCGGGGGAAGCGGGCCGGCCGGTACGGGGGCTTCCTGCTGGCCTCCTACGACGAGGACAGTGAGGAGCTGCAGGCCATATGCAAGGTCCTGGGGAACTGGGGCTGATGGCAGAAGCAGGAGGGAAGGAGATTAGACTCCCGGGGGTATTTCCTATTGCACAACCCAGACCGAGGGGTGCTCACATCCCCCTGTGAAGGATCCGTTCTCCCCAGTTTTTATTTACTTTTTCTGGTTCTATGAGCAACTCTTGCTTCATATAGAAAAACAGGCTGGGATAGAAAGATGTCAGGAATGTGTGTCAGTGAGAGATTGAGATTAGCTACAAATAGTGGTGGCTCACATAAGAAAAGAATTTTTTTGTTATGAAATGAGAAGTGTGGAGGGGGCAGTCTGATGCCATTAGGGATTCAGGTTCCTCCTCTCCCCACATTTTTTTTTGTCCCCACATTTTTTTTTTCTGCCATGTGCCTCTGGCCTCATCATCACAATGTGGCTGCAGGAGTTCCAGCCCTCATGGCCATGCCTGCTCCACGCACCAGGGAAGAGCAAAGGGGGTTGGACCCTGAGTCAGCCTCAGCCAGTGAACACCTTCTGCTCAAGTTCTGTTGCTCATCACTTTGCTCCATGGCTCACCCCTAGCTGCAAGGAATTCTGGGAAATGTAAAGTGATTTACTTTTTTTCAAGTTAAAGTTTTTCTTAAAGCTGTGCACATTTTGGACTAGATTTTCTTACGTATTTCCTATATTCCCCTCTCCAACAAATTTGGGTCTTTTGCCACAGAAACAGAACAAAATATCACCTAGAATCGTACCACCCAGAGACACGCAGTAGTGACATTTGAGGGAATGTTTTATTTACATTTTTGCAAAGTTGTGATCCTTCTCTATGAGTAATTTTCTTTTCTGCCTTTTTACCCTGGAAGTACTTTGTTTTCAGTGTTGTATATGCCCTTAAGCAATATGGCAACAGGACCTGAATGCCCGCACAAGAGTTTTCAAGTGCTGTGCCCCATAGCACATAGTGCTGTGTCCTGAACCAGCTCCCCGTGGCTGTGTGGGGAAGTTGTTGCCGGCTTTGTTCTGATGGGTAATGTGATTACTTAGTGTCCGTTAACCTAAACGATCAGTGACAGAAGTGACTTTTATAAATCACAAATGTTTTGGCCACCAATCTACATTGTCACCATTTTGCATTATTTAGAATAGATTTTTAAATGAGCTATTGTCAGGACAAAAGGCAAAAAGAATCCTTAAGACTCTCAATGCAAAAGGGGCTTTCCAGGTGACGTTTATATTGGTGATTATTGCCCACTTGCTGCGTATCTGCCAGCATCCAGCATTACTGCTAATTTTTAGCCTTTCCTATTTTGGTAGGTGAAAGAAGCTCTTGGCAGTGTTAACATTGGAGATGGGCTGGGCATGGCCACTCACGCCTGTAATCCCAGCACTTTGGGAGGCTGAGGTGGGAGGATCACTTGAGCCCAGGAGTTCGGGACCAGCCTGGGCAACATAGTGAGACCCCACCTCTACAAAAACTTTTTTAAAAAATTAGCCAGGCGTGGTGGTGCATGCCTGTGGTCCCAGCTACTTGGGAGGCTGAGGCAGGAGGATTGCTTGAGCCCAGGAGGTGGAGGTTGCAGTGAGCCAAGATTGCACCACTGCACTCCAGCCTGGATAACAGAGCTACACCCTGTCTCAAAAAAAAAAAAAAAAAAAAAAAAAAAGACTGGAAGTGAGGACAGCCAGTTACTGGGCAGTGAGGATGTGGGTGAGCATAAGGGAGTGACTTCCTGGGGCCAGGGAGACAGTGGAAGCAGCAAGAGTTTCTCCATAAAGCAGAAGACAGGGAGTGGTTCACGGCAGGCCTGCTGGGAGAACATTCCCACCCGGGAGTCTCTGGATGGATGCTCCGCACCCCCAGCTCCCTACTTCCCTGGTTTTCTGTGGATACTGCGTAGACCAGAGTGGGGTGGGGGCCATGAGTGTACACAGCTTTAGATGGCAGGAGCAAGTGCTGGGCCTGTGGCTGGCTGAGCCTCTGACCTCCCGCTTCCTCCCTGCAGCTTGGAACTGGCTTCAGTGATGAGGAGCTGGAGGAGCATCACCAGAGCCTCAAGGTGAGCCATGGCGGCTGCGCCTCAGCCTCCACCCCTCTCCCCCCTGCCCCTGACAGCACAGTCCTTCCATGCAGGGCTCTTGGCTTCCACCATCTTGGGGCTCCAGGTGTGGGCAGGAGGGCAGCAGGCAGTGGAGCTGGCTTTGGAGTCCAGCATCTCCAGGTTCATGTCTCAGCACTGCCGGCTACTAGCTGGTGACCCTGCTCAAGCAGCCTCACCTCCCCAAGCCCTGTGCCTCATTCACACCAGGGGTTAGCCAAAGGACACAGCAGGTGCCATAGCTGCTCCTTGTGAAGTGCCTGTGAGCCCTGATCAATGTGAATGAATGTTGTCATGGTCACAGGCATTTCAGGCATGAGTGTCTGTCCTACATATTGGATCTGTATTAGTTTATTTTCATACTCATACTGCTATGAAGAAATAACCCAAGACTTGCCGGGCGTGGTGGCGCATGCCTGTGGTCCCAGCTACTTGGGAGGCTGAGGCAGAAGAATTGCTTGAACCCAGGATGCAGAGGTTGCAGTGAGCTGAAATCATGCCATTGCACTCCAGCCTGGGAAACAGAGTGAGACTCTGTCTCAAAAAAAAAAAAAAAAAAAAAAGGATCATTTATAAAGAGAGGTTTCCTGGACTCACAGTTCCACACGGCTGGGGAGGCCTCACAGTCATGGCAGAAGGCGAAAGAGGAGCAAAGGCACATCTTACATGGCGCCAGGCAAGAGAGCGTGTGCAGGGGAACTGCCCTTTATAAAGCCGTCAGATCTCGTGAGACTTCCTCACTATCACGAGAACAGCACGGGAAAAACCTGCCCCCATCGTTCAGTTACCTCCCACCAGGTCCCTCCACGACACATGGGGATTTTGGGAGCTATGATTCAAGACAAGATGTGGGTGGGGACACACGGACCCTGACACCATCTCTGTCCCACTCTTTGGTTCTCTCTCTCCATTGCCCTCTCTCTCTACATCTCTGTCCCTGTCCCACTGTGTCTCTGTCTCCTTCCTCCAGGTCTCTGGCCCTTTCTCTGCCTCTTTTTGTCTTTAATGTCCTGCCTCAGCCCCCAGGGCCTTTCATTTCTTTCCATCTCCCATTCCTCCCAACTCCCACCTTTCTCAACTTTTTACTTCAAGGGGGTCTTGTTTCTTTTCCCTTCTTTCACTTTCTGTTTCTCTTTCTATTTCTGTTTACTTCAAGGGGGTGTCTTGTTTCTTTTCCCTTATTTCACTTCCTATTTCTGTTTACTTCAAGGGGGTGCCTGTTTTTTTCCCTTCCTCCCTCTCCCCAGCCCTCCAACACTTGGCCTTGACTTTGAGATTCCAGACCCTCTGTTCCTCTCTTCCTCTGCTCACTGCAGGCGCTGGTGCTGCCCAGCCCACGCCCTTACGTGCGGATAGATGGCGCTGTGATTCCCGACCACTGGCTGGACCCCAGCGCTGTGTGGGAGGTGAAGTGCGCTGACCTCTCCCTCTCTCCCATCTACCCTGCTGCGCGGGGCCTGGTGAGTGGCAGAGGACCTGGCCGTGGCCCTGTGTGGGATTCTGGGCGGGCACACAGAGAGCAGAGTAGGGAGGGGACCTTGGCTCACATCTGCTCTTCCAGGTAAGGATCAGGAAGATGAGCTTGCATTTTATTTGAGTGTCAGATAAAAAGATCAAAACATTTTTTCTTTAAAAATGGGCCGGGCATGGGGGCTCGTGCCTGTAATCCCAGCACTTTGGGAGACCGAGGCAGGCAGATCACTTGAGGTCAGGAGTTCAAGGCCAGCCTGGCCAACATGGTGAAACCCCATCTCTACCAAAAATACAAAAATTAGCCATGTGTGATGGCGGGTGCCTGTAGTCCCAGCTACCCAGGAGGCTGAGGCAGGAGAATCGCTTGAACCTGGGAGGCGGAGGTTGCAGTGAGCCGAGATCACACCACTGTACTCCATCCTGGGTGACAAAGCAAGACTCTGTCTCAAAAAAAGAAAAGAAAATTCTTTTCTTAAATAAAAGAATTCCCAGGGCAAGCACAGTGGCTCATGCCTGTAATCCCAGCACTTTGGGAGGCCGAGGCAGGCAGATCACTTGAGGTCAGGAGTTCAAGACCAGCCTGACCAACACGGTGAAACCCCACCTCTACCAAAAAATAGAAAAATTAGCTGGGTATGGTGACCCGTGCCTGTAGAGACGGGGTTTCACCATGTTGACTAGGCTGGTCACAAACACCTGGCCTCAATCCGCCCACCTCGGCCTCCCAAAGTGCTGGGATTACAGGTGTGGGCCACCATGCCCAGCCAAGAACTTACATTTTTGATCTAATTTTTAAAAATGTTTTACCATGCTGCACGTTAGACAGCCAGGGACCCTTAGTAACAAGGCACAGGAGCCGGTGTGTATCCAGCCCTTGCTGTGCAGTGGGCACTGTGTGGTCATCAGCGTGTCACTCATAGACACTCATTTAATCCTCTCAAAATCCGTAAGACGTAGTGACACAAACATCTCCATTTTACGGTGAGGATGTAGAGCCCTAGAGAGCCTGAGTAACTGCCCCTGCATCACGCGGCTCCTGAGAGTTGGGAGCTGGGATTGGAATCCCACAGTCAGATTCTAGAACCCATACCCTGGCGCCGTAGTTCAGCCTCTCAGCCCGAATTACCGTCATTATCGTAACGGCTGTAGCAGGTGGCATTTTTTTTTTTTTTTTTTTGAGTTGGAGTCTCGCTCTGTCACCCAGGCTGGAGTACAGTGGCGCAATCTCAGCTCACTGCAAGCTCCCCACCTCCCGGATTCACGCCATTCTCCTGCCTCAGCTTCCTGAGTAGCTGGGACTACAGGCGCCCGCCACCACACCTGGCTAATTTCTTTTTGTATTTTTAGTAGAGGCGGGGTTTCACCGTGTTAGCCAGGATAGTCTCCATCTCCTGACCTCGTGATCCACCCGCCTCGGCCTCCCAAAGTGCTGGGATTACAGGGGTGAGCCACCGCACCCGGCCAACAGGCAGCATTTCTTGAGCACTTACTGTGCCCGGGTACTGTTCCAAGCACTTTGTCAACTTGTTTAATCCTTATGACAACCCATCGTTCGGCCCCGTCATGTGGATCAGGAAACAGTCCAGAGTGGAGGAGGGAGGAGACTGAGCAGGGGGTCGCTGGGGCTGGACCGCAGGAGTCTCCATCCCGCTTCCGCAGGTGGATAGTGACAAGGGCATCTCCCTTCGCTTCCCTCGGTTTATTCGAGTCCGTGAAGACAAGCAGCCGGAGCAGGCCACCACCAGTGCTCAGGTGAGGTCCTGGGAAGCAGGGGTGGGCCGCCCAGCTGCTTGGCCCTACCAGCTTTTTAGCGTGGTGGCCTCTCTGGAACCTTGTGGAGGTGGGAGCAGCCAGGGAGCTTCTGACCACCCCGTCCCACCCTCTCTCCGCAGGTGGCCTGTTTGTACCGGAAGCAAAGTCAGATTCAGAACCAACAAGGCGAGGACTCAGGCTCTGACCCTGAAGATACCTACTAAGCCCTCGCCCTCCTAGGGCCTGGGTACAGGGCATGAGTTGGACGGACCCCAGGGTTATTATTGCCTTTGCTTTTTAGCAAATCTGCTGTGGCAGGCTGTGGATTTTGAGAGTCAGGGGAGGGGTGTGTGTGTGAGGGGGTGGCTTACTCCGGAGTCTGGGATTCATCCCGTCATTTCTTTCAATAAATAATTATTGGATAGCTACTTTGTGACAGGGTCTGTGCTGGGCTCTGGGGGCAAAGCTGTCATGGGTGTCACCTGCATAGCATGTAGCCATGTAGCCATGGCCTAGGAACTGCCAGAGCCAGTGCCAGCCATGGAACTGCCTGCAGTGGTGGGCGTCTTCTCTATCTGCTCTGTGCAGTGTGACCGCCACTGGCCACCTGCAATGCCCGAGCCCTTGACAGGTGGCCAGCATGACAGAGGATGCGAATTTGTTTTGTTTTGTTTTGTTTTGATTTTGTTTTGAGACAGAGTCTCGCTCTGTTGCCCAGGCTGGAGTGCGATGATGAGATCTCAGCTCACTGCAACCTCCACCTTCCGGGTTCAAGTGATTCTCTTGCCTCAGCCTCCCATGTAGCTGGGATTACAGGAATGTGACACCACGCCTGGCTAATTTTTGTATTTTTAGTAGAGATGGGGTTTCGCCATGTTGGCCAGGCTGATCTTGAACTCTTGGCCTCAAGCGATCCACCCTCCTCAGCCCCCCTAAGTGCTGGGATTACAGGCGTGAGCCACCACACCCAGCCATACCAAATATTTTATTTAATTGTATTGGACAGCAGTAGTCTAAAATCTTTACATACATATATTTTTTAACTTGTTTAACCTTCCAGCCATCCCACAGGGAGGCACCATCGTGAGCCCTGTTAAGGAAGACAAATGCAGTGTCTTAAAATAACACAGATGTATTCCCTAAACAGTTTCGGAGGTCAGAAGTTCAAAATCAGTTTTACTGGGCTAACATCAAAGTGGTGGCAGGGCCGGTTCCTTCTGGGAGCTCCAGGAGAGAAACTGTGTCCTTTTTCCAGCTTCCAGAGGCCACCTGGTTCCTAGGCTCATGGCTTCTTCCTCCGTCCTCAAAGCCAGCAGCATCGCACCTGCAAATCTCTCTCCTGAGGTCATCAGGTCACGTCCTCTCCTCCATCAGATCTCTGTTTCTCTCTTCCAAGTACTCAAGTGGTTACATTTAGGGCCCCCTGGATGATCCAGGATAATCTCATTTCAGGATCCTAACTCAATCCCAAAGTCCCTTTAGTCACATAAGATCACACATTCACAGAGGCCAGGCACAGTGGCTCACGCCTTGGGGAGGACTTGGGGAGGCTGAGGTGGGAGGATCACTTGAAGCCAGGAGTTCAAGACTAGCTTGTCCAACACAGCCAGACTTCATCTCCTCTAATTTTATTAATAAAATTAATAAAAATGTAAAAGGGCCAGGCGCGGTGGCTCACGCATGTAATCCCAGCACTTTGGGAGGCTGAGGCAGGTGGATCACCTGAGGTCAGGAGTTCGAGACCAGCCTGGCCAACATGGCAAAACCCCGTCTCTACTAAAAATACAAAAATTAGCTGGGCATGGTGGCGCGTGCCTGTAATCCCAGCTACTAGTGGGGTGAGGCAGGAGGATCACTTGAATCTGGGAGACAGGTTGCAGTGACCCGAGATCGTGCCACTGCATTCCAGCCTGGGCGACAGAGCGAGACTCCATCTCAAAAAAAAAAAAAAAATAGGTCACATCAAAGGTTTCAGCGATTAAGACCTGGATATCTATGGGGGCTGTTATTATTGCAGCCACCCCACATGGGATGATATGTTAGAGGAAAACCATCGGGAAATGGTCAGACAAGGCAAGCAGGATGCCTGGAACACCCACCCAGCCCTGGGCACCACGGGGCTGGCTTGGGGAAAACGGCTGCACGCGGAGCGGGGCCCAGGCTCGGGTCTTCCAGAGCAGGAGGCCTCTAACCCCGGGGCCCAGCGTGGAACAGGAGCTTCCGGGCATGAGAGTGTCAGGGTGTCCTGATACTCCCGCAGGGGGGACACAGGGCTCCCAGCTGTCCCCTGCCCCTCACACTCTGTTTCTGCCTCTCACATCTGCCCTCCCTCCTTCCCTTCTCTCTCATCAGGTTCCTCTGCCCTTGTCTCCCACCCGCCCTCTCTCCCCTTCCTTCTCTATCTGCGAGGCTTTGCTCTCTGCCGTGCAAGTCTGTGCCAGGCTTACTTTGCTGTCTGTCACTGTGACTCAGCCTCCCTGTCTCTCTTCCTGTGTCTCCATCATGGTCTCTTGTGCACACAATCTCTTGGGCATTCTGTTTCTATTTGTTGTAGCCCAAGAAGACAACATTGCCTTCCGAGTCTCCTTGGGGCTAGCAGTGGCCCTGTAGCCCTGTGTGGGCAGACCCAGGGGACATAAGCACAGGGGCTGCTGGGGACTTCTGGAGAAACATCTTTCCTGACCAAAAAGGACAGCCCTGGTTGTGGCAGCTCCTCCCCTCCTCCTGCCTTGACTAGAGATGATGGCTGGAGCCAAGTCACCACCTTGTAATGATGAGGAAAAAGAGTAACAAACTCTCCTGACGACCCTAAACCGGCGAACCTAGGGCAGCAGCTGCCTAACTGTGGGCTTTTGTTCATGGGAGTAGGGGAAGAATAAGCCCCAGGGCGATTATGCCACTCTAAAACATGGCTTTCAGCCGGGCACAGTGGCTCATGCCTGTCATCCCAGCACTTCGGGAGGCCGAGGCGGGCAGATCACCTGAGGTCGGGAGTTCAAGACCAGCCTGACCAACATGGAGAAACCCCGTCTCCACTAAAAATACAAAATTAGCCGGGCGTAGTGGCACATGCCTGTTACTCCCAGCTACTCAGGAGGTTGAGGCAGGAGAATCGCTTGAACCCGGGAGGAGGAGGTTGCAGTGAGCCGAGATCGAGCCATTGCACTCCAGCCTGGGCAACAAGAGCAAAACTCCGTCTCAAAAAAAAAAAAAAAAAAAAAAAAGACTTGTTTCTCATAGCTAAGAGTTCCTGATACAGCTCTGCCTTAAAGAACTGGCAAATTAGTGTGCATTTGTGTTTCAATTTCAAATAAAATGTTTAAGGCAAAAAAAAAAAGTAAATGTTGTATGTCAGGGGATCCCCACATTACTGGCTTTGTGTGGAGACCATGGTTCCTTTGGGCTTGGCTCTTCCTCCCTGCACCAGTGCAGGGCCCCAGGAACACATCTGCCACACACGGCCGCCATGTCCCTCTGCTGAAGCTAGTCAGGGTCATCCTCACTCCTCAGTGACCCTCATGATGGCTCCACCAGGTAGGTACTTTTATTCTCCCCATTTAACAGGTGAGGACACTGAGGGGCACAGGGATGTAAGTTACCTTCCCTAGGTCCACTATCTAGGAAGTGGTGGGCCAGGGTTTGGTCCATGCTGTCAGCTCCTTGACCCTGCATCTATAACTACTAACTATACTGTGGAGAGCCTCATGAGCTCCTGCGAGGTGTAGAACCTTATCCCGCAGGCGGGGCAGTGGCATGGTCAGGTCTAGGAGTGAAAAGATCCTGCGATGGTTGGAGTTGCGGGCACTGAAGAGGTGAGCCTGGCGTTAGGGGGAGCAGGGGAGACCATCTTCCCCCTGGTGAAATCCTGTTCTAAAATTGGTGATACTCCTGCCTTGGCCTCCCAAAGTGCTAGGATTATGGCCTCATATCTATTTTTAAAAAATAAGAATTCAAGCTGGGTGCGGTGGCTCGCAACTGTAATCCCAGCACTTTGGGAAGCCGAGGCAGGTGGATCACTTGAGTTCAGCAGTTCGAGCCAGCCTGGCCAACATGGTGAAACCCTGTCTCTACTAAAAATACAAAAATAATTAGCCGGGCGTGGTGGCAGATGCCTATGTTCCCAGCTACTCGGGAGGCTGAGGTAGGAGAATCGCTTGAACCCAGGAGACGGAGGTTGCAGTGAGCCGAGATTGCACCACTGCACACCAGCCTGGGCGACAAAGAGTAAGACTCCATCTCAAAAAAAAAAAAAAAAAATTCAAAACCCATCGAGTTGGGATGACGCTTAGTGCTGGGCTTCAGGAAGAGTAGGCAGGAGGGTAGTATGGGAGGTTTCTAGGAGCCACTCTTGGAAGCGGTGCTCCCCACAGATGCCCGATTGCACTGACTGGAACTCGGTCACATGACCACATAACTCGCTCACATGACCACACCTAGCTGCAAAGGTGCTGGGAAATGTGGTACCCTGTTGGGAGGCCACTTCTGGGCTTCAAACCTTCACTGTGAATGGAGCTCACAGGTTTTCTAAAAATGGACATTAAATGAACCAGAGTTGGCCCTAAGGATCTGGCTCACTGCAACCTCCACCTCCCAGGATGAAGCACCTGCCTCAGCCTCCCGAGTAGTAGCTGGGATTACAGGCACACGCCACCATACCGAGCTAATTTTTGTATTTTTAGTAGAGAAGGTGTTTCACCATGTTGGCCAGGCTGGTCTCGAACTCCTGACTTCACATGATCCGCCTGCCTCAGCCTCCCAAAGTGCTAGGATTACAGGCGTAAGCCACCACGCCTGGCCTCAATATTTCTTTTTCTGGGTATTTGAGTATGATATTATATATGATGGTTATTAGACAGCCAGATGCATAGGAGGATTAGCTAATCTGTTTTGAGGAATACTTATCTCCAATATAGTTATATAACGACAACATTCTTTTTTTGAATACTGGTCTCGGGTGCCTAATGACAGAAGGGTGACATCACTAAGGAAGCCTGGAAAGTCCCAGCCCTCCACGTGATCCCACGGATGAAAATAGCTCCGGGTGAGCTCTGGAACAGCTGAAAAAGCTGGAGCAACCAAGCAGGGCCTACAAGCCGAGGAGGGCTGTTTAAAGGCGCAGGGGCCATTTTACCTCCAGGTTGGCCCTGCTCAGGACCAGGAGGAAACACCTCCAGCCCGCGACCTCCTCCCACAGGGGGAAAAGGAAAGCAGGAGGACCACAGAAGCTTTGGCACCGAGGATCCCCGCAGTCTTCACCCGCGGAGATTCCGGCTGAAGGAGCTGTCCAGCGACTACACCGCTAAGCGCAGGGAGCCCAAGCCTCCGCACCGGATTCCGGAGCACAAGCTCCACCGCGCATGCGCACACGCCCCAGACCCAGGCTCAGGCAAGCCGTGGGGGCAGGGAGGGCTGTTTCATCCCGCTGGGGCGGCCATAACCAAGTACCAGGGATTGGGTGCAATTAAATAACAGGATTTCTTTTTCTTTTTTATTTTATTTTATTTTATTTATTTATTTATTTTTTTTTGAGACAGCATCTCGCTCTGTCGCCTAGGCTGGAGTGCAGTGACGCGATCTCGGCTCACGGCAAGCTCCGCCTCCGGGGTTCAAGCGATTCTCCTGCCTCAACCTCCCGAGTAGCTGGGATTACAGGCGCACACCACCACACCCGGCTAATTTTTGTATTTTTAGTAGAGATGGGGTTTCACCATGTTGGCCAGGCTGGTCTCAAACTCCTGAACTCGTGATCCACCCCACTCGGCCTTCCAAAGTGCTGGGATTACAGGCGTGAGCCACCGCGCCCGGCTAGGAATTTATTTTCTAACACTTCTGGAAGCTAGAAGTCCAAGATCAAGGTGTTGGCAGGGTTGGTTTCTCCTGAAGCCTCTTGCAGAGGCCCTAATCTCTCCTTATAAAACCAATCAGGCTGGGCGCGGTGGCTCACGCCTGTAATCCCAGCCCTTTGGGAAGACGAGGCGGGCGGATCCTGAGGTCAGGAGATCGAGATCATCCTGGCTAACACAGTGAAACCCCGTCTCAACTAAAAATACAAAAAATTAGCTGGGCGTGGTGGCGGGCGCCTGTAGTCCCAGCTACTCCGGAGGCTGAGGCAGGAGAATGGCGTGAGCCCGGAAGGCGGAGCTTGCAGTGAGCCGAGACTGCGCCACTGCACTCCAGCCTAGGGCACAAAGCGAGACTCCATCTCAAAAAAAAATAAAATAAAATAAACCAATCAAACCAAATTCCAGGCCACCCTCAGGACCCCACTTTAACTTAGTCACCCCTTTAAGAGCCTATGTCTGGCCGAGTGCGATGACTCATGCCTATAATCCCAGCGTTTTGGGAAGCCAAGGTGGAAAGCTCTCTTGAGCCTAGGAGTTCAAGACCAGCCTGGGTGACATAACAAGACCTGATCTCTACAAAACATAAAAAATTTAGCTGGAGATGGTAGCATGTACCTGCACTTCCAGCTACTCGGGAGGCTGAGGTGAGAGGCTCGCTTGAGCCCAGGAGGCTGAGGCTGCAGTGAGCCACGATCACACCACTGCACTCCAGCCTGGGTGACAAAGCAAGACCCTGTCTCAAAAAGCAAACAACGAAAAAGAATCCTATGTCCAAATACAGTCACATTCTGAGGTTCTGGGGGTTACAAGTCCAACATATGAATTTGGAGGTGGTGGGGGGAAGCTGATTAATTTCATAAGGGGGGTCTTGAAACTGCCTTCGCAGAAATGTAAGTAATGAGAGAAAGCTAACATGACTGACCATCTTGTTTCTAACCTCACAGGCTAGATTTTTTTTTCTTATTCTAGTGCAGAGGCCAAAATTACCATGAGAGGAATTTAATTCATAGTTAAACTTTGAGACAAAGAAAACTGACCCCCAGTCCTTGTTGAGAGATTGAAGCCACATTCATTTACTTTTTATTTATTTATTTAGTTTTGAGACAGAGTTTCACTCTTGTTGCCCAGACTGGAGTGCAATGGCATGATCTCTGCTCACTGGCACCTCCACCTCCTGAGTTCAAGTGATTCTCCTCCCTCAGCCTCCTGAGTAGCTGGGATTACAGGCGCCCGCCATCATGCCCAGGTGACTTTTGTACTTTTAGTAGAGATAAGGTTTCACCATGTTGGCCAGGCTGGTCTCCAACTCCTGACCTCAAGTGATCCTCCCACCTCGGCCTCTTAAGGTGCTGGGATTACAGCCATGAGCCACTGTGCCTGGCCTGAAGTCACATTCATAAGACAAGGTTAGAATCATGAAGGTGCTGGAACTTTGCTAAAGAACAGTCGTGGGTTGAAGAATGACCTGCCATCCCTTAGCTTCCTTTTCTATATGTGCTCCAGAGTCACGTAACCAGGGGTCGCATGATTTATAACTTCCCCAGCTACTTCTATAAATAATATCACTGTCGTGAAACACAGAACTCAGCTTTTTAGTGGGGTGTGGTAGCTAACACCTGTAATCCCCACTTCTTGGGAGGCTGAGGCAGGAGGATTGCATGAGCCCGGGAGAATGAGACCAGCCTGGGCAACATAGTGAGACCTCAATCTCTACAAAAAAATTAAAACTTTGCCAGACGTGGTGGTGCATGCCTGTAGTCCCAGCAACCCAGGAGGCCAAGGCAGGAGGATTGCTTGAGCCCAAGAGTTGGAGGCTGCAGTGAGCTATGATTGCGCCACTGTAGGGACCAGCCCTGCAGGGTCTGTGGGTCTTTCTCCCCATGTGCGGAGACGAGAGATCGTAGAAATAAAAACACAAGACAAAGAGATAGAAGAAAAGACAGCTGGGCCTGGGGGACCACTACCACCAAGACGCAGAGACCGATAGTGGCCCCAAATGCCTGGCTGCGCTGTTATTTATTGGATAATAAGGGGCAGAGTAAGGAGTGTGAGTCATCTCCAATGATTGATAAGGTCATGTGAGTCACGTGTCCACTGGACAGGGAGCCCTTCTATGTTAGGTAGCCAAGGCGTAGAGAGAGAGGATAGCTTATGTCATTATTTCTTTTATGTTCTTTTCAGAAAGATCAAAGACTTTAATATTTTAATACTTTCACTAATTCTGCTACTGCTATCTAGAGGGTGCAGCCAGGTATACAGAGTGGAACAGGAAAGTGAAACAGGAGTGTGACCACTGAAGCACAGCATCACAGGGAGATGGTCAGGCCTCTGGATAACTGCGGGCGGGCCTGACATCACTCAGGCCCTCCACAGGAGGCGGTGGAGCAGAGTCTTCCCTAACTCCCCCGGGGAAAGGGAGACTCCCTTTCCTGGTCTCTAGGCACTGACGCAACCGCTAGACCAAGGTCCGCTAGGCAATGGGCATCTTCCCAGACGCTGGCGTTACCCCAAGACCAAGGGGCCCTCTAGTGGCCCTATTCGGGCATGACAGAGGGCTCACACTTGTCTTCTGGTCACTCTTGACCTCAAGTGATCTGACTGCCTCGGCCTCCCAAAGTGCTGGGATTACAGGCATGAGCCACTGCTCCTGGCAATAATGTTTCGTTTTGTTTTTGTTTTAAAAAAAAGAAATTGTCTTTGAGATAGTTTTCAGAGTGAGCATTTTGGCAGACCAAGAGCTACCACCTGGTCCTGAGACCCGCTCCCAGGAACTGACTCAGCTATACAAAGATAGTTTTGGACACACCTGTGATTTCATCCATAGCCGATCAATTGTTCCCTCAGCCCCTTGCCCACCAAAGTTTCCTTAAAAAACCCTAGTCTCAGGTCGGACGCGGTGGCTCGTGCCTGTAATCCCAGCACTTTGGGAGGCCAAGGCGGGTGGATCACCTGAGGTCGGGAGTTCAAGCCCAGCCTGGCCAACATGGAGAAACCCCATCTCTACTAAAAATACAAAAATTAGCCGGGCATGGTGGTGCATGCCTGTAATCCCAGATACTCAGGAGGCTGAGGCAGGAGAATCGCTTGAACCCGGGAGGCGGAGGATGCAGTGAGCCGAGATCATGCCAATGCACTCCAGCCTGGTCAACAAGAGGGAAACTTCATCTAAAGAGAGAGAGACAGACAGAGACAGAGACAGAGGCAGAGAAAGAGAAAGAGCGAGGAAAAACCCTAGCCTCCAAATTTTCAGAGAGACGCGCTTGAAATATTTCTCCCATTCTCCTCGCTTGGCCGCCCCTGAGATTATTAAACTCTCTCTCTTTGCTGCAACACCTGCTGTTCGCATTGGTTTTGTCTGGGCAGTGGACAAGGAGAACCCATGAGCCCGTGACAGTCCCAGCCCTCCCCCACTGTCTTTGCTAAGCCCAACAGTGGGCACAGGACTAAGAAGAGCCATTTCTTTGGCAGGAGGACTGAGAATTTTCTGACCGCAGTGCACCATGGGAAGGTAAGTCCTCTTAGAGCTGACCACTATGGGGAAGCAGAGCATTTGTGTAATGGAATGCATAGTGAGTGTCAAGAGGTGAGGGCTGTGACAGTTCCTCTCGCTTGGTGGAGATAGATGGAAAGAGCTGAAGGTTGGGCATGGTGGCCCATGCCTGTAACCCCAGCACTTTTGGTGGCCGAGGCAAGAAGATCTCTTGAGCCCCAGAGTTCGAGACTAGCCTGGGCAACATGGTGAAACCCTATCTCTACAATAAAAGAAAATATTTTTAAAAATTAGCCAAGCATAGTGGTACACACCTGTAGTCCAAGCTACTTAGGAGGCTGAGACATGAGGATCACTTGAGTCCCGGTGTTCAAGGCTGCAGTAAGCTATGATTGCACCACCGCACTGGTGGTGGGCAACAGAGCAAGACCCTGTCTTATTGTTGAACCGGGGAGGTGGAGGTTGCAGTGAACTGAGATTGCGCCACTGCACTCCAGCCTGGGCAACAGAGCGAGACTCTGTCTCAAAAAAGAGAGAGAGAAAGAGAAAGAAAGAAAGAAAGAAAGAAAGAAAGAAAGAAAGAAAGAAAGAAGGGAGGGAGGGAGGGAGGGAGGGAGGGAGGGAGGGAGGGAGGGAGGGAGGGAGGGAGGGAAAGAAGGAGGGAAGGAAGGAAGGAGGAAGGAAGGAAGGATGGAAGGAAGGGAGGGAGGGAGGGAGGGGAGGGAAGGGGAGGGAGGGAGGGAGGGAGGGAGGTATGTCACCATGTTGGCCAGGCTGGTCTTGAACTCCTGGGCTCAAGTGATCCACCCACCTCACCCTCCCAAAGTGCTGGGATTACAGGTGTGAGCCACCGCGTCTGGCCCCAAAATTAACCATTTTGAAAAGTGAATAATTGACTGGCATTCAATGCATTCACAGTGTTGTACAACCATCACCTCTATCTAGTTTCAGAATATTTTCCTCACCCCAAAAGGAAACCATGTACCCGTGGGCTGGTGGCTACCTGCTTGGACAGCCCAGTTCTAGGTCAAATTCTGTGTTTTATCCCTTTTCCCTGTGAATTTTCTGGACTTCTTTGTGTTTTCTCCTGGGAAGCTCTGAAGTTTCCATAATTCCTGGGCTCCAGAAAGAAGAAAAGGCGGCCGTGGAGAGACGAAGACTTCATGTGCTGAAAGCTCTGAAGAAGCTAAGGATTGAGGCTGATGAGGTAAGTGAGGGGAGGAGGGTGGCCCCAGAGATCCCAGAATCGCCCCCTCTGTGCCCAGTGTCCAGGGCCCAACTCAGCCAGGGAGAGCTGGACCGAAGGATATGAACTTCTATGGGATAGAAATAGAAGGATATGAACTTCTATGGGACAGGCATTGCCCCTGCCTAAGGGAGATCCTAGGTCTCCTCCTTCTCCTCCTCCTCCTTTCTTTTTCTTTTCTTTTCTTTCTTTTTTTTTTTTTTTTTTTTTTGAGACAACGTCTCGCTCTGTCACCCAGGCTGGAATGCAGTGGCATGATCTTGGCTCACTGCAACCTCCACCTCCCAGGTTCAAGCTATTCCCCTGCATCAGCCTGCTGAGCAGCTGGGATTACAGGTGTGTGCCACCACACCCAGCTAATTTTTGTATTTTTAGTAGAGATGGGGTTTTACCACATTGACCAGGTTGGTCTTGAACTCCTGACCTCAAGTGATCCACCTGCCTCGGCCTCCCAATGTGCTGGGATTACAGGCGTGAGCCACGGTGCCCGGCCCCAGGTACCCTTCTTCTTGTTCCCACCTCCATCCTCAGGCTCTAAACCTCTGATCGATTTTCTCCCCAATGCCTAGGCCCCAGTTGTTGCTGTGCTGGGCTCAGGCGGAGGACTGCGGGCTCACATTGCCTGCCTTGGGGTCCTGAGTGAGATGAAAGAACAGGGCCTGTTGGATGCCGTCACGTACCTCGCAGGGGTCTCTGGATCCACTTGGTAAGCATCACTCATGTTTCAGATTGCTTTCTGACACATAAATGGGATTATTTTTTTCCTCCTGACACCAAATGTGTGTGGTTTTTTCCAACGCTGCTTCTCGAGCTCTCTGGTACTAGCTGGGTGTCCTACAATTCTGAGCAATTCTGACGCTGGCTACCTGGAGTTCACATCAGATTCCACAGGTGAAAGGGGCTCAGTCCCAAAAAACTGCTCCCACTTCAGACACGAGTTGCAATTACCTAGCCGCTGGTGCTTCTGACCGACTGGCAATAGTTTGGGGTTTCCCACAGCTTCCGCCTCATGTTCAATAATTTACTGGAATAGCTCACAGAACTCAGGAACACACTTTACTTACAATTGCTGGTGTATTACAAAAGATGGGCCAGGTGTGGTGGCTCACGCCTGTAATCCCAGAACTTTGGGAGGCTGAGGCAGGAAGATCGCTTGAGTCTAGGAGTTTGAGACCCAGGCGGGGCAACATAGCAAGACCCCATCTCTACAAAAAGTGAAAAAATTAGCCAGGCGTGGTGGTGCATGCCTATGGTCCCAGCTACTCAGGAAGTTGAGGCAGGAGGATTGCTTTAGCCTGGGAGGCTGAGGCTGCATTGAGCTACAATCACACCACTGCACACCAGCCTGGGTGACAGAGAGACCCTGTCTCAAAAAAAAAATTTTTTTTTTCTAAAAAAGAAAATTCCAAGGGTTTTAGGAACTCTGCACCAGGAAGCAGGGGAAAACACCAAGTATCTTTCTTTGCTACACAAAGCCATGGACAAAGCATAATAATACTACCTTCTGACATTAAAGGAGGATTTACATGTTCAGGTGCACTTTTCACACTGCAGGTGGATAGAATACAGCCCTTTTAACTTATCAGCCTCTATGATAAAGTATTGCATTAATCCGTGTAGGACTGTCTCATTCAGGAGGCCCCAGATGGCAGGTATGAAACACTCATGTCTGCATGTTTGTTGCCAAGCCCAGGGCAGACATGACTAATCGATCTTGGCACATTTTCAGAGCAGGAGGTAAGGCTAGGCAGAGCAGCAGAGGCTCGAGTGTGAGATAGGCAGGGCAGAGGCATGAATGTTGAGCCTGGCTGGCCTGATTTGTTTTCATTTCTGTGCTCAAAGTTTGATCTGGAGCTGGGTTCTGAGCTGGATGTGGAGGATGAGGTTCCTGGAGGCGACAGCATGAAGAGCAGAGCTGCAGAGCTTGGGAGTGGGAAAGGTCCTGCAGAGTCACACCGGACCCCTCTATTCCTCCAAGGCTCATCTAACATGTTGAGTGACATGGCGTGGGGGTTTAGCTGTACTGCACATTGCAGAACTCCAGGGGGCGCTATTGAGATAGGAACCCCATGATTTCTTCTGGAATCTTTCCGAGACTGCTGTGGTTAAAAAGGCAGGCCTGGCTGGACACAGGGACTCACACCTGTAATCCCAGTACTTTGGGAGGTCGAGGTGGGAGGATCTCTTGAGCCCAGGAGTTCAAGACCAGCCTGGGCAACATAGCAAGACCCCATCTCTACAAACAACAACAACGAAAGCCTTATATTTCAACAGCTTTGGGTTAGTTCCTGGAGCTGTCCTTTGTGGGCTGTTACGAGCCCAGACATACTTCTTTGTGCCTTGGTTTCCTCCGCTGTTGAGCATTGTAAGTGTGGACGATGAAGACTGGGAAAGGATGTGTGTGAGGAGGTCCTTCACAGGAACGCCTGCCTCATGGAGAGGGCGACACACAGAGGAAATGGAAAATTTACATGAAATAAATATAACTGCAGAACGGTCAAGTTCAAAGGAGCACTCAAAATCATCTGGGACAGTCCTTCCATTTCACAGGCAGGAAAATGAGAGCACGATGGGAGAAAGGCCTCATCAGAGTCAAATGTTTTTTGCAGCCAGCATTTATTAAAGGTTTACATGTGACAGCAACAAACTGTGCTGATCTCACAGGGCTGTTTGAGAATTAAATGATGAAACACATGCAAATCGTCCCAACCTGAGCTATCAAGTAGAGCTATGTAACATGAGCCACATCTATTCTATCATTTTAAATTTTCTTTCTTTCTTTTCTTTTCTTTTTTTCTTCTGGAGACACAGTCTTGCTCTTGTCGCCCAGGCTGGAGTGCAGTGGCGCGATCTTGGCTCATTGCAACCTCTACTTCCCAGGTTCAAGTGATTCTCCTGCCTCAGCCTCCCAGTTAGCTGGGATTACAGACGCGTGCCACCATGCCCAGCTAATTTTTGTATTTTTAGTAGAGACGGAGTTTCCCCGTGTTGGCCAGGCTGGTCTCAAACTTCTGACCTCAGGTGATCTGCCTGCCCTGGCTTCCCAAAGTGCTGGAATTACAGGTGTAAGCCACCATGTCCGGCCCATTTTAAATTTTCTAGTAGCCTCTTCAAGAAGGTAAAAAGAAACAGTGAAATGATCCATTTTCTTTAACCCAATATATCCAAAACATTAGCATTTTGACACATCGTTAAGAAAAAAATTGTTAATGAGATATTTGACATTCCTTTTGTCAGACTAGGTCTTTGAAAGCTGCTGGGCGTTTTATACTGAGCGCATTCCAAGTTGGATGCAGAAGTCTCATTAGATGTTAAAGGAGGCCCGGGGCAGTGGCTCACACCTGTAATCCCAGCACTTCAAGAGGCCGAGGCAGGTGGATCACCTGAGGTCAGGAGTTTGAGACCAGCCTGGCCAACACGGTGAAACCCTGTCTCTACTAAAAATACAAAAATTAGCTGGGTGTGGTGGCACGCACCTGTAATCCCAGCTACTTGGGAGGCTGAGGAAGGAGAATCACTTGAATCCGGGAGGCAGAGGTTGCAGTGAGCCGAGCTCGAACCACTGTACTTCAGCCTGGGTGACAAGAGTGAAACTCCATCTCAAAAAAAAAAAAAAAAAGATATTAAAGGAAAGAACTTTTCATACCCAGCTTGTTCCAAACATACTTCAGAGTTTCCCAATAACTGAATGGAGTACCAGTGTTTAAATTTAAGCTAATTAAAATGAAATAAATATTTTAAATCATGCTAGCCACACTTCAGGGGCTCAAGAGCTATGATGTATGTTTAATACATTGGATGGTGTGAGGGTAGATAGCACCCGATAAGCAGCATTAAGAACATCAAAAATTTTTATTGAGCCCGGGCACGGTGGCTCACACCTATAATCCCAGCATTTTGGGAAGCTGAGGTGGGAGGATTGCTTCAGGCCACAAGTTTGAGACCAGCGTGGGCAACATAGTGAGACTCCATCTCTACAGAAAATAAATTTAAAAATGAGCAGGGCATGGTGATGCACCTGGTGGGTAGTGGTCCCAGCTACTTGGGAGGCTGAGGTGGGAGGATCATTTGAGCCTGGGGGTTTGAGACTGCAGTGAGCCAAGATCATGCCACTGCACTCTAGTCTGGGCAACAGAGCAAGACCTGTCTCAAAAAAAAAAAAAAAAATATATATATATATATATATATAGACTCTATGTGACACACCAGCTCCCTTGCCTTCTGCCATGAGTAGAAGCTTTTTGCACCATGCTTCTTGTACAGCCTGCAGAACTGTGAGCTAAATAAACCTCTTTTCTTTATAAATTAATATATATAATATATATTTATTGAGTGAACAAATGAATATAAAGTCTTTTTTTTCTTTTTTTTTTTCTTTTTGAGATAGAGTCTTGCTCTGTTGCCCAGGCTGGAGTGCAGTGGCGCGATCTCGGCTCACTGCAAGCTCAGCCTCCCGGGTTCACGCCATTCTCCTGCCTCAGCCTCTCGAGTAGCTAGGACTATAGTAGCTGGGTCTGCAACCACACCCAGCTAATTTTTTGTATTTTTAGTAGAGACGGGGTTTCACCATGTTAGCCAGGATGGTCTCGATCTCCTGACCTCGTGATCCGCACACCTTGGCCTCCCAAAGTGCTAGGATCACAGGCGTAAGCCACCACGCCCAGCTTTTTTTTTTTTTTTTTTTTTTTTTAGATGGAGTCACGCTCTGTCGCCCAGGCTGGAGTGCAGTGGCACAATCTCAGCTCACTGCAACCTCCACCTCCCGGGTTCAAGCGATTCCTCTGCTTCAGCCTCCTGAGCAGCTGGGACCACAGGCGTGTGCCACCATGCCTGGCTAATTTTTGTGTTTTTAGTAGAGACAGGGTTTCCTGAGTATCCGGCACTAGAGGTACCCACCACCACGCATGCCACCACGCCTGGCTAATTTTTCTGTATTTTTAGTGGAGACGGGGTTTCACCATGTTGGCCAGGCTGGTCTCGAACTCCTGACCTCAGGCAATCCTCCCGCCTCGTCCTCCCAAAGTGCTGGGATTACATGCATGAACCACCACACCTGGCCCCGTTCATTGATTTTCTAGGATTATGTGAGTTAATAGGTATAAAAGACTAAAGACAGTTTGTTGCTGTCACATATAAACCTTTTAATAAGTGCTGGCTGCAAAAAACATTTGACTCTGATGAGGCCTTTCTCCCATCGTGCTCTCATTTTCCTGCCTGTGAAATGGAAGGATTGTCCCAGATGATTTTGAGTCCTCCTTCGAACTTGATCGTTCTGCAGTTGTATTTATTTAATGGAAATTTTCCGTTTCCTCTGTGTGTCGCCCTCTCCATGAGGCAGGTGTTCCTGTGAAGGACCTCCTTGCACACATCTTTCCCCAGTCTTCATCGTCCACACTTAAAATGCCCAACTCACTCTCTTCCTCTGTCCTCCAGGGCAATATCTTCTCTCTACACCAATGATGGTGACATGGAAGCTCTCGAGGCTGACCTGAAACATCGATTTACCCGACAGGAGTGGGACTTGGCTAAGAGCCTACAGAAAACCATCCAAGCAGCGAGGTCTGAGAATTACTCTCTGACCGACTTCTGGGCCTACATGGTTATCTCTAAGCAAACCAGAGAAGTAAGTCATTCCCAGCTGGGGACCTGGGGTGGGGGTAGGAGCAAGGGGTCTCAGGGTGTGGGGTTACCAAAGATGCTGACCAGCACCACCTTTTAAGTCCTTCAGGATTTTCAAGTCATCAAAATCTGGGCACTTCGGTTGATGCCTCAAAACTAAAGTATATCAGGATTACTGTGGTTGCAAGTGACAGAAATTGACTCTGATTCGTTTATGCAACAAATAAAGTGATATGATTTACTAGAAAGATACACAGACATCCAGGGCAAGAAGAACAATGAGGACTTATGATGGAATAAGGCAGAAATAGGGAAAGTGTCAGACCCAAGACAACTTTCCTCTCCATCTCTGCTTGGCCATTTGATGTCTTGAATTCACTATTTTATTTTATTTCATTTTATTTTTGAGACAGGGTCTTGCTCTGTCACCCAGGCTGGAGTGCAGTGGCGAGATCATGGCTCACTGCAGCTTCGACCTCCTGGGCTCAAGCAATCCTCTTGCCTCAGCCTTTTGAGTAAGCTGGGGCAACAGGCATGCACCATCGTGCCTGGCTAATTTTTAATTATTTTTTTTTTTGTAGAGACAGGGATCTTGCTATATTGCCCAGGCTGGTCTCAAACTCCTGAGCTCAAGCAATCCTCCAACTACTGGGTTCAAGTGATCCTCCTATCTCAGCCTCCCGAAGTGCTGGGATTACGTGTATGAGCCACTGCATCCAGCCTATCCTAACACATCGGGTTTTTGTTGTTTTTTGTTTGTTTTGTTTATTCTTGAGACAGGGTTTCACTCTGTCGTCCAGGCTGGAGTGCAGTGGTGCAATCACAGCTCACTGCAGCCTTGACCTCCTGGGCTCAAGCAATCCTCTCAGCTCAGCCTCCCAAGTAGCTGGGACTACAGGCACGCACCACTGGGCCTGACAAATTTTTTTTTTTTTTTTTTTTTTTTTTTTTTTTTTTTTTTAGAGATAGGGTTTCGCTTTTTTGCTCGGGGTGGTCTCCAAATCCTGGGCTCAAGTGATCCTTCCACCTCAGCCTCCCAAAGTGCTGGGATTATGGGTATGAGCCACAGCACCTAGCCTATCCAAGCACTTTGGGTGGCTGAGGCGGGAGGATTGCTTGAAGCCATGAGTTCGAGACCAGCCTGGGCAACATAGCAAAAGCCTGTCTCTATCAAAAAATAAATTAGCCGGGCATGGTGACATGCATCTGTAGTCCCAGCTACTTGGGAGGTTGAGGTGGGTGGATTGCTTGAGCCCAGGAGGTTGAGGCTGTAGTGGCCCATTATTGTACCACTGCACTCCAGCCTGGGTGACAGACTGAGACCCCTCTAAAAAAAAATGTGGCCTACGTGCAGAGGTTCCACCCTGTGGGACCCACATGCCTCCCTCACACTGTCTTGGCACCTTCTCCCAAAGCTGCCGGAGTCTCATTTGTCCAATATGAAGAAGCCCGTGGAAGAAGGGACACTACCCTACCCAATATTTGCAGCCATTGACAATGACCTGCAACCTTCCTGGCAGGAGGCAAGAGCACCAGGTAAGCAAACATTTAGAGGGAGGGAGAGGTAGTAAGGGATGGAACAGCACGGAGTGGAATGGAAGAATGTTTCCCTGCCCTCCCCTTGGGGAGCCCAGGAAGAGGGAAGGGCTCAGGATTGCAGAAAACAGGGTGCTCAGCTTAGACGAGAGAAGAGGGAAGTCCCAGAAGTGACCAGAGGACATGCACTTGCTTTGCATGGATCAAGAAAACCTTTAAGAGGCCAACATGGTGGCTCACGCTTGTAATCCCAGTGGTTTGGGAGGCTGAGGTGGGAGGATCGCCTGAAACCAGAAGTTGGAGACCACCCTGGGCAACATAGTGAGATCCCATCTCAAAACAACAACATTAAAAAACAAAACAAAACAAAAAAACACAATAAATTAGCCAAGCATGGTGGCAGGAACCTGAAGAATCTACCCAGGAGACTGGGGCAGGAGGATCACTGGAGCCCAGGAATTCAAGGCTTCGGTGAGCTGTGATTGCACCATTGTACTACAGCCTGAGTGACAAAGTGAGACCCTGTCCCCCCAAAAAGAAGAAAGAAAAAAGAAAACAGAGGAGAGGAGGGACAAAAGACAAAAAGGGGCCGGGCGCAGTGGCTCACGCCTGTAATCCCAGGACTTTGGGAGGCCGAGGCGGGTGGATCACGAGGTCAGGAGATCAAGACCATCCTGACTAACACAGTGAAACCCCGTCTCTACTAAAAATACAAAAAATTAGCTGGGCGTGGCGGCGGGCGCCTGTAGTCCCAGCTGCTCGGGAGGCTGAGGCAGGAGAATGGCGTGAACCCGGGAGGCGGAGGTTGCAGTGAGCTGAGATCGCGCCACAGCACTCCAGCCTGGGCGACAGAGCAAGACTCCGTCTCAAAAAAAAAAAAAAAAAAAGAAAAAAGAAAAAAGTAAAGAAAACTGTAATAAGGGATGTTTGAAGGATGGCGGGGTGGGTGGGTGGGGCTGTCTCTCACTTTTTTTTTTTTTTTTGAGACGGAGTTTCTCTCTTGTTGCCCAGGTTAGAGTGCAATGGCACGATCTCGGCTCACCACAACCTCCGCCTCCCAGGTTCAAGCGATTCTCCTGCCCCAGCCTCCCGAGTAGCTGGGATTACAGGCATGCGCCATCACGCCCAGCGAATTTTGTATTTTTAGTAGAGACGTGGTTTCTCCCTGTTGGTCAGGCTGGTCTCGAACTCCTGACCTCAGGTGATCCACCCGCCTCGGCCTCCCAAAGTGCTGGGATTACAGGCATGAGCCACCGCACCCGGCCATCTCTCACTTTTTAGATGTCTTCCTTCTCCATAGGTCCGATTATCACCCAAATGCTGGCAGCTCTCCAGACATTCCAGTTTCTCTTTTGAGCTCATCTCTCTCCTGAGATCCAGACCTCCTTACCCTATTTCCTAAGCATAAAATGCACTCACTTGTTCAGCAACTGTGTCCTGGTAAGTTCTCACGATACATCAGGCAATGTTACCAGTTACCTGTGGTTGGGCGTCTCCTGGCATCTCAAGGCTCAGAAGCCCCCAGTGTGAATGGTGTTTGTCTGTTTGTTTGTTTGAGACAGAGTTTTGCTCTTGTTGCCCAGGCTGGAGTGTAATGGCACGATCTCGGCTCACTGCAACCTCTGCCTCCCAGGTTCAAGTGATTCTCCTGCCTCAGCCTCCCAAGTAGCTGGGATTATAGGCATGCACCACCACGCCTGGCTAATTTTTGTATTTTTAGTAGGGATGGGGTGTCACCATGTTAATCAGGCTGGTCTCGAACTCCTGACCTTAGGTGATCCACTCACCTCCGCCTCCCAAAGTGCTGGGATTACAGACGTGAGCCACCACGCCCGGCCATGAATGTTTTATCTCTCTCCTCGGTGTGGATCCTTGTGCTGTTTTCTCACCAGAGCAGATACAGCTGACTCCGTCCTTTCCATAAGCCCCACAAATTCAGTCATTCCCAGACCTAGAAATCACCCCCTCCTCATTTTCATCCTTTGTGCTCTTCTACATCATCCCCAGACCAGGTCTCCCAGTCTCCTGGGAGACTCTTGTAATTAGTTCCTCACTGGCCCGCCCATCCCAAGCTGTCCACCTCCTTCCCTGGCTACCTGATGGAAGTTTCCAGGATGAAAATCTGATCATGTCATTTTCTTCCCTGGAATATTCTAATGACTCACATTGGAATCATGCATTAGATTTATGCCCACAGACAATCCTCCATGCAATCGTGTGGCTACACTCTTCCCTTGCACTCCAGGATTCCATGGAGTTGCAGCCACAATGAGATGGAAGAGAGAGGCAGGGCTGAGGGTTCAAGCTCTGGAAAATATTGGAAACAGGCTGCTGTGGAAGTTATGAGCTGCCACCAGCAGCGTAGACTCAGGTCTGAGGATGAGATCCCCAGTGGTTTCTGATACCACACAGTCCATCTCTAACATTCTCCTGTCATGGTTGTAATTCCTCATTAATAGATTTCTTTTTCCTGCATACCTGCTACATTCCTGGTTCTGTGCTGGGACTCACTTGCCGTTGTATTTCCTCTGCAGAGACCTGGTTCGAGTTCACCCCTCACCACGCTGGCTTCTCTGCACTGGGGGCCTTTGTTTCCATAACCCACTTCGGAAGCAAATTCAAGAAGGGAAGACTGGTCAGAACTCACCCTGAGAGAGACCTGACTTTCCTGAGAGGTCAGCGCTGGGGTCAGAGGGGATTAAAAGGGGGTGGGAAGTGGAGGAGAGGCAAGAATTTTCCTTCTGAGGGTCTAGTTTGCCCAGCTCTTAAATTTCTTGGGGGAAAGAAAAGGACTTGGTAGGCTTCCAGAAAGAGGAATGGTGTATTCCTTCTGCTGAGTCTTCAGTGTCTCTCAAAGGTCTCCTTAATGCGGCAGATACCTGATATCCTATCAAACAATCCAGGAGAGGGAGCTTAATAGAGGGGCTCAAGTCCAGGGCTGTGGCTTCCAATAAGCAGATTCAGAATGTGTTTGGGATTACATGGTGCTTTGGGAGGCTGACCTGGGAGGATCCCTTGAGACTGGGAGTTTGAGACCAACCTCGGCAACATAGCAACACTGTGTCTCTACACAAGATTTAAAAATTAGCCAGGCATTGTGGCATGTGCCTGTGGTCCCAGCTACTCAGGAGGCTGAGGCAGTGGAAGGATCACTTCAGCATGGGAGTTCAAGGCTGCAGTGAGTTATGATCGCCCCACTGCACTCCAGCCTGGATGACAGAGAAAGATCTTGTCTCAAAACAAACAAACAAACAAACAAACAAACAAAAAACTAGAATGTGTTTTGGGCACCAGCAAAGCAAGGGGCATACAATTTTTTTTAAATGGGGTATTTCCAGAAAAAATTACAACAAAAACCAAAAACAAAACAGTCATAGTGAGTAAAATCAGAACTTGATTAAATGTCCTTGACTGTAGCTTACACACTGGTATCACTTTTAGTTGTGGCTTCATAATCTTCTCAGCATTCAGGGTCTGAAGGCATTACCCTGCTGGGCAGACAGCTCCCCTACATAGGACCAACCATGCCAGCTTGAGAAAGTCATTAATGTTACCTGAGCCTCGTTTTTCTCATAGGGAAAGTACTTACCTCAAAATGTGGGTGTGAGAGTTAGGTATGATCCACAAATAAAACACTCAGCCCAGTGTCCAGCACATGGTAGGAAATTAAGGATGGTTGACTCTCCATGATTTTAGCATACACTTTTGAGACACACTAGGAGCCTGATACTATTTTAAATGCAGGGGATTCAGTCATGAGCAGGACAGTGAAGGCTCATTCCCTAATGAAGTTTGCACTCCAGGGAAGGAGATGATGAATGAACACACACAAAAATAAGTATGTATTATAATGTCAGATCATAGTAAATGCTATCTTGAAAAATAATTCATGGTAAGGGACTGGAGAGTGACTACAGTATTATTTTTAATTGGTGGTCAGAGCTTCTGACAGGAGATGGCCTTTGAGCATGGACCTGATGAAAAGTGAAGCCATGCAGATATCTTAGAGGAAAAGCATCATGGACAGAGGGAAGAGCAAATGCAGAGACCCTGTATTAGTCCGTTTTCATACTACTATAAAGATACTACCCGAGACTGGGTAATTTGTAGACAAAGGAGGTTTAATTGACTCACAGTTTCACATGGCTGGGGAGGCCTCAGGAAACTTACAATCATGGCAGAAGGTGAAAGGGAAGAAAGAACCTTCTTCAAGTGGTAGCAGGAGAGAGAAGAGCAAGCCAAAGAAGAGCTGCCCAACACTTATCAAACCATCAGATCTCGTGAGAACTCACTCGCTATCACGAGTACAGCATGGGGGGATCTGCCCCCATGATCTGATTACCTCCCACCAGGTCTCTCCCTCAACATCTGGGGATTACAACTCGAGAGATTTGGGTGGGGACATAAAGCTTAACCATATCAGACCCTAAGCCAGGACCAAGTTTGTCTTACTCTAGAACCAATGAGAAGACCAGTGAGGCTGGAGCCTCCTGAATGAGGCTGAGAGAGAGGGCTAGAGAGGTAGGCAGGGTCCAGATCATATGGGACCCTGAAGGACACAGATGAAGTTTAGTTTGGATTCCAAGTGCGATAGGAGAGCCAGGGAGGCAGTTTAATTAGGGTGGTGACCGATTCAGTTTATATGGTAAAACATCTCACTCTCTCTCTCTCTCTCTGAGCATGGATTAGGGGTGGGTGTGTAAACTTAGAAGTTGGGAGCAGTTGAGAAGCTAATGGTCCTGGTGACAGATAATGGCAGTTTAAGGTTGGGTACCAGAATGGATATGGGAGGGAAGTGGATGGACTCTGGAAACCTGGAGATGGATGAAGAAGAATTACACCTGGATTGGATGTGGAGAGTAAGGAGAATCAGAGATGACATCAAAGGTTCCAGCTTCTGCAACCTGGTAGATGGAGGGGTGTTCTCAGGGGAGGAGAACAAGGTAGGATGAAGGGGATCTTCCCCTTTTCTCTGGTCTGGACAGACGGGGTCCTTCACATTGCCAAGCCTGGCTCCTGTCTCCTATCCCCACCATCTCTTTGCTAAATCTGGTCTTGGGCATCAGAGATTTTGAAATTGTCACTCCCAGGTACTCCCTATAACATTATTATTTCCTTAGATGTATGTATCACCTACTGAAGGGATTCTGTACGTGTATTTTATCCCTCCCCTCACACACCAGGGTGCTTTTTATTTATTATTATAAAATAAACATAACATAAAATTTGCCATTTTAACCATTTTAAAGTGTCAAGTACAGTGGTATAAATACAATACATTCATAATGTTGTGCAACCATCACTGCCATCCATCTCCATAACACTTTTCATCTTGTAAAACTGGAACTCTACGCCCATTGAATACTAAGTCCCTGTCACCCCCTCCCTTAGCCCCTGACAACCACAATGCTACCTTCTGCCTCTACGATTTTGACTACTCTGAGTATGACATGTAAATGGAATCATGCAGTGCTTGTCTTTTTGTGTCTGTCTGATTTCACTGAGGAAAATGACTTCGAAGTTCATCCATGTTGTACCATGTGTCTGAATTTCCTTTCTTTTTATGGCTGAATCATATTCCATTGTACGAATATACCACATTTTGCTTATCAATTCATCCATCGATGGACACATGGATTGCTTTCACCTTTTGGCTGTTGTGAAGGAACCTGCCATGCACATGGGTCTATGAATATCTCTTTGAGACCCTGCTTTCAATTCTTTTGGGTATATACTCAGAGGTAGAATTGCTGGATCATGTATGTGGTAATTCTACTTTTAAAATTTTGAGGCCAGGTGTGGTGGCTAATGCCTGTAATCCCAGCACTTTGGGAGGCCGAGGCGGGTGGATCACCTGAGGTTGGGAGTTGGAGACCAGCCTGACCAACATGGTGAAACCCCATCTCTACAAAAAATACAAAATTAGCCGGGCATGGTGGTGCATGCCTGTAATTCCAGTTACTCAGGAGGCTGAGGCAGGAGAATCTCTTGATCTCGAGAGGCGGAAGCTGCAGTGAGCGGAGATCGCGCCATTGCGCTCCAGCCTGGGCTATCTCAAAAAAAAAAAAAATTTTTTTTTTGAGGAACGACCATACCATTTTCCACAGTGGCTGTACCATTTTATATTCTGCCCAATGGTGTCCCAGGTTTCCAATTTCTCCACGTCCTCATCAACACTTATTGTTTTCTGGGGTTTTTTGGATACCAGCCATCCTAATGGGTGTGTCTATTTTTTTTTTTTTTTTTTTTTTTTTTGAGATGGAGTCTCACTCTGTCTCCCAGGCTGGAGTGCAGTTGTGTGATCTCTGCTCACTGCAACCTCCCAGGTTCAAGTTATTCCCCTGCCTCAGCCTCCCAAGTAGCTGGGACTATAGGTGCATACCACCAGGCCTGGCTAATTTTTGTATTTTTTAGTAGAGATAGGGTTTCACCATGTTAGCCAGGCTGACTTTAAACTCCTGACTTCAATTGATCCGCCCACCTCAGTCTCCCAAAGTGTTAGCATTACAGGCGTGAGCCACCGTGCCTGGCTGATTATTCATTTTTTATGTCTCCCTGTATCATATACAAATGTGTTTGGCTAAAAGTCACTAACCAACCACAGTGCCCCGAGGACATGTGGGATTAATTTTCTTACAAAAGAAAAAGACAGACTGAGCACCGTGACTCACAGCTGAAATCCCAGCACTGTGGGAGGCCGAGGCGGGCAGATCACTTGAGGTCAAGAGTTCAAGACCAGACGGGCCAACATGGTGAAACCCCGTCTCTACTTAAAAAATACAAAAATTAGCAGGGCGTGGTGGTGCATGCCTGTAATCCCAGCTAGTCGGGAGGCTGAAGCAGGAGAATCACTTGAATCTGGGAGGCAGAGGTTGCAGTGAGCCGAGATCACACCACTGCACTCCAGCCTGGGCAACAGAGCGAGATCCCATCTCAAAATAAATAAATAATACAAAGTTAGGTGGCTGGTGACATTGGTTTAGCTGTGCAACATTAAGCAGAAGGACCCAGGTTTATTCTAGATTTTCTGCTCCTCCATCCTTAGCATATTAAGTCACCCTCATGCTGAACTCCTCCACACCACGGGATGGCGGCTGCATCCAATGAAGCTGCAACTTTTTTTTTTTTTTTTGAAGTCAGGGTCTCTCTCTGTCACTCAAGCTGCCGTGCAAAAGCACAGTCATAGCCCAATACAGGTCTTGAACTCCTGGCCTCAAGTGATCTTCCTGCCTCAGCCTCCCAAGTAGCTGAGACTAGAGTTGCATGCCACCATACCTGGCCTGCTCCTTCTGAGAAGGAGAACAAGCACTTTGCAGAAGTCCCCCCAGCAGTGTGCATGGACCAGAGCTTGACCGTCCCCTAGCTGCAAGGGAGGCTGGGAAATATTTGCCCTTCCTGCCTGTGTGCTGAGAAGGGTTGGCATGGACAGGAGCTTGAAATGGCCTTGGGGTAGCCAGTCTACAGTGCCCGGCTGGCTCCACCCATAGAAGGTTCGTGAGGACAAGGACTTTATCTGTCTTGTTTACTGCTCTATTCCAACAGCCAGAAGAGTGCCGGGTGCCCACTAATTGCTTCATAAATATTTATGGAATGGAAGAAAGATCTTTCTTCCTGCTGCAGATCCCTGCAGTGCTTTATGCCAGTCTGCTGGTGCTTTGAATATCAAACATGACAGTCACGTGATGGAGAATGTTTGAATTTTATTGCTCTTTTCTTGGCAGGTTTATGGGGAAGTGCTCTTGGTAACACTGAAGTCATTAGGGAATACATTTTTGGTGAGTATTTGGGGAACAGAAAGGTCAAACCCTAGAGATATTTTATGCAAGGAGATTCACAGTACTTTTCCTACTCATGGCAGAAGAGAGACCTGTGTGTAATTGTTCTAGCAACTGCTTTTCCTGACATTTATTCTCATATAATTGGGCAGCCAGGATGACCACAGAGTGGATGAGAGTACAGACTCCCTTGGAAGGAATGTTGCTCTGGTACATGTAAGCTTTGTGACCTCCGAAAAGTTACTTAACCTCTCTGTGCCTCGGTTTCTGCCTCTGTGCCATGCGGGTGATAATAACAGTAGTTATGAATATTTGATGAGTTAATTCATTGAAAGCTTGTAGGACAGTGCCTGGTAGATAACGGCACTCAGTAAACATTAGCAATCATTACCTGGTCCCTCATTTAACATTTAACCCCTTTAATACCCTAAGAGGCAGACGCTTTTGTCCCTTCCATTTTGCTGAGATCCACCAAGTCGTGGGAAGGATGCGTGACTCACCCACACTGCTGGTCAGTGAGTGCAGACGCGGGGATCTATAGGAGAACTGGGTGGTGGATCTCTAGGGGAATAGTGTGGTGGTTCTGATCCAAAGCCTGTCTGCCTGGATCCACATCCCGGCTCTGCTTCTCCTGCACTGCTCACTCTGGAAAGCTGCTTAAATTCTCTGTGACCCAATTTCCCCTTCCTAAAATGGAGACAATAGTACGTAGTCGCAGTCTCGTATATTTGATGTGGGGTTTAAATGACCTCATGTATGTAAAATGCTTAGAGCCAAGCCTGACACATGGGAGTGTTTCATTACATGTTAATCTTATTTTTAGGATCATTACTGAGTTCACACCCTAAACCACTCGTCATTCATTTAATGTATATTCATGGGACCTCCTGTGTGCCAGGCACTGTCCTAGTTCTTACACTTTGACTTTTTTTGTTGTTTGTTTTTTTGAGACAGAGTTTTGCTCTGTTGCCCAGGCTGGAGTGCAGTGGTATGATCTCAGTTCACTGCAACCTCCACCTCCCAGGCTTAAGCAACTCTCCTCCCGAGTAACTGGGACTACAGGCGCGCACCACCGTGCCTGGCTAATTTTTGTATTTTTGGTAGAGACAGGATTTCACCATGTTGGCCAGGCTGGTCTTGAACTCCTGACCTCAAGTGATTCACTGCCTCAGCCTCCCAGTGTGCTAGGATTACAGGCATAAACCACCACGCCCGGGCTGATGTTGTTCTTTGACATTGGTGTTCACCATAGCTTGGTTAAAAACAAAACTAAAAAGGGAATCTATCTATATCCAACCTCCAAATGGCTAACTAAAGGTGTGAGATGGGTCTGAGTGTTACTTCTCCAGTGGGTCTGCTAAGCTTTCTCTCTAAAAAACAAAAACAAAATTCCTGATATGTAGTGTTTGCCAATTCCTGTGGTGTAAATGTTCCCACCGTGGCCAACTTCAGGCTACCAACATGAGGTCACTGAGCACAGAGTTGGAAGAGAGGTGCAAAATTGGCTCTCGAGAGCCATTGGCTGCCATTGGAGCCCATGGCTGCCATTTCTATTAATGAAATATCCCTGCAGGTCATCTGTATTTTTTATATTATAACTAGGGACTTTGTTGTACAGATAAACATTCCTCCTGCTTCTACTCTTTTGCAGACCAGTTAAGGAATCTGACCCTGAAAGGTAAGCATCCTACTTCATCATGAATCCCTGATGATAATGGGGACCGCACACTTGCTTGAGGCCAGCCATTGTCCTAGGAACATTACATGTATGATTCATTTGGTGCCCATTTGAATTCTTTATCTGGTATTTCAAAGATTTCATCTTGATTTGGATCTGTTGCTGGAGAGGTAGTGTGATCTTTTGGGGGTGCTGTAGAACCATGTTTTGTCATATTACCAAAGTTACTTTTCTGATTCCTTCTCATTTGAGTAGACTATTTCTTTTAATTATTCTTGAATTTATGTTGGATTTGACTGTGTTTTTTTTTTCTTTTTTCCGCTTAAGGATGTGACTTTAATGTCCCTAGCTAATTATAGCCTAATTTGGTCCTTGGTGCTTTCAGGGGTGAAGATTGTAAGAGTTCCTTGGATATAGGGAGTCTTCGTGTGATGGCTTTCTCATATGCTGGTTGTAGAAGCGATGTGCTCACTGTGTGAGCAAGTTCACTGTTGCCTACAGGGCTGGAATGGTAGAAGACTCTTGAAGCTTAACTCATTCCCCACAAGGCATGCAATTTTTTCCCCAGTATTTTATTGACTGGTTTGATGGTTCAGGCTTCAGGTCTGTAGGGGAGTGCATAGGAAGTGATTGTGGCCAAAACATGTGAGTAAATGCAACACCCAATGGTGAGCAAAGGTCCCAGCCTTGACAGAGGTGGCTGGAGGAGCTCTCAGTGAGTTGCATCGAGATTTTTTTTTTTTTTTTTTGAGACAGAGTTTGGCTCTTGTTGCCCAGGCTGGAATACAATGGCATGATCTCAGCTCACCCCACAACCTCCGCCTCCCAGGTTCAAGGAATTCTCCTGCCGCAGCCTCCTGAGTAGCTGGGATTGCAGGCACTTGCCACCATGCCCAGCTAATTTTGTATTTTTAGTAGAGATGGGGTTTCTCCGTGTTGGTCAGGCTGGTCTCGATCTCCCAACCTCAGGTGATCCGCCCACCTCGGCCTCCCAAAGTGCTGGGATTACAGCCGTGAGCCACCATGCCTGGCTGTGCACCGTGGTCTTATCAGGCAGAAGGGTTGGAGCCACCTCAGCTCCCCTGCCAGGTCAGCCAGAAAGCCATCCATCTCTCAGACACACTCGTGATCCAGTGCTCCAGCTATTCAGATCAGACGGGCACCTCTTTTCATCTGTAGGAATGTTGGTGTTCTGAGTAGAGAGGAACTGTGAATCTGTCTCTTATGCAAGCCTAAACCTAGAGGGGCTCCTCCTGTGGGGATGCAGTCGCCCTGATATGTTCCAGAAAGGCTGTCTATAGTTGTACCCATGCTGAGCTCCCATGGGAGAAACCCCAACTGTGCCTGTGGCAGTGGAAGAGAGGGGAAAGACATCCCCTTATCCAAGACCCTTCATGCACACCAGGGCTGTCTGATGGTTGGGTTAGAGCTGTGGGCTTTCCGTGCTGAGCCCAGCACTGAAACTGTGTCCCTGCTGAAAGAAACTTCCCACCAGCAGAAAGATCTGATTTTCAAGTCCTGCTGTCCAGATTCTTTTGTCCCATGGGGTGTTCCCTTGATGTGGTGCACTCCCCATTCCCCTAGGATAGGAGTCACTGAGCACCAGACTACAGTGAGTGTTATTGTTCCTCTGGGTCTAGCCACCCAGTGAAGCTGCCACACTTCAGGCTGGTTCTTGGGAATGTCTCCAAGGAATCCGGTAATGTCCCCTGTCCTCGAGACTCCCAGCAATGGGAAGCAGCACCAGCTCTAATGGGGGTGGCAGGAGAGAGACACAGGCTCTGTGAGATTCCTTGCTGATGGACAGCCTTAGTAGGTTGGCTTCCTTGAATGCTAGTTATAGTAGTAATGAACTGATCATGTGGACAGACTCAGGACCTCCTGGTTAGCCAGAGTGGTGCATGCAGTGGTGATAGCTGAGGACATAGAGCCATTTTCTCCTTCCTGGGCCCAGTGTTATCCTACCAGGAGATGCTGTCATGGACTGTGTTGGTTGGCCTCCACCCAGCAGGTGGAGCACCAGCTGCAGTAGTAGCAGTGGGATATTCACTTGCCCTATGTTGCCCAGGGTGGCTACTCTTGTTTCTCAGGCAATGGGCAGAGCCACAGAGTTCCCAAAAGTTTCCGTCCTTTGTATTAAAGCCACCAGGGCGGGTGGCAGGGCAAAGCCAGGTGTGGGCTGGGTCAGGCAGTTTTGTGCTCTAACTCTCCCTGTGCAGGGCAAGCAGCAGCTCCTGTGGGTATCAGGGGGTGGGGGTGGTTTTCAGACCCATGTGCTGATAATCCAGAGAGGAATGTTTCTGCCTCTGCTGCACAGAAGAGTTTGTGTAGGGAGTGGGGAGTGGCAGGTGGCAGTAAGCCCCACGCGGATCCCACACACTTGGCGAGGCAGATCCCCTCCCACCCTGTTCCACTGGCAGTGGTGAGCTAAGTTCCAGGCAGCCTGTGCTCAGAACTTGCAAATGCCCCCAAGTCATAAGCTTTCCCTGCAGAGATAGCAACCACTGCTCTCAGGCCATGCCCCTCCCCATCTATCCCACCTAGCCATGTGCCAGGGTCCTGCACACGTGTCTGCAGCTTGCTTTTCATTCACCCCATGTGGGTGGAGAAGTTCACCTCCACCCACAGTTATCTCATGAAACCCAGCTGGGGGCTTCTTTCAACCTGCGACCACCCACCTGAACTTTTTGGCTGACCACTGCAGGGTGCCCTGTGAGGAACAATAAGGAATGGCTTCCCTGGGTCCATACTGGGATCTGGGAGTGCATGCAGGGTTCTTCCCACAGCTCCTACTTATATTCCACGAACCTCCCCAAGTCATATCCTGCACTGAATAGGGTTAAGGCCTTACCCCAGAGACTGGACTTTCAGGCTCCCTGGTGTGGTGGGGGCGTGTGTCCTGCAAACAGTCTTTCCCCATCTCACACCCTGGGGACTCGCAGCCCTTCACTTGAGTCACAGTATAGGCTGCAGCCCGTCACTTCCTTCAAAGGGACTGTGGATTCCTTCAGATTTCCTGTCTAATTCCTGAATCACTTCTTGAAAAAAAAGTTCACAGTGTGAATCTCTACACAGTGTTTTGTCCTTCCAAGTGGGAGGGGTATGCCAGCAATGCCTCTAATCCAACATGTTTGCTGTCCTGCTCTTTCATAGTAGGACAGCTAGGACTTTCCAGAAGTGCCCCCATAAATCTGCATGGGCCAGAGCTTGACCTCCCTCTAGCTGCAAGGGAGGCTGGGAAATATTTGCCCTTCCTGCCTGTGGGCTGAGAAACGTTGGCATGGAAGGGAGCTTGAAATGGCCTTGGGGTAGCCAGTCTACAGTGCCCGGCTGGCTCCACCCATAGAAGGTTCCTGAGGACAAATCTGTCTTGTTTACTGCTCTATTCCAACAGTCAGAAGAGTGCCGGGTGCCCACTGATTGCTTCATAAATATTTATGGAATGGAAGAATGATCTTTCTTCCTGCTGCAGATCCCTGCAGTGCTTTATGCCAGTCTGCTGGTGCTTTGAATATCAAACATGACAGTCATGTGATGGAGAATGTTTGAATTTTATTGCTATTTTCTTGGCAGGTTTATGGAGAAGGGCTGTTGCTAATGCTAAAAGCATTGGACACCTTATTTTTGGTGAGTATTTGGGGAACAGAAAGGTCAAAGCCTAGAGATATTTTATGCAAGGAGATTCACAGTACTTTTCCTGCATGTGGCAGAAAAGAGGCCTGTGTATAATGGTTCTAACAACCACATTTCCTGACATTTATTCTCATACACTGAACATTGATTATGGGCAGCCAGGAAGACCACAGAGTGGATGAGAGTACAGACACCCTTGGAAGGAATGTTGCTGTGGTACATGTGAGCTTTGTGACCTCTGAAAAGTTACCTAACCTCTCTGTGCCTCAGTTTCTGCCTCTGTGCCATGTGGGTGATAATAATAGTAGTTATGAGGATTAAATGAGTTAATTCATCAAAAGCACATAGGACAGTGTCTGGTAGATAAAGGCACTCAGTAAACATTAGCAATCTGGCTGGATGCAGTGGCTGACACCCGTAATCGCAACACTTGGGAGGCTAAGGCGGGCGGATCATTTGAGGCCAGGAGTTCAGGTTTCTGATCCTGGCCAACAGGTGTGTGGAGCTGGTGCCTGCTACTTCCAGGCCTGGCTACAAAAGGCCTTCTGTGGCTCTCCAGCTCTCTCCTCTCATGGAACAGACAAGGAGACCTTGTGCCAAGAGGAGAAGCTCTTAAACCCAGGAGGCGGAGGTTGCAGTGAGCTGAGATCACACCATTGCACTCCAGCCTGGGCAACAAGATGCAAGCAGCCTGGCCCGGCGCAGTGGCTCATGCCTGTAATCCCAGCACTTTGGGAGGCCCAGGCGGACAGATCACTTGAGGTCAGGGGTTCGAGTGCAAGCTGGGTAACATGGTGAAAATGCGTCTCTACTAAAAATACAAAAATTAGCCAAGTATGGTGGTGCACGCCTGTGATCCCAGCTACTCAGGAGGTTGAGGCACAAGAATCGCTTGAAACCAGGAGGCAAAGGCTGCAGTGAGCTAAGATCACACCACTACAGTCCAGTCTGGGCAACAGAGCAAGACTCCATCACACACACACACACACACACACACACACACACACACACAAAATTGGCATTCGTTACCTGTTCATCATTTAACCCTTTGAATGACCTGAAGAAGTGGATGCTGTTGTCCCCTCCATTTTGCTGAGAGCCACCGGGTCATGGAAAGGATGCGTGACTCACCTATGTAACTGGTTGGTGAGTGCAGACACAGGGATCTATAGGGGAATCGTATGGTGGTTCTGATCCAAAGCCTGTCTGCCTGAATCCACATCCCAGCTCCACCTCTCATGCGTTAGTGACCCTAGAAAGCTGCTTAAATTCTCTGTGAAAAAAATTAAAAAATAAAGAAATGAGGGGCCGGGCGCAGTGGCTCACACCTGTAATCTCAGCACTTTGGGAGGCTGAGGTGGGCAGATCACCTGAGGTCAGGAGTTTGAGACCAGCCTGACCAACGTGGAGAAACCCCATCTCTACTAAAAATACAAAATTAGCCGGGCGTGGTGGTACATGCCTGTAATCCCAGCTACACGGGAAGCTGAGGCAGGAGAATCGCTTGAACCCAGGAGGTGGAGGTTGCAGTGAGCTGAGATCACACCATTGCACTCCAGCCTGGGCAACAAGAGTGAAACACAGTCTCAAAAAAAAAAAAAGAAAAAAGAAAAAGAAAAAGAAAAAAAAGAAATGAAACAAACAAAAAAAAAAAAAAAAAGAAAAGAAAATCAACAACAACAACAAAATTCTCTGTGACCCAATTTCTCCTTTGTAAAATGGATACAATAGTGCATAGCCCCAATCTTGTATATTTATATCAAATAAATGTAAATATACATCAAATATACAAGATTGGGACTATGTACTATTTGATGTGGGGTTTAAATGACCTCATGTATGTAAAGTACTTAGAGCAAAGCTTGACACATGGGAGTGTCCTCTTAAATGTCAATATTATTTTTATTATGTCTTGTATTGTTAGAAAAAGCAAGCCAGGGCCAGGCGCGGTGGCTCACGCCTGTAATCCCAGCACTTTGTGGGGGCCGAGGCGGGTGGATCACCAGGTCAGGAGATCGAGACCATCCTGGCTAACATGGTGAAACTCCGTCTCTACTAAAAAATACAAAAAATTAGCCGGGCGTAGTGGCGGGCGCCTGTAGTCCCAGCTACTCGGGAGGCTGAGGCAGGAGAATGGCGTGAACCTGGGAGGCAGAGTTTGCGGTGAGCCAAGATCGAGCCACTGCACTCCAGCCTGGGCGACAGAGCGAGACTCCGTCTCAAAAAAAAAAAAAAAAGAAAGAAAGAAAAAGCAAGCCGGGCACAGTGGCTCACGCCTGTAATCCCAGCACTTTGGGAGGTTGAGGTGGGTGGATCACTTGAGGTCAGGAGTCCGAGACCAGCCCAGCCAACATGGTGAAACCTCGTTTCTACTAAAAATATAAAAATTAACTGGGCATGGTGGCGGGCGCCTGTAACCCCAGCTACTCGGGAGGCTGAAGCAGGGGAATTGCTCGAACCCGGGAGGCAGGGGTTGCAGTGAGCCGAGATCGCACCACTATACTCCAGGCTGGGCAACAGATCGAGACTGTGTCTCAAAAAAAAAAAAAAAAAAAAGAAAGAAAGAAAGAAAAAGAAAAAAAAGCAGACAAAATTTATTTATTGACAATTCAAAAATTTGAAAAAGATGAAGCAGAAGCTTGACCTAACCGACGTGTATCAGGACTTAGCTTTCTATCGCATTTTCAGCACATGTGGAAAAATTGAATTTTGATTTGGTCTCAAGTAAAAAGTTATAACATGTACAATATTTTAATTATAAGGATCAACACTGCTACTATTAGGTAATAATATTTTTAAATATTAAGATTTTTTTGTTTTTTTTTGAATTTTTACTTCAATAGCTTTTGGGGTACAAGTGGTTTCTGTTACACGATGAATTATGTAGTAGTAAATTCTGAGACTGTAGTCCACCCATCAGTGTATGTTTTAGAGTATGTTGCATTCAATATGTAGTTTTTTGGTTTTGTTTTTTGTGACAGTCTCACTCTGTTGCCCAGGCTGGAGTGCAGTAGCAAGATCTCGTCTCACTGCAACCTCTGTATCCTGGGTTCAAGTGCTTCTCCTGCCTCAGCCTCCCTAGTAGGTGGAATTACAGGCACGTACCACCATGCCCGGCTAATTTTTATATTTTTAGTAGAGATGAGGTTTTGCCATGTTGGTCAGGCTGGTCTCGAACTTCTGAGCTCAAGCAATCTGCCCGCCTCAGCCTCCCAAAGTGCTGGGATTACAGGCATGAGCCACCACACCTGGCCCCAATGTGTAGTGTTTTTTTGTTTTTGTTCTTGTTTTTTGAGACGGAATTTCACTCTTGTTGCCCAGGCTGGAGTGCAATGGAGCGATCTCTGCTCACCGCAACCTCCACCTCCTGGGTTCAAGCCATTCTCCTGCCTCAACCTCCCGAGTAGCTGGGATTACAGGCATGCACCACCATGCCTGGCTAATTTTGTATTTTTTTAGTACAGACAGGGTTTCTCCATGTTGCTCAGACTGGTCTCGAACTCCTGACCTCAGGTGATCCACCTGCCTCGGCCTCCCAAAGTGCCGGGATTACAGGCATGACCCACCACTCCTGGCCCCAATGTGTAGTTTTTTATCCCCACCTCCCTACCCTCCTCTTTCTGAATCTCTGAAGTCCGTTATGCCACTCTGTATGCCTTTGCGTACCCATAGCTTAGCTCCCACTTATAAGTGAGAACATATGGTTTTTGGTTTTACATTCCTGAGTTACTTTACTTAGAATGATGGCCTCCATCCAAGTTTCTGCAAAAGACATTATTTTATTCTTTTTTATGGCTGAGTCATATTCCATGGTGTTTATATACCACATATTCTGTATCCACTCATTTGTCAATGGGCACTTAGGTGGGTTCATATCTTTTTTTTTTTTTGAGACAGTCTCACTCTGTCACCCAAGCTGGAGTGCAGTGGCGCGATCTCGGCTCACCGCAAGCTCCGCCTCCCAGGTTCACGCCATTCTCCTGGCCCAGCCTCCTGAGTAGCTGGGACTACAGGCACCCACCACTGCGCCCAGCTAATTTTTTTTTTTTTTTTTTTTTTGTATTTTTAGTAGAGACCGGTGTTAGCCAGGATAGTCTCGATCTCCTGACCTCATGATCCACCCGCCTCAGCCTCCCAAAGTGCTGGGATTACAGGCATGAGCCACCATGCTCGGCTGGTTCCATATCTTTCAATTGTGAATTGTGCTGCTATAAACATACATGTGCATGTGTCTTTTTTTTTTTTTTTTGAGGCAGAGTCTCGCTCTGTTGCCCAGGCTGGAATGCAGTGGTGCAATCTCACTGCAACCTCCAACTCGTGGGTTCAAGTGATTCTCCTGCCTCAGCCTCCCAAGTAGCTGGGACTACAGATGTGCACCACCGCATCCAGCTAATTTTTGTATTTTTAGTAGAGATGGGGTTTCACCATGTTGGCCAGGCTGGTCTTGAACGCCTGACCTCGAGTGATCTCCCCTCCTCAGCCTCCCAAAGTGTTGGGATTACAGGCGTGAGCCACTGCACCCAGCCCACAAGTGTCTTTTTCATATAATGGCTGCCTTTCCTTTGGGTAGATACCCAGTAGTGGGATTGCTGGATCGAACGGTAGATCTACTTTTAGTTCTCTGAGGACTCTCCATACTGTTTTCCATAGAGGTTGTACTAATTTACATTCCCACCAGCAGTGTGTGAGTGTTCCATTTGCACCGCATCCACACCAACGTCTATGGTTTTTTTTGAATTTTTATCAATGGCCATTCTTGTGGGAGTAAGATGGTATCTCATTGTGGCTTTCATTTGCGTTTCTTTAATGATTAGTGATGCTGACCATTTTTTTCATATGTTTCTTGGCCACTGGAATATCTTCTTTTGAGAAATGTCTATTCATATCATTGGGATGCTTTTCGGTGGGATTATTCGTTTTCTTGCTGATTTCTTTGAGTTCCTTATAGGTTCTGTATAATCGTCTTTTGTGGATGCCTAGTTTGCAAATATTTGCTCGCATTCAGTGGGTTGTGTGTTTACTCTGATAATTACTTCCTTTGCTGTACAGAAGCTTTTTAATTTACTCAGGTCCCATATATTTGTTTATTTTTGAGACGGAGTCTCACTCCATCACCCAGGCTTCAGTGCAGCAGCACGATCTCGGCTCACTGCAATCTCCGCCTCCCAGACTCAAGCAATTCTCCTGCCTCAGCCTCCTGAGTAGCTGGGATTACAGGCATCCAACACCATACCTGGCCAATTTTTGTATTTTTAATAGAGATGGGGTTTCGTCATGTTGGTCTGGAACTCCTGACCTGAAGATCCGCCCAGCTGGGCCTCCCAGAGTGCCAGGATTACAGGCGTGAGCCATCGTTCCCATATATCCATATGTTTATTTTTGTTTTTGTTGCATTTGCTTTTGGGCTCTTGGTCATGAACTCGTTGCCTAAGCCAACATCTAGAAGAGTTTTTTTGATGTTATCTTCTAGAATTTTTATGGTTTCTGGTCTTATATTTAAGTCTTTGATGCAAATTCACATTGAATTTGTGAGTTGATTTTTGTATAAGGTGAGAAATAAGGATCGAGTTTCATTCTCCTACATGTGGCTTGCCAGTTATCCCAGCACCATTTGTTGAATAAGGTGTCCTTTCCCCCACTTTATGTTTTTGTTTGCTTTGTCGAAGATCACTTGGCTATAAGTATTTGGCTTTATTTCTGGGCTCTCTATTCTGTTCCATTGTTCTACATGCCTAATTTTATACCAGTACCGTGCTGTTTTGGTAACTATAGGCTTGTAGTATAATTTGATTGGGTAATGTGATGCCTCCAGATTTGTTCTTTTTGCTTAGTCTTTGCTTTGGCTATGAGGGCTCTTTTTTGGTTCATATGGATTTTGGGATTGTGGCTGGGCATGGTAGCTCACGTCTGTAATCCCAGCACTTTGGGAGGCCAAGGCGGGTGGATCACCTGAGGTCAGGAGTTTGAGACCAGCCTGGCCAACATGGCGAAACCCCATCTCTACTACAAATACAAAAATTAGCCAGGCATGGTGCATGCGCCTGTAATCCCAGCTACTTGGGAGGCTGAGACAGGAGAATCGCTTGAACTTGGGAAGCAGAGGTTGCAGTGAGCCAAAATTGGCCATTGCACTCCAGCCTGGGCAACAGAGCGAGACTAAGTCTCAAAAAAAAAAAAAAAAGGATTTTAGGATTTTTTGTTCTGTGAAAAATGATAGTATTTTGATGGGAATTACACTGGACTTGTAGATTGCTTTTGGCAGTATGGTCATTTTCACAATATTGATTCTACCCATCCATGAGCATGGGATGTGTTTCCATTTGTTTGTGTCATCTATGATTTCTTTCAGCAGTGTTTTGTAGTTTTCCTTGTAGCAGTCTTTCACCTCCTTGGTTAGGTATATTCCTGAGTATTTTATTTTATTTTTTTGCAGCTGTTGTAAAAGGGGTTGAGTTCTTGATTTGAATCTCAGCTTGGTCATTGTTGGTGTATAGCAGTGCTACTGTTTGTGTACATTGATTTTGTATCCTGAAACTCTACTGAATTCATTCATCAGACCTAGGAGCTTTTTGGATGAGTCTTTAGGGTTTTCTAGGTGTACAATCATATCATCAGTGAACACTAACAGTTTGACTTCCTCTTTACTGGTTTGGATACCCTTCATTTCTTTCTCTTGTCTGATGGCTGTGGCTAGGACTTCCAGTACTATGTTGAATACAAGTGATAAGAGTGGGCATTCTTGTCTTATTGCAGTTCTCAGGGGGAATGCTTTAAACTTTTCCCTGTTCAGTGTAATGTTGGCTGTGGGTTTGTCATAGATGGCTTTTATTACATTGAAGTATGTCTCTTGTATACCGATTTTGTTGAGGGCTTTAATCATAAAGGGATGTGGGATTTTGTGAAATGCTTCTGCATCTCCTATGATTTTTGTTTTTAATTCTGTTTCTGTGATATATCACATTTGTTGACTTGCATATGTTAAGCCATCCCTGCATTCCTAGTATGAAACCCACTTGATCACATCATGGCAAATTTCAAGCTACCAACATGAGGTCAGCGAGCACAGAGTTGGAAGACGGGTACAAAATTAGCTCTCCAGAACCCGTATCAACAGACTCCAACCCATGGCTGCCATTTCTATTAAAGAGACGTCGCTGCAGGTAATCTGTATTTTCTATAACTAGTGACTTTACAGTTAAACATTCCCCCTGCCTCTGCTCTTTTGCAGCCCGATTACTGAGGCTGCAAGAAAGTTCACAAGGGGAACATCCTCCCCCAGAAGGTAAGCATCCTACTTTGCCATGAATCCCTAATGATAGTGTGGACTGCACACTGGCTTGAAGCCAGCCATTGTCCTAAAAACTTTACGTGTCTGATTCATGTGGTGCTCCTTTGGGAATGGAGAGGAGCATGGACTCTCCCAGGTGCCTGAGGCCACGCAGCCAGGAGGGGCAGGATCGGAGTTCAAACTGACACTCTGTGAAAAATGATAGTATTTTGATAGGAATTACACTGGACTTGTAGATTGCTTTTGGCAGTATGGTCATTTTCACAATATTGATTCTACCCATCCATGAGCATGGGATGTGTTTCCATTTGTTTGTGTCATCTATGATTTCTTTCAGCAGTGTTTTGTAGTTTTCCTTGTAGCAGTCTTTCACCTCCTTGGTTAGGTATATTCCTGAGTACTTTATTTTATTTTTTTGCAGCTGTTGTAAAAGGGGTTGAGTTCTTGATTTGAATCTCAGCTTGGTCATTGTTGGTGTATAGCAGTGCTACTGATTTGTGTACATTGATTTTGTATCCTGAAACTCTACTGAATTCATTCATTAGACCTAGGAGCTTTTTGGATGAGTCTAACCATAGGATCCATGTACATAGTCGTCAGATATACCCTAGGTATGCCTAGGATCCAAGTGTCAGAGGCAGAAAATGGGAACAGCCTGAGGCAATTAGCAAATTGAGAGGAAAAATACTTCCCAAAACTACATAGGTTGGGAGTCATGAAGGAATCAGACTTGACCCATGGTGGGAGTACGGAGAACAAGAACAAAGTATCAGATGAATTCTGTATGGAGAAGTTAGATTATATTATGGAGGAGACTATATTTGTTCAGGAGAGGCTATGCTGCGCAAAGAAACCACAAATTGCTATAGCTTAAGACACAAAGGGTTTATATTTTGCTTACCCAAAAAGCGATATGGGTTGAGTGTTCCTCCAGGGCAACTTGGCTCCATGTGGGGACTTAGGCATCCAAGCTGTTTGCGTCTTTTTTTTCCTTTCCTTTTCTTTTTTCTTTTTTTTTTTTGGAGACAGAGTCTAGCCGTGTCACCCAGGCTAGAGTGCAGTGGCATAATCTCAGCTCACTGCAACCTCTGCCTTCCAGGTTCAAGCTATTCTCCTGCCCCAGACTCCTGAATAGCTGGGATTACAGGCAACTGCCACCACACCTGGCTAATTTTTGTATTTTTAGTAGAGACGAGTTTTCACTACATTACCCAGGCTACTCTCGAACTCCTGACCTCAAGTGATCTGCCTGCCTGGGCCTCCCAAAGTGCTGGGATTACAGGTGTGAGCCACCGCGCTGGGCCAAGCTGCTTGCATCTCGTTGCTTCTCCTCTTGGCACAAGGTCTCCTTGTCTGTTCCATGAGAGGAGAGAGCTGGAGTGCCACAGAAGGCCTTTTGTAGCCAGGCCTGGAAGTATTGGGCACCAGCTCCACACACCTCCTGTTGGCCAGGATCAGTCACATGGCCCCAACCTAACTACAGCAGAGGCTGACAAAGATGGTCTTCCTTCCAGTTGTGGAAGATGCAAGTGTGGCTTTTTCACAGGTCAACAGTCAGGTACAGAGTGAAGGTAGGTCCTGAGCACAGCCCTTCATCCACTTCATGCCTCCCTCCCTGTTTTAGTTGTGAAGGCTGCCAGAACAAAGTGCCATACATAGGCTGGCTGGCTTAGCAACAACAGAGATTAATTTCTCAGTTCTGGAGGCTGGAAGCCCAAGATCAGAGTACCAGTAGGGTTGGATTCTGGGGAACCCTCTTCTGGGTTGCAGAGAGCCAACTTCTTGCCACATGGCGGGCTTTAATGTTGTTTTTTGACATCAGCATTCACCATATGCTGGTTATAGACAAGTCTGGAAGGAGAATCTATCTCCAACCTGCAAATGGCTAACTAATGTTGTGGGATGGTAGGCTGGTGATTGTACCACTGCACTCCAGCCTGGTGACAGAGCGACAACCTGTCTCAACAACAACAACAACAAAAAAGAAATGGCAACCCCAAGGTGATGGTATTAAGAGATGGGGCCTTTGGGAGGTGTTGAGACCATGAGGGTGGAGCCCTCTTGATTTGGATTAATCCCTTATAAAAGAAGCCTCAGAGAGCTCACTCCAAGGAATGCGGTGAAGGTTGAAGTGTAGAATTTATGCAAAATGCCAAGATGAGCCTGGCAGGTGACGTTCTCAGCAAACGTGAGCAGAGCTATTATCAGTGTGTGTGTGTGAGAGAGAGAGAGTTGAACATCATCTAATTCATGAGTGTGGATAAAAATAAGAGGGGATGCCAGGCATGATAGCTCAATGCCTGTAATCCCAGCACTTTGGGAGGCTGAGGGGGGTGGATCACTTGAGGTCAGGAGTTCGAGACCAGCCTGGCCAACATGGTAAAACCCCATCAGTACTAAAAATACAAAAATTAGCCGGGCCTGGTGGTGGTGCGTGCCTGTAGTCCCAGATACTCCAGAGGCTGAGCCAGGGGAATTTCTTGAAACTGGGAGGCAGAGGTTGCAGTGAGCTGAGATTGCCCCATTGCACTCCAGCCTGGGCAACAGAGCAATACTCTGTCTCAAATAAATAAATAAATAAATAAATAAATAAATAAATAAATAAATAAATGGGAGACTTTGCCTCCAACCCTGAAGAAAATAAGCGTGCAAAAGATGAGTAGAGGTGGAGGCAGAGATGAAGGAGCTAGAAAAAAGAGGCCAGAAAGTCAGAGAGAGTGAGGTAACATGGGGGTCAGCAGAAGGCAAGGGGAGAGAGGGTCACCTGGAGAAGGAGGTCACCTCAGGAGGAACCGCAGGGCATTGCAGAAGATGAGGCAGAGCAGGGTCTGTGATGTTCTTGGTAGGGTACTTGGACAGTGTCTGAGACCACCTGGATTTCTTGACGTAGATGAAGGCGGTGAGCCTGAACACACCTGGCTGACTGAGATGCTCGAGAATTGGACCAGGACCTCCCTGGAAAAGCAGGAGCAGCCCCATGAGGACCCCGAAAGGAAAGGTACCATGTGTAGTGTGATAAGTGTCATCAACAGTAAGTGCCACCAACCTTCTCCCCCCTCTTGCTCTTCCCCACCCCTGTGGGCCAGTCCTGCAGGGGACATGACCAGATGTCCCACTGGTACAGTTTGGATATTTGTTCCCTTCCACATCTCATGTTGGAATGTAATCCCCCAATGTAAATTAGTTCAACCATTGTAGGAGACAGTGTGGAATTCCTCAAGGATCTAGATCCAGAAATACTATTTGGCCCAGCAATCCCATTACTGGGTATATGCCCAAAGGAATGTAAATCATTCTGTTAGAAAGATACAGGCACATGTATGTTCACTGCAGCACTATTCACAATATCAAAGACATGGAATCAACCCAAATGCCCATCAGTGATAGACTGGATAAAGAAAATGTGGTACATATACACCATGGAATACTATGCAGCCAGAAAAAGGAACAAGATCATGTCCTCTGCAGGGATATGGGTGGAGCTGGAAGTCATTATCCTCAGCAAACTATTGCAGGAACAGAAAACCAAACACCACATGTTCTCACTTATAAGTGGGAGCTGAATGATGAGAACACATGGACGCAGGGAGGGGAACAACACACACTGGGGCCTGTTGGGGGCGGGTGGGGAGAAGAAGAGCACCAGGAAAATTAGCTAATGCATGTGGGGCTTAATACCTATGTGATGGGTTGATAGGTGCAGCAAACCGCCATGGCACATGTTTACCTGTGTAACAAATCTACACGTCCTGCACATGTGTCCCGGAACTTAAAATTAAATTAAATTAAATTAAATTAAAAGAAAAAGAAATGTAATCCCCAGTGTTGGAGGTGGGGCCTGGTGGGAGGTGATTGGATCATGGGGGCGGATCCCTCATGAATGGCTTAGCGTCATCCTCTTGGTGATTAGTAAGTGCTTGCTCTGAGTTCATGTGAGATACGGTTGTTTAGAAGTGTGTGGCACCTTCCCCCTCGCTCTCTTGCTCCTGCTCTCGGCAAGTGATGTGCCTGCTCCCCATTCACTTTCCATCATGATTGGAAGCTTCCTGAGGCCCCACCAGAAGCAGATGCCAGCACCACGCTTCCTGTACAGCATCCAGAACTGTGAGACAATTAAACCTCTTTTCTTTATAAATTATCCAACCTCAGGTACTTCTTTATAGTAATGCAAGAATGGACTGATACGCCCACCCTCTATCCACCCAACCGGCCATCCATCCATCTAGGATGTCTTGAGTCATTAGCATGAAATAATAACTCTCCTACTAGCAGGCTGGGGGTAGGGGTGACAAAGGGGAAATGTCAGACCAAGTGCCTGCCTGGAGGACTCATGGTCTAGAGGACGAGATGGAGAATAGACAGGTAAGCCAACCACAGGCAAGTCCATCCCCGACTGGGCTAATTTCTATGGAGAGGGCTGGGTGCAGTGGCTCACACCTGTAATCCCAGCACTTTGGGAGGCTGAGGCAGGAAGATCACTTGAGCCCAGGAGTTCAAAACCAGCTTGGGCAACATAGCAAGACCCCATCTCTACAAAATTTTTTGTAAAAAATTAGCTGGACATGGTAGTGCGTTCCCATGGTCCCAGCTACTCAGGAGGCTGAGGCAGGAGGATCACTTGAGCCCAAGAGGTCGAGGCTGTAGTGAACTATGATTGTGCCACTGCATTCCAGCCTGGGTGACAGAGCAAGACCCTGTCTCGAAAAAATAATAAATAAGTAAATTATATGGAGAGACAAGGAGAGGCGAGAGCAGGTATCCGGTGAAAAATTCTGAGAGTGAAGTAGCGTGGATGAGGGACAATGAAGACAGTTGGTCGCTGAAGCCACTGCCTTCCTGAGATGACCCAGGTACAGCCAGTCTCACCCCCAGACATCCAACCTCTCACCTCTGTGATGACCCGGTGTCCAGGCACAGACACACCCAGAGTCCTCCTGACCAGCTCATCAGCAGCTCACCAAGGAAAGGAAATCAAGGTGTACTCTCTTCAGACTCTAGATTTCCCTTCCTCCTCCTTTTATTCATGTTACATAAATTCCTGTTTTTATCTCTGTTGGATGAAATCAGTCTATTCTCTGGTTTCCTTTGTCTACAATTTAAAGAGGGAGCCGACTATTAACTTGATGTCTCTGAGCTATTGTTGGCCAAGCTCCCCTTAGATGGGATTAATGAAGAAGCCTCCTTTTCCAAGGTGATAGCTCAGAAGCAACTTGAAGAATGAGTGACAATGAGCCTACCAAGTGGAAATGTGGGGAAAGTCAGCCAGAGTTCATCTACTGACTTCAGTCTGGCAGATGAGAGGCTTGGGTTTACCCCTCCGGTGGGTAATGGAGAGAGATGGAATGTGCCACACGAAGCCTCACTATGACTTTCTATAATGCCTGGCTCCTGTGCTGAAATGAGAACATGCATCCTAGCCGGCCATGGTGGTGCGTGCACCTGTAGTCCCAGCTATTCGGGGAGGCTGAGGTGGGAGGATTCCTTAAGCCCAGGAGTTGGAGGCTGCAGTGAGCTATGAATGCACCACTGCACTCAGAGTGAGACCCCCATCCCTTAAAAAGTTTTCTTTTAAAAAACGTACTTTTTTTTGTTTTGTTTTTTGTTTTTGTTTGTTTGTTTGAGATGGAGTCTCGCTCTGTCACCCAAGCTGGAGTGCGGTGGTGCAATCTTGGCTCACTGCAACCTCTGCCTCCCGGGTTCAAGCGATTCTCCTGCCTCAGCCTCCCGAGTAGCTGGGACCACAGGCATGCACCACCACACCCGGCTAATTTTTGTAATTTTAGTAGAGACAGGGTTTCATCATATTGGCCAGGCTGGTCTTGAACTCCTGACCTTGTGATCCGCCCACCTCAGGCTCCCAAAGTGCTGGGATTACAGATGTGAGCCACTGTGCCCGGCCAATTCTTAACTTACTATAAGATATACTTGAGCCCAGGTATTCAAGACTAGCCTGGAAAACACTGTGAGACCTCATCTTTTTTAAACAAAATTAATAAATAGATAAAACATTTAAAAAAGCCAGGTGTGATGGCTCACGCCTGTAGTCCCAGCTACTCAGGAGGCTGAGGCGGGAGGGTCGCTTGAGGCCAGGAGTTCAAGACCAGCAAGCCTGGGCAACGTAGTGAGACCTCCTCTCTAAAATAAATAAATAAAAATATAAGATAGAATGGCCGGGTGTGGTGGCTCATGGCTTTAATCCCAGCACTTTGAGAGGCCAAGGTGGGCGGATCGCTTGAGGTCAGGAGCTTGAGACCAGCCTGGCCAACATGGCAAACTCTGTCTCTACTAAAAATGCAAAAATACAAAATTCGCCGGGCGTGGTGGCACATGCCTGTAATCCTAGCTACTTGGGAGGCTGAGGCAGGAGAATCGCTTGAACCCGGGAGGCGGAGGTTGCAGTGAGCTGAGATCACGCCATTGCACTCCAGCCTGGGCAACAAGAGTGAAACTCTGTCTCAAAAAAAAAGAAGAAGTATGGAGTCCTCAGGCCACATTTAGTTTTCTTTAACATGTTAAATATTAAAGGGCTATCAAAGCAATGTAGGTGTGATTTGCTTTTCTGCTGCTAAACTCTTGTAGAAGTTAATATTTATTAAGTGCCTACTATTTGCTGGATGTGTTAGGTTTCTTCAGAGAAACAGAGCCAATAAGATATCTATCTATCTATATCTACCTATCTATGTCTCTGTCTGCCCAAATCTATGCATCTATATCTATGTATTTATAGCTATCTATCTCTATCTATCTAACTAGAGATATTTATTTTAACAAATTGGCTCATGGGATTGTGAAGATGACAAGTCCAAAATCCATGGGGCAGGCCAACAGGCGGAAACCGAGACAGGATTTTTTAAAATTTAATTTAATTTAAAGTTTGAGGATACATGTGCAGGACATGCAGGTTTGTTACCCAGGTAAACGTATGCCATGGTGGTTTGCTGCACTTATCAACCCATCACCTAGATATTAAGCCCCACATGCATTAGCTGTTTACCCTGATGTTTTCCCTCCCACCGCCCCCTCAACAGGCCCCAGTGTGTGTTGTTCCCCTCCCTGTGTCCATATATTCTCATCATTCAGCTGCCACTTATAAGTGAGAACATGTGGTGTTTGGTTTTCTGTTCCTGCATTAGTTTGCTGAGGATAATGGCTTCCAGCTCCATCCCTGTCCCTGCAAAGGACATGATCTTGTTCCTTTTTCTGGCTGCATAGTATTCCATGGTGTATATGTGCCACATTTTCCTTATCCAGTCTACCATTGATGGGTATATTTGGTTGATTCCATGTCTTTGCTATTGTGAATAGTGCTGCAATGAGCATACGCATGCATGAGGCAGAATTTGACGCTCCAGTCTGGAGGTAGAATTTCTTCTTCTCTAGAAACTGTTTTGCCCTCAAAGCCTTCAACTGAGTAGATGAGACCCACCCACATTACTGAGAATAATCTTCTTGAAGTCAACTGATTTTAGCTGTCAACCACATCTACAAAATACCTTCACAGCCACATCTAGGCTAGTGTTTGATTAAATAACTGGTTACTGTGGCCCAGCCTAGTTGACATGTTAAACCATCCTCCCAACATCCTAAGTGCTATAGGCAGGCTCTTACTTATTCCTCATAAATCTATAAGGGATAGGTGTTACTCTCTTCCTGGTTTTACAGATGAGAACAGAGATGTTAAGTAACTTGCTCAGGGGCCCGGTGCAGTGGCTCATGTTTGTAATCCTAGCACTTTGGGAGGCCGAAGTGGGTGAATCACCTGAGGTCAGGAGTTCGAGACCAGCCTGACCAACATAGCGAAACCCCGTCTCTACTACAAATACAAAAAAATATTTAGCCGGGCGTAGTGGTGGGTGCCTGTGGTCCTAGCTATTTGGGAGGCTGAGGCAGGAGAATCACTTGAGCGCAGGAGGCGGAGGTTGCAGTGAGCCGAGATTGCACCACTGCACTACAGCCTGGGTGACAGAGCAAGACTGTCTCAAGAAAAAATAAATAAATAAAAGTAACTTGCTCAGGGTCACACAGCTAATGAGTGATGAAGTCAAATTCAAATCAGCATCTAGCTCAAGCACCCACCTCCCTACTAGCTTTGCTCTCTTGCCACTCTGCCCCTGCTGTTCAGAGAAAGGATTGGAGCTGAAAAACCAGGAAGAGGGAAATCAGAGGGGGAGGCAGTGTTGCATCCTGGATGGAAAAGATGCTGCATAAGGTACTGGCAGATGAGATTGGGAGGAGCAGAGACACTGAAGAGGAGGTGGAATTGGCAGGTCTTGGTGATAGTCCAGGGTGAGGGTGAGGAAGAGGCAGGCGTCTGGGATAATGACCTGGTTTATCCCTGACTGACTTGGCAGCCTCTTGGGCTGGGGAAGGGAGCACGGGAAAGTGTGCTGGGCATTTTGGAACAGCTCCTGGAACATTCTGCGTCGTTCTCCCCCATGAACCTAAAGAGAACAAGCTCATTTCCCCAGATACACAGGTGATCATACAGTCATTAAATCGCCATCTTTTCCTTGCCAACTCCCCCAACCCCAATGGCTCAAAGTCATCTCACCTGTGGCTCAATGATAGATGCTGGATCTGACGGCCAGGACCCCCAGGCCCCTGTATGCCAACCTTTCCCAGCTCACCAGATTTGTCAGCTCTGCTGCCCTAACAAAAGTTGAAGTGGGGTGGCTTCAACTATAGGCTTTTATTTCCTCACCGTTTTTTTTTTTTTTTTTGAGATGGGGTTTCACCATGTTGCCCAGGCTGGTCTCGAACCCCTGACCTCAAGTGACCCACCCACCTGGGCCTCCCAGAGTGCTGGAATTACAGATGTGAGTCACTGTGCCCAGCCTTATTTTCTTACAATTCTGCAGGCAGGAAGTCCAAGATCAAGGTGCCAGTGGGGTCAGTTTCTCCTGAGGCCTCTCTCCATGGCTTGCAGAGGGATGGCCGCCTTCTCACCGCATCCTCTCAGCCCAGCCTTTCCTCAGTGCACACGCATTCTTGGTATTCTTGGTGTCTTCCTTTTTTTCTTTTTTTTTTTTTTTTAGATACAAGGTCTCCCTTGTATCTAAATGATCTGAGTGATACAAGTGAGGCTGGAATGCCCAGGCTGGAGTGCAGTGGCACAATCATACATAGTTCACTTCAGCCTTGAACTACTGGGTTCAAGTGATCCTCCTGCCTCAGCCTTCTGAATAGCTGGGACCACAGGCATGCATTAATATGCCCAGCTAATTTGTTTATTTTATTTTATTTTTGTAAAGATGTGGTCTCGCTCTCTTGCCCAAGCTGGTCTCAAACTTCTGGGCTCAAGCAATCCTCCCACCTCGGCTTCCCTAAGTCCTGGGATTACTCTGGTGCCTGGCACTCTTTCTCTTCTCATAAAGACCCCAGTCCTATTGAATTAGGATCCCACTCTCATGACCTCAGTTATCCTGAATGACCCCCCCACTTTTTTTTTTTTTTTTTTTTTTGAGATGGAGTCTCGCTCCGTCATCAGGCTGGAGTTCAGTGGCACGATCTCGGCTCACTTCAGCCTCTGCCTCCCAGGTTCAAGCGATTCTCCTGCCTCAGCCTCCCCAGTAGCTGGGACTACAGGCATGCGCCACCACCACGCCCAGCTAATTTTTGTATTTTTAGTAGAGACAGGGTTTCACCATGTTGGCCAGGATGGTCTCGATCTCTTGATATGGTGATCCTTCTGCCTCGGCCTCCCAAAGTGCTGGGATGACTGGCGTGAGCCAACGCGCCGGCCCTGAATGACCTCTTTAAAAGTCCTGTCTCCAGATACAACCCCATGGGGGATGAGGGCTTCCACATATGACTTTGGTGGGGGCAGAAACCACTCAGTCTCCTGAACTCACCTTGGCTGTCTCGGCTTCTTTCCCTAGGCTCACTCAGTAACTTGATGGATTTTGTGAAGAAAACAGGCATTTGCGCTTCAAAGTGGGAATGGGGGACCACTCACAACTTCCTGTACAAACACGGTGAGAAGACCCTCTTCCCACCGCCCTGGTCTGTCCTTGCGTGTGAATGGGCTGGAGTAGGGGAAGGGGGTGGGCCTGAAACAATCCCAGGCTGGTCCTTCCCCAGAGCTTTGGAGGGGGGTGGTGTCAAAGGGCCCAGGGATCTGATTAGGGGAACTTTCGCTCAGTGGTGTGGTCCATACTGAAAAATGTGTGGCCTCGCTGCGAGTCCCAGTCATCGTGAAAAGCCTCACTGATGGCTTTCTCTGGTTTTGCAAAAATGCAAAAAACCCTAATTTCTTGTCAGCTAGTCCTAGGACCTGGTCTTCAAAAACACTTGTATGGGCTGGGCGCAGTGGCTCATGCCTGTAATCCCAGCACTTTGGGAGGCTGAGGCGGGCGGATCACTTGAGGTCAGGAGTTCAAGACTAGCTTGGCCAACATGGTAAAACCCTGTCCCTACTAAAAATACAAAAATTAGCCGGACAGGGTGGCGGGTGCCTGTAGTCCCAGCTACTCAGGAGGCTGAGGCAGGAGAATCGTTTGAACCCAGGAGGCAGAGGTTGCAGTGAGCCGCGATCATCCCACTGCACTCCAGCCTGGCAACAGAGCGAGACACCATCTAAAAAAAAAAAAAACAACACACATTTGTATGGGTTTTCCCTTCAGGGGACTGACCCTCTCATTCAGGTGGAATTGATGTCAGACTCCTGGGAACTCACACTGAGGCCATTTAATAGTCTCCATAAGCTCCAATGTTCATAGCTGGTGGAGATCCTCTCCTATGACCATGCCAATCCCTGCACCACTCATGTATGTGTATGTGTGTGTGTGTGTGTGTGTGTGTGTGTGTCTTGCTCTGTTGCCCAGGTGGGAATGCAGTGGTGCAATCATGGCTCACTGCAGCCTCAGCCTCCCCAGCTCAAGCAATCCTCCCATTTCAGCCTCCCGAATAGCTGGGAACACAGGCACACAGCACCATGCCTGGCTAATTTTTCTTTTTCTTTTTCATAGAGATGGGGTCTCACTATGTTGCCCAGACTGATCTTGAACCCCTGGGCTCAAGCGATCCTCCCACCTCAGCCTCCCAAAGTGCTGGGATTACAGGTGTGAGCCACCCCACACCTGGCCTTCCCCACTCTTTTGTTACAAGACTATCGTGAACATCTTTATGTTTGTGGTCCTGTTGCCCTTGTGCAAATCGAGAAAAGGTGCATCTTCCAGGGGGGTGAATTCCAAAATGTGCCCCCCTGGCCAGGGCTGTGTGTGGCCTGGGAAGGGAACCCTGGCTGGATGTCAGTCCTGCTCACCTCTCCTGGGGTGCTTCCTACAAGGCACACAGGACTTCAGCTGTGTCTGCGCACCATGCCATGCAGCTGCCGGGTCTTATGGCCTCGGAATACACCATCAAGCATCAAGTCACTGGATCATGGCGATGAGTGTTTTAGCATCAAATTTCTCCCTGAAGGGGTTGGATGAAGTCGCTTTCTCAGTAGCAATATATGAGAGTGTAAACCAAAAATAAAATTCTAAGCCCCCCACCACCCAACCATCTGAATAGACCTCTCCTGTCAGCCAGGGCACTCCAAAGTTAACCTGAAAAATGGGTTCAGTCCCTGATGGGAAGTGGGGGTCGGACATGCCTCCTTATACCCTCCTCCCTTTTGGAATTCAGGAAAAGCTGACTAGCAGTCATGTCAACACAAATTTTTTTTTTTTTTTTTGAGATGGAGTTTTGCTCTTTTTGCCCAGGCTGGAGTGCAATGGCGCGATCTCAGCTCACCGCAACCTCCGCCTCCTGGGTTTAAGCGATTCTCCTGCCTCCCGAGTAGCTGGGATTACAGGCATGCGCCACCACGCCTGGCTAATTTTGTATTTTTAGTAGAGACAGGGTTTCTCCATGTTGGTCAGGCTGGTCTCAAACTCCTGACCTCGTGATCTACCCACCTTGGCCTCCCAAAGTGTTGGGATTACAGGCGTGAGCCACCTCAACACAGATTTTAAGTCTGATAAGAAACATTTACATTCTGTTCTCTCTGAAGCCTGCTACCTGGAGGCATCATATACGTGATAAAACTTTGGTCTCCACAACCCCTTGTCATAACCCAGACATTCCTTTCTATTGCTAATAACTCTTTAAACCAATAGCCAATCAGATATTTTTATTTTATTTTCCATATATTTATTTATTAATTATTTTTATTTATTTATTTATTTATTTTGCGATGGAGTCTCGCTCTGTCACCCAGGCTGCAGTACAGTGGTACAATCTTGGCTCACTGCAACCACCACCTCAGCCTCCTGAGTAGCTGGGATTACAGGCACATGTCACCATGCTCAACTGATTTTTGTATTTTTAGTAGAGACAGGGTTTCACCACATTGGCTAGGCTGGTCTCAAACTCCTAACCTCAAATGATCTGCCCACCTTGGCCTCCCAAAGTGCTGGGATTATAGGTGCACAGGTGTGAGCCACTGTGCCCAACCGTCAATCAGAAAACTTTAAATCTACCTATAACCTGGAAGCCCCCCCCCGACCCCTCCTCACCCCTCACCTCTACCCCTCCATGACTTCAAGTCGTCTCACCTTTCTGGACCGAACCAAGGTATATCTTAGATATATTTGATTGATGTCTCATATCTCCCTAAAATGTATAAACCTAGGCTGTGCCCCAACCACCTAGGCCACATGTTCTCAGGATCTCCTGAGGACTGTGTCACGGGCCATTGGTCACTCACATTTGGCTCAGAATAAACCTCTTCAAATATTTTCCAGAGTTTGACTCTTTTCATCAGCAAGAGGAACCATTCCCAGAGGTACTGTCTTAGTCTGCTCAGGCTGCTGTGACAAAATCCCACAGACTGGGTGACTTAAACGACAGACATTTATTTTCTCACAGTTCTCAAGGCTGGAAGTCCAAAATCAAGTTGTCTGTGGGGTGAGTTCTTTCTGAGGACTCTCTCTGTGATTTGCAGACAGCCACCTTCTCATATCCTCGTATGGTCTTTGCTCCATGTGTGTCTCTGTTCTAATCCCCTCTTCTTAGAAGAGCACTAGTCATTCTATTGGAATGTTTCAAAGTTTTATCATGCAGATGTGTGAGAGGCATTGGAACCAGAGTGACTCTATCTTGAATGAGGGCTAGGAAAAATGAGGCTCAGCCTTGCTGGGCTGTATCCCCAGGAAGTTAGGCATTCCTAGCCTCTAGATGGTTATGGTTAAGGGAACAGATTCATAATGTTTACTAAACAGACTCAGACCCAGGAATGTCCTGATATCCTGATATCTTGAGAACAGACGCATTCCTAATTTTGCTTTAAAAATAATAATATAAGTTCTTGTAAAATATAGTAATTATGGTTTTTGGTTTTTTTTTTTTTTGAGACAGAGTTTTGCTCTTTGTTGCCCAGGCTAGAGTGCAGTGGCACAATCTCAGATTACTGCAACCTCCGCCTCCCGGGTTCAAGCGATTCTCCTGCCTCAGCCTCCCGAGTAGCTGAGATTACAGGCAGGTGCCACCACGCCTGGCTAATTTTTGTGTTTTTAGTAGAGACAGGATTTCACCATGTTGGTCAGGCTGGTCTTGAACTCCTGACCTCAGGTGATCCACCCACCTTGGCCTCCCAAAGTGCTGGGATTACAGGCGTGAGCCACCGTGCCCGGCCAAAATAGAGTAATTATGAAAATTAATCCTTTATCACAAATACTTGTAGCAGAGCACATCTCCCCATGTTTTTTTGTTGTTGTTGTTTTCCTATATATAACAAAAGGAGGAGGTGGTTGCATTTCTCCTCTTACTTTCCGTAACACCCTACTCTGTGGAGTAACGATTCTTTCACCCCTTTGCTTTCTTAACAGACTTGCTTTCGCTTTGCACTGTGGACTCACCCTGAATTCTTTCTTGTATGAGATCCAAGAACCCTTTCTTGGGGTCTGGATCAGGACCCCTTTCCAGTAACTGATGAAGGCTCCAGGTAGCAAGCTTCAGAGAGAATAGATTGTAAATGATTCTTGTCAGACTTAAGCTCTGGGTGGATATTAAATGCTGGTCAGCTTTCCTTAAATCCCCAAAGGGAGGAGGGCATCGTGAGGCATGTCTGACCCTCCCTTCCTGTCACGGCCAGAACTAGGTTTTCAGGTTAACTCTGGGGTGCCCTGGCCAAGAGGAAGGGTTCATTCAGATGGTTGGGGTGGTGTTGTGGGGGGGTAGGAGTTGGGGAGGGTGTTGGCGGGGGGACGGGAGGGATGGGGGTGGGGGGGAGGGGCTTATCATTTTATTTTTGGTTTACGCTGTGAAAGGAAAATAAATCTCGGGACCCCAAAATCACCAAGTTAAAGGGAAAAGTCAAGCTGGGAACTGCCCAGGGCAAACCTGCCTCCCATTCTATTCAAAGTCACCCTCTGCTCACTGAGATAAATGCGTATCTGATTGCCTCCAGTTGGAAAGGCTAATGGAAACTCTAAAGAATGTTGGCCGGCCCGTGGCTCACGCCTGTAATGCCAGCACTTTGGGAGGCAGAAGCGGGTAGATCACGAGGTCAGGAGTTCAAGACCAGCCTTGCCAAGATGGGGAAACCTTGTCTCTACTAGAAATACAAAAATTAGCTCAGCATGGTGGCGGGTGCCTGTAATCCCAGCTACTTGGGAGGCTGAGGCAGAGAATCACTTGAAGCCAGGAGGTGGAGGTTGCAGTGAGTGGAGATTGCGCCACTGCACTCCCGCCTGGGCAACAGAACGAGACTCCTTCTCAAAAAAAAAGAATGCAACCATTCACTTCTTATCTACCTGTGACCTGGAAGCCCCCTCCCTGCTTTGAGTTGTCCCACCTTTCCAGACCGAACCAGTGTTCATCTTACATATATTGACATCTCGGGTCTTCCTAAAATGTCTAAACCAAGCTGTGCCCCAACCGCCTTGGGCACATGTCATCATGACCTCCTGAGGCTGTGTCACGGTTGTGCATCCTTAACCTTGGCAAAATAAACTTTCTACACTGACCGAGACCTGTCTCAGAAACATTGGGTTAACAACACTCTCACATATTGCTGCTGAGAAGGCAGCTTCATTTGGAACTTCACGCCAAAAACCCCATTTTACCTTAATTACCTCTTTAAAGACCCTGTCTCCAAATACAGTCACATTCTGAGGTACTGGAGGTAAGAGCTTCAACATGTGTTTGTCTGTTTATTTGTTTATTTATTTGAGATAGAGTCTCGCTCTGTCACCCAGGCTGGAGTGCAGTGGCGCGATCTCAGCTCACTGCAACCTCCGGCTCATGGGTTCAAGTGATCCTCCTGCCTCAGCCTCCCAAGTAGCTGTGATTACAGGCACCCGCCACCACGCCTGGCTAATTTTGATATTTTTAGTAGAGACAGGGTTTCACTGTGTTGGCCAGGCTGATCTTGAACTCCTGACCTCAAGTGATCCACCTGCCTCAGCCCCCAAAGTGCTGGGATTTCAGGTGTGAGGCACCGCACCCAGCCAGGGCTTCAACATATGAATCTGGGAAGAGAGAGAAGTCAGCTCCTAGTTGGCAACCTCACAACTGCTGTCTACACTGACAACGATCATTTTCCCATCCCCCTCTCTGCCTTCCATTTCCAAGTCTTGCTTTCAGTCCCCAGAAGCAGCTGATCCTCTTTCTTCCTGGGCACCACAGGTGGCATCCGGGACAAGATAATGAGCAGCCGGAAGCACCTCCACCTGGTGGATGCTGGTTTAGCCATCAACACTCCCTTCCCACTCGTGCTGCCCCCGACGCGGGAGGTTCACCTCATCCTCTCCTTCGACTTCAGTGCCGGAGATCCTTTCGAGGTAATCGAGAAGGGCTTTGGGGCCGGTCCTGGGTGGGAGGTGGGCTGCGGCGAAGCTGACTTTGCGGAGGAACTGAGGACGCGGGCTGGGAAGCGGGCAATGGGGAGGTGCTGGCTGGGAAGTCCAGAGAGCCAAATCAACTCACCCATCGCTCCCGAAGCACCCGCGGTCGGCCACATCCAACGAACTTCTGATCCAAAGCCATCCCAGACCTTCCCGGGCCCCTCTTCCTGGCAGATGACTCTCCCCGCTTCTGCGTCCTGCCTGCCCATTCATACCAGTTTGAACTGCAACAGCCTAGCTCCTCACCTGTGCACCTCCTTCCCCGGGTGTGCACGTCTCCAGCCCCGAGCGCGTGTCTTCCTGCTCATCTGGGTTTCCTGGGCAAATAGTGGCCCTCAATAAATGTTTGCTGAGTGAGAACATATGCAAGTATATTTGTCTTAGTACATATTGCACCTTCCCAGTGGCCACTAGGATCCGTTCTCCCTGCCTTCATATCCCAGCTCTGCCACTTACCAGCTGTGTGGCCTGATCCAATGTGCGTAACTTCTGTGCATGTCGGTTTCCTCAGCTGTAAAATTGGGCTAACGATGGCTCCACCAGGAGTTGTTCTGTGGATTAAATTAATACTTGTTAATACATGTGAAGTGCTTAGCACAGTATCTGCCACTTACTGTGGGGTTTATAAACATTTTCCTCCCCTCCCTTCCCCTCCCCTCATGGCCTCCTTTCGAGACTGGGTCTTATGGTGTGATCATAGCTCACTGCAGCCTCAACCTCCTGGGCTCAAGCGATCCTCCCACCTCACCCTCCCAAGTAGCTGGGACTGCAGGCACACACCACCACACCAGGCTAGTTTTCTAAATTGTTTTAGAGACAGGGTCTTGCTATGTTGCCCAGGCTGGTCTTGAACTCCTGGCCTCAAGCGATTCTCCCACCACCCAAGGCTAGGATTACAGGCACAAGCCGCCCTGCCCAGCTATTTTATTAAAAAATATATACACCTACATAATATATAACTATATCTATTACATGATACATACCAATACATAGTAGTATATATAAAATAATCATGGTAAAACATATCATCTATTATATTTATGTGTAATGTAATATATATTTATATTCACACACTTCTATCAGTTTACATTCTGTAATATGAATTAGGAACATCCATCCTCCTCCCCATACCATGATCCAGAACCAACTTGTCACCATCTTTCTAGACCCTTGGCCCAGGAATACCCAGGCTTTCTGGTCTTAGGATTTCTGCTGAAATAAATATCCCAAGACAATATGATAAAGGTGGAATGAGATATCAAGGTCTTGGGAGTCCTTTTCTGCCAAATCTCTGCTGCATGACCCCGAGCGATAGGCTTAACCTCTGAACCTCAGTTTTCTCATCCTGAAAATGGGAATCACATCATCTGGCTCGCAGGAGATCTGCAGAGTCTCTGCACCATGCCTGGTCCATAGCTGGTGTTCTGGATTAACAACAATGCTTATCTGGTGATGATGAGAATAGCAAGAGTAATAGGAAGAAAACCGGCAGCATTTGTTAAACTTCAATCAAAGACGACTTCAGAGACCTAAGCTGTCCACTACAGTGGTTGCCGGCCACATGTGGCACTTGAGGACTTGAAATGTGCCTGGCCCAAGTTGAAGTGTGCTATGAAGATAAAATACACCTCGGATTTTAATGACCGAGTATGGAAAATGCATGTCAAAGACCTTATTCGTAATTGGTATATTGACATACTAGGCAGGGCTCTCCAGAGGGACAGAACCAATAGGATCTATGTCTAGATGAAAGGGAGTTTCAGGATCACAAGGTGGAGTCCTACAATAGGCCGTCTGCGAGCTGAGGAAGAAACAAACCAATAGTGGCTCAGTCCGAGTCCGAAAGCCTCAAAAGTAGGGAAGCCCAGCCAGGCCTGGTGGCTCACGCCTGTAATCTCAGCATTTTGGGAGGCCGAGGCGGGTGGATCAGAAGATCAGGAGTTCGAGACCAGCCTGGTCAACCTGGTGAAATCCCGTCTCTACTAAAAATACAAAAAAATTAGCTGGGCGTGGTGGCAGGTGCCTGTAATCCCAGCTACTCGGGAGGCTGAGGCAGGAGAATCACTTGAACCCAGGAGGCGGAGGTTGCAGTGAACCAAGATTGTGCCATTGCACTCCAGCCTGGTGAACAAGAGCAAAATTCCATCTCAAAAAAAAAAAAAAAAAAAAAGTAGGGAAGCCCACAGTGCAGCCTTCAGTCTGTAGCCAAAGGCCGTAGAGCCCCTGGCGAGCCACTGGTGTAAGTCTAAGGGTCCAAAGGCCAAAAAACCTGGAGTGTGATGTTCAAGGGCAGGAAGTATCCAGCACAGGAGAAAGATGAAAGCCAGAGGACCCAGCAAGCCAGCTTCTCCCACCTTCTTCTGTCTGCTTTGTTCTAGTCACACTGGCAGCCAATTGGAGGGTGTCCGCCCACACTGTGGGTGAGTCTTCCTCTCCTAGTCCACTGACTCAAATGTTCATCTCCTCTGACAGCACCCTCAGAGACACATCCGGAAACAATACCAGCTTTCCAGGCACCCTTCAATCAAGTCGACACCTAATATTCACCATCACAATTGATTACACATCGAGGCAATCACACTTTTGACATATTGCATGAGATGAAACTTTTTCCTACAAATTGGGTGGTTACAAAGTAATAAACAGAATTTTTTTTTTTTTTTTGAGACAGAGTCTCGCTCTATCACATAGGCTGGAGTGCAGTGGCACAATCTCGGCTCACTGCAACCTCCACCTCCTGGGTTCAAGCAATTCTCCTGCCTCAGCCTCCCGAGTAGCTGAGATTACAGGCATGCGCCACCACACCCAGCTAATTTTTGTATTTTTAGTAGAGACGGGGTTTCACCATGTTGGCCAGGCTGGTCTTGAACTCCTGACCTTGTGATCTGCCCGCCTCGGCCTCCCAAAGTGCAGGGATTACAGGCGTGAGCCACCACGCCCGGCCAATAAACAGAAATTTAAGCAAGACATATCTGTAACAATTTAACAGAACCTGATTGTCTAAGTTTTTTTTCATTTTTCTCAAATTCATCTTTAATTCTTTCCATGATGGGGCTTATAAGGAAACTAACCAACATGTAGCTACTATAGTTGAATGTCAAATCTTTTTTTTTTTTTTGAGATGGAGTCTTCTGTGTCGCCCAGGCTGGTGTGCTGTGGTGCGATCTTGGCTCACTGCAACCTTCGCCTCCCGGGTTCAAGTGATTCTCTTGCCTCAGCCTCCTGAGTAGCTGGGATTACAGGCGCCCGCCACCATGCCCGGCTAATTTCTGTATTTTTAGTAGAGACGGGGTTTTGCCATTTTGGCCAGGCTGGTCTTGAACTCCTGACCTCAGGTGATCCGCCCACCTCAGCCTTCCAAAGTGCTGGGATTATAGGCATGAGCCACTGTGCCCAGCTGAATGTCAAATCTTTAGAAGGTACTTATGACAGTAAATTCCTCTGTAATACAGGTATGAAGCACCTTCATGATATTTCTGTTTTATGTGTAGAAAAGTGGCTGGGTACGGTGGCTCACTCCTGTAATCTCAGTGCTTTGGGAGGCCAAGGTGGGAGGATCACTTGAGATCAGCAATTTGAGACCAGCCTGGGCAACATAGCAAGACCCCATCTCCACACAAATTTTTTTTTTTTTTGAGACGGAGTTTCGCTCTTGTTGCCCGGGCTGGAGTGCAATGGCACGATATCGGCTTGCCACAACCTCCACCTTCCAGGTTCAAGCGATTCTCCTGCCTCAGCCTCACAAGTAGCTAGGATTACAGGCATGCGCCACCACACCCAGCTAATTTTTGTATTTTTAGTAGAGATGGGATTGCTCCATGTTGGTCAGGCTGGTCTTGAACTCCCGACCTCAGGTGATCTGCCCACCTCAGCCTCCCAAAGTGCTGGGATTACAGGCGTGAGCCACCACACCCGGCCAAAAAAATTTTTTTTGATTAGCTGGGCATGGTGGCTCACGCCTGTAGTCCCAGCTACTTAGGAGGTTGAGATGGGATAACCTGAGTCTAGGAGCTTGAGGCTGCAGTGAGCCATGATTGCACCACTGCACTCCAGCCTGGGCGACACAGCAAGATCCTGTCTCTAAAGATAAGTATATGTAGAAAACTGTTAGACTCAAATATTCAACTCAATATAAAATAAGAAGAAGCCGGGTGCGGTGGCTCACACCTGTAATCCCAGCACTTTGGGAGGTAGAGGCAGGTGGATCACCTGAGGTCAGGTGTTTGAGACCAGCCTGGCCAACATGGCGAAACCCTGTCTCTACTAAAAATACAAAAATTAGCCAGGCATGGTGGCACGTGCCTGTAATCCCAGCTGCTAGTGGGGCTGAGGCAGGAGAATCGCTTGAATCTGGGAGGCGGAGGTTGCAATGAGCCAAGATCCCGCCACTGCACTCCAGCCTGGGCAACAGAGCGAGACTCTGTCAAAAAAAAAAAAAAAAAAAAAAAAAAGAAGAAGAAGAAGAAGAAGAAGAAGAAACACTTGTTGAGACTGCATCTCCTTTTGCTAATGAGTGGTTTCTAGTTGTAATATCACTCCTCTGAATAAAGAAGCCACCTTTGAGTACATAAGGAAAAATAACCACATGTTAAAAGGATAAGACATTACTCCGACATCTCTACTGGGCCATCTCTTCCTCTAACACTTCAGAAACTTAGAAATTTAAAATATTCTTACGTTAACTGCAAGAACAAGATAAAGGAGAAATGCCCTTTTTCTTGAGATCACAACTATGAAGTCATATGCTTATGCAACTTCTGCATTTGTGTGCAAAACACAAACACACTGATCTTTTTTTAACTTTTAAGTTCAGGGGTTCAAGTACAGGTTTGTTCCATAGGTAAACTTGTGTCCTGGGGATTTGTTGTACCGATTATTTCATCGCCCCAGTATTAAGCCTAGTACCCATTAGTTATTTCTGCTGACCCTCTCCTTCCTCCCGCTCTCCACCCAACACTAGGCCCCAGTGTGTGTTGTTCTCCTCTGTGTGTCCATGTGTTCTCATCATTCAGCTCCCACTTAGAAGTGAGAACATGCAGTATTTGGTTTTCTGTTCCTGGAAACACATTTATACATTTATCTTTTTTTTTTTTTTTTTTTTTGAGACAGAGTCTCGTTCTTGTTGCCCAGGCTGGAGTGCAGTGGTGCTATCTGGGCTCACTGCAATCTCTGCCTCCCATGTTCAAGCGATTCTCCTGTCTCAGCCTCCCAAGTAGCTAGGACTACAGGCATGTGCCACCATGCCCGGCTAATTTTTTGTAATTTTAGTAGAGATGGGGTTTCACTGTGTTAGCCAGGATGGTCTCGATCTCCTGACCTCGTGATCCACCCACCTCAGCCTCCCAAAGTGCTGGGATTATAGGCATGAGCCATGAGCCACCATGCCCAGCCTCTTTCTTGCTCTTGTCACCCAGGTTGGAGTGCAATGGCGCTATCTGGGCTCACTGCAACCTCTGCCTCCCGGGTTCAAGCGATTCTCCTGTCTCAGCCTCCCAAGTAGCTGGGATTACAGGCACCTGCTAACATGCCTGGCTAATTTTTGTATTTTTAGTAGAGACGGGGTTTCACCATGTTGGCCAGGTTGGTCTCAAACTCCTGACCTCAGGTGATCTGCCCGCCTTGGCCTCCCAAAGTGCTGGGATTACAGACATGAGCCACCACGCCTGGCCCGCATTGATCTTAATTCTCCTTGCTTAGTTTTGTCAGTCAGCTTGCAGGACTTAACAGATGCCTTTCTAAGACACAGAGACTGAGATGTGTTTTATGTAAGTTTAGTAACCTCAGTGCTACAGTAATGAGACATGCAGTGTCCTTTTGCTCTGGTTCAGGACAGCACGGAAGGAGGCCACAGGAAAGAGAATAAATGAAACTTGTTACAACTGAGAAACTACTTCTCATTAAGTTTCCCCATGGTGTCACCTTTATTTAATATTTATTTTTAAAATTAATTTCTCCTACTTCTTTTTACTTTCTTCAAGTGCAGCAAGTAGACAATTGAAAAGTACCTTTACGGCCGGGCGCGGTGGCTCATGCCTGTAATCCCAGCACTTTGGGAGACTGAGACGAGCGGATCACCTGAGGATCACCAACCTGACCAACATGGAGAAACCCTGTCTCTACTAAATATATGAAATTAGCCGGGCGTGGTGGAGCATGTCTGTAATCCCAGCTACTCGGGAGGCAGGAGAATCGCTTGGACCAGGGAGGCGGAGGTTGCAGTGAGCTGAGATCATGCCATTGCACTCCAGCCTGGGCAACAAGAGTGAAACTCTGCCTCAAAAATAAGAAAAGAAAAGTACCTTCACGGTGACATTATATTTCTGTTACACAGTGATGATGGAGAATATCTCATTTATCTTCCAAATACCCCTGTGAGGTGGCTATTACAGAGATCCTTTGCAGAGGTGATGAGATGCACCCATACCACATATCTCGTTGGGCTCCTGGGCTCAAATGATCTTCCCATCTCAGCTTCCTGAGTAGCTAGGGCTACAGGTGCACGCCCCCATGCCTGGCTAATTGAAATATATATATATATATATATACTGTAGAGATGAGGTCTCCAACATCTTTCTGTGGCAGAGCTGGGATTCAAAGCCTCATCTAGGCACCATTTTCCTTGCCCTCTGAGTCCCGCAGCCCCCAGCCCCAAAGGTTACTCTCTAACCTCGCGAATGTTGTCTCTAGGTGGGCTGGGGAGTGCGGGTGATGGCAGAGGCTTACTCTTTCCCTTACAGAAGATGTTGTCCCTGTCCAAGCTGACCCTTGCTCTGTTGTGTGTCTGGGCTGTTAGCTGAGGTCCCATTGGGTCTCCAGGCCCCAGGGGTCTTCTGGAGGGGTCTTCTGGAGAGGTCTTGCAACCATTTCTTATTGCCTCCTTCTCAGACCATCCGGGCTACCACTGACTACTGCCGCCGCCACAAGATCCCCTTTCCCCAAGTAGAAGAGGCTGAGCTGGATTTGTGGTCCAAGGCCCCCGCCAGCTGCTACATCCTGAAAGGAGAAACTGGACCAGTGGTGATGCATTTTCCCCTGTTCAACATAGATGCCTGTGGAGGTAGGTGCAGGGGAGGAGCAGGTGAGAAGCCACCTGTATTAGTCCATGCTCACACTGCTAATAAAAACATACCTGAGACTGGGTAATTTACAAAGGAAGAAGGTTTAATTGACTCACAGTTCAGCATGGATTGAGAGGCCTCAGGAAACTTACAGTCATGGTGGAAAGCGAAGGCCAAGCAAGTCACCTTCTTCACAAGGCGGCAGGAAGGAGAAGTGAGTGCCAGCAGGGCAATTGCCAGATGCTTATAAAATCATCAGATCAGCCGGGCGCGGTGGCTCATGCCTGTAATCCCAGCACTTTGGGAGGCTGAGGCGGGCGGATCACAAGGTCAGGAGATTGAGACCATCCTGGCTAACACAGTGAAACCCCATCTCTACTAAAAATACAACAACAAAAAAAAATAAATTGCTGGGCTTGGTGGTGCGTGCCTGTAATCCCAGCTACTCAGGAGGCTGAGGCAGGAGAATCGCTTGAACCTGGGAGGCGGAGGTTGCAGTGAGCTGAGATCGCGCTCCTGCACTCCAGCCTGGGGACAGAGCAAGACTCCTTCTCAAATAAATAAATAAATACATACCATCAGGTCTCGTGAGAACTCAACTCACTGTCACGAGAACAGCATGAGGGTAACCACTTCCATGCTTCAATTACCTCCCACGACACTTGGGGATTATGGGAACTACAATTCAAGATGAGATTTGGGTGGGGACACAGCCAAACCATATCACCACCAGGCCAGGCCGAATGGAGCTGTGCTGTGCCCTGGGGACATCTTGTTACGCTCCAACATCTGATGGTTGAGTGAGTCATCCTGTCCACCCTTGGGCCTGGAGGATGCCAGGCTGCCTCTCTCGGTCTTGCATGTTTATGCATGTTGCTGCCTCTCTCTGCAGCCTTCTTGTCCTACCTGAATATCCAACCCCTTCCACCTGGGCATCCCACATTCCTCATCCAGTCTCAGGTGAGCAGCTGCTTGGAAGGCCTAGCATCCAGGATGGGTGGTCCTCCGGGGCCTGATTGTGCCACTTCCCACAGTGGGCTCCTTTTAGCTTGTCAATCGTGTCTCCTGCGATGAGACTCCCATTAGGGATAAATTGTGTCTGTTTTCTTCCTTCATTTAACGAACATTTATTGGTTACCTATGCTGCATCAGCCATGGTTCCAGGAGAGGCAGGCTAGAGTAGTAAAGAAGACAGGAAGCAGGGGGCCAGGCGCGGTGGCTCACGCCTGTAATCCCAGCACTTTGGGACGCCAAGCCGGGGCAGATCACCTGAGATCAGGAGTTTAAGGCCAGCTTGGCCAACAGGGTGAAACCCCGTCTCTATTAAAAAATACAAAAAATTAGCCAAGCGTGGTGATGCACGCCTGTAATCCTAGCTACTTGGGAGGCTGAGGCAGGAGAATCGCTTGAATCTAGGAGGTGGAGGTTACAGTCACCCAAGATTGTGCCATTGGACTCCAGCCTGGGAGACAAGAGCGAGCCTCTGTCTCAAAAAAAAAAAAAAAAAAAAAAGAAAAAAGGACCGGAAGGGGCATGGATCATAAAAATATAGATAAATCCATAACCTCATGTGTCAATAAAACTTTATTTATAAAGCCAAAGTAGTGGGCCGACTGGATTTGGTCCACAACTGTAGTTTGCCAAGCCCTGATGTAAATAGACAAAAATCTGCAGAATTAATTGTCCAAACTCATGATGCCTTTTCTTTGTTGGTTTGGTTATGCTTCAGGTGATATTGAGGCATGGAGTGACACATACGACACATTCAAGCTTGCTGACACCTACACTCTAGATGTGGTGGTGCTACTCTTGGCATTAGCCAAGAAGAATGTCAGGGAAAACAAGAAGAAGATCCTTAGAGAGTTGATGAACGTGGCCGGGTAGGTGGGAGACCATAGTCGCTCTGATGCCTATGCTCGTTCAGTAAGTATCTGTTGGAGAACTTTCTCTGCAACAGGCAGGAGGGTTGCATGGGTGAAAAAAGATAGGCAGTGTCTCCCCTACTTGAGCTTGCGTCTCAGCAGGGGACAGACCATGAACAGGGTCAGGAGTGAATGGTTTTCTGAAGAGTGAAGCAGGCTGTGTTCGTTTGCTAGGGCTGCTGTAACAAAATACCACTAGCTGGGTGGCTTCACAGAAATTGATGGTCTCATGGTGCTGGGGGCTGGAAGTGTGAATTCATGGTATCAGCAGCGCTGGTTCCTTCTGGGATCTGTGAGGGAGAATTTGTTCCACGCTTGTCTCCGTGTATATTGGTCCGTTTTCACACTGCTGTAAAGAACTACCTGAGACTGGGTAATTGATGAAGAAAAGAGGTTTAATTGACTCACAGTTCCGAAGGCTTAACAGGAAGCATGGGTGGGAGGCCTCAGGAAACTTACAATCATGGTGGAAGGTGAAGGGGGAGCAAGCACATCTTTACCATGGCAGAGAAGGAGAGAGAGAGAGCAAAGCGGGAAGTGCTACACACTTTCAAACAACCGGATTTCATGAGAACTCCGTCACTATCACAAGAACAGCAAGGGGGAAGTACGCTCCCATCAATCACCTCTCACCAGGCCCCTACCCCAACACATGGGAATTACAATTTGAGATGAGATTTGGGTGGGGACACAGAGCCAAACCATATCTCTGTGAAAGGAAAATGAAATCTCAGGACCCCAATTCACTATGCCAAAAGGAAAAACTTAAGCTGTGGCTGGGCACTGTGGCTCATGTCTGTAATCCCAGCACTTTGGGAAGCCAAGACAGGAGGATCGCTTGAGCCCAGGAGTTCAAGATCTGCCTGGGCAACATAGTGAGACCAAGTCTCTACAAATAATTTTAAAAATTAGCTGGGTGTGGTAGCACAAGCCTATAGTCTCAGCTACTCAGGAGGCTGAGGTGGGAGGATTGCCGGAGCCCAGGAGTTTGAGGCTGCAGTGAGCTATGATGGTACCACCCCACTCCAGGCTGGGCGACAGAGCAAGACCTTGCCTCTAAAAAAAAAAAAAAAAAAAAAAAAATTAAGCTGAAAGCTTAATTAAGCTGAGTCATGCAAGAAACTGTCTTTCCTTTTGTTCCTAAGCCACAGATAAAAGGCCACAGATATCTCCACAGGTAACTTACTCTATCGATATGGTTTGGCTCTGTGTCCCCACCCAAATCTCATCTCGAATTGTAATCCCCACATGTCAAGAGAGGGACCTGGTGGGAGGTGATTGGATCTTGGGGGTGGCTTCCCTTATGCTGTTCTCGTGAGAGTGAGGGAGTTCTCACGAGATCTGATGGTTTTTAAGTGGCAGTTTCCCCTGCTCTCTCTCTCTCGATCTCTCTCTCTCATCTCTCCTGCCACCCTGTGAAGAAGGTGCCCTGCTTCCACCATGACTGTATTAGGTTGGTGCAAAAGTAATTGCGGTTTTGCAACTAAAAGTAATGGCAAAAACCACAACTACTTTTGCGCCAACCTGATAAGTTTCCTGAGGCCTCCCCAGCCACATGGAACTGTGAGTCAGTTAAACTTCTTTTGTTTATACGTTACCCAGTCTCAGGCAGTGTCTTTATCGCAGTGTGAGAATGGACTCATACAGTTCTAGAAGTCAGAAATCTGAAACGAGTGTTATGGAGCAAAACCCAAAGCGTTAGCAGGGCCAACTCCTGCGGAGGCTCCAGGGGAGAAGCTGTTCCTTGCCTTTTTCAGCTTCTAGGGGCCACCCGCATTCCTTGGCTCATGGCCCCTCCTTCAGCCTCTTGCTTCTATCATCTCATCTCCTCCTTGCTCTGACCTCCCGCCTTGCTCTTATAAGGAAAGATCCATGGGATTCCACTGGGCCCACCCAGATACCCAGGATCCTCTCCTCATCTCAGGATCCTTAGATTAATCTCATCTGCAGAGTCCCTTTTGCCATGGAAAGTCATGTACTGGCCAGGAGCCGTGGCTCACACCTGTAATCCCAGCACTTTGGGAGGCTAAGGCAGGCAGATCTCTTGAGCTCAGGAGTTCAGACCAGCCTGGGCAACATGGCAAGACACCATCTCTACTAAAAGTACAAAAAAATAGCAAGGCATGGTGGTGTATGCCTGTGGTCCCAGCTCCTTAGGAGGCTGAGGTAGGAGGATTGCTGAACCCTGGGGAGCAGAGGTTGCAGTGAGCCCAGATCACACCACTGCACTCCAGCTTCGATGACAGAGCGAGACCCTGTCTCAAAAAAAAAAAAAAAAAAAGTCACATACTCACAGGCTCTAGGGATTAGGATAGGGACATCATTAGGAGACATTATTCAACCTGCCACAAAGACACAGACACAACCAGATGACAGAAGCCAGGGGAAGAGTTGGAATATTATTCTGAATATGGTGGGAAGCTGCTGTTAAGTTTTGAGCAGGGAAGTAGCTTTATCTGAGTCACCTTTTCAAAGGCCCACCCTAGCTCCTGTGCGGTTGGTCCCTAGGTGAGATAATTAGCACCCTGAGGAGCAGTTTGGGTCAATGACCTCAGGGTCGCAAGGTAGAGGGAAGAGAAAGCCATTCTGGGCCTCTGGACCAGTCTATGTTCCCCAGAGAGTTTCCCCAAAAGCCCTGCCTGGCATGGGGCAGGGCGGTTATTTGCTGCTCATCTGTCTTCTAATGAGGGGTTGTATATTAGTTTGCTGGGGCTGCCATTAAAAAGTACCACAGAGGCCGGGCATGGTGGTTCACACCTGTAATCCCAGCACTTTGGGAGGCCGAGGTGGGCAGATCATGAGGTCAGGAGTTCGAGACCAACCTGGCCAACATGGTGAAGCCCCATTTCTACTAAAAATACAAAACTTAGATGGGCATGGTAGTGCACACTTGTAGTCCCAGTTACTTGGGAGGCTGAGGCAGGAGAATCGCTTGAACCCAGAAGGTGGAGGTTGCAGTGAGCCCAGATCATGCCACTGCACTCCAGCCTGCTGACAGAGGGAGATTCCGTCTCAAAGAAAAAAGTACCACAGATCAGGTGGCTTAAACAACCGACACTTATTGTCTCACAGTTCTGGAGGCTGGAAGTCCAAGATCAAGGTGTGAACAGGGGTGGTTTCTCCTGAGACCTCTCTCCTTGGCTTGCAGATGGTGCCTCCCTGTGTCTACACATGATTTTCCTCTGTGCCTGTCCACTCCCCACCTTCTCACCTGTAGAACTCAGGGCTTATTTATGCTTATTTGTTGACTCTCTCTCCTCATAATAAGGTGTGCAGCAGTGTGGGGTCAGGAACCACATCACTTTGCTCACCATGGTGTTCATTCTTTCATTCATTGATTCCACAAACATTTCCTGGATGCCTGCTAGATCCAGTCCGCCCAGGTCCTGCAGCCGTGGCTGCATACAGGTCAGATGAGGCTCTTGCTCTTGTAGAATGTACCTCCTCCCGGGGGGCAACATGACATAAACAGGTAAACAAAGAAGTCAACAGGATGGCCATGGAGAGTAAGTGCCATGGAGACGACCGAACGTGCGGTGTGCTGAGGAGTAAAGTGAAAGCTTTTTAGGAAAGGGTCTGGGGGTCTGGGAAGGCATCCTGAGGGAGAGACCTTTCACCTGGGGCTGAATACTGAGAAGGGGTGGCCATGAGGAAGTCTTGGGGAACAGAATTCTGTGCAAAGGAAAAGTAAATGCAAAGTGTCTGGAGTGGGAAAGACCTTGATCTGTGTCTTACCTATGTCTATAACATTCTGTACTAATATAAAGGCATATCTGAGGCTCGGTAATTTATAAAGGAAAGAGGTTTATTTGGCTCATGGTTCTGTAGGCTGTGCAAGAAGCATGGCGCCTGTATCTACTTCTGGTGAAGGCTTCAGAGAGCATCCAATCCTGGTGGAAGGGGAAGGGGGGCTGGCGTGTTACATGGTGAGAGAGAGCAAGAGAGAGAGAAGGGAGGAAAGCACCAGTTTCCTTTTAACAACCAGATCTCAAGTGAACTAATAGAGCAAGAACTCACTCATTACCGCAGGGAAGGCACCAACCCATTCATGAAGGATCCACTCCCATGATCCAAACATCTCCCTCTGGGCCCCACCTCCAACACTGGGGATCACATTTCAACATGAGATTTGGAGGGGACGAATTTCCAAACTATATCAGTCTATTCGAGGAACAGAAGGAAAGCTGTTATTGCTGGATCAGGGTAGGGGAAGCACGGAATGAAATGTGATTGGAGAGATGGACAGAGATCAGATCTTGTGAATTCTGGCAGGTATCATGACATTCGATGTAGGCCAAAGAGTTACCTCCTAGCCCAGCTCCTGATACATGCTTAATAAGCGTAGTGTTGGATAAATAAACGTTTACGTGGTAAAAGTAGATCACAAGAGCTCCACAGGAGGAGGTGGTGGAGCTCCAGGTCTTCTCAATGAATGAAAGAATGGATGAATGTCTTTCTCCTAAGTCATGTATGACCTGTAGAGGCTTCCAGGTCTTCTAATCTTATCCAGTGTGCAACACTGCCTACAAAGCACAGTGGTAACTTCTAACTTTCCTTTCTCCCCAGGCTCTACTACCCGAAGGATAGTGCCCGAAGTTGCTGCTTGGCATAGATGAGCCTCAGCTTCCAGGGCACTGTGGGCCTGTTGGTCTACTAGGGCCCTGATGTCCACCTGGCCTTCCTGTTCTTCACTCCCTTCAGCCACACGCTTCATGGCCTTGAGTTCACCTTGGCTGTCCTAACAGGGCCAATCACCAGTGACCAGCTAGACTGTGATTTTGATAGCGTCATTCAGAAGAAGGCGTCCAAGGAGCTGAAGGTGGTGAAATTTGTCCTGCAGGTCCCTCGGGAGATCCTGGAGCTGGAGCATGAGTGTCTGACAATCAGAAGCATCATGTCCAATGTCCAGATGGCCAGAATGAATGTGATAGTTCAGACCAATGCCTTCCACTGCTCCTTTATGACTGCACTTCTAGCCAGTAGCTCTGCACAAGTTAGCTCTGTAGAAGTAAGAACTTGGGCTTAAATCATGGGCTATCTCTCCACAGCCAAGTGGAGCTCTGAGAATACAACAAGTGCTCAATAAATGCTTGCTGATTGACTGATGGATTAGCTGTGTGTGTGTGTCTTGGTCTGCCACCACCCCTGCTGCGGCCCTTTTCACCCTCTGTGTACCCTTTACTTGTTCCTTTCTTCCCTTCCCCCTTTCCTTTCCATCTTCTTCCATCTATATCTCAGCAATTAAGCATGGTGGTTCCACAGCTGGGTTTGGATCTTACTTCTGTTATCTGCTTACCATGAGAACATGGGCAAGAGCCTTCGCCTCCATGCCCCAGTTCCATCGTCTGTAGAATAGACCATCACGGAGCCTGTATCCTAGAAAGGCTTAAATGAGTTCATGAGTCTCAAGACCTTAGAATAGTTAGTCTGGCACCGACGGAGTTCCAGAGCAATTATTATTCATACAGGCTTTCCAGAATTAAAGCAGGACTGTTATGGGATGAATTGTGTGTCCCACCCCCACCAAAAGATGTGGCCATTGTAACCCCCAGTGCCTGTGAATGTGACCTTGCATGGAAATAAGGTCTTTACCAATGTCATCAAGTGAAGATGAGGTCACTCGTGTGGACCCTAATCCACAATGACTAGTGTCCTTATGAAAAGGAGAGATTTCGCCGGGCGCAGTGGCTCACGCCTGTACTCCCAGCACTTTGGGAGGCCGAGGCAGGTGGATCACAAAGTCAAGAGATTGATACCATCCTGACCAACATGGTGAAACCTCATCTCTACTAAAAATACAAAAATTAGCTGGGCATGGTGGCACACACCTATAGTCCCAGCTACTCGGGAGGCTGAGGCAGGAGAACCGCTTGAACCCAGGAGGTGGAGCTTGCAGTGAGCCAAATCATGCCACTGCACTCCAGCCTGGTGACAGAGTGAAGACTCTGTCTCAAAAAAAAAAAAAAAAAAAAAAAAAAAAGGAAAGAAAAGGGGGGATTTAGGGGAGGGAGAGCATTATGACAAATACCTAATGCATGCAGGGCTTAATACCTAGGTGACGGGTTGATTGGTGCAGCAAACCAGCATGGCACATGTATACCTATGTAATAAACCTGCATGTTCAGCACATGTATCCCAGATTTGAAATAAAATTCTTTTAAAAAAGGGGGGGGGATTTAAAGACAGAGACAGGCATGTATACAGAGAGGAAACCATGTGAACATGGAAGCAGGGATTGGGGTGAGGCTCTACTGACCAAGGGCCGCCAAACTATTGCCAGCAAACCACCAGTCATCCGAAAGAAGACCTTGATAGCAGAAGGATCCTGTTCAGAATTCTGTGTTGCATTCAGTCGTAGCTTTTTTTTTTTTTTTTTTTTTTTTTTGGACAGAGTTTTGCTCTTGTTGCCCAGGCTGGAGTGCAATGGCACGATCTTGGGCTCACTGCAACCTCCGCCTCCTGGGTTTAAGCGATTCTGCTGCCTCAGCCTCCCGAGTAGCAGGGATTACAGGCATGTGCCACCATGCCGGGCTAATTTTTTTGTATTTTTAGTAGAGACGGGGTTTCTCCACGTTGGTTAGGCTGGTCTCGAACTCCTGACCTCAGGTGATCTGCCCACCTCAGCCTCCCAAATTGCTGGGATTACAGGTGTGAGCCATCGCGCCCAGCCTCGGCCATGTCTTCTTAGTCTCCTCCAATCTCGAACGGTTCCTCAATCTTTCCTTGATTTTCATGACCTTGACATTTTTGAAGCTTACAGGCCAGTTATTTTGTAAACCATCCCTCCATGTGGGTTCGTCTGACGTCTGATTATGATGAGATTCAGGAATCTTACAGAAGCGATGCTGTTCTCGTGACATCCTGTCAGGTGGTGTGAAATTCCAACTTGTCACATTACTGATGATGTCCACTTTCATTGACTAAGATGGTGTTTGCCACGTTTCTCCACTATAACGTAACTCCTTTGAAATTGGTATTTTGTAGGGAGGTATTTTGAGCTCTGTAAATATCAAACTTCTCACTTAGCTTTTTATTTATCTGAGTATGGACTCCTGGTTTCTTCTGTGGTCCTGTATAATTTGTTACTATCATTATTTATTTTGACTCTCAAACTGCCCAGTATGGCCAATGGAGCTTCTTCAAGCAGACTCCTGTGTTCTTTCCACATGTTCTCACAACACTTTGAGCAATTTCTTGCTTTAAGCATAGGACGTTTGTAGGCTCATCTTGTTCTTTTTTTGCTCTAGACATGGAATCAGCCAAATTTCCTAGGCACTCTGGTTCCATTTGGTGGAGAATGGTATATAGAAGTCAAGATTTGGATGCTAGTGGTGCTCATTCATATGGGCCATCATTGTTTCTATGTTCTCTTAGTGGAGAGAGCTAGAGAATATGTGTACAAATGTTCCTATACACACTGAAACTATGTGTTTATTTTTATCTCTCTATGTATAATTGAGATCCATGAGGACATACCAACGCCTCCAGTTATAGTCCAACACCACAGGGCTCATTCGACTTTCCTCCTTTCTGTCTTAGTAACTCCCTTTTCCAACAGTAGGAGACCTGGCCCCCATTCCCCTTACTCACTGTGTGTAGCCAATTTCCCTTTTCCTTTGCCATTTCACCCCTGTGGGGATGTCTTTCCCAGCCTAGTCTGGCTTCAACACCATACACCATGCTATTCCCATGAGTGGACATTTCTCTCTCTGCTTGGGTTATGACAACCCATGCCAGATCCCCTCTATGTGGCCTCCTTCCTAATTGCCTTACAGTGCAAACCTCCACCCCAGACAATGCCTGCATATAAATGCCCCCGCCCCACTCAGCTCATGTTCCAACACTGCACACCAAGCTGCCCATCTGTGGATTTATCCCCACCATCTCCAGCCCCAACACCCTGGGTCATGCTGCCCCTCTATGTGGACTTCTCCTCACCCCACTACCCCACTGGAATGCTGGCTCTCCACGCCAGATGGCCCCCAGCCCCCTCCTCCCCTAACCCTACCTAGTGTGGAGTCGCAAAACCCCTTTGGGCTTTGACACCACCATAACTTCACACCCTCCCTGACACCCCCACCTTGCTTTTTCCCTCTAAATCATTCAGGAAAGACAGAAGGAAAGAGATGAACAGAGGAAGAGCAAATGCCATGCTCTTAGTCACCGTGTACGCCCACTTCCTGAAGTCCATGCTTGCATCCTGCTCACTCTCACACATTCCCGACTCACCCAGGAAAACTCCCTGAGGCCAGGGGTGCTGAGCTCTCCATCTCACTGCCCAGAGGCCAGTGTTGGAGTGACCCTTCACATGCTTGTTGGAACATTGAATAAATGATGCCGTCTGCTCTAATCCTCCATTTTCTTTTCTTTTTTTTCTTTTTTTTTCTTTTTTTCGAGACAGGGTCTCACTATGTCAGCCAGGCTGGAGTACAATGGTGCAATCGTAGTTCACTGCAGCCTGGAGTGCAATGGTACAATCATAGCTCACTGCAGCCTTGAACTCCTGGGCTCAAGCAATCCTCCCATCTCTGCCTTTGGAGCAGCTGGGACTACAGGTGTGTGCCACCATGCACGGCTAATTTTTTTATTTTTTGTAAAGACAGCCTCTCCGTATGTTGCTCAGCTGGTCTCAAACTCCTGGGCTCAAGCAATCCTCCCACCTCAGCCTCCCAAAGCGCTGGGACTACAGACATGAGCACCACATCCAGCCTCTAATCCCCATTTATAAAATGCACTTTCCAATTCCACTCTGGGGATAAAGGCGTCACAGAACCTGACTCTGCATTTCCCCACCCATATCATTCAAGCCAGATGGGGAGGCAGGGACAGCTCTGGTCCCTCCCCAACCCGGGTAGAGATTTCCAGCCCAGCTGTCACAGCTCTAAGACACCGGGACCGAAGGAGAAGCCAAGAGAGGCAGGAAGAGGTGGCAAAGGAGTGCTGGAGAAGATAAGGAGGCTGAGCTCCGACAGGGAGCAGGGAGGAGGGGCCATCTTGAGACTGGTGCCCTGCGAGCTCCACCCCACCCCTCCATGCAGTTCCCCATGGGCCCCGCCTGCATCTTCTTGAGGAAAGGCATTGCTGAGAAACAGCGGGTGAGGTGGGGAGTGAGGGGGAAGGGCGGTGGGCGGGGCAAAGGGAGCAGGGGTGTGGGACAAAGAAGGGGACATGATGGTGCCACAGAACCAGGGGAACAGGTGGATAGAGCAGGAGCTGAGAAGGTATAAGAAATTCCAAGGACCCTGGTGGGGTCATGTAAGCCAGTGAGATAAATGGGTGGGGGTAAAATCAAAAGTCAGGAGCAAAGAGAAGGAGAGAAAAGGAAGAAAAATGAAAAGGGAAAGTGGGATGATGTCATTGTTGAGATTACCATCATTCTTTTCTATGGATGCTCATTGTGATAATGGTGGTGATGATGGTGGTGGTGGTGATGATAATGATGACGTTAATAACAATAGCTGCCACTTATTAAGTCATTGTTCTGTGCCCAGCCCTGTGCAAAGGGATTTGCACACCTGATGTTATTTACACCTCAGAACAACTCATGAGGTCAGTGACTTTCATTCCCATTTTACAGGTGAGGAAAGTGAAGCTCTGAGTCATGAAGTCATTTGCCTTAAGCTTACACAGTTAGTAAGTGGCAGGGTCGGCCAAGTATAGTGGCTCATGCCTGAATCGCAGCATCTTGGGAGGCAGAGGCGGGAGGATCACTTATGTCCAGGAGTTTGAGACCAGCCTGGGAAACACAAGACCCCATCTCTACTAAAAATACAAAAAAATAGCTCAGCATGGTGGCATGCATCTGCAGTCCCAGCTACTCAGGTGGCTGAGGCAGGAGGATCGCTTGAGCCCAGGAAGTGGAGGCTGCAGTGAGCCCTGATTATGCCACTGCACTCCAGCCTGGGCAACAAAGTGAGACTTTGTCTCGTTAAAAAAAAGTAAGTGGCAGGGTCGGGTTTGCTTGATTCCTGTGGGCATGCTTTTTAAAATTTTTTTATTTTTCCATATATACCAACTTGTCCAGATATGTGGGCATACTTTTCATTGTTAGGCTTTAAGATCACCAAAAAAAGAGAATAAAAAAGGCCAGGCAGTGGCTCACGCCTGTGATCCCAGCCCTTTGGGAGGCCAAAGCAGGTGGATCACGAGGTCAGGAGGTCAAGACCAGCCTGGCCAAGATGGTGAAACCCTGTCTCTATTAGAAATACAAAAATTAGCCGGGTGCAGTGGCAGGCGCCTGTAATCCCAGCTACTCGGGAGGCTGAGGCAGGAGAATCGCTTGAACCCGGGAGGCAGAGGTTGCAGTGAGCCGAGTTCGTGCCACTGCACTCCAGCTTGGGTGACAGAGCGAGACTGTGTCTCAAAAAAAAAAAAGAGAGAGAGAATGAAAAAAAGGGTGATAAGGGACCGCAAGGAGGGGATCAGATGAAAGAGAAGCTGAGGGAAAGGCTCCAGGGATAAAGGGAGATGGGAAGGCTAAAGAGACCAGAGGTCAGTAGAATTTCCTTGTTAACATGCCATGTATATGTAAGCCCAACCCTTCAGGTATGTGCAGGAGTAGGTGGGGCAGCAATAACTGGACATTCTCAGAGTGTTTAGGAACTGGTCATGCTGGCACTGACCCTCCTGCCTGAAAGCCATTGAATGCTGTTTCCATGCACAGAGATTCTAACCTTTGGCAGGAAGATTGGAGGCAGGTGAGAAAGGAGTGAATGGGGGCTAGTGTGAAGAATTCTGACTTGGGAGTCAGGAGCCCTGAATTCAAATCCCAATACTGTGTCTGACTTGCCCCATGACCTCCAGGGAGCAGGTGAATGCCTTCCTCCCTTGGGAGGGGATCTGCTGCTTGTGAGCTGTGTGACCTTGTGCAGGTTCCTTAACCTCTCTGTTCCTCAGCTTTCTCATGGGTAAGATGGAAACGAGATGTAGATCTGCATCACAGAGCAGTACTGAGGTTTAAATGAAATGATTGTGGAAACTGCCTGGCACAGAGTCACCACTCTGAATGAGTTAGCTGTGGTTGTGAAGTCTCACTTTTTTCATCTGGAGATTGGACTCCCCAGTGTTTAAGACCCCCTTTGACACAATGTGATGGGTGTTTGTCTCAGAAAGGGAGAAAAAGGGAGATTGGGATTCGTGGGTGGGAGAGAGACATCGAGAGGGGGGTGGGGAGCCAAGAACTGTGGAACAGGAGTCAGGAGATGGGAAAAGGAATGGGAGGGATGGAGGAGGAGAGAGAGAATGGAAAGAGAACCACGAGAGCGTGGGGAGGAGCTTGGGAGAACAAGGAGACCCTTTGGAGAATGGGTGACCCTCTCTCCAAATTCCCTCTCATCTGCATTCCTTTCCAGGAAAGACCACTGGGACAAGATGAGATTGAAGGTAACACCGTCTTCCCCAGTTGCTTCCACGTTGCCATCCACCCACCTGACCTGCCCTCAGTCCCTTTGTGCATTTCCGTATAAATTCCATTACATGGAATTTTTACAATCCCTCTCTCTTCCCACTCAACTGTAATTTTGTAGAACTCTTTCTCGTGGCAGTTGAAGGACTTCCCAAAGTATTTCGAAGGCATATCCATCCTCAAGTATCTCCAAGACTCAGGAGTGAAAACAAATGAGTTTCTCTCTTGGTGACTTTGAGGTTCCCCATAACTTCATCCAGGAATCTGAAGGACGCCAGTGCTCTCATTTAGTGGTCTCAGGAATGATGCCTCTTTTGCTAACACATTTCATACATCACTCCTTTTTGAATTTTTTTTTCTTTTTTGAGACAGAGTTTTGCTCTTGTTGCCAGGCTGGAGTGCAATGGCACGATCTCCTCTCACTGCTACCTCCGCCTCCCAGGTTCAAGCGATTCTTCTGCCTTGGCTGAGGCAGCCTCCCTAGTAGCTGGGATCAAAGGCATGAGCCACCATGCCCAGCTAATTTTTTTGTATTTAGTAGAGATGGGGTTCTGCCATGTTGGTCAGTCTGGCCTCAAACTCCTCACCTCAGGTGATCCACCCACCTCGACCTCCCAAAGTGCTGGGATTACAGCCATGAGCCACCACATCCGGCCTTGGTTTTTTTGTTTTGTTTTGTTTTGTTTCTAATGTACGCTCCTTTAAGGAGTCTCTAGTTGGAGCCTCATTGATAGCTTCAAGAGATGCCACTCTTCCCCACTGACTGCTTCAAGTTCCCCCAAAGTTCTCTCTTAACTTTCAGAGCTGCGGGAAGCATTTCTTGAGTTCGATAAGGACCGAGATGGGTTCATCTCTTGTAAGGATCTGGGGAATCTCATGAGGACGATGGGTTACATGCCCACGGAGATGGAACTGATTGAGCTCGGCCAGCAAATCCGCATGAACCGTGAGTCCAGGGAATGGGAGGGATGGCCGGGGTTAGGGAAGGGATCAGGGCAGAATTGGGAAGGATGTAGAGGTTAAGAGTAGAGTTGGGGGTGGAGAGGAGGATGAGAGGGACTAGAAGTCTGGAAGAAAACAGGTCAGATTCGACTCAGGAAGGCAGCATTTGAAGTGGTTAAAAGCTTTTAGAGATAGGTCTGGGTTCAAATCTCAGTTCTATTATTTACTAATTACAGTCATTTTGAAAAGTGAAGTTATCCGCTACTCTTCAGTTTCCATTTCCTCATCTATAGAGGAAGATGCCTCTCTCCTTACCTCATGGGACTGTGGAAAGGAAGAGAAGGAAGAGATAAAGATGCTGATGCAGTTAAAGTCTTAGCCTCCAGTAAATTCTTATTAAAGGTAGTTATTACTATCACCACTAAGATTCATCAGTGGAGCACGAGATTGGAGCTGTATTGGATGTTGGAAACAAACTTGGAGCTGGAGCTAATGTTGGTGAATACAGCTGCAAAAAGGATGGATGGATTTTTGGATGGAGATCATAACTGATTTTTAGATTTTAGCTAGAATAAAATTCCTATTGAGGCTGGGCGCAGTGTCTCACACCTGTAACCTGTAATTCCAGCACTCTGGGAGGCTGAGGTGGGCAGATCACCTGAGGTTAGGGGTTTGTGAACAGCATGGGCAACATGGTGACACCCCGTCTCTACTAAAAATACAAAAAATTAGCCAGGCGTGATGGCGTGCACCTGTAATCCCAGCTACTCGGGAGGCTAAGGTACGAGAATCGCTTGAACCCGGGAGGCAGAGGTTGCAGTGAGCCGAGATCGCACCATTGCACTCCAGCCTTGGCAACAGAGTGGGACTCTGTCTCAAAAAAAAAAAAAAAAAAAAAAAAAAAAGCTATTGGGTTTGCTTCTGGGCATGTAACGAACTAAACAAGGTTGAATTCAAGGTAATGATAGTATTCATATCTGAAAAAAAAATTGTATGCTCATTTAATTCATGCTCCTCTTTGTACAGGTCTACAGAGGAGGAGAAACATCTTAACCAACTGTCTGAAAGTCACACAGGCAGTTACTTCCACCATACCACACCCTATCCACTCCTGTTCAGGCTAGAGGGACATGAGTTTGGAGCTTGGAGTTAGCTGCTGGAGGGAGGAAGTCAAAGACGGCTCTTATAGGGCAGGGAGAAGGGAGCTGATCTAACTGACTCGAAGCACAAAGTGAGGTAATGGAAGGCCAGGGCTTGTGGGGTCTCGCTAATCCTGTGCCATCTTCCTCAGTGGGTGGCCGTGTAGACTTTGATGACTTTGTGGAGCTGATGACCCCCAAATTGCTTGCAGAAACAGCTGGGATGATCGGTGTCCAGGAGATGCGGGATGCCTTCAAGGAGGTGAGTTAACAGTGTCATGGTGCTGGTGATGGTAGAGGCAGACCCTCTGAGGTCTGCCTGTAATTAGCCAATGCCATGGACAGCACCCACCAACCAGGCCCCCACCTTTTTTTTTCCAGCCATGGTGGGATCAATAAATAGGGAAGAAAAATAACGTATTCCAAACACCTGCAATGGATCAATGCCTCTGTATACTTTATCTGATTTAATCCTCAAAAAAACAAACAAACAAAAACAAAAACACGCACACAAACACATTAGGAGTAAGCAAGCAGTCATGTATCCCAATTAAACAGATGAGAAAAGTGAGGCTCATGAAGATTATAAATCTTATCCAAGATCCTGCCATCTCTAGAATAAATGTTAGGACTTTTTTTTTTTGAGACGGGGTTTCACTGTTGTCCCCAGGCTGGAGTGCAATGGTGCAATCTCGGCTCACTACAACCTCTGCCTCCCGGGTTCAAGCCAGTCTCCTGTCTCAGCCTCCTAAGTAACTGGGATTACAGGTGCGCGATACCACACCCAGCTAATTTTTGTATTTTTCGTAGAGACGGGGTTTCACCATGTTGACCAGGCTGGTCTCGAACTCCTGACCTCAAGTGATCCACCTGCCTCGGTCTCCCAAAGTGCTGGGATTACAGGCATGAGCCACCGTGCCTGGCCAGGGCCTCTATTCTTAGTGCCTGTAACAGGAAGAATCCAAGAATTTGAGATCCCAGAAGGGAATGCAAAGTGGTCATCTGGTACGAACCACTTGCTGCAGACATACTAAAAAATATCAGACCCAGTGAGAATAACAGACTTGCTTATATCCCCTGATAAAATACCTTCTCGTTCTGAGAGCTTTCAGCAACACAAGGTGAAAATAAAGAGTAGTAGAGTGTTTGGGAGCAAAGGATTTGGAACCAGGCAAACATGGGTTCAAATCCTAGGAGGCCTCCACCTATTGGCTGTGCAAGTGCCTCCCCCAGCTTCTTATAAAGATCTACAGCTGGCCGGGCTCAGTGGCTCACACCCATAATCCCAGCACTTTGGGAGGCCGATGCAGGTGGATCACAAGGTCAGGACTTTAAGACCAGCCTGGCCAAGATGCTGAAACCCCGTCTCTACTAAAAATGCAAAAAAATTTAGCCAGACATGGTGGTGGGCGCCTGTAATCCCAGCTACTTGGGAGGCTGAGGCAGGGAATTGCTTGAACCTGGGAGGCAGAGGTTGCAGTGAGCTGAGATCGCACCATTGCATTCCAGCCTGGGTTATAAGAGTGAAACTCCATCTCAAAACAAAAAGAAAAAGTTGTCTGGATTGAGAAGTGCTGTAAGTGTAACGTGAACACTGTATTAAGACTTAGTATGCTAATATAATTAGCATAACGTACTTGTATACTTAAGTAAACTTCTAGGCTAAGTATCCTAATTAAGCATGCTAAGCACCTACTAAGAACTTAGAACTTACTGCCTTATGAAATCCAGTGTGTATAAAAAGAATGCTACTTACATAGCTAAATTAATAATTTTTAAGTGGATTACATGATGAAAGGATAACACTTTAGATATATTGTGTCAAATAAAAGAGAATATTAAAAATTAGTTTCATTTGTTCCTTTTAACATTTTTTTAAACGTCACTACTAGAAAATTTTAAGGCCAGGTGCAGTGGCTCATGCCTGTAATCCCAGCACTTTGGGAGGCTGAGGTGGGTGGATCACCTGAGGTCGGGAGTTTGAGACCAGCCTGACCAACATGGAGAAACCCCGTCTCTACTAAAAATACAAAATTAGCTAGGCGTGGTGGTACATGCGTGTAATCCCAAGTACTCAGGAGGCTGAGGCAGAAGAATCGCTTGAACCCGGGAGGCAGAGGTTGCAGTGAGCCAAGATCGCACCACTGCACTCCAGCCTGGGTAAAAAGAGCGAAACTCCACCTCAAAAAAAAAAAAAAAAAAAAAAAAAAGCTGAATAGTATTCCATTGTGTACTTATGCCATGTTTTCTTTATCCACTCTTCTGTTTTGATGGACACAGGTTGCTTCCATACCTTGGCTATTGTGAATAGTGCTGCCATGAGCAGGGGAGTGCAAACATCCCTTTGATATACTGATTTCAATTACTTTAGATACATACCCAGAAGTGGTATTGCTGGGTCATATGGCAGCTCTAGGTTTAATTTTCTAAGGAACCTCCATACCATTTTCCATAATAGCTGTGCTAATTTCCATACCCAGCAAAAGTGTACCAGGGTTCCCTTTTATCCACATCCTCACCAACACTTGTTATTATTCATCTTTTTAACAGTAGCCATCCTAACAGATGTGAGGTGATATTTCATTGTGGTTTTAATTTAAATTTCCCAAATGATTAGTGATGCTGAGCATTTTTTTCACGAACTTGTTTGCCATTTGTCTGTCTTCTTTAGAGAGATAGCTGTTCACGTCTTTTGCCCATTTGTCTTCTTTAGAGAGATGGCTGTTCACGTCTTTTGCCCATTTGTCCTCTTTAGAGAGATGGCTGTTCACGTCTTTTGCCCATAGTTATTAGATTGATGCAAAAGTAATTGTGATTTTGCCATTAAAAGCAATATTTGTCATTATGCAGTATTATTAATTATAGGCACAATGCCACACAGCAGATCTCTAGAACCTATCTTGCGTAACTGAAACTTTATACCCATGGTACAATATCTCCCCATTTCCCTGTCCTCCTAACCCCCAGCAACTATCCTTCTACTCTCTGCTTCTATGAGTGTGGTTATTTTAAGTACTTCATATGTAAGTGGAATCATGCAGTATTTCTCCTTCTGCGTGGTATATATTTAAATGCAATATTCAGCCTTACAAAAGAAGGAAATCCTGCCCCACACAACAACACAAATGAACCTGGAGGACAGTATGCTGGGTGAAATAAGCCAGGTACAGAAGACAAGTATTTCTAAGTGTCTTGCTTGCTGCTCCGTGCTCAGTCCCAAGAACGGTGCCTTCCACATGGGCACTACTGACACATTTTTTTTTAGCAATATGGATACATATGTGTTGAATTAATGAACTGCCTCCAAAGCTCTGCCCTGCACACCCTTAACTAGTCTACCAGAAAGTCTAGTACGTTCAATTTCCAAAACATCGGGGAGTGAACTCTCCTTCTTGAGCTCTGCTGGTGCTAACTGGCTCAAACCACAACCATCTCCTACCAGGATGATCATGGCGGCCCTCTAATTGGTTTCCTGGCTCCCATCGTGGTCCTACTGTGGTCTGTTCTCTACACAACAGGGTTTCATGCTCACATTCTTTTAAAATGTATATCAGATCTGGTCACTCCCCTGCTTAAAATTCTCCAGTGGCTTCTTGTCTTACTCAGAACCAAATCCTGACAACGTCCCATGACACACAAGCCCCTACGTACTTGGGCCCTGCCTTCTGCAACACTGAGACCTTGTCTATTTCATGCTCATTTCTCCCCAGCTCACGCCTCCCTAAACACTCCCCACTTCTGCCTCTTCCTCAAGTACACCTTCCTGCCTTACGGCACTTGTTAACTTGCAGCTTCCTCAGCCTACAGCTGTGTCATCCAAAATAAATACAATGTAAGCAGCATGGGTCATTTAAAATTTTCTTTCTCTTTTTTTGAGACAGTTTTGCTCTTGTTGCCCAGGCTGGAGTAGAATGGCACAATCTTGGCTCACCACAACCTCCACCTCCCAGGTTCAAGCGATTCTCCTGCCTCAGCCTCTCGAGTAGCCGGGACTACAGGCATGCGCCACCACGCCTGGCTAATTTTGTATTTTTAGTAAAGACGGAGTTTCTCCATGTTGGTCAGGCTGGTCTCGAACTCCTGACCTCAGGTGATCCACCCGCCTTGGCCTCCCAAAGTGCTGGGATTACAGGCATGAGCCACTGAGTCCGGCATATTCAGCTTTTAAAAAGAAGGAAACTCTATCATTTACAACAACATGAATAAACATGAAGCACATTATTCTAAGCTATATAAGCCAGGCACAAAAGGACAAATACCACATGATGTTACATGCAGAATCTTAAAAAATTGAACTCATGCAAATAAAAAGAAAGGTGGTTAGCAGAGGCTGGGGAGCCACAGAGAAGGAATGGACAGTTGCTTGTCAAAGGGTACAAAGTTTTGGTTAGACAGGAGGAATAACTTTTGAGATCTATTGCACAGCAGGATAACTATAGTAAATAATAATGTATGTTTCAAAAATCACCTAAAAAGTAAGTTTTAAATGTATCGCTGGGCACTTTGGCTCAGGACTGTAAGCCTAGCACTTTGGAAGGACAAGGTGGAAGGGTTGCTTAAGGCCAAGATTTTAAGACCAACCTGGCCAAAATAGTGAGACCCCGTCTCATTAAAAAAAAGTTTCGGCCGGGCACAGTGGCTCAAGCCTGTAATCTCAGCACTTTAGGAGGCTGAGGCAGGTGGATCAACTGAGGTCAGGAGTTCAAGATCAGCCTGGCCAACATGGTGAAACCCTGTCTCTACTAAAAATACAAATATTAAACAGGTTTGGTGGTGCGCGCCTGTAATCCCAGCTACTCGGGAGGCTGAGGGACGAGAATCGCTTGAATCCAGGAGGTGAAGGCTGCAGTGAGCTGAGATTGCACCACTGCACTTCAGCCTGGGTGACAGGGTGAGACTGTCTCAAATAAAAAAAAAAAAAAAAAGAAAGAAAAAAAGAAAAAAAAAAACAGAACAAAACTGTCTTTTGGAGCTGACGTTCTAGTGGCTCACATTCCCAAAGCTTTTATCTCAGTGCTTGACCCACAGTAAGCGATAGGTAAACTCCATCATCTCGTGGCTATCATCATTGTCATTGCTGATATAATCTATTTCTGCTTCTATTCAGTTTGACACGAATGGAGATGGGGAGATCACCCTGGTGGAGCTACAGCAGGCCATGCAGAGACTCCTGGGGGAGCGGCTCACCCCCCGGGAGATCTCTGAGGTTGTCCGGGAGGCTGATGTTAATGGAGACGGCACAGTTGACTTTGAAGGTGACATTGACGGGGCGTGGTGGGGAGCGGGGGCAGCCACCGCAGGAATCCACTTCCAACTCACTGTCAGATTTTCCAAGTTGGCCACTCCTTCTCACTCCTCTCCAAGTTTGAGAATGGAAGCGGGTGGCAGGTTTTGGAAGCATTTGTTCTGTCCCTTTCTTCCCAGGCTATTCATTTCAAAGAGCTGGGTGTCGCTCACTTCTGGTGGCTCCGAGGAACACCTCAGCCAAGGCCCTTTCCTTCCCATGCTCAGGACGCCCTTCCGCCTTGCCCATTCCTTGTTAGTTTGCAGGGCACCTTTTATCCTAGGAAGAACTTGTCCCATCAGAAAGAGACTGGACTGGCTAGCAGCTGGAGCTCTGGGGTCAGGTTCAGGGGCTTCAAATTCAGGATCATCGCTGACTCAGCATGTGGCTTATGCTACTCCCTTTTTCTCTTTAAGGGTCAGTTTTCCCATCTGTAAAATGAGGTGGATGATGACACCTTTTGGAGAAAACTAAAAGAAATCATGCACAAAGCACCACTGTATTTTTAAATTTTCCTTCCCTGTCTTTGCTCAAGTTGTCCTTCCGTCTGGAATACCCTTTCCCCTCTCCCCTGGCTAACTCCTAGTTATGTTCCTGGAAGGTACCTCCCACCTCTCTTACTGGGCTCCGTGTCCCTCTGCTGGCTCCCCAGTAATACCTCCCGCTTGCTTCTGCAGTAATACGGATTCGTGGCATCTCTAGAGTTTATTGCCTATTTCCTTCTGAGACCATGGACCAATTCCTTCATCATCACTATATCCCCAAATCCTAGCACTGAGCCCAGCATGAGTATATTGGATCACTGAATAAGTGAAAAGGATTGGGGTTCTACATGGATGAGACGTGGGGTTCTTTTTTATGTGAGGCATAGGAAGGCATGTCGGCCGGACATGGTGGCTCACGCCTGTAATCCCAGCACTTTGGGAGGCCGAGGCGAGTGGATCACCTGAGGTTAGTAGTTTGAGACCAGCCTGGCCAACATGGCGAAATCCTGTCTCTACTACGAATACAAAAAAATTAGCCGGAAGTGGTGGCAGGTGCCTGTAATCCCAGCTACTTGGGAGGCTGAGACAGGAGAATTGCTAGAACGCTGGGGGCGGAGGTTGCAGTGAGCTGAGATCGCGCCATTGCACTCCAGAGCAACACTCCGTCCAAAAAAAAAAAAAAAAAAGCATGTCAAGTTCTAATTGTGACATTCTTTGGTTCAAAGATCTCAGCACCTATCTGCTGCTTATGGACAAAAATCCAAAATTCTGGCCGGGCTCAGTGGCTCATGCCTGTAATTTCAGCACTTTGGGAAGCCAAGGTTGGCGGATCACCTGAGGTCAGGAGTTCGAGACCAGGGGGGCCAACGTGGTGAAACCCCATCTCTACTAAAAATATACAAATTAGCTAGGAGTGACAGTGCACGCCTGTAGTCCCAGGCTATACGGGGGCTGAGGCAGGAGAATTGCTTGAACCCAGGAGGTGGAGGCTGCAGTGAGCCGAGGTCACACCACTGCACTCCAGCCCGGGCAACAGTGAGACTCCATCTCAAAAAAAGAAAAAAAGAAAAAAAGGCCAGGCGCGTGGCTCACACCTGTAATCCTAGCACTTTGTGAAGCTAAGGCAGGCAGATTGCCTGAGCTCAGGAGTTCAAGACCAGACTGGGCAACACCGTGAAACCCATCTCTACTGAAATACAAAAAGTTAGCCAGGGGTGGTGGCATGTGCCTGTAGTCCCAGCTACTTGGGAGGCTGAGGCAGGAGAATTGCTTGAACTTGGGAGGCGGAGGTTGCAGTGAGATCGCCCCACTGCACTCCAGCCTGGGTGACAGAGCGAGACTCCGTCTCCAGAAAAAAAAAAAAAAAGTCCAAAATTATTTGTCTGATATGCAAGTCTATCCATCATCTGGCCTCGCCCACCCACCCAGCCTGTATCTTCTGTAGCTATTCTCTGAACTTTTAAGTTCTGGCACAAACTTGGTGCCTGCTTTATGTTCTCCAACCTCCGTTCCTAGGCATCAGATGCTCCGTCCACTTACCACATCTTTCAGTCTCATCCATCCCTCAGGAACTCACATCAAGGCAACCTTTGTCAGGAAGCTTCTCTCCATCCTTCCCTCATGTCTTCCTCCCAGCTGTGAAGTCTTACAGAAGTTTTTCTGTTCCTCTCCATGGAAGTTATCACAGCAGACCTTGCTGTGTTGAGTTGTATTAGCTTCCAAGGCCTCCATCCTAGATAGAGAGGAGGAAGGGCCATTCTCTAAACCATATATGCTGTATGTCCCAGTATGGAAACACAGTAGAGGCTGGTTGGACACCTGCTAGATCTAGCCAGGATTAGGTGTGCAGTGGACATCAAGTGACATCTGGAGAAGGTGGGGTGGGGGTGGGAGATGATCCTCAGGCCAACCAAAGGCAAGGGAAGGTCAGGATGACCTCAAGACCCGGGTGGGCAGCAAGATCGTCTTGAGCCACAGCAAAGTCAGGTGCAACCTGCATTCCTTCCAGGGTTCACCATTCACTATCCACGTGGCCTCAGGTATGTTGGTGACCCTCGCTGGCGTAAGTTTCCTTATCTGTAAAGTGACACTTATCCCTCCAGGATGGTTGAGATGATGAAATCTCATAGTGACAATCACAGGTTTTTTGGGTTTTGTTTTTTAGATGGAGTCTCACTCCGTCACCCAGGCTGCACTACAGTGGTGCAACCTTGGCTCACTGCAACCTCCACCTCCTGGGTTCAAGCAATTCTCCTGCCTCAGCCTGTGGAGTAGCTGGGATTACAGGCGCCCGCCACCACGCCTAGCTAATTTTTGTATTTTTAGTAGAGACGGGGTTTCACCATGTTAGCCAGGCCAGTCTCAAACTCTTGACCTCAAGTGATCCACCCTCCCTGACGTCCCAAAGTGCTGGGATTACAGTTATGAGCCACCGCGCCCGGCCAACAATAGCTGTTTATGGGATACTTAATCTGTTTTGTGAGCATTATGCCATTAATGGTCTTAAAAACCATATAAGGAAATAGCAATACTAGGATTCCCATTTTTTAAATTTAATGTTTTATTTACATGCAAGATTATTTTCATAACAGAAATGAAGAAACTGCAACATACTGAAATTAGTCTTTCAGAAGTAGGAGCATAATAATAACCACAGTAGTTTACATGGGGTGACTGTGATGGCAGGCACGGTTCTGAGCAAATTTTATTTACCTATTTAATTTTTTAATTTTTTTGTAGAGTTGGGGGTGTCGCTATGTTGCCCAGGCTGGTCTCGAACTCCTGGGCTCAAGCGATCTGCCCACCTCGGCCTCCCAAAGTTCTGGGATTACAGGCGTGAGCCACCGAGCCCAGCCTGTAAGCCAATTTTATCTCAACCTCATGAGGTAGATCTATTAAACATGCCAACTTGACAGATGAGAAACTGAGGCACAGGGTTAAGTAACTTGCCACAGAGATCTGATTCCCATTTCATAGATGGAGAAATGGAAGCATAGAGGGATTAAGTAATTTCCCAGGGATCACCAGCAGTGCCTGCCACATAGGAAGGGCTCAAAAAATAATGTTGGGGGCTTTTACAACGAGATGCCTTACTGGGGATTTTTTTTTTTCTTTGCAGAGTTTGTGAAGATGATGTCTCGCTGAGGAGGTCCTGGAAGCTCCAGACCCTCTCCACCTGGTCAACATGGAGCAAGCGCTTGTGGAGAACCAAAGCCCAAAAGCCCCAGATCCCCTTAAAGCAGAGAGGGAGGGCAGGCGGGAGGGAGGGCATTGGCATGCGGCGCTGTGCATGGGGTGAGACCCAGAGCGGTATCTTTGCCAGGATGGGGGCGTCTGCAGAACTAGATTAAGAAGGAAGAGTCTGTGGATGGAAATAGGAAGCGTGGGAGGGTCCAGTTGCCACCCCCAAAAATTCCAATGATTCTTGACATCTTTTCACTTCACGTAGTCCTAAGTCCCTGTGACCTGCCAGAGTCTCTTCCCCAGCTTCCCCTTGGGTGAAAATAGTCTCTTCTCCTGTTGGGTATCAAAAGGTTCAGAACGTAGTCTCTACTCTTCCCCTGCCTGCATCAACTGTTGCAAATCCCGTTTCTCTCTCCCGGTAAGGGGACAAATTATACTTTATTCAGGTGATGGTTACATGAACAGCCCAGACTTCACCACTACGCAATATATCCATGTAACAAAACCGCACTTGTACTCCCTAAATCTATAGAAATACAAAATGAAATAAAAAGGATGCAAATCAGTCACAGAGCTGGAAACAGAGTTGTTGTTGAGGCTGGGCTTGGAAATGGCTCGTGCAAGTGGCATTCAAAGTCAACTCCTTCCTTTTCCTGATTTCCTGGAAGCACTGTCTGGTTTCTCTCTCTCTCTCTCTCTCTCTCTCTCTCTCTCTCTCTGTCTGTCTGTCTCTGTCTCCCCTCCCACATCCCTTCCTTTGTGTAAGATACTCAGGGGACTGAATTAAACCACAAATCTGGATTATCAAGGTTTAGAGCTAGCTGATCCTTGGGGAATTAATCCCCTGAAAAAATGTCATCATGCAAAGAGAGAGATGACAGGATCCCCCAAATCCCCAGTTCAGCCAGGTTGTTGCAAAGTCTTTCCTAGAAGCCTCCTACCTCCGCGCTGGTCTGTCCTGGACCACCCAGAGGCTGTGTCTCTGTTAGATGGGTCGTCTGTTCCGTCCCTCACGTCCTGACATCGATCTGTGCCATGAAACAGAAAAGAGAGATTCCTCCTGACCTCCGCCCAAAGCAAGACACTCCAGCAATGCAAAGGTTAAAATAAAAGTCAAAATAAAGAATTAACTTCATGCCTTCCTCCAACTTTTTCTTGCTTTGAAGTCCATGAATTAGATGTTTAAAATGAGTCATCTGGTTCAATAGCTTTGTTTTATTTTATTTTATTTTATTTTTGTATTTATGTATTATGTATGTATGCATGCATTTATTTATTTATTTTTGAGACAGAGTCTCACTCTGTCACCCAGACTGGAGTGCAGTGGCGCGAATTCGGCTCACTGCAACCTCCGCCTTCTGGGTTCAAGCGATTCTTACGCCTCAGCCTCCAGAGTAGCTGGGATTACAGGCGTGCACTCGTGTGCCACTATGCCTAGCTAATTTTTTTTTTTTTTTAAGTAGAGATGGGGTTTCACCATGTTGGCCAGGCTGTCTTGAACTGACCTCATGTGATCTGCCTGCCTCAGCCTCCCAAAGTGCTAAGATTACAGACGTGAGCCACTGCACCCAGCCTATTTATGTATTTATTTTTGAGACAGGGTCTCACTCTGTTGTCCAGGCTGGAGTGATCTCACCTCACTGCAACGTCTACCTCCCGGGCTCAAGCCATCCACCCACCTCAGCCTCACCCTCCTCAGCTGGGACCATAGGTGCATGCCACCATGCCTGGTTAATTTTTGTATTTTTTTTTTTGTAAAGACAGGGTTTTGCCATGTTGCCCAGGCTGGTTGCAAACTCCTGGGCTCAAGCTATCCACCCTTTTCAGCTCCCCCAAAGTGCTGAGATTACAGGTGTGAGCCACCACACCCAGCCAATAGCTTTGTTTTATAAAATAAAAAAATTAAGAAAAAGTGGAGCCCTTGGGGAAGCCGAGGAGGGAGGGTCACTTGAGGCTGGGAGTTCACAACCAGCCTGGCAACATGAGACCCTATCTCTACAAAAAAAAAAAAAAAAAAAAAGAAAGAAAGAAAAGAAAAAAAAAATAGCCAGGCATGGCAGTGTGTGCCTGTGATCCCAGCTACTCAAGAGACTGAGGCAGGAGGAAAGCTTGAACTCAGAAGTCAAGGTTACAGTGAACCAAGATGGCACCCTGCACTCAGCCTGGGTGACAGAGTGAGTCCCTGTCTCTAAAAAAGAAAAAGTGGAAGCAGAATAATGTTATTTCCTAATCTCAAGCTCTTTCCTCAGCTCCATCCCATTCCATCCACACATGCACCCATCCGCCCCTTCATTTCTTCAGTCACCCATTCAAAAAAGATTTTCTAAGTACCTGGTCTATGCCTGACATTGTTTCAGGTAATGGAAATAGAGCAAGGACAAGGTATTTGGCCTCAACAGTCTCATATTTTAGAACCATGCAATTCAATAGAATCTTCTGCGAGGATAGAAATATTCCAGACCCGCGCTGTTTATTATGGTAGCCACATGTGACTACTGAGTATTAAATGTGTGAGCAAGGCTGAGAAACTAAATTTTATTTTATTTTTATCAAGTGAGAACAGTTTTATTAATGAATACATAAGTGCATTAGTCTGTTTTCATGATGCTGATAAAGACATACCCGAGACTGGATAATTTATAAAGAAAAAGAGGCCAGGCATGGTGGCTCATGCTTGTAATCCTAGCACTTTCAGAGGCCGAGGTGGGTGGATCATCTCAGGTCAGGAGGTCAAGACCAACCTGATCAACATGGTGAAACCCTATCTCTACTAAAAATAAAAAAATTAGCCGGGTGTGGTGGTGCATGCCTGTAATCCCAGCTACTCAGGAGGCTGAGGCAGGAGAATCACTTGAACTTGAGGGGGTGGAGGTTGCAGTGAGCCGAGATCATGCCACTTCACTCCAGCCTGAGTGAAAGAGCAAAACTCCATCTCAAAAAAAAAAAAAAAGAAAAAGAAAAAGAAAAAAAGGTATAATGGCCTCACAGTTCCACGTGGCTGGGGAGGCCTCACAATCATGGCGGAAGGTGAAAGGCACGTCTTACACAGCAGCAGGCAAGATAGAATAAGAGCCAAGAGAAAGGGGTTTCCCCCTATAAAACCATCAGCTCTTGTGAGACTTATTCACTACCATGAGAACAGTATGAAGGAAACTTCCCCCATAATTCCATTATCTTCCACCAGGTTTCTCCCACAACATGTGGGAATTACGGGAGCTATGATTCAAGATGAGATTTGGGTGGGGACACAGCCAAACCACATCAATAGGTAACATGGGAATTATGGGAGCTACAATTCAAGATGAGATTTGGGTGGGGACATGGCCAAACCATATTTCCATCCTCGCAGAAGATTCTATTGAATTGCATGTTTCAAAATATAAGCTTGTTGAGGCCAAATACCTTGTCCTTGCTCTATTTCCATTACCTGGAACAATGCCAGGCATAGACCAGGTACTTAGAAAATCTTTTTTGAATGGGTGACTGAAGAAATGAAGGGGAAGATGGGTGAATGTGTAGATGGAATGAGAATTGTGGGAGCTATCATTCAAGATGAGATTTGGTTGGGGACATAGCCAAACCATATCGGTAAGGAATGTTATTAATTACTTAAGTTAAATGTAACTAGCTCCTTATGGCTAGTGGCTACTATATTGGACATCACAATTTCATGTTATATGCCTGGGATTATTCTAGGTCCTGGAATGTGCCCAGCAATAAGGTCTTTTGGTTTCTTGCAGGCTACATTCCAGTGCCAGGGGAGTAAAAAATTAAATCCATCAGAAGCAGCTCAGATTGGGACAAATACTTTGAGGATAAATTGGGATGGTTGGATACAAAGATAATTTGGGGAAGGGGCTTAATCAGAGTGGTCAGAAGGGACATCTCTCTATTTTTTTCTTCAGACAGAGTCTTGCTCTGTCACCCAGGCTGGAGTGCAGTGGTGCAATCACAGCTCACTGCAGCCTCAAACTCCTGGACTAAAGCAATCCTCCTGCCTTAGTCTCCCAAGTAGCTGGAACTACAGGTGTGAGCCACCAAACCCAGCTGATTTTTGTATTTTTTTGTGGAGATAGAGTGTTGCTATGTTGCCCAAGCTGGTCTCAAACTCCTGGCCTCCAGTGATCCTCCTGCCTTGGCCTCCCAAAGTGCTGGGGTTACAGGCATGAGTCACCATGCCCTGCCAGAATGGGCATCTCTTAAAGATGAGCTGTCTCAGGTTGGGTTCCCCAGGGCTCCTCCTCTGTCCAAGAGCAGAGACAGCAGGCAGGAGGCTTATCAGGGAGTTTCCTTGGGATCAGTTATGGAAGGGAAGGGAAGGAACTGGGATTGGACAGAGGGAGAGGTTGAGCCACGGTGCAGGCTCTACAACCTCAGCGGAACAGACGGGAGCTCTGGATGTAGCTCTTTTTGAGTTATCTCACTTGGACTGGAATAGCCAGGCCTTTAAACCCAGCATTGGTCATTCGTTAGTTGTGGCCTACCCTGGGAAGGGCATGGTTTGGGCGAGGGAGGCCATTTTGAAGCTGAGACCATCTCTGATTTGGGCTGAACACCAAAGGCTGCCTGCAGACAGCACTCACTGGAGCTGGGCAGCAAGTCCTTTCTTGAAGGGGGATCTAGGAAGCCCACGTCTATCTCCATCACAGGGGCAATTCCACGGACAATGAGTGAAGGGAGGAGGAGACTGCAGGAAGACAAGGGGTAAGAGAATTCCAGCACAAGGAAGACACGGAGGCGGGGGGAGGAGGAGGAGAGGGAGAAGGAGAGGGAGGAGGAGAAGGAGGAGGTGAAGAGGGAAAAGGAGAAGGAGAGGGAGGAGGAGAAGGAGGAGGAGAAGGAGAGGGAGGAGGAGAAGGAGGTGGAGAGGGAGGAGGAGAAGAGGGAGGAGTAGAAGAAGGAGGACAAGAGGGAGTAGGAGAGGAGTAAGAGGAGACATGGAGGAGAAGGAGGAGAAGATGGAGGAGGAGGAGAGGGAGAAGAAGAGTGAAAGGAAGAAGAAGAAAGAACAAGAACAACAATGTGAATTTCCATCTGGGCTGAGAGGGAATCAGATTCTGTAATCAGTTCTTGATATCTGCCATGGGCACAGGGAGGGAATGGTTGAGGCAGTCTTGTGGTGAATTTTCTACCCTCTGTTTACTTCCTAATTTATTCATTAATAATTTAATATGTATCTACAAACACCCCACCCAAATCTGTGATTTCCCTCAGAAGACAGAGCAGGCTGTAATGACTCCTAGAGGTCCCTGGCCTGAGAGTCTGACCTCTCCACACTATGAGACTCGACAGCCTGGCTACCAATCTTTCCTTCCCCACACATTCACCATCGGTCTCATCTTAGGAAGCAGAAAAGGCAGATCCCAGGGTTAAATCAAGACTCCTTTATTGGTGGTTATGCCGCATTCTCTCTACGTTCTTCACAAAGGACCAGCTGATTGAAGCAGGTGGTGCAGAGGGTATTTCTAAAGGTGGTTATTTAAGCTTGACAGATGCAATGAAAAAGACAAATCTGTGCTCAGCCTCAGTATGGCGGCAGTCTTCCTCTGAAGATATTTCTCCTTTCCTTGAAAATAGAAGCAAAGATCTGAGTTTAATGAATAAGTAGGCATTGACTCAAAGAGGAAGGTGAATTAAAAATGACTTTGTATTGGTTTTCCAGACTTAGTCGGAAGCAGCTGAGCTGAGAGGAATCAGACGCCCCCACCCCCACATCCCTGCCTAGCTCATAGGAGCAAGGAGATCAATGAACAATGAGCTCCTCAATCTCACCTCTATGCTAAGGGGAAGGGGACCTGCAAAGTGCCAGTTCTGCTGTGATGGACAGAAGTCAGAGGCTGGACGCTGTTCCTAGTCCTAGCCACAGACTGAACGCCACTGTGGGTGTTTTTTAATATCTACCCTGTTAAGATGGTGCCCAGAGTTCCAAACCCCCTCCTTTCCCTCTCCTCTATTCCAGGAAGATGATTTTCATTACCAAGGCAAAATTCAGGAAGGGCCCGCTAATTTAGTGTCATCCATAAGCCACATGCATTGTAAGGACAGACATTGCTAGAACCACCAGGGTTTTCCACCCCAAAGGGAGGAGGGATGGGGTTTTGTCTACACATCTGATGAAAGGGCTTCTCTTTTTTTATTTAGATTCCAGAAGTCACAGAGCAGTGAGGTCAGTTGATCCATGCGGGAGATTTAGAGACCATTTCTACAGGCTGGAGAACATCTTTCAAGCTTAAATAACCACCTTTAGAAATACCCTCTGCACCACCTGCTTCAATCAGCTGGTCCTTTGTGAAGAATGTAGAGAGAGGAAAAGACTAGAAGAAAAGGAGGGATAGGCCAGGTACAGTGACTCACGCCTGTAATCCCAGCACTTTGGGAGGCCGAGTTGGATGGATCACCTGAGGTCAGGAGTTTGAGACCAGCCTGGCCAACATGGTGAAACCCCGTCTCTACTAAAAATACAAAAAAAAAAAAAAAAAAATTGCTGGGCATGGTGGCACACCCCTGTAATCCCAGCTACTCAGGAGGCTGAGGTGGGAGAATTTCTTGAACCCAGGAGGCAGAGGCTGCAGTGAGCTGAGATTGCACCACTGCACTCCAGCCTGGGCGACAGAGTGAGACCCCGTCTCAAAAAAAATAAATAAATAAAATAAAGAAAAAGAAAAAAATAAAGAAAGAAGAAAGAAAAAAGAAAAAAAGAAAAGAGGGATAAAGTTGGTTCTGTGGAGGTACTTGATGACCAGCGGGCTGAGGTGGGGCAGGAGGCCCAAATGGTGAAGGAAGAGAAATAAACCCCATTTTTCCCTTGGTCAGCTACTCAGTGATGGGGGCAATGGATGCACACCATGGTGTCTTGGCTTCTGGGTTATCCTTCCTTTCCTTGCTTCCTTCCCTCCTTCCCTTTCTTCCCTCCCTCCCTCCCTTCCTTCCTTCCTCCCTCCCTTCCTTCCCTTCCTTTCCCTTCCCTTTTCTTCCTTCTTTCCTTCCTCCCTTCCTTCCTTATTTCCTTCCTCTTTTCCTTCCCTCCCTCCCTTCCCTCCTCCCTTCCTCCATTCCTTCCCTCCTCCCTTTCCTACTTTCTCCCTTCCTCCTTCCCTCCCTCCCTCCTCCCTCACTTCCTCCCTCCCTCCTCCCTCCTTTCCTCTCTTCCTTCCTCCCTTCCTTCTTTCCTTCCTCCCTCCCTTCCTTCTTTCCCTCTCTCCTTCCTTTCTTCTCTCCTTCCTTCCTTTCCTCCCTCCTTTCTTCTTTCCTCCCTCTCTCTACCTCCTTTCTTTCCTCTTTCTTCCTTCCCTCCCTCCTTCCTTCCCTCCTTCCTTCCTTTCCCCTCCGTTCTTTCTTCCCTCCCTTCCTCCTTCCTTCCCTCCCTCCCTCCTTTCTTCCCTTCCTCTCTCTTTTCCTCCCTCTCTCTTTCCTTCCTTCCTTCATCTTTCTTCCTTCTTTCCTTCCTTTCGTCCATCTTTCTCTTTTTCTTTCTTAGACAAGGTCTCACTCTGTTCCCCAGGCTGGGGTACAGTGGTGTAATCATAGCTCACTGCAACTCCTGAGTTCAAGGGATCCTCTGACCTCAGCCTCCTGAGTAGCTGGGACTACAGATGTGTGCTATCACACCCAACTAATTTTTTTTTTTTTTGTAGAGACAGGGTCTTGCTACATTGCCCAGGGTGGTCTCAAACTCCTGGCCTCAACTGATCCTCCTGCCTTGGCCTCCCAAAGCACTAGGATTACAGGTGTGAGTCACCACAGCTGGTCAGTTATCCCCTTTTCTGGGTTGTTTTTTCATACCATGCTCCACTTTGAGAAATTCCACTTTTCTAATCATCAACAGCCAAAGCCTCCCAGACTTGAAACTTGGAATGATACCTTCCTGGGTCTGAAAAAGTTTGCCAATCCCCCTCTGCTCTCCTGCTTCTGGGGGAAATCCCAATTTCTTTCATCCTTCTAATCTGGGGAGTTGTTCCAGTCTTCCCCAACTCCACCTTATCTTTGACAACAGGAGCCCGCATTGCTGGGAACCTCAGCTAATCAGACATGCTGGAAAAGCAACAGATCTCGCCTTCACATCAGCGACGCTAATCAGACACGCTTGAAAAAGCAGATCTCGCCTTCGCATCAGTGACACACCAGTTGTGCACCTGTCTCACCTCTGCATCCGTGAAATGACCACTGTTGGTCCCTGCTCTCACCTCAGCATCAGCAATACACCCAGGTGTGGTCTTGGTCGTAGTTGTAAGAAGTTGCACACCACACAAGGTTCTCCTTTGATCCTTCGTTAGTGCAGTTAAAATAATTCTTGTTTTTATAGTTGAACGGAAAGTGACAAGGAAAGCCAGGGACCAACGCGGAAATTCCTAGGAAGCAGAAGGGGATAAAACAAAGGTTACTCCTCAGGCTTCACACTGTCGTAGAGGCGTGGGCTTCAGGCCCACCCTAGATTTCAAATTGGGGCTGAGTGTGGTGGTTCGCGCCTTTAATCCCAGCATTTAATCGCGCGCATTTAATCCCAGCTCAGTTGTGAGGCTGAGCCAGGAGGATCATGTGAAGCCAGGAGTTCAATACCAGCCTGGGCAACATAGTGAAACCCCGTCCCTACAAAAAAAATTTTTTTAATTAGTTGGGTGTGGTGTATGCCTGTAGTCCCAGCTACTCGGGAGGTTGAGGCAGGAGGATTGCTGGAGCCTGGGAGGTCGAGGCGGCATTGAGCCATGATTGCACCACTGCACTGTAGCCTAGGTGACAGATGGAGATCCGGTCTCTAAAATATAAAATGTGGCTGCGCTTTGTGGCTCATGCCTGTAATCCCAACACTTTGGGAGGCTGAGGCAGGCAGATGACTTGAGGTCAGGAGTTTGAGACCAGCCTGGCCAACGTGGTGAAACCCCATCTCTACTAAAAAAATACATATATACAAAAATTAGCTAGGTGTGGTGCCAAGCGCCTGTAATCCCAGCTACTTGGGAGGCTGAGGCAGAAGAATCGCTTGAACCCAGGAGGCGGAGGTTGCAGTGAGCCGAGATCACGCCACTGCACTCCAGCCTGGGCGACAGAGTGAGATTCCGTCTCAAAAATAAAATAAAATAAAACAAAATATAAAAAGTAAAAAAAAAAAAAAACTAAAAAATAAAATCTGGGTAAACCCTACACATGAAGACACTGCCTGGGCACTGCTCAGAATGCCGACCTAAACCTAAGCCAAAGAAGAATTTTGTTCACAGTACAAGAGCTGAAATGAGCCGAAAGAGCACCCCCTTGTTCCCCCTTGGCTGAGAACATGAGTGTTGGGAGACTCAAACTCAAACTTCCTAACTCTGTGTGTGTCCACAAATGACCACAGAAGCACCACAAGTATCAATTTTCTGAGTGACAAAGTTTAGCGAGTAGGCACATTTGCACCTGTGGAATCCATGAAAGATGAGGACGTAAATGATGTCCTCATGAAAGATGACCCCATAAATAGTACAAACTGGAAGCCTCTATCCACAGCAGCTTGAGGCAACAGAGGGTAAATGGGTCTCAATTTTTGCTGTCACATCTCCCATGACCAGCTGAGAAATAATTTATTTTATTTAGGAAAGTCCCAAGTTGTTGGAACAACACACCCCCCCACCCACAGCTATTCGGACTGACCCCTTGCCCGGAGTGGCGCAGAAATATAACTCCTTCTAGTTCCTCTTTGCCCAAGGACTTCCCTTTCCTTTCCACTGGGTCTTGGGTATTTTCTTCCCTCAGAAGCTATCAAGAGTGTAGGACATGAGAAAGGCTGGAAGATAGGGCAGGCACTGGAATAGGGAAGAAGGGCAGAGTGGAAGCACAGAGGGCCCTGGAGGAAGGAGGGAGAAGGAGAATGCTGGTCACCAGGAGCACCTGGTGGATGGAGGATTTGTCTCAGAGGACTAATTCCAGTGTCCTCATCTTTCATGGATTCCACAGGTGCAAATGCGTCAACTCGCTAAACTTTGTCACTGATGAAATCGACACTCATGACGCTTCTGTGGTCATTTGTGGACACACACAGGAGAGGAAATTTGAGTCTGAGTCTCCCAACACACATGTTCTCACCCAAGGGGGAACAAGGGGATGCTCTTTTGGCTCACTTCAGCTCTTGTACTGTGAACAGGTGCACTTTAGCAGTATAGTATTATGTTTTCCAAATGTTTGAGCCTTTTGTTGGGTGATTTCACTGTTTGCTTATTTATTTATTTTAGACGCAAGGTCTCACTCTGTCACCCAGGCTGGAGTACAGAGGTGTGATCACAGCTCACTGCAGCCTCAACCTCCCAGGCTCAAGTGATCCTCCCATCTCAGCCTCCCAAAGTTCTGGGATTATAGGCGTGAGCCACCATTCGTGGCTCACACTGGGGTTTTTAAAAACCCTGGCGTGTGTTTACTCTGTATTTGCATCATGGTTAGGTGTTTAACATTTTGAGCATTTCATTTTGGCACCTTTCTCTTGGATTTTAAAGCCTGTGGCATATCACATCATTGACATTATTCGTGAGCCAGAACTCTGTCTGCCGGATTCATCACCAGATCCTCAGTGCCCAACTCAGTGCCTGGCTCACAGTGGGGTTTCAGGAGGTGTTTGTTGAGCAAATGAAAGAAAGACTCCACCCACACCCACCCAACCCCCATCCCCAGATTACTGGTGTCGGCACAGAAACTCCACTTTCCATCCTTATCCATGTTCTCTGTGGTTGGGCACCAGAGCTTGTTGCTTTCATCCTCCATGCAATCAGAGACCACATTATTTCTGTAGATGGAGGGGAAGATGCAGGGCTTCCTGAGAGAATTTCCCCCATACTCTGAAAAGGATTATGGAAAGGTTACGGGTCAAGAAGAGGAGATGAAAAGAGCTTCCATTTATGACACACAAACTGTGCCACGCTTTATCCCATTAAAGGCAACGTCACATTGGATTCTCCAAGCAACTTCCGGATGACGTTATTATCCCAATGTTACGGATAAGTGAGAACCAAAACTATCAACTCGTGCACAGCTTACTGTCTCTATTAACACGACTTCACGGTTCTGCGGTCGCCATCACCTTGACTCTACTAAGCTAGGAAATTCTTGCCCAGGAAGATAAGAGTTGCGAATAGCCCTATTATTCATTCCAGAAGCCTCCAGAAAAGCTAGTTACATAAATATCGATTGTGTCAAAACACTATTTACTCTCCTAGACTCTTTAAAACCCCATCTTTGGTCATTTCACCTTGCTGTGAACACCAATCCTAACTATTATATCATGATCCTTACACAATCCAAATCACATCCCCCATTGAAAGACCCACCTTAGACGAGACTCCAAGACCCCATCAATATGCTGAGTTTTCCCTCCCCACTTCGAGACGTTATTTTTTATTTTTTTAGATGGAGTCTTTCTCTGTCAACCAGGCTGGAGTGCAGTGGTACGATCTCGGCTCACTGCAACCTCCACTTCCCGGGTTCAAGAGATTCTTCTGCCTCAGCCTCCCGAGTAGCTGAGATTACAGGCATGCACCACCATGCGTCGCTAATTTTTCTATTTTTATTAGAGAAGGGGTTTCACCATGTTGGCCAGGCAGGTCTTGAACTCCTGACCTCAGGTGATTCACCTGCCTCGGCCTCCCACAGTGCTGGGATTACAGGCATGAGCCACCACGCCCAGCCCAAGACGTTATTAAGATGCTGTCAAGGAAGTGAGCAATAAACTCAGTCTTGCCTAATTAGCAGGCTTTTTTTTTTAATTTCCTTTGGTGGTCTTTCATGGGGAGCTAGAATTTGACTAAGGGGTTGGGGTTTTCAGGCAGTAATGACTGGTGATTAAGAGCACAAATTCTGAAGGTTAGACTTCCTGGGATCAAAATCACAGCTTTGCTTCTATTAACCTCAGTTTGTCCATGTGTAAAACTGGGCTAATAATCACATTTACCTGATAGAGATTATTGTATGGAATAGATGAGTTATTTCATGTGAAGCACTTAAAATACTGCCTGGCACATAGAAAATGCTTATTAAAAGTTCATTATGTTATGATAATTATTACTTCTATGATCTAATGTGTCCAAGATCACATAGATGGTAAGGGAAACAACAGAATTCCAACTCGGGTCTAACTTCAAAGCCCATTTTTTTGCCTAGTGTCTCAGATGATAGCAGAAGAAAGCTCACATTTCTTGGGTACCTGGTATGGCATCACCATCAATCCTGCATGAAAATAAACTCCAGTCTTTACAAAAACCCTGTGATGCCAGCCTTAGCATTCTCATTTTGCAGATAATAAAAGTGACTTCCCAGGCACGAATTTCCTGGGTTAGTAGAGTCAAGTTGATGATGACTGTGAAGCGGTAAAGCTATGTTCATGGAGACAGTAGCATGCAGCCATGGGTGGTCTTGGTTCTCACTTATCCATAGAAAGGAAATAATCAACAACTTTCTTAACCTAATGGGGAAGCCAAAGCTAAAAGGTATCTCTTCTTGGACATCCGTTTGGTGATTTATGCAAATTTGAATCTGTTACTCCATCAAAACTGGGTCTAAGGAGATTGGATAGTTTTAAGGATAAACAGGAGCTTAGATATTAAGGTTATATTACCACAAAAGTGATGTTTCTTTTCCTCCTTTTTTTTTTTTTTTTTTTTTTTTGAGACAAGATCTCACTCTGTTGCCCAGGCTGGAATGCCATGATGTGATCATAGCTCACTGCAGCCTCAAACTCCTGGGCTCAAGGAATCCTCCCACCTCAGCCTCCCCAAGTAGCTGGGACTACAGGCACGCACCACCATGATCAGTTAATTTTTTAATTCTTGTTTTTACAGAGCGGGTCTTCCTATGTTGCCTAGGCTGGTCTCAAATTCCTGGCCTCAGGCAATTCTCCTGCCTCAGCCTCCCAATCCCTTTTGGGATTACAGGCATGAGCCACTGAGCCTGGTCTCACTGATACCTTTCCTAATTCATCTATTTGGTTTAGGGTTAAGAAATGGCTAAGGTTATGAATTAATGATGTATTAATGACAGAGTATATTATTAATGTATTTATTAATGATGGAATGTATGTATTAATGATACAATTTAGAGTTAGGAATGGAAATGGAGAAAGAGTTGGACTTGGGATGAAAGATTAGGTTAACTACTAGGACAAAGCTATAGTGAGATTTAAGGTTAAGTTTTGTTTATAGTAAAGAACACAAATGGTGGATGATTAGGGCTAGAATAAAATTAAGGTTTAGATGGAATTAGGATTTGTTGAGTGCTAAGGGAACAACAGAATTAAGATTTTTACGCAAGAGTAAGCATGCCTACGAATAACTGCCTTCACACATCTTTGTCTCTGTGGACGCAACAATGCTTAAGGAGAGAGCATGGGCTTTGGAACTATATGGACTAGAACTCAAGCTCTAATTCTAATATAGTGTAGGACTGTGACCTTGGGAAGGGCTCAGTTATACTGGGACCATTTATTGAACAGGTGGTGGCGAGCAGCAGCTCATAGAGCTGCTATGGAAAGATTCAACAGGATATTGTATACAAAGCTCTTGGATCAGTGTAGGACAGAGAGGACATTCAATGAATTTTGGTCATTATTCACCTAAGATTATGTGTAGACTTAATATGATGTTAGGCTGCATTGAAATGCAGGTCAGGGCCAGGCACAGTGCCTCATGCCTGTAATCCTAGCATTTTGGGAGGCCGAGGCGGATGGATCACCTGAGACCAGGAGTTCAAGACCAGCCTGGCCAACATGGTGAAACCCCGTGCCTGCTAAAAATACAAAAATTAGCTGGGTGTGGTGGTGGGCGCCTGCAATCCCAGCTACTCAGGAGGCTGAGGCAGGAGAATCCTTTGAACCTGGGAGGCAGAGGTTGCAGTGACCTGAGATCATTCCACTGCACTCCAGCCTGAGTGACAGAGCAAGACCCTGTAAAAAACAGAAGAAAGAAAGAGAAAAAGAAAGAAAGAGAGAGATGAAGGGAGGAAGGAAGGAAGGAAGGAAGGAAGGAAGGAAGGAAGGAAGAAAGAAAGAAAGAAAGAAAGAAAGAAAGAAAGAAAGAAAGAAAGAAAGAAAGAAAGAAAGAAGGAAAGAAAAGAAAGAGAAAAGGGAGGGAGGGAGGAAGGGAGGGAGGAAAGGAAAGAAAGGAAAGGAAGGAAGGAAGCAAGGAAGGAAGGAAGGAAAGAAAAGGCAGTTTGGGTCCATCAGTGGGTGAATCTCACTATTGTCAGTTCTAGAAACAGAAATACTCAGAAGCCAATATCAGGACTTCAGCTCATTGTTTCAGTTCTCAGGACTCCTGTCTTTTCATGCTGGACTGGGGACTGGGCGAATGGCCTCGGGATACCCCTGTCTGTCGTTGTCATAGCGAACTCTCTGAGCAGACACTTGGCTCCTGTAAGTACTTCCCCCTGGGTGCTCTGGTCTCTACCTTGCCCAGCCTCCCCTCAGGAGGATCCATGCTGTCCACTCTCCCTCCCACCACACATCCCATCCCTGCTACAGGGGCTCACCATTCGTTTCACAGAATTTCCACTGCTGTTTCTCATCGAAGACAGAGGTGACTGAGCACCACAGACTGCCTAAGAAGCTGCCCTGGGAGATGCAGCTGTTATAAGCCTTTCCTCGATAGATGAAAGGGAAGATACAGCGTGGGTAATCTGTTAGGAACAGAGTTCGTGAGTGTCTTAACTTCCTCTAGTCGTTCACAGGACAGAGTCATTTAATCATCAATCAACCATCATAGGACAGGACAGACATAAGGTTCAGAAGAGACTTTATGCATTATTTCATCAAGCATTTGCCTATGCCATATACATCTGATTCTTGAACAACACAAGTTTGAACTCGGGTCCACTTATATGTGAGTTTCTTTTCTTTTCTTTTCTTTTTTTCGAGACAGAGTCTCACTCTGTTGCCCAGATTAGAGTGCAATAGCGAGATCTTGGCTCACTGCAACCTCTGCCTCTTGGGTTCAAGCAATTCTCCTGCCTCAGCCTCCCGAGTAGCTGGGATTACAGATGCCTGCCACCACACCCAGCTAATTTTTTTTAATTTTTAGTAGAGATGGGGTGTCGCCATGTTGCCCAGGCTGGTCTCGAACTCCTGGCCTCAGGTGATCCACCCGCCTCGGCCTCCCAAAGTGCTGGGATTACAGGCATGAGCCACTGTGCCCAGTGGGCATGGGTGTTTTTCAAAAAAAGTTATGTTGAATGTGTCTGTCTCTCCTGCCTCCCCTTCCACCTCCTCCATTGCTTCTGCCTCTGTCATCCCAAGATGGTGAGACCAACCCTTCCTCTTCCTCCTCCTCCTCAACATGAAGATGATGCTAATGACCTTTATGCTGATCCATTCCCACTTAATGGATAGCAAACATATTTCCTCCTTTTTACCATTTTCTTATTAACATTTTCTTTTCTCTAGTTTCCTTTATTATGAGATACGGTATATAATACATAAGACATAAAACATATGTGTTAATTGACAGTTTATGTTACTGGTAAGCCGTCTCGTCAATAGCAGGCTATTAGTAGTTAAGTTTTGCTGGGATTACAGGCATGAGCCACCTCGCCCAGCCTCAAATCCCGTTTCTTACACTTCGTTTCCTTTTTCCTTATTAACTTAGAAAATTAAGAAAGGCATAAAGATGGGATGGTTCTATTGGGTCAACTAGTCTTACAGTATCACAAGACCCTCATCCAGAGAGCACTATTTTTAACACTAGCATTATTAACATTATTACCCATTATTAGCATTCATTGTCAGGCATCCCAGAGCCTTTTCTTTTTCTTTTTTTTTTATTTGTGGAAATTAAAAACAGTAATTATATATCATTTATTACCCATTACATTATCACTGATTTTTTTAAATTTTATTATTATTATAATTTAAGTTTTAGGGTACATGTGCACAATGTGCAGGTTTGTTACATATGTATACATGTGCCATGCTGGTGTGCTGCACCCATTAACTCGTCTTTAGCATTAGGTATATCTCCTAATGCTATCCCTCCCCCCGCCCCCCACCCCACAACAGTCCCCGGTGTGTGATGTTCCCCTTCCTGTGTCCATGTGTTCTCACACAAGTTAGAATGGCGATCATTAAAACCCAGAGCCTTTTCTACGCACGCATACGTATTACCGTTTGTCTGCAAAAATGTGATCATGTCATAGACAGTCACACATTCTCTTTTGTGATCCACCCTATTCAAAGGCCACTGGCAGGGACAATGTGATACCACTCACCTTCACTCTGGCAGTACTTCCACTGGCCGTTGTACACGGCTCTGGTGGCACACCAAGGGGATAAGCTATGAATATGGGTGCAAGTGAAGTAAACAGATCCCTTGTAGGTGAAAGGAAAGACACATTCCTCATGCATCCCTGAAGGGCAGAAGGAGAAAACAGGAGTGGGGAAGAATCACGATGAATTAGCAAAGGATGAGTCTTGGTTTGGCTCTTGCTTTAATATGAATGTCCGTGTTCCCTCCCTGCCCCCGCCGCAAAATTCATATGTTAAAATCCTAACCCCCACGGTCATGGTACGAGGGGCCTTTGGAAGGTGATTAGGTCGTAAGGGCAGAGCCTTCATGACTGAGATAAGAACCCTTATAAGAGACCCCAGAGAGCTAGCTAGCCCCTTCTACGATGTGAGGATACAGCAAGAAGGCACCATCTGTGAACCAGGAGGCAGGCCCTCACCAGCAACTGAAACTGCTGGTGACTTGCCCTTGGACTTCTCAGCCTCCAGAACTGGGAGACAGAAATTTATATTGTTTATAAGCTACGCAGTCAATGGTACTTTTTAAATTTTATTTTATTTACTTTTTTTTTTTTTGAGATGAAGTCTTACTCTGTCACCCAGGCTGGAGTGCAGTAGTCTGGTCTCAGCTCACTGCAACCTCCACCTCCTGGGTTCAAGAGATTCTCCTGCCTCAGCCTCTAAAGTAGCTGGGATTACAGGTGCCCGCCACCACACCTAGCAAATTTTTGTATTTTTAGTAGAGACGGGGTTTTGCCATGTTGGCCAGGCTGGTCTCAAACTCCTAACCTCAGGTGATCCTCCCACCTTGGCCTCCCACAGTGCTGGGATTACAGGCGTAAGCCACCATGCCTGGCCTGTGGTATTTTGTTATGGCAACCCAAATGGACTGAGACAGTTCTCATGGTGGCCTGAAGGCTACACACCTAGGCTTAGCATCCAATTTCCTAATGACATGTCAGAGCATATCCAGTTCATGTTGGGGCCAGGAGCACTGGGGAAGAGTTTCATACACAACCAAGACAACCGTGGTGTGTTGTTCCTTGAGACCACTGTTTCTCAGAGCATAAAATGGGGGGCCAATGACATTACACAAAATACTTTTTGGTGGATCACAAGATCACATTAGGTTATGTAAGGACACACATTAAATAATTTTGAAATATAGACTAGAAAAAAATCATTTTCCAGTGGTCCTTTTAGTCCTTCTGCTTACGCAAAAGAGAAAGCTTCAATTTAATAGTAGTATTTCTCTACTGCATCTCTAATACTTAATAATCTCCCATTTTAACAAAAAAGAGAGGGGGGTGGGGAGCAGGACTCAAACTCAAAGCTTTATTCGGACGATAGTCTAGCAGAATTTAATAATGGGATTTTGTTTTCATAGTACAGTATTTCTTTTTGGTCGTACTTCCTATTTATGGAAAGTGGTAGTGCTTTTTTATATTATAATACTGATGTTAACCAATCTCCCAAAATGAATTTTTTAAAGTGAAGAAAAGTAAGCAAATTTAAAGAAAAATGTTGAGTAAATAATAGTACTGGTGGTACCCAGATGTGGCAAATATTGAGGGGACAACTTTCGACGTCCTTATTCTTCTCAATGAGTACAGGAACTTTGTTTTTTGTGCAGTGTATCTACAGAACCTAGAATAATTATTTGCTCAAGAAACAACAGAAACAATAAAATAAGTTTGGAAAAATGCCACGTGAAATAAAGTTAAACAGGTTTCTTTAATGAAGGACTCAACAGAAAAGTTAATATGAAAATGAGAATTGATGAATACAGTATATCGAGTTGTCCTTCTTTTTTTTCAAAATTCAATGGCACTAGAGACTAATGGTCCCTGAAATATATCAAAAAATGCTGTTCTCGGCCAGGCACAATGCTCCATGCCTGTAATCCCAGCACTTTGGGAGGCTGAGGTGGGCGGATCGCTTCAAGACCCGCCTGAGCAACAAAGTGAGACCCCCATCTCTACAAAAAAACAAACAAACAAGATTAGCCGGGCATGGTGGTGTGCCCCTGTAATCCCAGCTACTTGGGAGGCTGAGGGGAAGACCCTTTGAGCCTGAGTAGTTGAGGCCACAGTGAGCCATGATTGCACCACTGTACTCCAGCCTGGGTGACAGAGTGAGACCCTGTCTGAAAACAAAACAAAACAGAACAAAACAAAAAACAAAAACGGTGTTCTGCAGAATTTTGATGTGTAAATTTTTTTGAAAAAAGAAAGAAATGCTATTCTATCCCAAATTCCTCATTACATGAAAACCCACGTACAATAAGGACTAATTAAAGTTGATTGCTTTTTTTTTGTAGACCTGGGATGAGAGCTCAACTTGCTCAACTGTTAGTTCATTGCATTTTTCACCTTGTTTCTCAGAACTGTTTGGTATTTATTTTTGTGAAACTTAAACCAGTTTAAATCTGGAAAGTGCTTAGAAGAGTACCTGGAGCATGGCTGCTGCTTAATAAATATTAGCTATGATTATCATTGTCATCATCATCATCATTACCATCACTGTCATCATCATCATTCTCCACGCTATTGTCATTGGCATCATCATAATGCTCATCATCATTGTCATGATCATCATCATCAGTCATTGTCACCATCATCAGTCTCATTATTGTCATTGTCATCAGGATGATGATCATCATCATCGTTGTCATCATCATTGTCATCATAATCCACCTCATTATTGTCATTATCATGTGATGATGATCATCATTGTCATCATCATCATTGTCATCATTATCAGTCATTGTCATCATCATTGTCATCATCATTATCAGTCATTGTCATTATCATCAACCTCATTATTGTCATTGTCATCATCATCACTGTCATCGTGATCATTATTCTCCTCCTCATCACATCATTATTGACATCATCATTATCATCGTCATCATCATTGTCACCATCATCATCATCATCGTCATAATTGTCATCATCATCAGTCATTGTCACCATCATTATCAACCTCATTATTGTCATTATCATGGTGATCATCATCGTCATTGTCATCATCATTATCAATCATTGTCATCATCATCATCAACCCCATTATTGTCATTCTCATCATCATTGTCATCATTATTGTAATCATTATTTTCCTCCTCATCACATCATTGTCATAATCATTATCATCATCGTCATCATCATCACTGTCACCATCATCATTGTCATTGTCGCTATTATTGTTGTCATCATTACCGTCATCATTGTCATCATCGTCATATCATCATCATCCTCATCATTATCATTGTCATCTTCACTGTCATTATTGTCATTATCAATGCTTTGCCTCAGTCACGAACACCACTGAGTATATAGGATACTGTGTTGAGGGAGAGGGCAGATGCCCCTGTAGGTGGAATTAAGGTTATCTTTGGGAGTCGTTAGTAAGAATCAGCACATAATGAATACTATTAGCCATCTGCAAAGTAATCCAGCAGATGGCCTAATCTTCTTAACTGAGTTACAATCCTCTATAATCCAGACCCTGCTGACCTGCCTGTTCTCACTCCCTGATTAACATTCCCTTGACCTTATTCCATGTTCTTTCTCGTCTTTGAGATTTTGGTCCTGCCCTTCACCCTGTCCTGAATGCCTTTCCTCTCTTCCCAGCTTTAGTCCCTGCTATTCATCCATGAAGACTTGGCTCAGTCTGGGTCAATACTCTTCCTCACACTTATAATACTCAGAGTCAATCTCTATAAATGAATGCAGTTGCCAATTTTTTAAAAATAATTCATTTATGTGTCTATAACTCCCGATTACTGTGAACTCTCTGAGTGGAGGGTTTAGGTTTTGTTTATTTCTGCACTTCTGGTCCATAACACAATGTCTGGAACTTAAAGATCACTCAGTAAGTGTATACTGAATAATTTATCTGTAAATACACGCAAAGGGAACTTGGAATACTGAGTTTCACCACAAGTATGTGGGTGTGGTCTCAGGGAGGCATGACAAAAATGAGATTATAACTAGAAAAGTGGATACCCCATCAAGTACATTGTTCCTTGTCTGAATAAACTGTGAGTTCCTAAACTTTCAGGAATTTGTCAGTTCTTTGAGAACCCAGAACTTCTCTCTAGGAGAATATTCATATGCCCTTATGGTTGAGATGGCTGTGTGTTCACCGAAATCAGTTTCACTTTCCTCCCAAATGCACTGCTACACTGCATCTCCCAGACTTGCTTGCAGTTAAGAGCCATATCAGTTTTGGCCAGTGGAAGCAGGAGAAAGGGATGAATGTCACTTCCTGTCCTGGCCAAAAGAAAACAAACAAACAAAAAACCCTCTCCTCCAAGGTCCTCCAGACTCTCTTGATACTTGTCTACAAGCTAAAAGCAAAGAAACCTCAGCAGACTCTGAAACCGTAGGGGATGTTGGGGCTCCAGGATGTAAGAAGCTTGGATCCCTGAATGACCATGTGGAGCATTGTTTCCTGACCAGATGCACCCTTCTGGGATTTTGCAGAACCAAGAAAAAAAAAATGTTATTGTGTCAAGCAGCTGATAGTTTGGATTTTGTTTGTTACAATAGCTATTCTCACTACCCTCATAAATACACACTTTTTTTAAAACGTAAATTCCAGTTTTCATGGACTCTAATCCTCACTCAATGACCCCAGGTTAGGAATCTCTGGAATAAAGAATGTGGGATCAAGGTGCATCAATATGCAAATGGTTCCTGAGCCTTATCCAGAGGAGAACGATTTATCAGGCAGAAAAGGATTCTAATTGTGAAGAATGACTCACCAAGGCTTGAGTGAATGACATGTAAGCAAGGTTTCCTCTTGTTCTGTTTCCATGCTTACCTTACAGTCTTTTAGTGGTTAATTTAGATTCTGAGATATATTAAGATATAATTAGGTTGTCCAGGTTGGGGTCTGAAGGTTCTGTTCACTGGAATTATATAGCCTGCCTTTTACCCCCACCATGTGCTGAGCATTATGAAAGATGCTGGTGCCCATTATTTTATTTGATCTTCAAAATAACCCCGTGAGATAAATGCCGTTACTTCTCTTTTACAGTCTGGAAATTGACTTCAGAGAGCTTATGTTGCTTGACCAAAGTTACCAAGAAAAGAAGTGGCAGATCCAGGGTCCAAACCCCAGGTCTTCTGAGATTTTTTTTTTTTTTTTTTGAGAGGGAGTTTTGCTCTTGTCTCCCAGTCTGGAGTTCAGTGGTACGATCTCGGCTCACTGCAACCTCCACCTCCTGGGTTCAAGCGATTCTCCTGCCTCAGCCTCCCAAGTAGCTGGGATTACAGGCGCTCACCACCATGCCTGGCTAATTTTTGTATTTTTAGTAGAGATGGGGTTTCACCATGTTGGGCAGGCTGCTCTGGAACTCCTGACCTCAAGTGATCTGCCTGCCTCAGCCCTGCAAAGTGCTGGGATTACAGGTGTCAGCCACCGCGCCCAGCTTCTTCTGAGATTTTTGCTAAGCCATCTCCTGCCTACTTAGTTCCAGGAATCTTTGCTTTGCCCCATTCATTCTTCTCCAGCTTCTAAATCCTCCCTGTTGCTTTGAGTGTCCTTACCTCCACTTGACTCATAGGAATAGAGAAGGAAGGTTGTCCATCCCAACAGGTAACTGGACCATCGGGTCATCTTGGCTGCCCTCTTCTCTGTGGAAAAGAAGACAAAAATTTTCATCCCACACGTCCCCTTCCTCTTCCCATTACCTCCTAGATTTGACGTCATACATGCCATTTTTCTTTCCATCCACAGTAATTTAAAAAATAGACCAGGCATGGTAGCTCACACCTGTAATCCCAGCATTTTGGGAGACCAAGACAAAGGATCGCTTAAAGCCAGAAGTTCAAGACCAGCCTGGACAACATAGTGAGACCCCACCTCTACAAAATTTTCATTTAAATTAGCCAGGCATGGTGGTGTATGCCTGTGGTCCCAGCTATTCAGGAGGCTGAGGCAAGAGGATCACTTGAGCCCAGGAGGTCAAGGCTGCAGTGAGCTATGATTGTGCCACTGTACTATAGCCTCAGTAACAGAGTGAGACCCTATCTCTAAATACACACATACACACACATATACCACACACACACATATGTTTCTACATATGTGTGTGTGATATGTGTGTGTGTTTCTACATGTGTGTATGTACAGGTTTGTAGCCTGGAAGCACAGGCTGTATCATATAGCCCAGGTGTGTAGCAGGCACTACCATCTAGGTTCGTGTGAGTACACTCTATGATGCTCACACAAGGACGACATTGCCTAACAATGCACTTCTCAGACTGTATTCCTGATGCATAACTCTACTGTCATGTACTGTCCTTAGGAAAGTGTGATGGAAAGAAAAAAATGAAACACTTGTTGAACACTTACTGTACTCCAGGCTCGATGTTCAACACACTTTATGTCACTTGGCTTTCATAAATCAAGTAATACATGTTTTAACCCCCATTTTATAGATGCAGAAACTAACACTCAGACCTGGATTGGTCACCCAGGGAGGAAAGGGCAGGGTCTGGGTTCTAACCCATATTAATGGCTGCAAGGGCCCTTCTCATTGTTGGAACCTTAACAATAGCCTTAAATCCTCCCCATGAATCACACTCATCTCCTTAGCTGGAGACGAAAGTCCTTCAGTGATTAGCATTTACCGTCCTCATTAACCATAGTTATTACTAGCTCTATTTTCCTTCGTGCCGTTTCCTTGATGACAGATGACCATGCCATTCTCAGCAGCAACAAGAACCCACAGTTTGGAATTGGTGGTCTGGATTTGACTTGAGTCTCAGCTACTATCACCACTTCTACGGCTGGCTCCCAATTATTGACTGCTTACTGTATACCGGATGTCCTAAGCTTTGTATCCACAATCCAATTTGCTCCTGAAAATCTAAGGGCAGGCATGATCATCTCCACTTCACAGAAAAGGGAAACTGAGGCTTGGGAGGTTAAGTAACTTACCAAAGGACCACAGCTGGTACGTGATGTATCTCAGAGTCAGTGCGGGCCTGTCTATACTAGTGTCAGAGTTCTTAGGCAACGTAAACCCCTTCCCCTCTATGAGCCTTTGTTTCCTCATCTGCAGAATGTATTTAGTCGTTCCTGTGTCTCCGGGTGGCCACGAGGGTCCAATTAGACCTTGATGTGAAAATGCTTTTCACTTGTAGATCGTTAGTGGCATTTATGAATTATTAAAGCCAAGGTCAGGATAGCTCGGGAAGGCATCAGATGGAACCAACTTTTAGCAAGAAACCCAGATACCGCCAGGAATCAAAATCCCAAAGTTACTGATTTAAGTCCTCCCACAGGTAGGTGGCACCACTGAGTATCTGAGCCACACAACACGCCCCAAACTTTTTTCCTCTCCCAACAGTGCTTGGCTCTCCCGCTACACATCAAAGTGTCTTTCTCCCTTTTTCTTGTCGTTCTTCCTTGAAGCCTTTTACTCTTAACCCCAGCACCATGCCTCAAACAGGCTTTTTCTGAGTGATGTCTCATTCACTACTTGTGAAGGACTCTCATTCTCTTTGGCTAGTGGCTCAGTCAGGACTTAGACCTGACAATGCAGGATGAATGAGTCAGATTCAAATCCCAGCTCCACCGTTTACCAGCTGGGTGACTTCAGGGAAATTACTTAAATTTTCTTTTTCTTTTCTTTTTTTTTTTTTTTTTTTTTTTTTTGAGACAGGGTCTCACTCTGTCGCCCAGACGCCCAGACTGGAGTGCAGTGGCACCACCTCAGCTCACGGCAACCTCCATCTGCCAGGCTCAAGCGATTCTCCTGCCTCAGCCTCCCAAGTAGCTGGGATTACAGGCACGTGCCACCACGCCTGGCTAATTTCTGTATTTTTAGTAGAGACAGGGTTTCACCACGTTGGCCAGGCTGGTCTTGAACTCCTGACCTCAAATGATCCACCCGCCTCGGCCTCTTAAAGTGCTAGTGTTACAGGCGTGAGCCACTGGGCCCAACCTTAAATTTTCTAAGCCTCAGTTTCGTCGTGTCAAAACATGAGGATGCTAATCCTATCTACCACTCAGCCTTGTTATGATGATTAACGACAATCATAAAAATATGACAGATTTGGGAGGCCAAGATGGGAGGATTGCTTGAGGCCAGGAGTTTGAGATCAGCCTGGACAACATAGTGAGACCTCATCTCTACAAAAATAAAAAAAATAGCCTTGCATGGTGGTGCATGCCTGTAGTCCCAGCTACTCAGGAAGCTGAGGTGGGAGGATCACTGGAGCCCAGGAGGTCGAGGCTGCAGTGCACTATGATCGCACCACTGCACTCCAGCCTGGGCGACACAGCAAGGCTCTGTCTCAAAACACAAAACAAAACAAAAAACAGATAAAACTCATTGAGTGCTACACACTATTCTAAATTCACTGTAATCCTGATAGGAAGTAGCCCAACGTGGTAGGTACCATTACTACCCCAGATATGCACAGATGGGGCACAGTAAGCTTAAGCACCTTGCTGAGGGTTACAGATCATGCAAGTTGGAGAACTTGCAAGTGAACTCCAACAATCTGACTCAGTTCAGAGTAATTGAGCTCTTAACCAATGTACGATGCTGCCTCTAGGCTTAACATGGGACCGGACATGTGCTAAGAACTCATAAATATCATCCAAAATAGTATTGTTCATATAGTATTGTTTCACTTCTGAGAGCCAGAACTGTATTTTCAACTGCCTCCCAGACATGTCCACCTAGATGTCCTTCAAGCATCTCAAATTCCAAGCTTTGGCTGTTGAGATACAGCCCAAAATATGCTATCCTTCCCCCATGTTACTTCATTTAATTGCACTATGTTCTTCTCAACCACCTGAGTTGTAGCCCCCAGTGTAGATCTGCTGTCCCTGTCTCTTGCTGTGTTCTATCAGTCAGTTGGTTCTACTTTCTGGAGCTCCTGAATCTATCCGCTTTTCCTGCCTCTGCTGTTAAAGACTAAAGGAAGGCCTTTTTCATTTCTCTTCTCAACTATTCAACTGTTGTCCTGTTGCCTCACTGATATGCAGCCTCCAGCCTCTCTCCTCTACAAGGCTGAGCTCTTTTTCTCTTTTTGTTTTTTTCTTTTTTCTTTTCTTTTTTTTTTTGAGACAGGGTCTTGCTCTGTCACCCAGGCTGCAGTGCAGTGGCGCCATCATGGCTCACTACAGCCTCCATCTCCCATCAAGTGATCCTCCCACCTCAGCCTCCCAAGTGGCTGGGACTACAGGCACGCATCACCACACCCAGCTAATTTTTAAACTATTATTATTGTTTGTAGAGACGAGGTCTTGCTATGTTGCCCAGGCTGGTCTCAAACTCCTGAGCCCAAGCCATCCTCCTGCGTAGCCTCCTAAGCACTGGGATTACAGGCAAGAGCCACTGTGCCCAGTATGGGCCCTTTCCTGATGCATGCTTTATGCATCCACTCAGGAATGAGTATTTATTGAGCATTTAAAAGATGTGGGGCCAGGGCTACACGATGAGTATGCAGCAGTGGGTAAAGCAGGCATAGGCCCTGCCTTCGTGGGGCTGAGAGTCAACCAAGGAGACAGATATGAAGCGAAGAAACCAGAAACAAATACAACTCTTCGCTGTGATCATTGCTGTGGACGAGTCTCAGGAACAACTAGGACAAGGTCACTTTTGATTGAGAGGTGAGGGGAGGGTGCTCTGAGAAATGACAGGTAAGCTGACACCTGGAGGAACAGATGGAGGAGGGAGACGTGAGAGGAGCTGGAGGTATGGGGGTGGGGGATACATCCAGGCAGGAGAAGCCGACGTGGAAACTGCCTGAGATGGAAAAAGCTAGATGTGCTCAAGGAGCAAGTGGGACCCGCATGGCTAAGGCCCAGGCTGGGCACAGTGGCTCATGCCTATAATCCCAGTGTTTTGGGAGGCTGAGCAGGAGGATGGCTTAAGCTTAGGAGTTTGAGACCAGCCTGGGCCACACAGTGACACCTCGTCTCTACAACAAGTGAGGAGGAGCAAGGCCACAGAGATGCATGGTGAGATGGATGGGACCGGACCCTGTAGAGCCTCCCTCAGATTCTAAATGCAACCAGAAGGCCAGGTGTGGTGGCTCATGCCTGTAATCCCAGCACCTTGGGAGGCCGAGGCGGGCAGATCATCTGAGGTCAGGAGTTCATGACCAGCCTGGTCAACATGGTAAAACCTCATCTCTACTAAAAGTACAAAAATTCCCTCCACATGATGGTGCGTGCCTGTAATTCCAGCTACTCGGGAGGCTGAGCCAGGAAAATCGCTTGAACCCAGGAGGCAGAGGTTGCTGTGAGCCGAGATCATACCACTGCACTCCAGCCTGGGCAACAGAGGAAGACTGTCTCAAAAGAATAGAATAGAATAGAATAGAATAGAATAGAATAGAATAGAATAGAATAGAATAGAATAGAATAGAATAGAAGCAACCAGAAGCCACGGGAGGGGTTAAAGTGAGGAGGAGTGGGCCGGACACGGTAGCTCATGCCTATAATTCCAGCACTTTGGGAGGATGAGGTGGGCAGATCGTCTGAGGTCAGGTGTTCGAGACCAGCCTGGCCAACATGGTGAAACTCCATCTCTACTAAAAATACAAAAAAAAAAAAAATTAGCTGGGCGTGGTAGCAGGTGCCTGTAGTCCCAGCTACTCAGGAGGCTGAGGAAGGAGAATCACTTGAACCCAGGAGGCGGAGGTTGCAGTGAGCCGAGATCGTGCCACTGCACTCCAGCCTGGGTGACAGAGCAAGACTCCATCAAAAAAAAAAAAAAAAAGAGCAGGGGTGGCATTTATTCATTCAAAATCCTCCATCACCTTTAGAATACAATCCCTAGTCCATACTGTGCCTTCCCTCAAACTCATTTCTTATCTTCCTTCCCCTCCCTCGATCTGCCTTTTAGTTGTTTCCTGCAGAAGCCACCTCAAGGCCTTTGCACTCGCTCTTCTCTTTGCCTGGGATGATCCCTTGACCCCAGCTATTTGCATGGCTTGCTTCTTTGTGCAATAAAGAGTTCTGTGCAAATTCGAAGAATTGGTAGCAACTGATGGTCTGGAAGGTTTATGACTCTGCACAGACCAAGTTATGGATATTCATAGAAAATATTTTAGGGGCCATTCAAAATAATTATTCAACTGTAAAACAAGCCCTAATAGCCAGACACCCATGTCTCGTCTGGAACATCCAGGTGAGGACCAAGTTATGCTTTGGGCACTGGCAGGTTCAGATGCTTGGAGAACCCTCTGTCCTGAGCCCCGGGGTGGTTGGGACCAGCATCCTGCCACCGCTGCTGTTTCTTGGCTGGTCGGAAAAAGGGTTGCTGTGGCTATGGAGTCAAACCACAGGAAAATATGGGGATAGTTTTTCCAATCATCAAATGAGGGAGAATAAACTCCACCTTGGGATCTTATACATGCAGCAGATGCTGGAAAGCACTGTGTAAATGTCAGAGGGGGCATACAAGCCAGATATTTTCATTACTATTTATGAAGACAGCATACAAGCCAGAATTTTTGTTTGTTTTTGAGATGAAGTCTTGCTCTGCACCCCAAGCTGGAGTGCAGTGGCACGATCTTAGCTCACTGCAACCTCCGCCTCCCCGGTTCAAGCAATTCTCTTGCCTCGGCCTCCTGAGTCACTGGGATTACAGGCACGAGCCATCACGCTCAGCTATTTTTTTGTCTTTTTAGTAGAGACACGGTTTCACCGTGTTGGCCAGGTTGGTTTTGAACTCCTGACCCCAAGTGATCTGCTTACCTGGGCCTCCCAAAGTGCTGGGATTACAGGCATGAGCCACTGCGCCCGGCCCAAGCGAGATGTTTTAATTACTATTTATGGAGATGGGGGAGAGACAAATTTTGCCACCTCCTCTAAACCCTTGACTACCTGCAGTGTCATGCTTATATTCCTGCCTGGCCCAAAACCCCAATTCCTACACCTTAATTGGTTCATTAACCTCAAGCTTTCATTTTGACCCTTCTCCTCAAGATTCAAATGAATAATTTTTGGCTTAGATGCTAAGATCCAGACAGGCAGAAGGTTATAATGCCAGAAAGAGCCTGCCCTGGAGCCCAACCACCTGGGTTTCCATGCTTTGCCTCTTACTACCTTTGTGACCCCAACAAAGTACTGAGTTTCCTGGGTCTCAGTCCTCATCCGCACAGTGGAAGGGATGGTGATCACTGTTGCTGCTACAGAATGTTAGTGTCGTTCATAGACGCTTGGTGGGTAGAATAATACCCACCCAACACAAATCTGTCCACGTCCTAATTCCTAGAGTCCACGAATATGCTAGGTTGCATGGCACAGTGGATTTTGCGGGCCAGTCATGGTAACTCATAATTGTCATCCCAGCACTTCAGGAAGCTGACGCAGGAGGATCACTCAAGCCCAGGAGTTTGAGATCAGCCTGGGCAACATAGTGAGACCTCGTATCTACAAAAAATCTTAAAATTAAAAAAAAACAGCCAGCATGGTGGCACATGCCTGCAGTCCTAGCTATTCGAGAGGCTGAGGTGGGAGGACTGGTTGAGCCCAGGAGGTCGAGATCAGCCTAGGTAACACAGTGAGACCCCTATCTACAAACAATCTTAAAAAAAAAAAGAAAGAAAACTAGCATGGTGGCACATGCCTGTAGTCCTGTCTACTCAAGAGGCTGAGGCAGGAGGATCACTTGCACCCAGGGTTTTGAGGCTGCAGTGAGCTATGATCCAGCCTGGGTGACAGAGCCAGACCCTGTCTCAAAAAAAGGAGTGTGGAAGACTTTGCAGATGTCATAAAGCTAAGGATCTTGAGATGGGAAGATGATCCGGGATTCCCCAGATGGACCCAATGTCATCACAAGGGCCCTTATAAAAGAGAGGTGGTGGGATGCCGAGGCGGGTGGATCACAAGGATCATGAGGTCAGGAGATTGAGACCATGCTGGCCAACATGGTGAAACCACGTCTCTACTACAAAAAAAAAAAAAATTAGCTGGGTGTGGTGTAATCCCAGCTACTCAGCTGTAATCCCAGCTACTCAGGAGGCTGAGGCAGGAGAATCTCTTGAACCAGGGAGTTAGAGGTTGCAGTGAGCCAAGATTGCACCACCACACTCCAGCCTGTCAACAGAGCGAGACTCTGTGTCAAAAAAAAAAAAAACAGAGAGAGAGGCAGGAGAGTCAGAAAACCAGGTGTGACAACAGAAAGCAGAGGTTAGAGTTATGCCAGGAAGAGGCCACGAGCCAAAGAATGCAGGCGACCTTTAGAAGCTGGAAGAAGCCAGGAAGCGGATTCTTCCCTACAGCCTCCAGAAGGAATGCAGCCTGGCTGGTACCCTGATCTTAGCCCCAGTGAGACTGACTCACAGAACTGTAAGAGAACAAATGTGTGTCAAGTCGGTTAGGTGTGTGGGGATTTGTTACAGCCACTGCAGAAAACTAATGCACACACAGGGGGCTGAAAACCCTGCCTGCCACATAAAACGTGCTTTGTAAATATTAATCGTTATCATTTTCATTATCTCTGTCCCATTTGAATCAGCCATCCTGGAACAGGTACGGAGCAAAGGTGTCTAACCTTAGGCTCCCTCTCAAGCCAGCTGTGTGGCTCCATGGACACACGCACAGCTCGGAGTCCTCATCTCCACAATGGAGAAATACGTAAGTGGTTGTGGCTTCGGAAAAGGGTAGCCTGTATACGAATTTCTGCTCATCCGTGTGACCTTCAGAGTGTTATGGAATGTATTTGACTCTCAGCTTTCTTTTCTATATATGAGACAACTGAAATCTATCCCGTAGGACTGTTTAATAATGAAATGAATGTAATCCCGGCACTTTGGGAGGCCGAGGAGGGCGAATCACAAGGTCATGAGTTAGAGACCAGCTTGACCAACATAGTGAAACCACGTCTCTACTAAAAATACAAAAATTAGCTGGGCGTGGTGGCACGCACTTGTAATCCCAGCTACTCAGGAGACTGAGGCAGGAGAATTGCTTGAACCCAGGAGGCAGAGGTTGCACTGAGCCAAGATCGTGCCAGTCTTGGCTCACTGCATTACAGCCTGGGCAGAGTGAGACTCCATCTATGGGGGATGGGGGAGGGGGCAGGATTTTTGGGGGGCGGCCGGGGTGGGGGAAGAATGAAATGATACAATGTAAGCAGAGTTCTTGGCACATGCTGAGTGCTCAACAAATAATCATGGTAAACATAGGCTGGGCGTGCGGGCTCAGGCCTGTAATCCCAGCACTTTGGGAGGCCAAGGTGGGAGGATCACTTGTGTTCAGGAGTTCAAGACCAGCTTGTGCAACGTAGTGAGACCCCCTCCTTCTCTACAAAATATTAAAAATTAGTTGAGCAAGATGGTGCACACCTGTAGTCCCAGCTACTCAGGAGGCTGAGGGGGAAGGATCACTTGAGCCCAGGATATTGAGGCTGCAGTGAGCTATGATTGCACCACTGCACTCCAGCCTGAATGACAGAGCGAGACCCCATTTCCTAAAAAAAAAAAAAAAATCACGTATGTGATAAATATTTGTTGTGTTCCTCCTACTATGTGGAGTTGTCGGTAGACTGGACAGGTGAAATTCCTTCTTGCATGAGGCTAATATTTTACTAGGGTGGGAAAGACAAAATACAAATGAGGTTTTCTGACCAGGGTGGTGGCTCACGCCTGTAATCCCAGCACTTTGGGAGGCCGAGGTGGGTGGATCACTTGAGGCCAGGAGTTCAAGACCAGCCTGGCCAACATGTTGAACCCCATCTCTACTAAAAATACAAAAATTAGCCAGGCGTGGTGACACATGCCTGTAATCCCAACTATTCCATAGGCTAAGGCACCAGAATTGTTTGAAGCCAGGAAGTGGAGGTTGCTGTGAGCCGAGATCACACCACTGCATTCCAGCCTGGGTGGCAGAGCGAGACTCTTTCTCAAAAAAAAAAAAAAAAAAAGAAATGAGGCTTTCAGTATGGGGTGGTGACAAGTTCCTGGAAATAGATAATGGTGATGATGGTGCAACATTGTGAATGTGCTTGTCGCCACTAAATTGTGCACTTTAAAATAGTTAAAATCATAATCTTATGTGTATTCTACCACAGTAACCAAAACCAAAATCATTTCAGAATATGAAAAGTGCAATGAAAAAAAATAATAAACAGGGGAATGTAAACAATCATGCCTGACAGATGTCTCCTTTGGTGGTCAGGGAAGGCCTCTCTGAGCAGGTGATGTTTGAACCAAAACCTAGAGTCAGCCACACACAGTGTGAGGAACAAGCATTCCAGGCACAGGGATCAGTGAGGGCAAAGCTGCTGATGTGGGAAACAATGTGACATGTTCTGACGCACAGAAGGGAGGGCCACATGGCTGGACCCTTCATTTTTCCCCTTAGGGTGGGCCTCCCGCATGCGCAGTGCCTCCTTTAGGCTTGGGAAGTGAGCATGCGCGGTGTGTTTACTGGACTTGTACACAAGCTCGTCTGAGACTTTCTTCCCTTTCCAGTGAAATGTCCCCCAAAAGGTTGGACTCTGCATTTTTTTTTTTTTTTTTTTTGAGACGGAGTCTGGCTCTGTCACCCAGGCTGGAATGCAGTGGCGCGATCTCGGCTCACTGCAAGCTCCGCCTCCCGGGTCCACGCCATTCTCCTGCCTCAGCCTCCCGCGTAGCTGGGACTACAGGCGCCCACCACCACGCTCGGCTGATTTTTTTGTATTTTTAGTAAAGACGGGGTTTCACTGTGTTAGCCAGGATGGTCTCGATCTCCTGACCTCGTGATCCGCCCGCCTCGGCCTCCCAAAGTGCTGGGATTACAGGCGTGAGCCACCGCGCCCCGGACTCTGCCATTTTGTCTCTTAATGCGCATGCCCGGGCTCATTAGCCCAATCCCTGAGATTGATTGATTGATTGATTGATTTTTTTTCTTTTTTTTGAGATGGAGTCTCACTCTGTCACTCAGGCTAGAGTGTAGTGGCACGATCTAAGCTCACTGCAACCTCTGTCCCCCGGTTCAAGCGATTCTCCTGCCTCAGCCTCCCGAGTAGCTGGTATTACAGGCGCCTGCCACTGCACCCGGCTAATTTTTGTATTTTTAGTAGAGACGGGGTTTCACCATCTTGGCCAGGCTGATCTTGAACTCCAGACCTCATGATCCACACACCTCAGCCCCCCTAAGTGCTGGGATTACAGGATTGAGCTACCGCGCCCAGGCCATCCTTGAGATTTTACTGGAAGCTGCTGACTACCAATTTTGGAGTAAGTGCAGAGGAACGAAAAGATGGTGACACTAGCAAACCTAGGTCAGAGCCTTGTAGTTCTCAGCAAGACACTGCATCTGTGTTCCCCATGCACATACATGTACAGAGTGTTTTCCTGAGCGGGCATGTGAGAAGCCACTGATATCAATCACCTCTGGAAGTGGGAACCAGGGGTAAATAGGAGACTTCTTTCCAATTAAGTTTTTATCACAGATGTGTGACTTATGTCTTTAAAAACAATTTAATTATGTATATACCTAGAAGAGAAGAGTTGCAATATTCCCAACACAAAGAAATGATAAATGTTGAAAGTAATGGATATCCTAAATACCCTGATTTGATCATTACTGTCTGCATGTATCAAAATATCACATCAGTGGCTCACACCTGTAATCCCAGCACTTTGGGAGGCTGAGGTGGGAGGATCACTTGAGACCAGGAATTTGAGACCAGCCTGGACAACAGAGTGGGACACCATGTCTATTAAATAAATAAATAAGGAAAAGAAAAAAAATCACGCGTACCTCAATAAATATATACAATTGTTGTGTATCAATAAAACATTTTAGAAACAGTAATTATACATGTATATGCACATACATAATGTGTATATACATATACGTGCACATGCCTGTATACATTATAGATGTGTATATATGTATACAGGCATGTGTAATATACACACATCATATGTGCACATATACAGGTATATGCATGCACATATGCTCACATGAAAACATGCAGAGTTAAAATGGTTTTTAAAAAAGATAGAACACCCTGAGTAAAGCAATAGGAGGCAGTTTAAAATCACAAAATGAAAAATCTGCAACAATGAGATGGCTGTCTTAGGAATGGATTAATTTTATGAGGTAGTTATTGACTTACCAAATTTATTGAACATCTATAGAGCAAAGCGCTGTGCCGGGGCCTCTTGGTGTTGGCATTCCAATTCCACTGGCATGCCAGTAATTAAAAACCTGTGTGGATGTTTCAGTGGTGCCTAGCAGAGTGACATTTAATAAGGTACTTCACAGCTTACCCCTCTATAAAATGGGGATGCTAATAAACAGTTCTACTTCATAGAGTTGTTGGGAGGATTGAATTAGATGAAAGATACAAAATGCTTAAGACAATGCGTGCTATAGAGATAACTCACAATAAATGTTGGCCATTAATGATGACGATGATGATGATGATAACATTCATTCACCATGCTAGACCGGCAGTAATTAATTAATTAAGCAAACATTTTGAGAATGTTCTAATTCTCTTCTTTTACTTTTGTTATTTATTGGCTTTCAAACTTTCCTGAAAATATTACCTTCTGAGAAATTTTTTCTCTGCTTAATGATACTCTTCATTGTTAATATTCCCTCATCCATCCATCCATCAACCATCCCTTTACCAACTCTTCTTTCATCATCCATCCATCCACCCATCCACCCATGTATCCTTCCACCCATTCTTACATCCATTCCTCCATCTATCCATCTTTTCATCTATCTTCTTCCATCATCCATACATCCATCCATCAATTCATCCACCCATTCATCCTTCCACCCATTCTTCCATCTGTCTATCAATTCTCCCATCCTTTTGCCCATCTTTCACCAGCCATCTATCTATCCACTCATCTGTCCATTCATTTATCCTTCTATTCATCCATTATTCATTGAATCCATCCTCTTATCATCCATCCATCAATCATTCATCAAATAAGTATTTAAGAAACCCACCATCCATAAGAAACTGTGTCAAGTACCAAGAGGAACCATACATGATTTCTGCCTTCAACAATCAGAGATAAATCGTTTCATCCATCCTTCAGTTTATTCATCCACTTCTCATCCATCCTTCCATCCATCCATTCTTTCACTGTTCATCCATTCTTCTATCCACCCATCCTTCCTTTCATTCTTTAATCTTCCTTCAATCCACCACCCATCCAATGAGTATTCAAGAACCCTATCATCTATAAGGAAATGTGGTGGGTACCAAGAGGAACCAGATATGATAGCTGTCTTCAAACAGCTATAGATAAGACATTGGCACCAATATCTACCACCCAACATGGAAAATAATGGCAGATACAACTGGTAGTATTAAGGCCCTGATAGGGTGCCCAAGAGGCAGCTTAGCCCACAGCCTCTGCCCTCTCGTTCTCTTAAGCCAAAATAATTTCACAGTGGAGCGGTGAGAAGATAATAGCACCCAACCAACCAGGGTTCAAATCCTACCTCTCCCATGTTTCAACTGGGTGGCCTTGGGAAGGTCATTTCACCTCTCTGAACTCCAAGTCAGTATTCCTATCTGTTTAGTGGAGATAAAACCTAAACTATAGAAGCCATTGTGAATAATTACAGGCACACATGGGGCTGTAAAGTCACTGAAGTATAGTGTACCTTCAAAATAATGAGTCCTTCTGCTTCTCAGCAGCAAATGACCCCAGATCTGAAACAAAACTTCAGTGTAAGCCTTCCCTCCACCTCTAGGCGCACACACACACCTCTTCTATTACATATTTAGGCTGCCTTTGGAGGGAGAAGCAACAGGATCTCAGTAAGCTCTTTTTGAATCTCAACTTTCTTTTTCCTAAAATAGGGAGAGTAAGCCTTACCTTGGAGAAATGGTCCAAACATTGACAGAACCATGAAGATTTTAATCCACTACCAAGAATTTAATAAGTAATTCACCCAGTCTCTTAACAGGTAACTTGTTCCCTTTTCTTCAGTTTCTTCCCTAAGCTTGGGATTCAGGCAACCTTCCTTAGCATTACATCATTCATAGAATCTGGTTTAACCCATTTCTTTGAGTTTATTAACAGAGAAAGGACCTCACCCACAAGACCACCTTCCCTACTTTCTCTGGCTGTCCCCTTCCAGAACCAATATGGCAGCCACCAGCTACTTCTGGTTCTTGAGCACTTGAAATGGGAAAGTTCAAATTGTTCTATGTTGTAAGTGTAAGATACCTATTGATTCTGAAGACAAAGTATAGGGAAAAAATGTAAAGTATCTCATTAATAATTATTTGTATTCATTATGTGTTGAAATGATAATCGTTTAGATATACATGGATTCCACAGAACATGTTATTAAAATAAATTGCACTCTTCTTAGTTTTTTAAAGTGCTTCTGCTATAAAACTTACAATGATTTATGTGGCTCGTATTATATTTCTAGTGCACCATGATGCTCTAGACCTTCCTTCTTTGCTATGGGGGCCCTAAGACCCCACTTGTCACACCCTCCCAAGTTTCCGGGTCAAAATGTACCTTTGAGAGAGTTCTTCTGGGCCCTGGCTCTCTCCACGATCTCTCTTTAAGGTTCTGCTCCCAAGAGCTCTGGATTATCTGGGGATTGGTTGAATGGCTTTGGCCCCAGCCTGTCTGTAGGACACAAAGGCAGCTTCTCAAAGGAGGGTTCTTCATCAGTGGTTACTGTCAGAAGGCAGTCTGGATGAGATCAGCTGTGGTTAATTTATGATGTCTGGAGATAAGCCCATGCATATCCACGAGGCCCATAAAATTCAGTCAAGTGTACACAGAAGGGGCCTTGCGGGGGCTGGGGTCAGGGACAAGAATATCAATGAACAGAGGAGGGAACGTTCCCAGAAATTCAGCTATGAGGAGCTGGAGAGGTTTCAGCTGAACAATGAAAAAGCCCTACTATTTTCTTTTCTTTTCTTTCTTTCTTTTTTTTTTTAGATAGAATTTTGCTCTGTTGCCCAGGCTGGAGTGCAATGGTATGATCTTGGCTTACCACAACCTCCACCTCCCGGGTTCAAGCCTTTCTCCTGCCTCAGCCTCCCAAGTAGCTGGGACCACAGACACATGCCACCACACCCAGCTAATTTTTGTATTTTTTAGGAGAGACAGGGTTTCACCAGGTTGGCCAGGCTAGTGTCAAATTCCTGGCCTCAGGTGATCTACCCACCTTGGCCTCCTAAAGTGCTGGGATTACAGGCATGAGCCACTGCACCCAGTCCACATTAACCTGCTAAGGGATTTTTGGATCTCGTATGGCTAATAATAAAGGGAAACTGATTGAAGAAATACTTGCAGAATGGGAAACTGATGACATGCAATGCAGTGAAGAGTGACATGAAACAAAGATGTTAAAGGGGAGAATGGGTGGCTCCGCAAATGTACAATGTCTTAGCACACTTGGTCTTCATAAAGTATCAATAATAATAGCAAAAAGGCAGTGTGCCAGAGACCACCCATTATGTTGTAGAATATAATCAAGATCTGTAAAAGATGTTCAAACAAGAAGGAAAGAGGTGCCAGGCACAGTGGCTCATGCCTGTAATCCCAGCACTTTGGGAGGCCGAGGCCGGTGGATCACCTGAGGTCAGGAATTCAAGACCAGCCTGGCCAACATGGTGAAACCCCATCTCTGCTGGGGTCTGCTGGCACACCCCAGCACACCCCAAAAATAAAATTTTTGTATTTTTGTAAAAATACAAAAATTAGCTGGGTCTGCTGGCACACGCCTCTGGTCCCAGCTGCTTGGGAGGCTGAGGCAGGAGAATCGCTTGAACTCAGGAGGTGGAGGTTTCAGTGAGCCAAGATCACGCTACCGCACTCCAGCCTGGGAAACAGAGTGAGACTCCATGTAAAAAAAAAAAAAAAAGAAAAGAAAGAAAAAAAAAGAAAAGAAAAAAGAAATGTTAGAAATAAGTGAAGGCAACAGTCATTTCCAAAAACTAGGATTCCTCAAAGGTATTTTTAAAGTCTTGGATAGGCTTTTATTTCATAAGAGTTTCTAATTTGATAGTTGCTGACATTTTTGACAGTTTAGTTGGGGGGAGGGCTTTCTTTTGACACTTTTTTCCAAAGGAGATTCCATCTTACTGAGAAAAAAAAATGGAGATGAAAAGATAGCCCGTTTTCCACAATTTTTTTCTGAGACAGGGTCTCACTCTGTTGCCCAGGCTAGAGTGCAGTGGTGCGATGATAGCTCCTGGCAGCCTCAAACTCCTGGGCTCAAACGATCCTCCTACCTCAACCTCCCAAAGTGCTGGGACAACAGGCACATGCCACCATGCTCGGCTAATTCGTCAATTTTTTTTTTGTAGAGATGGGGGGTCTCATTATGTTTCCCAGGCTGGTCTCAAACTCCTGGTTGCAAACGATCCTCCTACCTCAACCTCCCAAAGTGCTGGGACAACAGGCACATGCCACCATGCTCGGCTAATTCGTCAATTTTTTTTTTGTAGAGATGGGGGGTCTCATTATGTTTCCCAGGCTGGTCTCAAACTCCTGGTTGCAAACGATCCCCCTACCTTAACCTCCCAAAGCACTGGGATTGCAGACGTGAGCCGCTGTGCCCAGCCCCTCTTCTAAGAATAGTAACTAAGGGCCAGGCGTGGTGGCTCACGCCTGTAATCCCAGCACTTTGGGAGGCCAAGGCAGGTGGATCACCTTGTTTGAGATCAGCCTGACCAACATGGTGAAACTCTGTCTCTACTAAAAATACAAAAATTAGCCAGATGTAGTGGCAGGCTTCTGTAATCCCATTTACTCGGGAGGGTGAGGCAGGAGAATCGCTCGAACCTATGAGTCGGAGGTTGCAGTGAGCCAAGATTGCACCATTGCACTACAGCCTAGGCAACAAGAGCAAAATTCTGTCTCAAAAAAAAAAGGAACAGTAACTAAGAACACGTTGGGTTTCAGAATTCAGGATTAATCTGATTTTTCTTTTTTAAATACTTTTATTTATTTATTTATTTATTTCATAGTTGGAAATGTAGGTGTCCATAAGGCTGCACCACTTGTTCCTCAGAACTTCAAAGCCATCTGCAGCCCATTAGGTTAATCACCAAGGGCCTCCAGAGAACAGTGGCCCACACTGAAGGTTTGTGGAGCATCAACAAAGGTGCTTATATTAGGGAAGCAAACCTGCTTTTCCAAGAAGCCTCCCTGGGCCTCTCCAGGGGATTCTTGAGCCCTGGCTGACAAAGACCAGGAAGATCTGAGATACCGGGAAGCCTGTGACTGCCCATGGGCTCCCTGATGCTTCTCTTCGTGGAAACGACGCGAAATTCCTCAGCTTGCATCTTCCCTGTTATTTTAAGTATTTCTTTTTCTATATTTCTTCCTATGCAAGGTAGATAGCTTAACTTTGGAGCAGAGTGAGAGCAAGGAAGGAGGGAGAAGGTGGGGATGAAAGATGAAAGAAGAGGAGGAAGGGGAAGAGGGGAAGGAGGAGGAAGGAGAAGAGGCAGGGAAGGAGGTGGAAGAGGGAAGAGGAGGAAGAGAGGAAGGAGGAGGAGGGGAGAAAGAGGGAAAGGGGGGAGAAGGGGGGAGGAGGTGAAGAAGGAAGAGGAGGAGGGAGAGAAGGAGGGGAATGAGGGAGAGTAGGAAGAAGGAGGAGGAGAGGAGGAGGGGAGAAAGAGAAGGAAGAGGAGGAGGGGGAGGAGGAGCAGACGGAGGAGGAGGGGAAGGAGGAGGAGGAGGGAAGAGGAGGAAGAGGGGGAGGAGGAGGAGGGGGAGACAGAGGGGAAAGAGAGGGAGGAGGAGGATGACCGGGAGGAGGGGAAGAAAGAAGAAAAGGAGGAGGGGAGGAAAAGGAGGGGGAGGAGGAGGAGAAGGAAGAGAAGAAGAAGGAGGAGGAAAGGAAGGAGGAGGAGGAGAGGAGAAGGAGAAGGGAGAAAAAGAATGAGGAGGAGGAGAAGGTGAAAAAGGAGAGGGACAAGGAAGAAGTGGGGAGGAGGGAAAGAGAGGAGGGACAGGGAGGGGAAGTGGTTGTGGTTAGTTCCAGGGGCTATAAAATCTTGGACATCAGCTGGTCGACCACGAGTGTCTGACAGGAGCATGGCCCGGCACATGGGGCTCCTGCTGGTTTGGGTCTGCCTGATTCGCGGTGTGGTCGGTGGTGTGGTCGGCGCTGTATTTAACGTTCTGGAAGAAGGTGAGGAGACAGGTGACCCTGGCTGGGACGGAGTCCTGCACATCGGCTGCTGTATGTAATCAAATCCCAGTCGCCATGGAGGGCAACAGTCTCCCTTGCTTTAGGTACCTTAAGAAAGAAAAAGATACTCTCCCTTCCATGTCAGAAACACAATCCATAGGTAAAGATTTTTTAAAAAATAAGAAAGTTCGGCTAATAAAATAATGAAAGACTAAGAATGTAAATTGGAAAATCCTAGTGACATGTTACTTGAAAACCATGTGTCTCCTCCCTTCATGCTAGGAGATTTTAAATGCCTCCTGCAGAGGTTTTGAAAATGAGACTAATTTTCATAAAGTCGATTTTATTCCTTTTCCAAAGTCGTGTTGCCTGTAACAATTATGAAGCGAAATAGAAAAATAAGAAGGGAATTCACTATGGATGCATCTGACAACGTTTGATGAGGACTAAGCATAGTTTCAAAAACAATTTTTTATGGAATGACCAAGAAGAATGATCTTGCAGATATTTCTTTTAAGTATTCTTCAGGACATCTTTGCATTAAAAAAAAATAACACTGCTTGCTATTTTTTTTTAAAGAACAGAAAAGAAAATATACTCCCAATGTAACTATGACCACTGCTTTCTTATCCACTAGAATTATTTTATACTTACTGAAAAATAACACTGTACTTGGCCACAGGTTTTTTTTTTAAATCAGACATCATGTTTGTAGATACATAAAAAGGAATATAGATAAGTGGAAAAAGGCAAATTAAGACGATCCTAAAGCTTCTCCGCTGTCAATGTCTGGTCTCCTAATTTATGGATGTCATATTTTTCCACATAATACTTGTGCTATTCAGAGCCTTACTGATGAAGCATTTCTTTTAATAATGCATCAGAGAATAAAAACTCATGGGCCCCGGGCTCGTTAGCCTGTATTTTAAATGATGTGGTGCTAGTCTACTTTTGATCTGCAGAACTGTTGCCTATTCACTATCTCCCTCTCTCTCCCTTGCAAGCATCTGCCTCCTGGACTTATTGTCTCTTTTTTTTTTTTTTTTTTTTTTTGAGATGGAGTCTTGCTCTGTCACCCAGACTGGAGTGCTGTGGCATGATCTCGGCTCACCGCAACCTCAGCCTCCCAGATTCGAGCAATTCTCCTGCCTCAGCCTCCCGAGTAGCTGGGACTAAAGGCACGTGCCACCATGCCCAGCTAATTTTTGTATTTTTAGTAGAGACCAGGTTCCACCATGTTGGCCAGGCTGGTCTCGAACTCCTGATCTTCGGTGATTCACCCACCTCAGCCTCCCAAAGTGCTGGGATTATAGGCAGGAGCCACCGCACACAGCCTATTGTCTCTTAAGAGTTTCTTTTGAGCTACTGAGTAGCAAACTGCAAGTTTTTGATGCTGGTCGAATTCAATACAGACAATAACAGCTGGGTCCCCACAGCAATCCGGCTTGCAGATAATAAGATGTCGTCACAAATAAGCGGAAGGTGGGAACTCATAGACATCTAGGGCTCAAAGTCTTGCTGGAGGCCATAGGCTAAGCTTCGTTGGAACCCAGAGATGCTGGAGGGAAATCTGGACTCCTGAGCTTGCCAGGAGCAGTCAAGTGGGACAGAGGAGGTGAAGGGAGTCCCAGTTCTTGATGAGTGGGGATGTATGAGAGCTCTCAGCTATGGTTCCTCCTCATCCTCATCAGAGGAGCACTACATTTTGGTGTTTTAGAAGCAGTGACAGACTGGGTGCGGTGGCTCACACCTGTAATCCCAGCACTTTGGGAGGCCGAGGCGGGCGGATCACAAGGTCAGGAGTTCAAGACCAGCCTGGCCAACATGGTGAAACCCCGTCTCTACTAAAAATACAACAATTAGCCGGGCATGGTGGCAGGTGCCTATAATCCCAGCTACTCAGGAGGCTGAGGCAGGAGAATCACTTGAACCCAAGAGGCGGAGGTTGCAGTGACCTGAGATCATGCCATTGCACTCCAGCCTGGGCAACAAGAGCAAGACTCCATCTCAAAATAATAATAATAATAATAATAATAATAATAATAATAATAATAATAATAAAACGGTGACTTGATAGGTTTGCTGGATGCACAGATGCAGAGACTAAATAGCATGAGCATCTCCACTCATGAGCATGTGATATGCACCCCCACCTCTTCCCACTAGTGCACGATCTAGTGGGAAGACAGAAGAGGAAACAGACCATGTGTATGGCACATGCTAAATCAGCTATACGCCTAGCCTGAAAAAGAAAAAATAATTGAATTGGCAAGACTTCACAAAGGACTTGATTGAGTGATCTTGTTCCAGGGCTAGGAATTTGCCATGTCCAACATGTAATTACTATTCCAACTTGATGGGTTGCCTAAGGGATTACATGGGAGTGGGGTCCCTTGCGGGGAGAACTGTCCAGGTGTGTAGACCCGGACATGCTTCGTGCACCCAGAACTCTGGGGTTTTCACTTTTGCCAGTTCAGGCTTTGGTGCGGTAGGACTGCCCACCAACCGATCGTTTGATGTCAACAAACGTTTGTGCTAAAATGTGAATCTTGCATTGCAAGAGCCATTATTATTTAAAGAGGATGAGGAGGAACCATGGCTAAGAGCTCTCATGCACCCCCACTCACCAAGAACTGAAGGCTCCTCTCGCCTCCTCTGTCCCACTCAACTCTGCTCCTGGCAAGCTCAGGAGACCAGTTTTCCCTCCAGCATCTCCGGGTTCCAACCAAGCTTAGCCTGTGGCCTCAAGCAAGACTTTGAGTCCTGGATGTCTGTGAGTTCCCACATCTGAAACAGGAGGATCGTGATTCTTGCTGACTCCCAGGGTTGCTGGAAGATTAAATGGGTTAGCATGCGTGACGCTCAGAACAGAACTGTTATCATTAAGTCATTATTACTACTATTATAGTACCAAAAGTACTATTACAGTATTAAAGAGGCAGGATAAGGGTTTGGATTTAGTAGTCGATACTCACAGAGTGAGTTTAACTACTTTAAACTTCTCATACAAGTGGAATCGTGCAATATTTGTCCTTCTGTGAATGGTTTGGTTCACTTAGCATAATGTCCTCCAGGTTCATCCATGTTACTGAAAACGGCAGGATTTTCTCTTTTTTTAATTTTTAAAATTTTTCTGATTTTGTAATTTTTATTTTTATTTTATTTTATTTGTTTTTGAGACAAGGGCTCACTCTGTCACCCAGGCTGGAGTGCAGTGGTGTGATCTCAGCACACTGCAACCTCCGCCTCCCGGGACTGAAGTAATTAATCCTCCAACTCAGCCTCCCAGTACGGGAACCACAGGAGCACACCACCATGCCCAGCTAATTTTTTTGTAATTTTGGTAGAGATAAGATTTCGCCAAGTTGCCCAGGCAGGTCTCAAACTCCTGAGCTCAAGCGATCTGCCCACCTCCGCCTTCCAAAGTGCTGTGAGCCACCACACCCAGCCCTGCCTAAAGGTTCTTTGATCAAGGTTGTTTTGACCTAAGGGCAGGATCAATAGTAAAGACAAGCTCTGGCCATGCATAGTTCAAGGTGGGAGGATTGCTTGAGCCCAGGAATTCGAGACCAGCCTGGGAAACATAGTGGGACCTAGTCTCTACAGCAACTTTTGAAAATTAGCCAGCTATGGTAGTGTGTGCCTGTAGTTCCAGCTACTTGGGAGGCTGAGGCAAGAGAATCACTTGAGCCTGGGAAGTCAAGCCTGCAGTGAGCTATGACAGCGCCACTGTACTCCAACCTGGGTGACAGAGTGAGATTCTGTCTCCAAAAAAAAAAAAAAAAAGTAAGTACTAAGTACATGTAGTACGTGTTCTTACACAAAGAACAGTAGATAAAATAGAAATTGTAGGGACATTCCGAGGACGGGGTTAATCAGAAACCAACACGGCGAATTAGCACCCAAGACAGAGGTGTTTTAGCCTCCACAAACTGGATTGTCTAGTGACACTCAAATTCTTCGTCTTCATCCTCACTGTCTGGGGTTGCATTGCATAGTGTCCTTCCAGAATTCATGTTTACCAGAGATCTGTGAATATGACTGTATTTGAAATAGGTCCTTGCAGATGTCGGTAATTAAGATGTAGTCACAATGGATACGGGTTGGCCCTAATCCAATGACTGGTATCTTTATAAGAAGAGGAAACAGACACACACAGGGAAGACAAGCACGCATAGTCACAAGAAAAGATTAAAGTGATGCTGCCACAAGTCACAGAATGCCACAGCTTGCCAGCAGCCACCAAAAGCAAGGAGAGAGGCATGGAATAGTTTCTGCCTCTGAGCTCCTAAGAAGGAACCAACCCTGGCATTTTGGCCTTCTGGCCTCCAGATCTGTGAGACAATAAATGTCTATTGCTCTAGACCAAACAGTCTATGGTACTTTGTCTAGATTTTTTTTATTTTTATTTTATTTTATTTTATTTTTAGATAGGGTCTCATTCTGTCACCCAGGCTGGAGTGCAGTGGCACAATCACGGCTCACTGCAGTCTTGACCTCCCAGGCTCAAGTGATCCTCTTGCCTCAGCCTCCCAAGTAGCTGGGACTACAGGTGCACGCCACCATGCCCAGCTAATTTTTGTGTCTTTATTTATTGCAGAGATGGGGTCTTGCTATGTTGCCCAGGCTGGTCTCGAACTCCTGGGTTCAAGCAGTCCTCCTGGCTCAGCCTCCAAAAGTGCTGGGATTACAAGCGTAAATCACCATGCCTGACCAGTAAAATTCTACAGCACAAAACCAAGGAAGAAGCAATCACAGAGGCCACGCGGCTCTCCTGTCTGGGGGATGAGCCTCCCATGGTTTGGTACCCAAGGACCCCAACTCCTCCCCATTCATTGTTATTGCTCTTCACCAGTGCTCTTCCAGGCCTTCTGACATTCTCTAGATTCGTAAGTTTTGTCTTCTATCTTGTGCTGTATTCCATTGAACATAGAATGGAACAGCAAGTGCAGCACTTTGGGAAGACTCCTGACCCAGCTCTTGAACCCAAACAAGAATCTTGGCCAAGTTAGGATCGTAGGACTACCATGTAGCAGGCTACAGCAATTCCCCACGATAGGGAGGCCACTGCAGCTTTTTTTCCCTAGTCTGTTCGACCAGCTTCCCCAGACTCCTCCCTCCTCTGGGGCTCCGTAGCTTGGAAGAATAAAGTCTGATAAACTATATCCTCCTGCGGGCAACTGCAAGAATGCCAATATATGCTGTTGACGATGCTGAAATTCACTGCTCATCCTCTGGAAAAGTGATCGGGTTCAGGGGACTTCATAAGCTCCTGAACACATTTCACATGCTTTCATTTTATTTACATTCACTTATTCTTTTCCTTTTTTTTTTTTCTAGACAAAGTCTTGCCCTGTCACTCAGGCTGGAGTGTAGTGGTGTGATCTCAGCTCACTGCAACCTCCACGTCCCAGGTTCAAGTGATTCTCCTGCCTCAGCTGCCTCAGTAGCTGGGATTATAGGCGCACACCACCATGCCCAGCTAATTTTTGTATTTTTAGTAGAGACAGGGTTTCACCATGTTGGCCAGGCTGGTCTCGAACTCCTGACCTCAGGTGATCTGCCCGCCTCGGCCTCCCATAGTGCTGGGATTACAGGTGTGAGCCACCATGCCGGGCCTACTTACTCTTTTTCTAATGTGCTTCCTCTCTTTATATCTCTGAAGAACTTTTAACATTTCTTTCAAGGCAGGTTTTCTGGTAGCAAATTCCCTCAATGTTTGTTTGTCTGAGAATCTTTGTCTTTCTTTCTCCTTCACTTCTGAAGAATAATTTTGCAGGGTACAGAATTCTAGATTGAAGACTTTTTTTTCTCTCAACACTGTAAATGCTTCATTCTTATCTTCATGGTTTCTGGAAAGAAGTTGGACATAATTCTTATCTTTGCTTCTCTGTAGGTAAGGTATTTTTCCCCCTCTGGCTTCTTTCAAAAGATTTTTCTTTTAAAAAATTTTATTTTAGATGCAGGAGGTACATGTGCAGATTTGTTACATGAGTATGTTGCATAAATGGTGAGGTTTGGGATTCAATTGAAGCCATTACCCAAATAATGAACATAGTGCCCAGTAGGCAGTTTTCTTTTTCTTTTTCTTTCTTTTTTTTTTTTTTTCAGACAGAGTCTTGTATTGCCCAGACTGGAGTGCAGTGGTGCGATCTTGGCTCACTGCAACCTCTGCCTCCCAGGTTCAAGCGATTCTCCTGCCTCAGCCTCCTGAGTAGCTGGGATTACAGGCGCCCACCACCATGTCCGGCTAATTTTTAGTAGAGACGGGATTTCATCATGTTGGCCAGGCTGGTCTTGAACTCCTGACCTCATGATCAGTCCACCTCAGCTTCCCAAAGTGCTGGGATTACAGGCATGAGCCACTGCACCCGGCCATCAATAGTTGGTTTCCAAGCCTGGGTCCCCTCCTTACCTCCCCACTTTTGTAATCCCCAGTGCCTATTGTTCCCATCTTTGTGTCCCTGTGCACCCAATGTTTAGTTCCCACTTATAAGTGAGAACATGTGGTATTTGGTTTTCTGTTTCTGCACTAATTTGCTTAGGCTAATGGCCTCCAGCTGCATCCATGTTGCTAAAAAGGACATGATTTTGTTCTTTGTTATGGCTGCATAAAACAATTTCGATTTGGGTTTAACTGAAAAAATGAGACTCATTTTTATTTCAAATAAGGGTATTTTTAAAACCTTATATATTATAACAGAATTTAGCTTGAATTATGACCAAAGGTGAATTCTTGAGAATGAAAAGAATTGGGATGCAGGACTTTCCTGACAAAATTGTTACGATTTTCCAGTGCATAGCTTTGTCTTCTTCCATTCTACACTTTCCTCAAAGGGTCATAAAGAAAGCCAGTTTTGTATAAGTATTCTAAGACTAATTCTAGGACTATATTAATTTTTAGGGGCCCTTCTTAATCCTTTGAATTTAAAAATATATAATATATATATTTATATTTTATGTATAATATACATATTATATATATTTATATTATATATATATATATATTTTTTTTTTTTTCTTCAAGCCAGGCATGGTGGCTTACACCTGTAATCCCAGCACTTTGGGAGGCCGAGGTGGGTGGATCACCTGAGGTCAGGAGTTTGGGACCAGCCTGACCAACATGGCAAAACCCTGTCTCTACTAAAAATACAAGAATTAGCCAAGTAAAAATACAGGTGGTGGTGCACACCTGTAGTCCCAGCTACTTGGGAGGCAGAGGCAGAAGACTCCCTGGAACCCAGGAGGCAGAGGTTGCAGTGAGCCGAGATCGTGCCACTACACTCCAGCCTGGGTGACAGAGTGAGACTCCGTGTCAAAAAAAAAAAAATTTCTCTTCAAAGCCCTTATGGAGTTACAATATGTGCTCTTTTTAACTTTGTTGTATCACTGTCATTAAATTCATACATTCTTGCATCTTTCACAAAGTGACCGGCTTCATTTTGTAGTCCACTTGCTTTGCAGTTGCATTGTACTTGCAAGGTATTTTTTGAAACATAACATCCCAACATTCACAACAAATGATCCACCAGGTGGATGGCAGAATTTCTGGTGTTAATCAGAGTGGGACGTTTGAGTGGGGACTCATAATTTTATAGCACCGAGGATGGTGCACTGTGTTTATGATATGGGGATGTTGCATTCTGATGCTTACCTGGTGATACCTGTTCTAAGATCATAGTGCTTAGCAGACAGGCTATGTTGGAATCACTCGTCTGTATCTCCCCATTCATGAAATCAGGCCTATCATGATCCTCAAAACCAAAATCCATTTCCTAATAGTTTCACTATGGAATGCATACTGAATGAACCCAACAAATCCAGGAAGTAGAAACAATTATAATCCCCATATTTCAGAGAAAGACAAGCTTAACTCCTGATGAGTCCATTGATCTTGGATTCCCACCTGAATCTCATGGTTTCTGTAGTCCAGAGTCTACCATTTCAGCCACTCCCTTTTTGGGTAGCCCAGAACCTAGCACTAGGCTGGGCACATAGTAGGCATTCAATCCATATTTGTTGTCTACATGAGTGGGTTGATGGACTGGCTGAATAAATGCAGATCCCTTCATCGTGAGATCTTCCCTATATACTGGAACCAGTGCACAGTTCAGTGGCATTCAATGCATTCAAATTGTGCAATCTATCTCCAGAGCCTTTTCATTGTCCCAAACTGAAACTCTGCACCCATTAAATAATAACTCCCCATTCCTCCCTCCCTCCAGCTCCTAACAACCACCATTCTGCTTTTTGTCTCTATGTATTTGACTATTCTAGTTACCTCATATAAGTAGAATCATATAATATTTGTCTTTTTGTGTCTGGCTTATTTTACTTAACCTAGTATTTTCAAAGTGCATCCATGTGGTGGCATCTATTCAAATTTTGTTCCTTTTTAATGCTGAATAATACTCCATTGTATGTGTCTACCATATTTTCTTTATTTACTCATTTGCTCACGGACATGTGGGTTCTTTCCACCTTTTGGCTATTATGAATAATGCTACCATGAACATGGGTTTACAAATATTTGTTTGAGTCTCTGCTTTCAATTATTTTGTATATATACCCAGAAGTGGAAGGGATCTGGGTTTTTAAAAACTCAGCTGGTGATTCTAATATGCAACAAAGCTTGTGAACCATTGTGCTGGTCCATTATGACTATTTCTTAAATAAGATGTGCCTAAGGAAAAACGTTTTAATTTCAAGCCACAATGGCAGCCAGGACAATTTAGCTGAAAAACAAACTTGTGGAATGAATAAACACGAGCAAATAGCAAAATCGTCAGTAATAAATGAAATATACACAACAAATTCAGAATTAAAATCATTGCTTTTGCAAAAATCTTTTCAAAAAATAAAAAATTAAGTCATTGCTCTTTCAAGTGTAATCCACAAATTTGATGAACTAGTTATGAACACAGAATATGTCGAGTTATAATGCTTTAATATGAGAGATATCTGCTAATTACATTATAATACGTGGATGTTCTCTTAACCAAACATGACATTTGTAAATTTACTTGTTGGTAAATTGTGCTTTTCTATCTGACATCATCTTAATGGTTATTAAGCATCATCTATTACGGGCTATTTGGGAAAAAATCAAATTTTTCACTCTATATTTATTCTACAATTCATTCTATGTTGTATTTCATCCTAAAGTTATGACTGTTCTTAAAGCCTCAATTAAATGAACTTTGTAACAGTTATGTAATATTTAACTAAAACATGCTGGTTTTAAATCAAATAGCCTTTGCCTAAAATCACTTCATCAGGAACCATGCAAAGTAACAAAACAAAAAATTCAAGTTCTAAGGAGGGGGAGGTAAATATTACAGGTTGAATGGCTCATGAAGGAACAATGGTTGAAAAATGCTGCTTTAAGAAAAAAAAAAAGTAAAGCTATCAGGCAGTTTCCTTCATTCCAAGAATATTAGGATATTCAAACTGGGGAGGACTTGACATCCTAATGTTCTCTCTCCATTTTACAGCAGAGTAAACTGAGGGCAGATGGTTGGTAAGTGGTTGAGCCTGTGCCAGGGTTTGGGCCGTTACTTCCTACTGAACCAACCCCTCCGGGGGGATTCAAATTGAATTGCCATATGCTTAACTTTTTTAATTTAATGGAACCTAACATTTCTGAACTTTATCTCTAAGATGATGGAAACAATGCCTGCCTCACAAAATTGTTCTGATAAGTTAAATAAAATATAGTGCCCAGGATAGAGAAGACGTTCAGAGCATTTATTTGCATTTCCTACATACCTCAGAGGTATCATTCTTATTTTTCCCTCCTAGAGGAAGAGGTTTCCATTTTGAAAGTGGCAACTCCAAAGACATGAATCTCTAATAGTAGAATTCAGGTATTCAGTGAGAAGTGGTGACAGAAATAAAAACCTATAGTGTTCATATCAGAAACCTATGATGAAGTGGTTTATTTTATAGAAAAATGTGAGAAAAGTAAATCATTTCCTTTGCCTGCTGAATTTTTTGTTTTAAAAATAATTTTAATCATTCCTATCCTTTAATAATATTTGAAAAATACAATTAAAGCAAAAGGAAAGTAAGAAATCACCCACAATCACACTACTAAAAATAAGCTCTATTGAACTTTGATGTCTAACTTTCAAAATAGTATTATTCTTACTAGAATAGAAATTGGTGAAATCCTTTCATCTCTTTTATTTTAAAGTGACATAAATATTTGTTCAAAATTGTGTTTTTCAGATGAATTATCATCAACTGTGGGTGAGTTGATCAAAAAACTTTTATTAGCGTTTCTTTTCAAATTTTTGCAATAAAATGTGAAACCATTGAGTATTCCCTTTCCTGGTAAGAAATCATACTTTTCATTAAAGATTACTATTTTATGTACTTATATATAAAGTAAATTTCATGTTAAAAATGTTAAGAAAAAAGAAGAAGAGTCCCAGCACTTTGGGAGGCCGAGGCAGGGGGATCACGAGGTCAGGAGATCGAGACCATCCTGGCTAACAAGGTGAAACCCCGTCTCTACTAAAAAACTACAAAAAATTAACTGGGCATGGTGGCGGGCGCCTGTAGTCCCAGCTACTCCCGAGGCTGAGGCAAGAGAATGGCGTGAACCTAGGAGGCGGAGCTTGCAGTGAGCCGAGATCACGCCACTGCACTCCAGCCTGGGTGACAGTCTCAAAAAAAAAAAAAAAAAAAAAGAAAGAAGAAGAGGAGATAAATCATAATTTTACTGTTAATTTTACTTTTGGGTGATTAAACATGTCATTACATGTAACTTCATAATGTGATTTTTAGCAAAAATCAAGTATTCTGGAAAAGAAGGAAATAGAAAATGCCTTTTGCCACCTAAAAATGAAGTACAAATTTTTCCGTATCTATTTATATACTCATCTTTATTAATGCCTACTTGATATTATAAAGCCAATTTCATTTTAAAATTCCCTCAGGGATGAATATTTTTTAATTATTATTTTTAATCTAATACTAATCATGCTGAAATAAACATTCTTAATCTAAGTGTCATACCAATTAAAACTAGGAAAGCACAGGGGTGTTACATTAACACTATTTTAGGTTCTAACATAAGTGATATTGTAGAAAGGACAAACTCTATATAAAATAACAGGCAAAATTATTTTATGATTGTATACCTTAAATCCCTAAGAACATGAATAAAAATTATTAGTTTTAATAAAGTAATATGGCTATGTGGCTGGATGCAAGATAAACATACAACAGTCAATAGTTTTTCTCTATACTGATAAGAACCAACTGGACATTGATGGAAATGGAAAACATTCTGTTTAACATCAGTGACCAAAAAAAAGCACTTTGGAATTAAATTTGTGAGAAATGTGTAGGATTTATATAGAATAAATAAGAAAATCATATTGAAGAGCAAAAAAATACATTTTGAAAAAGAGCAGATGCCATGTTCTTGGATGGAAAACATAATGCCATAACAATATCACTTTTTCCTAAACTAACATTTTTATTTAATTTTATTTTACGTAAGAGCCCATTTTAAAGCCTAATAATAGTGAAATAAATGTCAGCTCTAAATTTTATTTTTCAGAAACTATAACTCATTTTCCAGAAGTTACAGGTAAGTCGATCAGAAAACTTTGATTATTAATGTATATTTTCTTTTAATTTTGTAAAAGTGAGGAAATCAGTAATGTTTTTCCAGTAAAAAAAATCATTTTTTCTCCTTATATAAAATGTAACATAAGTGCCTCATAAACAGATAAAGAAAACAGAGGTATAGAAGTCACTCTGAACTTTCATCAGCACTAAATGTGTCTACTCTTTAATTTCTGCCAATCTAACAGGAAATAATAGATTTTAAAATTTATATAGAAAAACATCCAATAATAATTAGAAGTATGAACAAAGTGCTGTAGTAGAGAAATATTTTGTCTCATCAGATATGTAGACATACTAAAATATTGTAATATAAGCAACATGGAATCAGCCTAGAAAAATGGAAGAGGAGGAGGAGGAGGGAGGAAGGAAGAAGAAGAGGAAGAAGAAGAAGGAGGAGGAGAAGGAAGAGGAGAGAAGAAAAGAAGAAATATTTTGTGATGCTTGCTGGCTCCAGAGCCTGCTCATTTTACCACCATGCTTCCTTACCTCTCTAATAATTTCAAGAAACTTTATAGAAAATATAGAATGGATCCCAGGATATATTAGAATAATCCATGGTTTTAAACATGATTGTTTAAATGTACAGGTGATTTATTTCATCATCGATCTGTCATTACTAAATATGTTTGAAAGAAAATAAAGTTGCATTGCCCTTTGGCATCATATACAAAACTAAATTCTAGCTTAATCAAATTTTAAATGTAAAAGGAACAAAATTGTTTAATTTAAGAAGAAAATGGAAAATATATGTATGGCCTAAAGACCAGTAGATCTTTTAAAGCAAGGCAGAAATCTTCTGTAATACAGGTAAACATTTTTAAAGTGTGTAAATGCTTCGTGCTAATGAAAATTCAGGTAAAGGAGCACAATTGGTGGGAAAGACTAATTGCCATTTTCCTTTGACAAAGCAATATTCATCAATGTTAAAATTGTATATACATTGTGTCCTTGCAACCTTGCTTTGGGGATTCTATAGAAACAAATGCTTCAATACATAAGGACTTAAATATGTGAAATGTTTACTACAGCTGTATTTACAGTAGGAAAAATCTGAATGTGGAAATACTGAATAAATTGTGTTGAATCCATATCACAGAACATGAATCAGCATTAGAAAGAAGTTAAGGCCGGACTCAGTGGCTCATGACTGTAATCCCAGCATTTTTGGAAGCCGAGGCAGGAAGATGCTTGAGCTCAGGAGTTTGAGACCACCCTGGCCAACATAGTGAGATCTCATCTCTACAAAAAATTTAAAAATTAACTGGGCATGGTAGCACGCACCTGCAGTCCCAGCTACTCCAGAGGTTGAGGTGGGAGGATTGCTTGAGCCCAGGAGGATAAGGCTGCAGTGAACCATGAAGAAGTTAGGGCTACACAATCACTTTAAGAAGATTTCTGTGATGTGTTAAGTCGGAAACTCAAGTATAAAATATGATTCATTTTGAAGGGTAGCAAAAAATTATGTATGTGTGCCTGTATGTGTGTATGCACCTATAACTATATATATATATATATATATATATATATCCTGTATTAACCATACAGCATATATACAAAACCATATAACATATATAAGTATATATATAAAACCATACAACACAGATATACCCAGGTGACACACATACACACATGTATAGTTGCATGGGAGAGGGAGAGAAAGAGAGATGACGGAAAGAGGTAAAAATAAGAGATCCAGGGGCAGGGGGGAAGAATTGTTGGGTAGATAAATGCCCACATTTATATTTCTACGCTTAGGAGAGATTTCTGAAACTGGGGCAAATGCTAAGCAAAATTTTGAGACTGTTTATAACCTGGAAAAGAAGTAGGGCAGGGGCAGGAATATAAAACAAAAGAGCTTTGTCATTAGAGAGCCAAAGCTCTGCTATTGAGTAGCACAATAACATTTACTACAGCCACAGCCAATGACTCTGATTTCAAAGGGCAACAGCGCCTAGGAAGACAGTCGCTTGATAACCTCTCTCCTAACACACCCAGAAACAGAGGAAGAATTTTGTTTTCTCTAGATGGGGAGTGTGTCTTTCCATTCCACTATAAAAATGGAACATATTATGACTGCATCAAGTCCAAGGCAAGACACAAGTGGTGCTCGTTAAACAAGACCTACGAAGGATACTGGAAGTTTTGCAGTGCAGAAGGTGAGTGTCCTGTCTCTAAATACCTCAGAGCAGTAATCTTGGTCTCTGAGGCTGGGATCTGAGGCAAAACACAAGAGGGTTCTGAAAATAGAATCCATAGCCAATTAAGTTGTGAAAATAAAGGATGTTCGATTTCTGACGATATAAAAATCACATTGCACCATAGATATGTTATGAGCATTTCAACCACATTATTTTGAAAAGAATCTTTTTAATAGAACAGCAAAGTGATGTGGGATCTGAATCCCCCACCAATATTGTTCCCATGTGCCTTTGGTGAAATAGGGCAGAGCAGATGATACTGAATAGGAAGCAAAAGTGTGTATTTGCGCGTGTGTGTGTGAGCGCACCAGTGTGCATACATGTATGTCTGTGTGAGTGTGCATGTGTATGTGTGCACATTTGTTCACGTGCATGCACATGTGTGCATATGTGTGCATGTGTGTGCATGGTGTGGTGGAGGTGGGTGCAAATTAGAAAGGTTTCTTACTCTGCTTCTTCCTCTTCCTCCTCTGCAGATTTTGCAAACTGTGTATTTCCCTTCTGGTACAGACGCTTGATCTACTGGGAGTGTACTGATGATGGGGAAGCATTTGGGAAAAAATGGTGTTCACTGACCAAGAATTTTAACAAGGACCGAATTTGGAAATACTGTGAATGATGGTGAGATTTACCAGGGGAGGGGGATGAAGACGTTTAATCATTCTCCTTGGAAAGAACCTAGAGTTTTTGTTGGCAGAGGAGAACCCTTTCTCATTAGAGAGGGTTTTTTTTTGTTTTTTTTTTTTTTCTGGGATGTGAGTTGAAGGTGATCTAACTATAAATAACTAGAGGTTTTCGATTCAGGATTATGGGGTTTTAATATGGAAATCTGTAGTTTAGCCTCAGCACTTTAATTGCTAACTGTGTAAAATTAGTCCCTTTTAAAAATTAAGTCTATGGGGTAGGCGTGGTGGCTTATGCCCATAATCCCAGCGCTTTGGGAGGCCAAAAAGGAAGGACTGCTTGAGGCCAGGAGTTCAAGACCAGCCTGGACCAACATAGCAAGACCCCGTTTCTACAAAAGAAAAAATTTAAAAATGTAACTAGGCATGGTGGCACACACTTGTAGTCTCAGCTACTCGGGAAGCTGAGGCAGGAGAATCACCTGAGTTCAAGAGTTCAAGGTTGCATTGAGTTGTGATGAAAGAGAGACCCACCTCTAAAATAAAATAAATGAAGTAAAATAAGCTTATGGATTTTGGGTGATAGTGATGTGTCAATGTAGATTCATCAATTGCAACAAATGTTCCACTCTGGTGGAGGATATTGATAACACAGTGGCTATGTGTACATGGAAATTTTTATACCTACTACTCAATTTTTCTGTGACTTAAAACTGCTCTAAAAAATAACGTGTATTAAAAATGCATTACCTTGGCCGGGCACGGTGGCTCACGCCTGTAATCCCAGCACTTTGGGAGGTCGAGGCGGGTGGATCACGAGGTCAGGAGATCGAGACCGTCCTGGCTAACACGGTGAAACCCCGTCTCTTCTAAAAATACAAAAAATTAGCCGGGCGTGGTGGCGGGTGCCTGTAGTCCCAGCTACTCAGGAGGCTGAGGCAGGAGAATGGCGTGAACACGGGAGGCGGAGCTTGCAGTGAGCCGAGATCGCACCACTGCACTCCAGCCTGGGTGTCAGAGCGAGACTCCGTCTCAAAAAAAAAAAAAAAAAAAAAAAATGCATTACCTTAATAAAGAATATTTCTAAAACAGAAAAAAAGTGATAACTGAGGTGATACCTGAGGTAGGAATACAGGTGTGGAGATAAAGTACCAGAGTGAGGTTTAAAAAGGGTCAGATATGAACCACACGAACAAGGGCAACAAAGATGGGTGCGCTGTACAAAGTGAGGGAAAGCCACTGGGGCTGGTCCATGGTGAGTGCCCTGGGAGCCAGGCAGTGGGCAAGCCAGCACTTGAGAGCTGGCTAAGTCCAAAGAGAAGCCACAGAGCATCGTTCGGTAAGCAGAATCTGGATACAATCCAATTTGATTATAGAGGCCAGGAGCGGTGGCTGACGCCTGTAATCCCAGCACTTTGGGAGGCAGAGGCAGAAGGATTGCTTGAGCCCTGGAGTTCGAGACTAGCCTGGGCAACATAGCAAGACCTCATCTCAAAAGGAAAAAAACATGAAAGGAAATAACAAAGAATAGTAGAGAGGAAATATCTGATAGAAGGCCCAGAGAAAAAAGGAAGAGATGGGATGATCCCAGGAGGAGGGAGTGGAGTCACCTTCGGTAGAAACTGGTCTTCCATTGTTACGAGGTATAAGAAAATGTAAGTGCATGTGGATATAAGCAGATTTGTAGATTTGAGGGGATTCATATGTGAGAGAGTTTTTTTTAATTGTATTTTATCAGGAAAGTAGTAGGAAAAGTAATCTTGTGACAATGAGAGGGATGGGTATAGTGGGGTAGGTGTGTCATGGTCATTGAAGAGAGTGGAGAGTGAGGTGACCAGAGAAATGTTGGAAGACGTCTGGCTAGTGTAGGGGGTTTGGTTGAGGTTAATGCGTCAGTCAGGAAGCTTACTGCACGCTCAAATTGGGTAGTTAGAGGAAACTGGAAACTATAGATAATAGTGCAGTATTCAGGGATAGTAAGAGCAATACCTAAACAGTGAGGGGAAGAGAAATTCCTGGAATTGAGAGCGTGGGAGAGCAAGGGAGGAAGAAAAAGGACAGAGATGGAGAGCAAGCGAGAGACAGAATAGGAGAGAATGGAAAGGAGGGAGGAGAGAGGGTCGGGTAGAAAAGAGAGAGGCCGGGCACAGTGGCTCACGCCTGTAATCCCAGCACTTTGGGAAGCTGAGGCAGGAGGATCACCTGAGGTAAGGAGTTTGAGACCAGGCCAGCCAACACGGCGAAACCCTGTCTCTACTAAAAATACAACAGTTAGCCAGGCGTGGTGGCCGGCACCTATAATCCCAGCTACTTGGGAGGCTGAGGCAGGAGAATCGCTTGAACCCGGGAGGTGGAGGTTGCATTGAGCCGAGATCGTGCCATTGCACTCCAGCCTGGGTGACAGAGCAAGACTCCATCTCAAAAAAAAAAAAAAAAAAGAGAGAGAGAGAGAAAGTGGCTGTGGAAGTGACCAATCCATGGGAGCCAAGGGAATTAATACCTCAACCTTCTTCCCTTTAATCTCCTGCCAGTGCATCCCATTGGTCAAGCCCAAGTAGAAAGCAAAGGGAAAGGAGCTCAGAGCAGAATGAGGGGTGGAGAGAGAGCCGGGAGGTGCATGCAGATAGCACTCAGCATGGCTGGGGAACATGAGTTTGTAATCCCACCAAACTAAATTATGAGATTTCACCACAGCTATACCTGCTCATGGGATCACACTGAGAAGGGCGATGTTTGGGTTTATTTCCAAGTGGGTGTTTGGTGGGTGTGGGAGAAGAACAGAGTGCTAAGGATAGAGTATGTGCAAAAGAAAGATCATAAGGATAAACGTGGAGCCAGAAGTGAACAAACAGCAAAGAAAAGATGGCAGTGAATGAAAGGAGAAGCAGGTAGAGGCTCAGTAGATTGGAAGCTCCAACTGATTTTGACTTCTTCTTGCTGCGTCAGAGCAGTGGCGGGAACAAGAACAAGATGGCGCCCTCCCCGCGTGTACTTGGCTTGCTTATTTCTCTTGTAATACCCAATAATATCCAGGCAAACATTATCTTTCTTTTCTGGCTGAAAGGAAGGGTCCAATCTCTCAACAACCAACTGTTGTAGCAACCAGCAACTCTCAAATGTTGAACCAGAATTTCAACCAGCTTCCCCTTTCTCTTAACCTCAAAATATTTGCAGAATAAAATGGGAGCTGTACTTTTTATTGTCGTTATGAATGAAAAGTGTATGTGTTTGTGTGCACACATATGGATCCCCATGGAGGTGGAAGGACCACAGAGATGGATGAGTTGTCCTAAAATGAATTAATTGAGCGTGCTGGTGATTGATGAGATGGTACCAATAAAATGACAGGAGACTGTTCCCTAGAAGTGAGTAAAATATTCCAAATCTTTTATGAAAAACACAGAATCATGTAAAAACTACTGTCTCTGGCATGTTACTGCCTACATTATTATTATTATTATTATTATTATTATTATTATTATTATTATTTTGAGACGGAGTCTCGCTCTGACACCCAGGCTGGAGTGCAGTGGCGCGATCTCGGCTCACTGCAAGCTCCGCCTCCCAGGTTCACACCATTCTCCTGCCTCAGCCTCCCGAGAAGCTGGGACTACAGGCGCCCGCCACCACGCCAGGCTAATTTTTTGTATTTTTAGAAGAGACGGGGTTTCACCGTGTTAGCCAGGATGGTCTCGATCTCCTGACCTCGTGATCCACCCGCCTCGGCCTCCCAAAGTGCTGGGATTACAGGCGTGAGCCACCGCGCCCGGCCGCCTACATTATTATAGGAAGACTTATTTACCAAATCTGGATATGCTCTCAATTACGTACGTGTGGGGGTGGGGGTGGGGATGTGTGTGTGGGTATACACACACACACACACGCATATATAGGAAGGAAATAAAACTGGGAATTTTTTAATTTTTTAAAAATTACATTAAAAAGAAATACTATGCTATTTTAATATATTAAAATAAACACTCTCTCCACCTCAGCTTCAATATTCTAATTCCACACATCCGAGGTAACCATTGTGAAGAATTTTCTATTTCCAATTTCTATTTAAAATCCAGCTCTATATAACTACCTTAAAGAATACAGTAAGATATTTGGTTCACGTAACTATATCAAGGTTATAAGCAAACTAATGCAGGAACAGAATACCAAATACTGCATGCTGTCACTTATAAGTGGGAGCTGAGCATTGAGAACACATGGAGAAAAGAAAAGGACAACAGACACCAGGGCCCACTGGATGGTGGAGAGTGGGAGGAGGGAGATGATACAAAAATTACCTATAAAGCACTATGTTTATTATGTTGGTGATGAAATAATATGTGCGCCAAAGCCCTGTGACACACAATTTACCTGTATAATAAACCTGCACATGTATCCTGAACCTAAAAGTTAAAAAAAAAAAAAAAAAAGAATATCAAGGTTAGCATGGGACAACTGGAATCAAGCATTCAGTCTGCCAACCTCAATGAGGTAAGACTTTCAACACCACTCCCTTGTTAAATTGTGAAATCTAGCAGATTTTAGATTCCACTCACCGTTTACACATGTTGAAGACGAGGAAAGTGCCAATTATCTTCCGATTTAATAGAGCAAACCCCAGGTATTTATCTTGTTTAGGAATGCAGAGACATCAATTACAACCAGCGAAGCAGATGAACAAGTATGAAAAACAGTCAGAATAACTTTTTCTTCAAAGACTATGAACATAGGACAGAACAAAAATTTCTAAAGACTTTTCAGTATTCCAAAACCTTTTTATTCAAATTATATTTCCAAGGCTTTGACAATGAACAAGACACATTGGTAACAGATATTAATGTTATTATAAATCTCCTTCTTGCACAATAAAACAAGACGCGTGTTCTTAGGAGTGCTCTCAATTAATAAAGAAGGAATTTAGTATGAATGGATGCTATGCTAAAAATTAGGGCAATAAAATATTAAGTGACAGACAGTCTGTTTCAGATTGGTAGGCCAGCTATGTGAAGATCCAGTGAAAGGTTATCTGGGGACAGTGAGAACATCAAGTCAAAGTTCCTAATGCAGGAACAGGTGTGGCATATTGAGGACTAGAACAAGAGAAATATGGCTATACTATAAAAAATGAGAGGGATTCGGTCAAAGAAGACCTTTGATGAGTCTGTGCAGACAATAAAATCTCTTTATTTTAAAAGACAGAATACAGGCTGGGTGCGGTGCCTCACGCCTGTCATCCCAGCACTTTGGGAGGCCGAGGCGGGCAGATCACCTGAGGTCAGAAATTCGAGACCAGCCTGGCCAACATGGTGAAACCCCATCTCTACTAAAAATACGAAAACTAGCTGGGCTTGGTGGCATGCGCCTGTAATCCCAGCTACTCCGGAGGCTGAGGCAGGAGAATCGCTCGAACCCAAAAGGCGGAAGTTGCAGTGAGCCGAGAGATCATGCCACTGCACTCCAGCCTGGAAGATAGAGCAAGACCCCATCTCAAAAATAATTAATTAATTAATTAAACGATAAAATACAGAGAATTAGTGGCTCACAAAATCGCTGGAAAGGTAGGAAGAGCCAAAGCAGGGACGGTCCCAGTGATAATGCTTTAGAGATCCCAACACCATGGCTGTGGTTCAGAAGTCAGGAAGTTGCCACTGCTGAATCCATTGGTGCCACCACCATATTTTTCTCCCTGTATCAGTTAGCTATTCACAATGCTGCTGCATAACAAACCACCCTCAAAATAATAAGCATTATTTTTGTAACCATGCATTCATGGGTCAGCTAGGATTTGTCTGATTTAGGCTTAGTTCGGCTCTGAGATGCAGATTTTTCATCCTCCCATAAGGAGCGACTACCTGAGCCATCCTCTTCTCATGACTAAAGGCAGAAGCACAAAGACTGAAGAAACACATTTAAAATGACCGCTTGTATCCATCCTGCTAACATCCCATTGCCACATCACGGCACATGAACAGGTCCACTATTAATAGGACAGGGAAGTAAATTCTGCTCATGGTAGGAAGAGGAGAAGGGTATTTGGTAAACAATAACCAAAATAATCACAGCCCACCTGTTCATCACTATTATTCATGTTTATTCCACATGCAAGTCAATCTAGCCAACATCCCAAGAGTGCCCAAATCTCATCGGGACACAGCATTAGGATCTTGCGATCCGCATCAAGTCAACCTTTGTACTATCCTTATTTGGAGACTTCTGAACTAAAAATACACATTTTAGTCCTTTTCCCCAACATATCATGATACAATGTTGGGACAGAAATAGGATAACAACAACCAACCCACATATCTGAAAAAGAGAAGAATAAGACACTGGTCTCATAAATTCTAAAGTTGACCAGGCGCAGTCGTTCATGCCTGTGATCCCAGCACTTCGGGAGGCTGACGTAGGTGGATCACTTGAGGTCAGGAGTTTGAGACCAGCCTGGACAACATGGTGAAGCCCAGTCTCTACTAAAAATACGAAAATTAGCTGGGTGTGTTAGTGCGCACTTGTGATCTCAGCTACTCCAGAGGCTGAGGTAGGAGAACCACTTGAACCCAGGAGGCGGAGGTTGCAGTGAGCCAAGATCGTGCCACTGCACTCCAGCCTGAGTGACAGAGTGAGACTCCATCTCAAAAATAAAATAAAAATAAAATAAAACAAAAATAAATTCTAAAGTCTCTCTCTCTCTCTCACACACACACAAACATAAATTCTAAAGTCTCTCTCTCACAAACATAAATTCTAAAAGTCTCTCTCAGAAACATAAATTCTAAAGTCTCTCTCTCACAAACATAAATTCTAAAGTCTCTCTCTCACACACACAAAAATAAATTCTAAAGTCTCTCTCTGTCTCTTACACAAACATAAATTCTAAAGTCTCTCTCTCACACACACACAAATAAATTCTGAAGTCTCTCTCACACACACACACAAATAAATTCTAAAGTCTCTCTCTCTCACACACACACATACATTCTAAAGTCTCTCTCTCTCTCTCTCTCTCTCTCTCTCTCTCTCTCTCTCCCCCTCTCCCTGCCTTACAGGTAGTGGCTTCTTCCTACAATCTGCTGTTCCTTAGGGTTCTTAAGATTCTCTTTATCCCTTCTAGTTAATACCCTTTCACCATTTATAATATATCCTTATATTACATTTTTCTCCATTTGAATTACAGGTGTCGTTTCTGTCTCCTGACTGAATCCTGAATGACACAGGAATCTTATAAAGCCTCATGACTTGAATATCCCCCATACATCATTGACACACAAATTTCTATTTCCAGTCCTGAGTTATCTCCTAAACCCCAAAAGCATATATCAAACTGGATAAAGGATCTGTTTACTTGGATGTTGAATAATCATGCAAAACAAAATAGAATCTCAATTCTGCTTCATATCCCCAGGCCAGGAACTCTGATAATCTTCCCATCTCATGACCATCCACCCATTTGCCCAGCCCCAAACCTAAGAGTCTGTTTTTACTCTTCTCTTTCCCATGTCTACCACGTCCAACTAATTTACAAGTTTTACCAAGACTGTCTTCAAAAAACGTGCCAAATCCATCTACTTGTCTGCAGGTGCACTGGTGTCACCAGCACCAGCCCCAACAACAATAGTCTCCAGGCTACTTTTACTGTTACCACTCACATCCTCCTAAAATCCACCCTCCAGGCAGCCGTCAGTGATTTCTTTTTTTTTTTTTTTTTTTAATCTGAGATAGGGTCTCGCTCTGTCGCCCAGGCTGGAGTGCAATGGTGTGATCTCGGCTCACTGCAACCTCCGCCTCCCATGTTCAAGCAATTCTCCTGCCTCAGCCTCTTGAGTAGCTGGGACTACAGGTGCACGCCACCATGCCCAACTAATTTTTTGTATTTTAGTAGAGACGGGGTTTCACAGTGTTGCCCAGGTTGGTCATGAGCTCCTGAGCTCAGACAATCCGCCCACCTCAGCCTCCCAAAGTGCTGGGATTATAGGCATGAGCCACTGTGCCTGGTCCATCAGTGATTTCTTTTTTTTTTTTTTTTTTTTTTAAGACAGGGTCTTGCTCTGTCACTCAGGCTGGAGTGCAGTGAGTTATGATCATGCCACTGCAGTGCAGTGGTGCCATCATAGCTCACTGCAGCCTCAAACTCCTAAGCTCAAGTCATCCTCCCACCTCAGCCTCCTAAGTAGCTGAGGCCACAAAAATTAGCTGGGCATGGTGGAACGTGCCTGCAGTTCCAGCTACACAGGAGGCTGAGGCAGGAGAATCATTTGAACGCGGGAAGCAGAGGTTGCAATGAGCTGAGATTGCAGCACTACATTCCAGTGTGGGAGACAGATACTCTGTCTCAAAAAAAAAAAAAAAAGAAAAAAGAGAGAGAGACTGATTTTATATGCAGAAAAGATGTGTGTCTCCACAGACTCCAGATCAGATGTTTTAGTACCTGGCAGAGAATGAGCAGGAAATGTTGGGGCAATCTGTGTCTGCTTTCTGATTTCTGCTTCTGTTCTTTGGGTTAGGTTTGCTTGCATCTGCTGGCTATCAGATACAGACAAAACATGATCGATGCATCCAGCAGTAATAATCTTCTTCCTGAAAGCCATGGATTCTTCAGCAGGTCAGAATGGTCTGATATACAGTAACCCCCAATTTTCTTAATAAAATAAAACTCTTTTTCTCCAGCATTTCTAGCAAAAGGGAAATCTTTGCAGGGAGAGTGATGAGTGGACATCAGAGTCCAGGCATCCATCCACTAAGATGCATCTTCCTTCGGGCACCTCACATTCACTGTGGTTCCTACCAACATGGTGGCCACAGGAATCAATGACTTCCCCTTCAATATCCTTTCTATGGGTTGACATATAACTTCTATTTCCAAGCAACACAGATGGAAGTAGGCTGTAATGTTCAAACAATACCTCAGAATTGGCTAGAGATGTTGTTATGGGCTGAACTGTGTCCTTTCCAAAATTCATATGTTGAAGCCCCAACCCCCAGGACCTCGGAATGCAACTGTTTTTGGAGAAAGGGTGTTTAGAGAGGCAATTAAGCTAAGATGAGGTATTCAGAGTAGGCACTAATCCAATATGACTGGTGTCCTTATAAGAAGAGAAAATTTGGACAGACAGAGAGATGCCAGGGATGTGTGTGCACAGAGGGGAGCCCTTGTGAGGACTAAGGGGGTGGCCATCTGCAAGGCAAGGAGAGACGCTTTGAGGAAACCAACCTTGATGTCACCTTGATCCTGTACTTCTACCCTCCAGAACAGTGAGAAAATAAATCTCTGTCGTTTAAGCCACCCCATCTGTGTTACTTTTTTATGGCAGCCCCAGCAAACTAATACAGAAGACAAAGGAGAAAGAAGACAGCAGCATGCAGCTTACTAGAAATGGCCAGTCTCCTATAACAAAGAATGAAATCGTATCCTTTGCAGCAACATAATTGCAGCTGGAGGCCATCTAAGTGAATTAATGCAGAAACAGAAAACCAAATACTGCGTGTTTTCACTTATAAGAGGTTGCTAAACAAACCTCATGAACATAAAAGATGGGAACAATAGACACAGGGGACCCCAAAAGCGGGGGGAAGGTGCGAGGAAAGGGTTGAAAAATTACCTGTGGGGTGCTATGTTCACTATTTGGGTGACGGCATCCATTGAAGCCCAAATCTCAGCATCATGCAATATATCTATGTCACAAACCTGCACACGTATCCCCTGAATCTAAAATTAAGTTAAATTAAATTTTAAATCATTAAACATCCATCGAGTCAAAAAAAGAAAGAAAGAAATGAAATGCCTGGTCTCTTGAGCCCTAGGCTTATCCCAGTGCTTTTTTTTTTTTCTTTTTTTTTCTTTTGAGATGGAGTCTCACTCTATCACCCAGGCTGGAGCGCAGTGGCATGATCTCGGGTCACTGCAGCCTCTAACTCCCAAGTTCAAGCAGTCCTCCCACCTCAGCATCCCGAGTAGCTGGGATTACAGGGGTGCACCACCGTGCCAGGCTAATTTTTTTGTATTTTTAGTAGACACAGGGTTTCACTATGTTGGCCAGGCTGGTCTCGAACTCCTGACCTCAAGTGATCTGCCCGCCTCAGCCTCCCAAAGTGCTGGGATTATAGGCATGAGCCACCGTGCCTGGCCCCAGTGCTTCTGAACTTTGATCTAGTTTACATTCAACGGTAGAACTTTAAAAAGTCTCCATGGCCAGTATGCTGCCCATATCAATTCATTCAGAAAGTCCTAGGGTGGCGCCCAGGCATCACACCTTCTAAATAAAGCTCCCCTGGTGACCTCAGTGTGTACCCCAGCTCGAGTCCCCTTGATCGACCCCATTCGTACATCCCAAGAAGAGAACAGTATGCTCAGGTACTTCCCCTGCAGGTTGTCTCCTACTCCAGCTGCCAGTATACCTTTTTTTTTTTTTTTTAACGTGGCAGAGGACGTTTATTTTCTAAACACCTATGAGCTTTGTGAGCTTCCTTAAGTTTTTTTGTTTATTTTGTTTTGTTTTTTGTTTTTGTTTTTTGACAGAGTCTCATTCTGTAGCCCAGGCTAGAGTGCTGTGGCGTGATCTCGGCTCACTGCAACCTCCGCCTCCTGGGTTCAAGCGATTGTTCTGCCTCAGCCTCCCAAGTAGCTAGGACTATAGGCACATGCCACCACGCCCAGCTAATTTTTGTATTTTCAGTAAAGATGGGGATTTGGCCAGGCTGGTCTCGAACTCCTGACCTCAAGTGATCCACCCTCCCTCGGCCTCCCAAAGTGCTGGGATTACAGGCGTGAGCCACCACGCCTGGCCTTTCTTGAGTATTCTTTGAGCAACAGGACAAAGGATATGTTTGCTATCCAGGCTGCATCATTGATGAAGGGCAAGTTTCTTGATCTCTCTTAAGACTCAGTTTCCTCATCTGTAAAGTGGAGATAGAAGTCTCATAGGTCTTTGTGAATCTAAAATAAGCTGATGCAGTCAATTCTTGCTGTATGTGGTAAATGTGTTCTAGAAAGTAGCCATGTACACTGAATTAGTGAATACCGAGCTGGTGCTTTTAGGGGAAATAGAAGGTTAGTTTCTTGAGAGCCTCTGGTCACAATGTTTTTGTTAACTGACTAATACATAACCTTCTTTTATATGTGTTTCTGTTTAAAGATGTTTCATTTAATACATAATGTCGATTCATTAGCACTGAACTCAAGACCAACAGGGCTGAATGCAGGTCTGAATGAAGCTTCTCTAATACACATATTTTCTCCATAAGGTGCGCCATAACCCCTTGCTTTTAGGACTACACTTGGGAGTCATTTAAACAGTGACATCGCCAAGAAAAAATACAAAAATGGGAAAAACATGAGACTAAATAGATCACAAGGACACTTGTTTATTTTTTGTTTTGTTTGTGTGTGTGTGTGTGTGTTTTGTTTGTTGGTTGGTTGGTTGGTTGGTTTTGAGACAGAGTTTCACTCTTGTTGCCCAGGCTGGAGTGCAATGGCGAGATATCAGCTCACTGCAACCTCCGCCTCCCGGGTTCAAGCAATTCTGCTGCCTCAGCCTTCCAAATAGCTGGGACTACAGGCATGCACCACTACACTCAGCTAATTTTGTATTTTTTAGTAGAGACGAGGTTTCCCCATGTTGGTCAGGCTGGTCTCGAACTCCCGACCTCAGGTGATCCGCCCGTGTCGGCATCCCAAAGTGCTGGGATCACAGTTGTGAACCACCACGCCCAGCCTGAAGGACCCTTGTATACACTGAAAGCCGAAACAAGAAGGTGGAGCATCACCTTGTTCAACCTCAGCAGGGCATGAGGGCATTGAACAACTCCAGTTCTTCCCTGCTGTTCACGTGTTCATGAATGGCCAAGAAAACAGTGAGTATATGCCTGGGCACAGCAGCTAATGCCTGTAATCCCAGCACTTTGGGAAGCTGAGGCAGGTGGATCGCCTGAGGTCAGCAGTTCGAGACCAGCCTGGCCAACATGGCGAAACCCTGTCTCTACTAAAAATACAAAAATTAGCTGGGTGTGGTGGTGCCTGCCTGTAATCCCAGCTACTCAGGAGGCTGAGGCAGGAGAATCACTTGAACCCGGGAGGTGGAGGTTGCAGTGAGCTGAGATTGCACCACTGCACTCCAGCCTGGGAGACAGAGTGAAACTCCGTCTCAAAAATACATTAATTAATTAACTAATTTAAAAAAAAAAAAACCAGAGACTCCAGGGGTAAGAGGAGGCCAGAGAACGGGACCCTTGCTCAGCCTGCAGGATCAGGGATCACTTCTAGGAAGGGACAAGGGACAACAACCAGGCTGGGTCCCGATAGTTTAATGACAATTAGGCAGGTGCAGAGGTGAAGGGGGATGGCAATGTCCAGAGGCCCTGTGACCACACACACACACACACACAAACACACACACACACACACACACACACACACAAACGCCCACCCTCCACTCTTAAACCTATCCATGCTTATGTTAGAAAACACTTAGGGCCAGGCACGGTGGTCCAAGCCTGTAATCCCAACACTGGGAGGCCAAGGCGGGTGGATCACCTGAGGTCAGGAGTTTGAGACCAGCCCGGCCAGCATGGTGAAACCCCATCTCTACTAACAATACAAAAATTAGCCAGGTGTGGTGGCAGGCGCCTGTAATCCCAGCTACTCAGGAGGCTGAGGCAGGAGGATCGCTTGAATCCGGGAGGCTGAGGCTGCAGCGAGCCGAGATAGCAACACTGCACTCCAGCCTGGGCGACAGAGTGAGACTCCATCAAAAAAAGAAAGAAAAGAAAAGAAAAGAAAAGAAAAGAAAAGAAAAGAAAAGAAAAGAAAAGAAAAGAAAAGAAAGACACACACTTAGGCCAGCTCTTTTCAAATGGTGAGTCATAATCTTCCATTTATCAAAGCACAACCAGCATTGTTTAAATTAAAAATACTGCAAACGTGGATGGAAAAACACAGAGTGTTTCATGTGTATGGCATGAGTTATTTCTAAAAAGGTTTAGAGATTGTATAGATAGATAGGGATGCCTAAATAGAAAGATATAGATGATGGATAGATAGAAGTCAGCTCATATTTTAAAGTCTATTCTTTCTATAGATTATGGTTAAAAAAACGGAAACATTGTCTTTGTGAACCCATAAATCTCATCTTAATCTTTCACAAAGCATAGGAAATCTTTTGTAAAGAATATGGCTGACTTGCTTTTCCGCTCTAGGAATGCTAGCAGAAAGCCATGCTTTTTGAAGTGAGCTTCAGGGTTCCAGTGGAGACAGGCAGAGCCTGGTGTGATTGAGCCCAGGTGGTGGCAATTAATCCCTAAGAAGCAAAGTGATACCAGGCAACAGGGTATAATTACTAATCAGATCATAGAGAATGGCTGGTGCAAGAGCGACATCTGGTGGTGATAATCATAGGTTTTTTTCAGAAATGAATTCAACTGACAGTTCACTTAAAGACATTCATTGTGGCCAGGTGCAGTGCTTCATGCCTGTAATCCCAGCACTTTGGGAGGCCGAGGCGGGCAGATCACGAGGTCATGAGATCGAGACCATCCTGGCCAACATGGTGAAACCCCGTCTCTACTAAAATACAAAAAATTAGCCTGGCATGGTGGCACACACCTGTAGCCCCAGCAACTTGGGAGGCTGAGGCAGGGGAATTGCTTGAACCCGGGAGGGGGCGGTTTCAGTGAGCTGAGATTGCACCACTGCACTCCAGCCTGGTGACAGAGCAAGACTCTGTCTCAAAAAAAAAAAAAAAAAAAAGACGTTCATTGCACAGAAGATCCACAGTATAACAGCCAGACTGGAACCATCGCGCTAGAGTCATGGCTTTTCTCCCAGTTCCAGGCACAAGACAGTTCACCAACTCAATGCCCCTTGAGTGAAGGCAAGGCTGGGTAACCAGGCACTGCTATAAGGCCATAGGCAGACACAGTAAGAAAATGCAAAGGGACCAGGCACGGTGGCTCACGCCTGTAATCCCAGCACTTTGGGAGGCCGAGGGGGGTGGATCCCCTGAGGTCAGGAGTTCGAGACCAGCCTGGCCAACATGGTGAAACCCCATCTCTACTAAAAATACAAAAATTAGCTGAGCATGGTGGCGCATTCCTGTAATCCCAGCTACTCGGGAGGCTGAGGCAGGAGAATCGCTTGAGCCTGGGAGGCGGAGGTTGCAGTGAACTGAGATCGCGCCATTGCACTCCAGCGTGAGAGACTAGAGCGAAACTCTAGTCTCTCAGAAAAAAAAGAAAGAAAGAAAGAAAGAAAGAAAAAAGAAAGAAAGAAAGAAAAAAGAAAGAAAGAAAGAAAGAAAGAAAGAAAGAAAGAAAGAAAGAAAGAAAGAAATTACAAAGGTAAATACATAAACTTTCCAGAGCCTACTGAATACTGGTTTTGAGCAAAGATTAGTTTTCAAGGACTAGGAATACCACTGATATCCAGTGATTAGAGTGGAAGATTATAGGAACATGAGACAGAGTCCTGAGTTAGGTTCACTTCTCTGTTAGCTCAGTGTGATACCAAATACTTTCTGCAATGATTTCCGCAGGGCCCAGGAGTAATACAGTTTGAAAAAAATATTTTCAGAAAGGCGTATGACTCACATCGGTTCCCAGACCCTTGGGCCCAGCTATTAAGATAGGGAAAAGTCACATTGCACGTCATCGTAGTTAGCCTCCTACGAGAATGGAGCGCGTGAAGAAACATTATGTTCCTTGGGAATTTCAGAGCTTGGTGGCACCAACAAAGACATGAAAGACTGTTGTCAAACTCTATTCATTTATCTAAATGGGACAGTACAAAAAAAATGCTGAGGCTTAAGCAATTACCATGATTTATTTTTATGTCATTCAAGTCAACCGACTCCTTCTGTAGCTGCTCTTCTACATTGATCTTATTCCTGGAGACTCTGGACCTGGGTAAGCACCTACTTAGAGTGTGTAGTTACATGCCCCCATTCTAAATGCAGGAGAAGCTGATAAACACAGTGTAGCCAAGCAGCCATGTCATCAGCTTTCATTGTGTTACAATGATGATGAAGCGGAGAATGGGCTTCTGTAAACTCTCCTTCATGGCTCCTAGAACATAATCCACTTCCTGGCACTGGAAGAGCATCTTGCAGTGGGGTCATTCTACAGAACTGACTTCCTCCATGAGACCTTTTTTTTTTTTTTTTGAGTCGGAGTCTTGCTCTGTCACCCAAGCTGGAGTGCGGTGGTGCAATCTCGGCTCACTGCAACCTCTGCCTCCCGGATTCAAGTGATTCCCCTGCCTCAGACTCCCAAGTACCTGGGATTACAGGCCCCCACCACCACATCCAGCTAATTTTTGTATTCTTAACAGAGACGGGGTTTCACCATGTTGGCCAGGCTGGTCTCGAACTCCTGACCTCAACTCATCCACCTGCCTTGGCCTCCCAAAGTGCTGGGGTTATAGGTGTGAGTCACTGCATCCGGCTGCATGAGACATTTAATACTTACCCGTCTTTAACACACTCATGCAAAATTTGTGCAGGATATTGCTACATGCTCAAAAGCTCTCAGTGATTCAAAGAACACAAACTTGCTTACGAATGTTAAACCACATAAAAGTTGGAAATTGAAAAAATTGTCCTTTAGAAAATTTCAATGTATTCTATTCCATTGGTCTATGTGGCTGTCTTTATGCCAGCGCCGCACTGTTTTAATTACTGTGGTTTTGTATTAAGTTTTGAAATTAGGAAATGTGAAGCCTCCAACTTTGTTCTTATTTTTCAAGATTGTTTTGCCTATTCATTTTTTTGTTTGTTTTAGACAAAGTCTTACTCTGTCACCCAGGCTGGAGTGCAGTGGCGCCATCTCAGCTCACTGCAACCTCTGTCTCCTGGATTCAAGCAATTATCCTGCCTCAGCCTCCCAAGTAGCTGGGACTACAAGCATGTGCCACCATGCCTGGCTAATTTTTGTATTTTTGGTAGAGACAGGGTTTCACCGTGTTGGCTAGACTGATTTTGAACTCCTGACCTCAGGTGATCTGCCTGCCTCAGCCTCCCAAAGTGCTGGGATTACATGGTATGAGCCACCATGCCCAGCCTGTTTTGGCTATTCTGAGTCTCTTGAGATTCCGTATGAATTTTAGGATAGATTTGTCTATTTCTGCGAAAACAAAACAAAGCAAAGAACCTTTATAACTTTTGTAGGAATTGCATTGAATTGGTAGATTGCTTTGGGTCCATACTGACATCTTAATAGTATTAAATCTTCCAGTCCATGAACACGGAATGTCTTTTAATTTATTTATATCTTATTTAACTTCAAGTCTTTTACCTCCTTGGTTAAATTTATTCCTAAGCTTTGGGAGGTTTTGGTGTTATTATAAATGGAATTGTTTCTTTTTTGGATTCTTCGTTGTTAGTATATAAATGCAACTGATTTTTATGAGTTGATTTCATATCCTGCAACTTTGCTGAATTCATGTATTAGTTCTAACACATTTTGTATGTAGAATCTTTAGAGTTTCCTATACACAAGATCATGTTTTCTGTGAACAGAGATAATTTATTTCTTCCTTTCCAGTTTGGTTGCCTCTTACTATTTTTTCTTGCCTAATTGCTCTGGCAAGGGCTTCCACTATTCTGTTAAACAGTAGTGGCAAAAGTGGACATCCTTGTCTTCTTCCTGATCTTAGAGGAAAAGGTTTCACAGTTCAGTGTGATGTTAGCTGTGCTATTCTGGGACTAGCTTTAAGTTAAATATTTTTCTGTTTAATTTTAGGTTAAACTTTGATTGCTCAGAATGAATAATGATCCTCAAATTCTAGAACCAATATTCAACTGAGGAATCAAATTCTGTTCACAAGTTCTTCACACATGTAAGACACCAAACCAGTCTATGTTACTACATTAATTATTGCTAAGTTTTTGTTGTATGTTTGTGAAAAGAAATTTTATTCTGACATTTTGTGATTTTTGTATTCTATGTCTGTTTATTTAGAACAATTAGCAGAAACTAAAGCAATTCAACACTTGTTTAAATAATTTAAATAATTAACTTAATTAAAATAAATTAAACAAGTTAATTATTTAAATAAGTGCTTCAGTTAGTTGAATAAAGAAGACACTGGAGTTTGTTCTGTATCTTCTCCTTTCAAATTCTGCGCCATTTGAATTTTTTCCTATTCCTTTTATATATTTTTAATTGACAAATTGTACATATTTATCAGGTACATATTGTTTTGAAATATGTATATACCGTAGAATGGCTAAATCAAGATCATTAACATATGTATTACTTTACCTATTTTTCTTTTTTCGTTGTGTCTCTGCCAGGTTTCGGTATCAGAATGACTCTGACCTCATAAAATGAGTTAGAGAGCAGTTGCTCTTCCTCAATTGTGTGGAATAATTTCAGTAGGATTGGTGCCGGCTTTTCTTTACACATCTGGTAGGATTCGACTGTGAATCCGTCTAGTCTAAGGTTTTTTGTGCTGGTTGGTAGGTTTTGTATGACTAACTCAATTTTGGAACTCATCGTTGGTTTGTTCAGGGTTTCCATTTCTTCCTGGTTCAATCTTGAGAGGTTTTATGTTTCCAGGAATTTATCTATTTCTTCTAGTTTTCTAGTTTGTGTGCATAGAGGCATGCGAAATAGTCTCAGGGTTTCTTGTATGTCTGTGGGTCAGTGGTAATGTCACCTTTGTCATTTCTGATTGTGTTTGTTTGGATCTTGTCTTTTTTTCTTTATTAATCTAGCTAGTGGTCTTTCCGTGTTATTTATGCTTCCAAAAATATCAACTTTGTATGAATTAACAGCATTTGCAGTGACCTGGATGAGACCGGAGAGTATTATTCTAAGTGAAGTAACTCAGGAATGGAAAACCAAACATCGTATATTCTCACTGATATGTGGGACCTAAGCTATGAGGACACAAAGGCGTAAGAATGATGCAATGGACTTTGGGGACTTAGGGGGACGAGTTGGCGAGGGCGAGGGATAAAAGACAACAAATAGGGGGTAGTGTATACTGCTCAGGTGATGGGTGCACCAAAATCACAAATCACCACTAAAGAGCTTATGTAACCACATACCACCTGTACCCCAATAATTTATGGAATAAATAATAAATAAATAATTTTTTTAAAAAATCAACTTTGGGTTTCATTGATCTTTTGTATGGTATTTTACATCTCAATTTCATTCAGCTCAGCTCTGATTTTGTTTTTTTTTTTTCTTCTGCTAGCTTTGGGGTTGATTTGCTCTTGTTTTTCTAATTCCTCTAGGTGTGATGTTAGGCGGTTCATTTGAGATCTTTCTAGCTTCTTAATGTAGCCATATAGCACTAGAAACTTCCTCTGAGCACTGTTCTAGCTGTGTCCCAGAGATTCTGGGATGTTGTATGTTTGTTTTCATTAGTTTCAAATAATTTTTTTATTTCTGCCTTAATTTCAGTCTTTACCCAAAAGTCATTTGGAAGTAGGTTGTTTAATTTCCATGATGACTCTAGGCCGGGCATGGTGGCTCATGCCTGTAATCCCAGCCACTTGGGAGGCTGAGGCAGGAGAATCGCTTGAATCCAGGAGGCAGAGGTTTCAGTGAGCCAAGATCACGCCACTGCACTCCAGCACGGGCGACAGAGTGAGGCTGCGTCTCAAAAAAAAAAAAAAAATTGCCCCTTCTTAAGTTTGCATTTAGATCTCTTCTCCTTTGACCACTTTTAATTTATCTTCACTTCTGATATGACATTTTATTTTTTATTCATTTTCTGCCTGTTTATTATGGTTCCTCTTTTAACTTAAAAAAAAAACATGTGTGTACTTTATGAATTTCTGTTTCAAGGTGTTTTTCCCATCTCCAAATGCTTACTTGAAAATATTTCCTTTCCTCTTGGTTCATTTCTTCTGGTGTGTGTGTGCGCACGCCCGCGTGCATGTATGTACTCGGGTATCATTTTCTGCTTTCTTCCTGCAGTACCTCGTTTATGGGAGATGCACTTCGCTTTTGTTATTTTTTTAGTAGAGAGGGGGTTTCACTGGTTTAGCCAGAACAGTCTCGATCTCCTGACCTCGTGATCCGCCCACCTCGGGCTCCCAAAGTGCTGGGATTCCAGGAGTGAGCCACCGCGCCCGGCCGTCCACTTTGCTTCTTGCAGAGGCTGATGGTTTGAGTAATTTCCGAGATTCATAGCTCGAGCGCGCCCTGTTCTGTCTATGCAGTGAAGGGCAGCTTTTTGCATCCACGGCTTTTTGTTGCCAAGGAGGAATGTGCAGTGGCCAGATTTGTTTCTTCCCCTTTTGTTGCTGTTGTTGTTGTTGCTGCTGCTGTTATTGTTGTTGTTGTTGTATTTTATTTTGTAGCATCCTAAAGTGTCCCCTCCTTCTATTTCTTATCCTTATCCAGGTAGGGTGTAGAAAAGCTAACTTAAGGGGCAGGGGAGAGAGAGAAAGAGAGGAAGAGAAAATGAGAATGAATGACAATACATGAACCCATGGGTCAACCTTTATTTCAAGGCAGCCCAAAAGGACGGCTCTCCCTTCTCTTTCACTCTCTTCTCTAGGTGTGAAGCTGATGCAGCACAGGCGAGCCCCAAAATTGAGGCTTAGCCCGGGGGGGTTCTTGGCTTCTCCTAGAAACTAATTCAAGAAGCCGGGCGCAGTGGCTCACGCCTGTAATCCCAGCACTTTGGGAGGCTGAGGCGGATGGATCACTTGAGGTAAGGAGTTCGAGACCAGCCTGGCCAACATGGTGAAACCCCATCTCTACTAAATATACAAAAATTACCCGGGCATGGGGACGGGTGCCTGTAATCCCAGCTGTTCAGGAGGCTGAGGCAGGGGAATCGCTTGAACCCGGGAGGCGGAGGTTGCAGTGAACAGAGATCGTGTCACTGCACTCCAGCCTGGGTGATAGAGTGAGGCTGCGAATCAAAAAAACAAAACAAAACAAAACAAAACAAAACAAAACAATTCAAGGGCAGGCCGGTGGTTTTAGACGGCAACTTTTACTGAAGCGTCAGTGCACAGCCACAGCAGAGGGACACACACATGTATCTTTTCTAAGACTGGGAGAATTTTACAATTGCTTGAATAATTGAACAGTGCCTCGAGGATGTTACACTAGGTTATAAATAAATTCCTGCCGTGTTTAGCTGAGGCACGAACACAATGCCCACTGACAATTCCACTTTCCTCGAGGGCCATTCTTTATGAAAGGCTGTAGGAGTTCCACGACATTGTTGATTCCTGGATTCTCCAAGTCTCTAGAACTTGAGAACTACTTTTGTGTATTTTTTTAAACTTTAAGTCCAGAGTTTCTAATGTCCGTTTTATACTACTATAAAATGGTACTATGTATTCTTTATTTATGGTACTATTTACACTTTATTTTATACAGACTCTGGCTCCACAAAAAATGTTAAAAATTAGCCAGGTGCAGTGGTGCACATCTGCGGCCCCAGCTACTCAGGAGGCTGAGGCAGAAGGATTGCTTGAGCTCGGATGGTCAGGGCTGCAATGAGCTATGATCACACATCACATCAATGCACTCCAGCCTGGGCAACAGAGTGAGACGCTGTCTCTAAAAGAATAGAAGAGGCTGGGCGCGGTGGCTCACGCCTGTCATCCTACCAGTTTGGGAGACCAAGGCGAGTGGATCATTTGAGGCCAGGTGTTCAAGACCAGCCTGGTCAACATGGCGAAACCCCATCTCTTGGCAGGCGACTGTAATCCCAGCTACTCAGGAGGCTGAGATAGGAGACTCCCTTGAACCGACGAGGCAGAGGTTGCAGTGAGCCAAGATCACACCACTGCACTCCAGCCTGGGCAACAGAGCAAGCCTCGGTCTCCCAAAAAAAAAAAAAAAAAGAAAGATACATTGAAGTAATTTAAAAACACTTAGGAAGATGTCATTTCTTCCTATCAAGGCGTCCTCCCTTTATGTTTTGTTGTTATATTGGGAACGATAAAAAAAATTTTTTTTTCAACCCATGTGGACCAGGTTGGCCTCGAACTCGAGCCCTCGAACCCTCGCCTCTCTGAGGGTCCGAGGGCCCGCGCAACCGGCCGGAGCCACAATAGCTCCGGGTGTCGGGGCTGACCTTTAGGCCCTTTGATCTTACGCAGGGTGAGGGAGCCAATCACCAGAGGCTCACCCCTGACGTCACCCAGTCCCCAGGGCCAGTGAGGGCCCTGCGTTCCATGGCGCCCCCTGGAGGGAGGAAGGGGAACTGTATCTGAGAGTTCAGTATCTGACAATAAGGAAAAGGCATAGGAGATCAGATGGTGCCTAGTGTTCTGGAGAGAAGAAACAACGGGGTTGGCGAATTGGCAGTTGCACTTTATAATACAGGCCTCATGTATAAGGCAGACCTCATGGGGAAGATAACATCTGTGCAGAGAAATGGAGATGAGGGCTAGGAGCCATGCAAATACTGGAACATGCTTGCCAGCAGAAGTCGAGAAACATGGCCGGCGCAGTGGCCCACACCTGTAATCCCAGGACTTTGGGAGGCCGAGGCAGGTAGATCACGAGGTCAGCAGTTTGAGACCAGCCTGGCCAACATGGTGAAACCCTGTCTCTACAAAAATACAAAAATTAGCTGGGTGTGGTGGCACACGCCTTTAATCCCAGCCACTTGGGAGGGTGAGGTAGGAGAATCGCTTGAACCTGGGAGGTAGAGGTTGCAGTGATGCAGTGAGCTGAGACCACGCCATTGTACTCTAGCCTGGGCGACAGAGCGAGACTCCATCTCAAAAAAAAAAAAAAAAAAAAAAAGCAAAAACAAACAGGCGAGATTCATTTTGATAAAATAGCTGATTTAACCTAATATACCTAAAACATCATAATTTTAACATAATCAATAGAAACATTTTTGCAAAATTTTATGTTGTTTTTTTTACCACACGACGTCTTGGAAATCTTGGTTTGGACCAGCCATGTTCAACTGCTCAGTAGCCATGTGTGGCCAGAGGCGGCCGTATTGGACAGTGCAGATGGTGCATGAGGGTGTTCGGGCAGTGGGAACAGCCAGTACAGAGGCCCTGTGGGGGCACATGCCTGCTGCTACGGGAACAGTGAGGAGCCCCGTGTGGCTGCAGTGGAGTGAGAGGGAGAAGGTGGGAGATGTCACCAACGGTCTCATCATTCATTCATTAAATCCTTTTTTTTTTTTTTTTTTTTTTTTTGAGACTGAGTTTCGCTCTTGTTGCCCAGGCTGGAGTGCAATGGTGCCATCTCGGCTCACCACAACCTCCACCTCTTGAGTTCAAGCGATTCTCCTGCCTCACCCTCCCGAGTAGCTGGGATTACAGGCATGCGTCACCATGCCCGGCTAATTTTGTATTTTTAGTAGAGCTGGGGTTTCTCTCTGTTGGTCAGGCTGGTCTCGAACTCCCGACCTCAGGTGATCTGCCCGCCTTGACCTCCCAAAGTGCTGTGATTACAGGCTTGAGCCACTGCTCCCGGTCCATTGAACGTGTGTATATATAGTTGAATAAAGAAGACACTGGAGTTTGTTCTGTATCTTCTCCTTTCAAATTCTACGCCATTTGAATTTTTTCCTCTTCCTTTTATATATTTTTAATTGACAAATTGTACATATTTATCATGTACATATTGTTTTGAAATATGTATATACCGTAGAATGGCTAAATCAAGATCATTAACATATGTATTACTTTACCTATTTTCCTTTTTTCGTTGTGTCTCTGCCAGGTTTCGGTATCAGAATGACTCTGACCTCATAGAATGAGTTAGAGAGCAGTTGCTCCTCCTCAATTGTGTGGAATAATTTCAGTAGGATTGGTGCCGGCTTTTCTTTACACATCTGGTAGAATTCGACTGTGAATCCGTCTAGTCTAAGGTTTTTTGCGCTGGTTGGTAGGTCTTGTATGACTAACTCAATTTTGGAACTCATCGTTGGTTTGTTCAGGGTTTCCATTTCTTCCTGGTTCAATCTTGAGAGGTTTTATGTTTCCAGGAATTTCTCTATTTCTTCTAGTTTTCTAGTTTTTGTGCATAGAGGCATGTGGAATAGTCTCAGGGTTTCTTGTATGTCTGTGGGTCAGTGGTAATGTCACCTCTGTCATTTCTGATTGTGTTTATTTGGATCTTGTCTTTTTTTCTTTATTAATCTAGCTAGTGGTCTTTCCATGTTATTTATGCTTCCAAAAATATCAACTTTGTATGAATTAACAGCATTTGCAGTGACCTGGATGAGACCGGAGAGTATTATTCTAAGTGAAGTAACTCAGGAATGGAAAACCAAACATCGTATGTTCTCACTGATATGTGGGGCCTAAGCTATGAGGACACAAAGGCATAAGAATGATACAATGGACTTTGGGGACTTAGGGGGACGAGTTGGCGAGGGCGAGGGATAAAAGACAACAAATAGGGGGTAGTGTATACTGCTCAGGTGATGGGTGCACCAAAATCACAAATCACCACTAAAGAGCTTATGTAACCACATACCACCTGTACCCCAATAATTTATGGAATAAATAATAAATAAATAATTTTTTTAAAAAATCAACTTTGGGTTTCATTGATCTTTTGTATGGTATTTTACATCTCAATTTCATTCAGCTCAGCTCTGATTTTGTTTTTTTTTTTTCTTCTGCTAGCTTTGGGGTTGATTTGCTCTTGTTTTTCTAATTCCTCTAGGTGTGATGTTAGGCGGTTCATTTGAGATCTTTCTAGCTTCTTAATGTAGCCATATAGCACTAGAAACTTCCTCTGAGCACTGTTCTAGCTGTGTCCCAGAGATTCTGGGATGTTGTATGTTTGTTTTCATTAGTTTCAAATAATTTTTTTATTTCTGCCTTAATTTCAGTCTTTACCCAAAAGTCATTTGGAAGCAGGTTGTTTAATTTCCATGATGACTCTAGGCCGGGCATGGTGGCTCATGCCTGTAATCCCAGCCACTTGGGAGGCTGAGGCAGGAGAATCGCTTGAATCCAGGAGGCAGAGGTTTCAGTGAGCCAAGATCACGCCACTGCACTCCAGCCCGGGCGACAGAGTGAGGCTGCGTCTCAAAAAAAAAAAAAAAAAAATTGCCCCTTCTTAAGTTTGCATTTAGATCTCTTCTCCTTTGACCACTTTTAATTTATCTTCACTTCTGATATGACATTTTATTTTTTATTCATTTTCTGCCTGTTTATTATTGTTCCTCTTTTAACTTAAAAAAAAAACATGTGTGTACTTTATGAATTTCTGTTTCAAGGTGTTTTTCCCATCTCCAAATGCTTACTTGAAAATATTTCCTTTCCTCTTGGTTCATTTCTTCTGGTGTGTGTGTGCGCACGCCCGCGTGCATGTGTGTACTCGGGTCTCATTTTCTGCTTTCTTCCTGCAGTACCTCGTTTATGGGAGATGCACTTCGCTTTTGTTATTTTTTTAGTAGAGAGGGGGTTTCACTGGCTTAGCCAGAACAGTCTCGATCTCCTGACCTCGTGATCCGCCCACCTCGGGCTCCCAAAGTGCTGGGATTCCAGGAGTGAGCCACCGCGCCCGGCCGTCCACTTTGCTTCTTGCAGAGGCTGATGGTTTGAGTAATTTCCGAGATTCATAGCTCGAGCGCGCCCTGTTCTGTCTATGCAGTGAAGGGCAGCTTTTTGCATCCGCGGCTTTTTGTTGGCAAGGAGGAATGTGCAGTGGCCAGATTTGTTTCTTCCCCTTTTGTTGCTGTTGTTGTTGTTGCTGCTGCTGTTATTGTTGTTGTTGTTGTATTTTATTTTGTAGCATCCTAAAGTGTCCCCTCCTTCTATTTCTTATCCTTATCCAGGTAGGGTGTAGAAAAGCTAACTTAAGGGGCAGGGGAGAGAGAGAAAGAGAGGAAGAGAAAATGAGAATGAATGACAATACATGAACCCATGGGTCAACCTTTATTTCAAGGCAGCCCAAAAGGACGGCTCTCCCTTCTCTTTCACTCTCTTCTCTAGGTGTGAAGCTGATGCAGCACAGGCGAGCCCCAAAATTGAGGCTTAGCCCGGGGGGGTTCTTGGCTTCTCCTAGAAACTAATTCAAGAAGCCGGGCGCAGTGGCTCACGCCTGTAATCCCAGCACTTTGGGAGGCTGAGGCGGATGGATCACTTGAGGTAAGGAGTTCGAGACCAGCCTGGCCAACATGGTGAAACCCCATCTCTACTAAATATACAAAAATTACCCGGGCATGGGGACGGGTGCCTGTAATCCCAGCTGTTCAGGAGGCTGAGGCAGGGGAATCGCTTGAACCCGGGAGGCGGAGGTTGCAGTGAACAGAGATCGTGTCACTGCACTCCAGCCTGGGTGATAGAGTGAGGCTGCGAATCAAAAAAACAAAACAAAACAAAACAAAACAAAACAAAACAAAACAATTCAAGGGCAGGCCGGTGGTTTTAGACGGCAACTTTTACTGAAGCGTCAGTGCACAGCCACAGCAGAGGGACACACACCTGTATCTTTTCTAAGACTGGGAGAATTTTACAATTGCTTGACTAATTGAACAGTGCCTCGAGGATGTTACACTAGGTTATAAATAAATTCCTGCCGTGTTTAGCTGAGGCACGAACACAATGCCCACTGACAATTCCACTTTCCTCGAGGGCCATTCTTTATGAAAGGCTGTAGGAGTTCCACGACATTGTTGATTCCTGGATTCTCCAAGTCTCTAGAACTTGAGAACTACTTTTGTGTATTTTTTTAAACTTTAAGTCCAGAGTTTCTAATGTCCGTTTTATACTACTATAAAATGGTACTATGTATTCTTTATTTATGGTACTATTTACACTTTATTTTATACAGACTCTGGCTCCACAAAAAATGTTAAAAATTAGCCAGGTGCAGTGGTGCACATCTGCGGCCCCAGCTACTCAGGAGGCTGAGGCAGAAGGATTGCTTGAGCTCGGATGGTCAGGGCTGCAATGAGCTATGATCACACATCACATCAATGCACTCCAGCCTGGGCAACAGAGTGAGACCCTGTCTCTAAAAGAATAGAAGAGGCTGGGCGCGGTGGCTCACGCCTGTCATCCTAGCACTTTGGGAGACCAAGGCGAGTGGATCATTTGAGGCCAGGTGTTCAAGACCAGCCTGGTCAACATGGCGAAACCCCATCTCTTGGCAGGCGACTGTAATCCCAGCTACTCAGGAGGCTGAGATAGGAGACTCCCTTGAACCGACGAGGCAGAGGTTGCAGTGAGCCAAGATCACACCACTGCACTCCAGCCTGGGCAACAGAGCAAGCCTCGGTCTCCCAAAAAAAAAAAAAAAAGAAAGATACATTGAAGTAATTTAAAAACACTTAGGAAGATGTCATTTCTTCCTATCAAGACGTCCTCCCTTTATGTTTTGTTGTTATATTGGGAACGATAAAAAAATTTTTTTTTCAACCCATGTGGACCAGGTTGGCCTCGAACTCGTGCCCTCGAACCCTCGCCTCTCTGAGGGTCCGAGGGCCCGCGCAACCGGCCGGAGCCACAATGGCTCCGGGTGTCGGGGCTGACCTTTAGGCCCTTTGATCTTACGCAGGGTGAGGGAGCCAATCACCAGAGGCTCACCCCTGACGTCACCCAGTCCCCAGGGCCAGTGAGGGCCCTGCGTTCCATGGCGCCCCCTGGAGGGAGGAAGGGGAACTGTATCTGAGAGTTCAGTATCTGACAATAAGGAAAAGGCATAGGAGATCAGATGGTGCCTAGTGTTCTGGAGAGAAGAAACAACGGGGTTGGCGAATTGGCAGTTGCACTTTATAATACACGCCTCATGTATAAGGCAGACCTCATGGGGAAGATAACATCTGTGCAGAGAAATGGAGATGAGGGCTAGGAGCCATGCAAATACTGGAACATGCTTGCCAGCAGAAGTCGAGAAACATGGCCGGCGCAGTGGCCCACACCTGTAATCCCAGGACTTTGGGAGGCCGAGGCAGGTAGATCACGAGGTCAGCAGTTCGAGACCAGCCTGGCCAACGTGGTGAAACCCTGTCTCTACAAAAATACAAAAATTAGCTGGGTGTGGTGGCACACGCCTGTAATCCCAGCCACTTGGGAGGGTGAGGTAGGAGAATCGCTTGAACCTGGGAGGTAGAGGTTGCAGTGATGCAGTGAGCTGAGACCACGCCATTGTACTCTAGCCTGGGCGACAGAGCGAGACTCCATCTCAAAAAAAAAAAAAAAAAAAAAAAAAGCAAAAACAAACAGGCGAGATTCATTTTGATAAAATAGCTGATTTAACCTAATATACCTAAAACATCATAATTTTAACATAATCAATAGAAACATTTTTGCAAAACTTTATGTTGTTTTTTTTACCACACGACGTCTTGGAAATCTTGGTTTGGACCAGCCATGTTCAACTGCTCAGTAGCCATGTGTGGCCAGAGGCGGCCGTATTGGACAGTGCAGATGGTGCATGAGGGTGTTCGGGCAGTGGGAACAGCCAGTACAGAGGCCCTGTGGGGGCACATGCCTGCTGCTACGGGAACAGTGAGGAGCCCCGTGTGGCTGCAGTGGAGTGAGAGGGAGAAGGTGGGAGATGTCACCAACGGTCTCATCATTCATTCATTAAATCCTTTTTTTTTTTTTTTTTTTTTTTTTTGAGACTGAGTTTCGCTCTTGTTGCCCAGGCTGGAGTGCAATGGTGCCATCTCGGCTCACCACAACCTCCACCTCTTGAGTTCAAGCGATTCTCCTGCCTCACCCTCCCGAGTAGCTGGGATTACAGGCATGCGTCACCATGCCCGGCTAATTTTGTATTTTTAGTAGACCTGGGGTTTCTCTCTGTTGGTCAGGCTGGTCTCGAACTCCCGACCTCAGGTGATCTGCCCGCCTTGACCTCCCAAAGTGCTGTGATTACAGGCTTGAGCCACTGCTCCCGGTCCATTGAACGTGTGTATATATAGTTGAATAAAGAAGACACTGGAGTTTGTTCTGTATCTTCTCCTTTCAAATTCTACGCCATTTGAATTTTTTCCTCTTCCTTTTATATATTTTTAATTGACAAATTGTACATATTTATCATGTACATATTGTTTTGAAATATGTATATACCGTAGAATGGCTAAATCAAGATCATTAACATATGTATTACTTTACCTATTTTCCTTTTTTCGTTGTGTCTCTGCCAGGTTTCGGTATCAGAATGACTCTGACCTCATAGAATGAGTTAGAGAGCAGTTGCTCCTCCTCAATTGTGTGGAATAATTTCAGTAGGATTGGTGCCGGCTTTTCTTTACACATCTGGTAGAATTCGACTGTGAATCCGTCTAGTCTAAGGTTTTTTGCGCTGGTTGGTAGGTCTTGTATGACTAACTCAATTTTGGAACTCATCGTTGGTTTGTTCAGGGTTTCCATTTCTTCCTGGTTCAATCTTGAGAGGTTTTATGTTTCCAGGAATTTCTCTATTTCTTCTAGTTTTCTAGCTTTTGTGCATAGAGGCATGTGGAATAGTCTCAGGGTTTCTTGTATGTCTGTGGGTCAGTGGTAATGTCACCTCTGTCATTTCTGATTGTGTTTATTTGGATCTTGTCTTTTTTTCTTTATTAATCTAGCTAGTGGTCTTTCCATGTTATTTATGCTTCCAAAAATATCAACTTTGTATGAATTAACAGCATTTGCAGTGACCTGGATGAGACCGGAGAGTATTATTCTAAGTGAAGTAACTCAGGAATGGAAAACCAAACATCGTATGTTCTCACTGATATGTGGGACCTAAGCTATGAGGACACAAAGGCATAAGAATGATACAATGGACTTTGGGGACTTAGGGGGACGAGTTGGCGAGGGCGAGGGATAAAAGACAACAAATAGGGGGTAGTGTATACTGCTCAGGTGATGGGTGCACCAAAATCACAAATCACCACTAAAGAGCTTATGTAACCACATACCACCTGTACCCCAATAATTTATGGAATAAATAATAAATAAATAATTTTTTTAAAAAATCAACTTTGGGTTTCATTGATCTTTTGTATGGTATTTTACATCTCAATTTCATTCAGCTCAGCTCTGATTTTGTTTTTTTTTTTTTTCTTCTGCTAGCTTTGGGGTTGATTTGCTCTTGTTTTTCTAATTCCTCTAGGTGTGATGTTAGGCGGTTCATTTGAGATCTTTCTAGCTTCTTAATGTAGCCATATAGCACTAGAAACTTCCTCTGAGCACTGTTCTAGCTGTGTCCCAGAGATTCTGGGATGTTGTATGTTTGTTTTCATTAGTTTCAAATAATTTTTTTATTTCTGCCTTAATTTCAGTCTTTACCCAAAAGTCATTTGGAAGCAGGTTGTTTAATTTCCATGATGACTCTAGGCCGGGCATGGTGGCTCATGCCTGTAATCCCAGCCACTTGGGAGGCTGAGGCAGGAGAATCGCTTGAATCCAGGAGGCAGAGGTTTCAGTGAGCCAAGATCACGCCACTGCACTCCAGCCCGGGCGACAGAGTGAGGCTGCGTCTCAAAAAAAAAAAAAAAAAAATTGCCCCTTCTTAAGTTTGCATTTAGATCTCTTCTCCTTTGACCACTTTTAATTTATCTTCACTTCTGATATGACATTTTATTTTTTATTCATTTTCTGCCTGTTTATTATTGTTCCTCTTTTAACTTAAAAAAAAAACATGTGTGTACTTTATGAATTTCTGTTTCAAGGTGTTTTTCCCATCTCCAAATGCTTACTTGAAAATATTTCCTTTCCTCTTGGTTCATTTCTTCTGGTGTGTGTGTGCGCACGCCCGCGTGCATGTGTGTACTCGGGTCTCATTTTCTGCTTTCTTCCTGCAGTACCTCGTTTATGGGAGATGCACTTCGCTTTTGTTATTTTTTTAGTAGAGAGGGGGTTTCACTGGTTTAGCCAGAACAGTCTCGATCTCCTGACCTCGTGATCCGCCCACCTCGGGCTCCCAAAGTGCTGGGATTCCAGGAGTGAGCCACCGCGCCCGGCCGTCCACTTTGCTTCTTGCAGAGGCTGATGGTTTGAGTAATTTCCGAGATTCATAGCTCGAGCGCGCCCTGTTCTGTCTATGCAGTGAAGGGCAGCTTTTTGCATCCGCGGCTTTTTGTTGGCAAGGAGGAATGTGCAGTGGCCAGATTTGTTTCTTCCCCTTTTGTTGCTGTTGTTGTTGTTGCTGCTGCTGTTATTGTTGTTGTTGTATTTTATTTTGTAGCATCCTAAAGTGTCCCCTCCTTCTATTTCTTATCCTTATCCAGGTAGGGTGTAGAAAAGCTAACTTAAGGGGCAGGGGAGAGAGAGAAAGAGAGGAAGAGAAAATGAGAATGAATGACAATACATGAACCCATGGGTCAACCTTTATTTCAAGGCAGCCCAAAAGGACGGCTCTCCCTTCTCTTTCACTCTCTTCTCTAGGTGTGAAGCTGATGCAGCACAGGCGAGCCCCAAAATTGAGGCTTAGCCCGGGGGGGTTCTTGGCTTCTCCTAGAAACTAATTCAAGAAGCCGGGCGCAGTGGCTCACGCCTGTAATCCCAGCACTTTGGGAGGCTGAGGCGGATGGATCACTTGAGGTAAGGAGTTCGAGACCAGCCTGGCCAACATGGTGAAACCCCATCTCTACTAAATATACAAAAATTACCCGGGCATGGGGACGGGTGCCTGTAATCCCAGCTGTTCAGGAGGCTGAGGCAGGGGAATCGCTTGAACCCGGGAGGCGGAGGTTGCAGTGAACAGAGATCGTGTCACTGCACTCCAGCCTGGGTGATAGAGTGAGGCTGCGAATCAAAAAAACAAAACAAAACAAAACAAAACAATTCAAGGGCAGGCCGGTGGTTTTAGACGGCAACTTTTACTGAAGCGTCAGTGCACAGCCACAGCAGAGGGACACACACCTGTATCTTTTCTAAGACTGGGAGAATTTTACAATTGCTTGACTAATTGAACAGTGCCTCGAGGATGTTACACTAGGTTATAAATAAATTCCTGTCGTGTTTAGCTGAGGCACGAACACAATGCCCACTGACAATTCCACTTTCCTCGAGGGCCATTCTTTATGAAAGGCTGTAGGAGTTCCACGACATTGTTGATTCCTGGATTCTCCAAGTCTCTAGAACTTGAGAACTACTTTTGTGTATTTTTTTAAACTTTAAGTCCAGAGTTTCTAATGTCCGTTTTATACTACTATAAAATGGTACTATGTATTCTTTATTTATGGTACTATTTACACTTTATTTTATACAGACTCTGGCTCCACAAAAAATGTTAAAAATTAGCCAGGTGCAGTGGTGCACATCTGCGGCCCCAGCTACTCAGGAGGCTGAGGCAGAAGGATTGCTTGAGCTCGGATGGTCAGGGCTGCAATGAGCTATGATCACACATCACATCAATGCACTCCAGCCTGGGCAACACAGTGAGACCCTGTCTCTAAAAGAATAGAAGAGGCTGGGCGCGGTGGCTCACGCCTGTCATCCTACCACTTTGGGAGACCAAGGCGAGTGGATCATTTGAGGCCAGGTGTTCAAGACCAGCCTGGTCAACATGGCGAAACCCCATCTCTTGGCAGGCGACTGTAATCCCAGCTACTCAGGAGGCTTAGATAGGAGACTCCCTTGAACCGACGAGGCGGAGGTTGCAGTGAGCGAAGATCACACCACTGCACTCCAGCCTGGGCAACAGAGCAAGGCTCGGTCTCCCAAAAAAAAAAAAAAAAAAGACACATGGAAGTAATTTAAAAACACTTAGGAAGATGTCATTTCTTCCTATCAAGGCGTCCTCCCTTTATGTTTTGTCGTTATATTGGGAACGATAAAAAAAAGTCCTTTTTTCCGACCCATGTGGACCAGGCTGGCCTCGAACTCGTGCCCTGGAACCCCCGCCTCCGTGAGGGCCCGAGGGCAGGCGCAACCTGCCTGAGCCACAATGGCTCCGGGTGTCGGGGCTGTCCTTTAGTCCCTTTGATCTTACGCAGGGTGAGGGAGCCAATCACCAGAGGCTCCCCCCTGTCGTCACCCAGTCCCCAGGGCCAGTGAGGGCCCTGCGTTCCATGGCGCCCCCTGGAGGGAGGAAGGGGAACTGTATCTGAGAGTTCAGTATCTGACAATAAGGAAAAGGCATAGGAGATCAGATGGTGCCTAGTGTTCTGGAGAGAAGAAACAACGGGGTTGGGGAATGCGGAGTTGCAGTTTATAATACAGGCCTCATGTATAAGGCAGACCTCATGGGGAAGGTAACATCTGTGCAGAGAAATGGAGATGAGGGCTAGGAGCCATGCAAATACTGGAACATGCTTGCCAGCAGAAGTCGAGAAACATGGCTGGCGCAGTGGCCCACACCTGTAATCCCAGGACTTTGGGAGGCCGAGGCAGGTAGATCACGAGGTCAGCAGTTCGAGACCAGCCTGGCCAACATGGTGAAACCCTGTCTCTACTAAAAATACAAAAATTAGCTGGGTGTGGTGGCACACGCCTGTAATCCCAGCCACTTGGGAGGGTGAGGTAGGAGAATCGCTTGAACCTGGGAGGTAGAGGTTGCAGTGATGCAGTGAGCCGAGACCACGCCATTGTACTCTAGCCTGGGCGACAGAGCGAGCCTCCATCTCAAAAAAAAAAAAAAAAAAAAAAAGCAAAAACAAACAGGCGAGATTCATTTGGATAAAATAGCTGATTTAACCTAATATACCTAAAACATCATAATTTTAACATAATCAATAGAAACATTTTTGCAAGATTTTATGTTATTTTTTACCATACGACGTCTTGGAAATGTTGGTTTGGACCAGCCATGTTCAACTGCTCAGTAGCCATGTGTGGCCAGAGGCGGCCGTATTGGACAGTGCAGATGGTGCATGAGGGTGTTCGGGCAGTGGGAACAGCCAGTACAGAGGCCCAGTGGGGGCACATGCCTGCTGCTACGGGAACAGTGAGGAGCCCCGTGTGGCTGCAGTGGAGTGAGAGGGAGAAGGTGGGAGATGTAACCAACAGTCTCATCATTCATTCATTAAATCCTTTTTTTTCTTTTTTTGAGACTGAGTTTCGCTCTTGTTGCCCAGGCTGGAGTGCAATGGTGCCATCTCGGCTCACCACAACCTCCACCTCTTGAGTTCAAGCGATTCTCCTGCCTCAGCCTTCCGAGTAGCTGGGATTACAGGCATGCGCCACCATGCCCGGCTAATTTTGTATTTTTAGTAGAGCTGGGGTTTCTCCCTGTTGGTCAGGCTGGTCTCGAACTCCCGACCTCAGGTGATCTGCCCGCCTTGACCTCCCAAAGTGCTGTGATTACAGGCTTGAGCCACTGCTCCCAGTCCATTGAATGTGTGTATATATAGTTGAATAAAGAAGACACCGGAGTTTGTTCTGTATCTTCTCCTTTCAAATTCTGTGCCATTTGAATTTTTTCCTATTCCTTTTATATATTTTTAATTGACAAATTGTACATATTTATCATGTACATATTGTTTTGAAATATGTATATACCGTAGAATGGCTAAATCAAGATCATTAACATATGTATTACTTTACCTATTTTCCTTTTTTCGTTGTGTCTCTGCCAGGTTTCGGTATCAGAATGACTCTGACCTCATAGAATGAGTTAGAGAGCAGTTGCTCCTCCTCAATTGTGTGGAATAATTTCAGTAGGATTGGTGCCGCCTTTTCTTTACACATCTGGTAGGATTCGACTGTGAATCCGTCTAGTCTAAGGTTTTTTGTGCTGGTTGGTAGGTTTTGTATGACTAACTCAATTTTGGAACTCATCGTTGGTTTGTTCAGGGTTTCCATTTCTTCCTGGTTCAATCTTGAGAGGTTTTATGTTTCCAGGAATTTCTCTATTTCTTCTAGTTTTCTAGTTTGTGTGCATAGAGGCATGTGGAATAGTCTCAGGGTTTCTTGTATATCTGTGGGTCAGTGGTAATGTCACCTTTGTCATTTCTGATTGTGTTTATTTGGATCTTGTCTTTTTTTCTTTATTAATCTAGCTAGTGGTCTTCCCATGTTATTTATGCTTTCAAAAATATCAACTTTGTATGAATTAACAGCATTTGCCGTGACCTGGATGAGACCGGAGACTGTTATTCTAACTGAAGTAACTCAGGAATGGAAAACCAAACATCGTATGTTCTCACTGATATGTGGGAGCTAAGCTATGAGGACGCAAAGGCGTAAGAATGATACAATGGACTTTGGGGACTTAGGGGGACGAGTTGGCGGGGGCGAGGGATAAAATACAACAAGTAGGGTGTAGTGTATACTGCTCAGGTGATGGGTGCACCAAAATCACAAATCACCACTAAAGAGCTTATGTAACCACACACCACCTGTACCCCAATAATTTATGGAATAAATAATAAATAAATAATTTTTTTAAAAAATCAACTTTGGGTTTCATTGATCTTTTGTATGGTTTTTTACGTCTCCATTTCATTCAGGTCAGCTCCGATGTTGGTTTTTTTTTTTCTTCTGCTAGCTTTGGGGTTGATTTGCTCTTGTTTTTCTAATTCCTCTAGGTGTGATGTTAGGCGGTTCATTTGAGATCTTTCTAGCTTCTTAGTGTAGCCATATAGCACTAGAAACTTCCTTTGAGCACTGTTCTAGCTGTGTCCCAGAGATTCTGGGATGTTGTATGTTTGTTTTCATTAGTTTCAAATAATTTTTTTATTTCTGCCTTAAATTCAGTCTTTACCCAAAAGTCATTTGGAAGCAGGTTGTTTAATTTCCATGATGACTCTAGGCCGGGCATGGTGGCTCATGCCTGTAATCCCAGCCACTTGGGAGGCTGAGGCAGGAGAATCGCTTGAATCCAGGAGGCAGAGGTTTCAGTGAGCCAAGATCACGCCACTGCACTCCAGCCCGGGCGACAGAGTGAGGCTGCGTCTCAAAAAAAAAAAAAAAAAAAAAAATTGCCCCTTCTTAAGTTTGCATTTAGATCTCTTCTCCTTTGACCACTTTTAATTTATCTTCACTTCTGATATGACATTTAATTTTTCGTTCATTTTCTGTCTATTATTGTTCCTTTTTTAACTTAAAAAAAAATTCTGTGCTTTATGAATTTCTGTTTCAAGGTGTTTTTCCCATCTCCAAATGCTTATTTGAAAATGTTTCCTTTCCTCTTGGTTCATTTCTTCTGGTGTGTGTGTGCGCGCGCCCGCGTGCATGTGTGTACTCGGGTCTCATTTTCTGCTTTCTTCCTGCAGTACCTCGTTTATGGGAGATGCACTTCGCTTTTGTTATTTTTTTAGTAGAGAGGGGGTTTCACTGGTTTAGCCAGAACAGTCTCGATCTCCTGACCTCGTGATCCGCCCACCTCGGGCTCCCAAAGTGCTGGGATTCCAGGAGTGAGCCACCGCGCCCGGCCGTCCACTTTGCTTCTTGCAGAGGCTGATGGTTTGAGTAATTTCCGAGATTCATAGCTCGAGCGCGCCCTGTTCTGTCTATGCAGTGAAGGGCAGCTTTTTGCATCCGCGGCTTTTTGTTGCCAAGGAGGAATGTGCAGTGGCCAGATTTGTTTCTTCCCCTTTTGTTGCTGTTGTTGTTGTTGCTGCTGCTGTTATTGTTGTTGTTGTTGTATTTTATTTTGTAGCATCCTAAAGTGTCCCCTCCTTCTATTTCTTATCCTTATCCAGGTAGGGTGTAGAAAAGCTAACTTAAGGGGCAGGGGAGAGAGAGAAAGAGAGGAAGAGAAAATGAGAATGAATGACAATACATGAACCCATGGGTCAACCTTTATTTCAAGGCAGCCCAAAAGGACGGCTCTCCCTTCTCTTTCACTCTCTTCTCTAGGTGTGAAGCTGATGCAGCACAGGCGAGCCCCAAAATTGAGGCTTAGCCCGGGGGGGTTCTTGGCTTCTCCTAGAAACTAATTCAAGAAGCCGGGCGCAGTGGCTCACGCCTGTAATCCCAGCACTTTGGGAGGCTGAGGCGGATGGATCACTTGAGGTAAGGAGTTCGAGACCAGCCTGGCCAACATGGTGAAACCCCATCTCTACTAAATATACAAAAATTACCCGGGCATGGGGACGGGTGCCTGTAATCCCAGCTGTTCAGGAGGCTGAGGCAGGGGAATCGCTTGAACCCGGGAGGCGGAGGTTGCAGTGAACAGAGATCGTGTCACTGCACTCCAGCCTGGGTGATAGAGTGAGGCTGCGAATCAAAAAAACAAAACAAAACAAAACAAAACAAAACAAAACAAAACAAAACAATTCAAGGGCAGGCCGGTGGTTTTAGACGGCAACTTTTACTGAAGCGTCAGTGCACAGCCACAGCAGAGGGACACACACCTGTATCTTTTCTAAGACTGGGAGAATTTTACAATTGCTTGACTAATTGAACAGTGCCTCGAGGATGTTACACTAGGTTATAAATAAATTCCTGCCGTGTTTAGCTGAGGCACGAACACAATGCCCACTGACAATTCCACTTTCCTCGAGGGCCATTCTTTATGAAAGGCTGTAGGAGTTCCACGACATTGTTGATTCCTGGATTCTCCAAGTCTCTAGAACTTGAGAACTACTTTTGTGTATTTTTTTAAACTTTAAGTCCAGAGTTTCTAATGTCCGTTTTATACTACTATAAAATGGTACTATGTATTCTTTATTTATGGTACTATTTACACTTTATTTTATACAGACTCTGGCTCCACAAAAAATGTTAAAAATTAGCCAGGTGCAGTGGTGCACATCTGCGGCCCCAGCTACTCAGGAGGCTGAGGCAGAAGGATTGCTTGAGCTCGGATGGTCAGGGCTGCAATGAGCTATGATCACACATCACATCAATGCACTCCAGCCTGGGCAACAGAGTGAGACGCTGTCTCTAAAAGAATAGAAGAGGCTGGGCGCGGTGGCTCACGCCTGTCATCCTACCACTTTGGGAGACCAAGGCGAGTGGATCATTTGAGGCCAGGTGTTCAAGACCAGCCTGGTCAACATGGCGAAACCCCATCTCTTGGCAGGCGACTGTAATCCCAGCTACTCAGGAGGCTGAGATAGGAGACTCCCTTGAACCGACGAGGCAGAGGTTGCAGTGAGCCAAGATCACACCACTGCACTCCAGCCTGGGCAACAGAGCAAGCCTCGGTCTCCCAAAAAAAAAAAAAAAAAAAGAAAGATACATTGAAGTAATTTAAAAACACTTAGGAAGATGTCATTTCTTCCTATCAAGGCGTCCTCCCTTTATGTTTTGTTGTTATATTGGGAACGATAAAAAAAATTTTTTTTTCAACCCATGTGGACCAGGTTGGCCTCGAACTCGTGCCCTCGAACCCTCGCCTCTCTGAGGGTCCGAGGGCCCGCGCAACCGGCCGGAGCCACAATAGCTCCGGGTGTCGGGGCTGACCTTTAGGCCCTTTGATCTTACGCAGGGTGAGGGAGCCAATCACCAGAGGCTCACCCCTGACGTCACCCAGTCCCCAGGGCCAGTGAGGGCCCTGCGTTCCATGGCGCCCCCTGGAGGGATGAAGGGGAACTGTATCTGAGAGTTCAGTATCTGACAATAAGGAAAAGGCATAGGAGATCAGATGGTGCCTAGTGTTCTGGAGAGAAGAAACAACGGGGTTGGCGAATTGGCAGTTGCACTTTATAATACAGGCCTCATGTATAAGGCAGACCTCATGGGGAAGATAACATCTGTGCAGAGAAATGGAGATGAGGGCTAGGAGCCATGCAAATACTGGAACATGCTTGCCAGCAGAAGTCGAGAAACATGGCCGGCGCAGTGGCCCACACCTGTAATCCCAGGACTTTGGGAGGCCGAGGCAGGTAGATCACGAGGTCAGCAGTTCGAGACCAGCCTGGCCAACATGGTGAAACCCTGTCTCTACAAAAATACAAAAATTAGCTGGGTGTGGTGGCACACGCCTGTAATCCCACCCACTTGGGAGGGTGAGGTAGGAGAATCGCTTGAACCTGGGAGGTAGAGGTTGCAGTGATGCAGTGAGCTGAGACCACGCCATTGTACTCTAGCCTGGGCGACAGAGCGAGACTCCATCTCAAAAAAAAAAAAAAAAAAAAAAAAAAAGCAAAAACAAACAGGCGAGATTCATTTTTATAAAATAGCTGATTTAACCTAATATACCTAAAACATCATAATTTTAACATAATCAATAGAAACATTTTTGCAAAATTTTATGTTGTTTTTTTTACCACACGACGTCTTGGAAATCTTGGTTTGGACCAGCCATGTTCAACTGCTCAGTAGCCATGTGTGGCCAGAGGCGGCCGTATTGGACAGTGCAGATGGTGCATGAGGGTGTTCGGGCAGTGGGAACAGCCAGTACAGAGGCCCTGTGGGGGCACATGCCTGCTGCTACGGGAACAGTGAGGAGCCCCGTGTGGCTGCAGTGGAGTGAGAGGGAGAAGGTGGGAGATGTCACCAACGGTCTCATCATTCATTCATTAAATCCTTTTTCTTTTTTTTTTTTTTTTTGAGACTGAGTTTCGCTCTTGTTGCCCAGGCTGGAGTGCAATGGTGCCATCTCGGCTCACCACAACCTCCACCTCTTGAGTTCAAGCGATTCTCCTGCCTCACCCTCCCGAGTAGCTGGGATTACAGGCATGCGTCACCATGCCCGGCTAATTTTGTATTTTTAGTAGAGCTGGGGTTTCTCTCTGTTGGTCAGGCTGGTCTCGAACTCCCGACCTCAGGTGATCTGCCCGCCTTGACCTCCCAAAGTGCTGTGATTACAGGCTTGAGCCACTGCTCCCGGTCCATTGAACGTGTGTATATATAGTTGAATAATAAGACACTGGAGTTTGTTCTGTATCTTCTCCTTTCAAATTCTACGCCATTTGAATTTTTTCCTCTTCCTTTTATATATTTTTAATTGACAAATTGTACATATTTATCATGTACATATTGTTTTGAAATATGTATATACCGTAGAATGGCTAAATCAAGATCATTAACATATGTATTACTTTACCTATTTTCCTTTTTTCGTTGTGTCTCTGCCAGGTTTCGGTATCAGAATGACTCTGACCTCATAGAATGAGTTAGAGAGCAGTTGCTCCTCCTCAATTGTGTGGAATAATTTCAGTAGGATTGGTGCCGCCTTTTCTTTACACATCTGGTAGGATTCGACTGTGAATCCGTCTAGTCTAAGGTTTTTTGTGCTGGTTGGTAGGTTTTGTATGACTAACTCAATTTTGGAACTCATCGTTGGTTTGTTCAGGGTTTCCATTTCTTCCTGGTTCAATCTTGAGAGGTTTTATGTTTCCAGGAATTTCTCTATTTCTTCTAGTTTTCTAGTTTGTGTGCATAGAGGCATGTGGAATAGTCTCAGGGTTTCTTGTATATCTGTGGGTCAGTGGTAATGTCACCTTTGTCATTTCTGATTGTGTTTATTTGGATCTTGTCTTTTTTTCTTTATTAATCTAGCTAGTGGTCTTCCCATGTTATTTATGCTTTCAAAAATATCAACTTTGTATGAATTAACAGCATTTGCCGTGACCTGGATGAGACCGGAGACTGTTATTCTAACTGAAGTAACTCAGGAATGGAAAACCAAACATCGTATGTTCTCACTGATATGTGGGAGCTAAGCTATGAGGACGCAAAGGCGTAAGAATGATACAATGGACTTTGGGGACTTAGGGGGACGAGTTGGCGGGGGCGAGGGATAAAATACAACAAGTAGGGTGTAGTGTATACTGCTCAGGTGATGGGTGCACCAAAATCACAAATCACCACTAAAGAGCTTATGTAACCACACACCACCTGTACCCCAATAATTTATGGAATAAATAATAAATAAATAATTTTTTTAAAAAATCAACTTTGGGTTTCATTGATCTTTTGTATGGTTTTTTACGTCTCCATTTCATTCAGGTCAGCTCCGATGTTGGTTTTCTTTTTTTCTTCTGCTAGCTTTGGGGTTGATTTGCTCTTGTTTTTCTAATTCCTCTAGGTGTGATGTTAGGCGGTTCATTTGAGATCTTTCTAGCTTCTTAGTGTAGCCATATAGCACTAGAAACTTCCTTTGAGCACTGTTCTAGCTGTGTCCCAGAGATTCTGGGATGTTGTATGTTTGTTTTCATTAGTTTCAAATAATTTTTTTATTTCTGCCTTAAATTCAGTCTTTACCCAAAAGTCATTTGGAAGCAGGTTGTTTAATTTCCATGATGACTCTAGGCCGGGCATGGTGGCTCATGCCTGTAATCCCAGCCACTTGGGAGGCTGAGGCAGGAGAATCGCTTGAATCCAGGAGGCAGAGGTTTCAGTGAGCCAAGATCACGCCACTGCACTCCAGCCTGGGCGACAGAGTGAGGCTGCGTCTCAAAAAAAAAAAAAAAAAAATTGCCCCTTCTTAAGTTTGCATTTAGATCTCTTCTCCTTTGACCACTTTTAATTTATCTTCACTTCTGATATGACATTTAATTTTTCATTCATTTTCTGTCTATTATTGTTCCTTTTTTAACTTAAAAAAAAATTCTGTGCTTTATGAATTTCTGTTTCAAGGTGTTTTTCCCATCTCCAAATGCTTATTTGAAAATGTTTCCTTTCCTCTTGGTTCATTTCTTCTGGTGTGTGTGTGCGCGCGCCCGCGTGCATGTGTGTACTCGGGTCTCATTTTCTGCTTTCTTCCTGCAGTACCTCGTTTATGGGAGATGCACTTCGCTTTTCTTATTTTTTTAGTAGAGAGGGGGTTTCACTGGTTTAGCCAGAACAGTCTCGATCTCCTGACCTCGTGATCCGCCCACCTCGGGCTCCCAAAGTGCTGGGATTCCAGGAGTGAGCCGCCGCGCCCGGCCGTCCACTTTGCTTCTTGCAGAGGCTGATGGTTTGAGTAATTTTCGAGATTCATAGCTCGAGCGCGCCCTGTTCTGTCTATGCAGTGAAGGGCAGCTTTTTGCATCCGCGGCTTTTTGTTGGCAAGGAGGAATGTGCAGTGGCCAGATTTGTTTCTTCCCCTTTTGTTGCTGTTGTTGTTGTTGCTGCTGCTGTTATTGTTGTTGTTGTTGTATTTTATTGTGTAGCATCCTAAAGTGTCCCCTCCTTCTATTTCTTATCCTTATCCAGGTAGGGTGTAGAAAAGCTAACTTAAGGGGCAGGGGAGAGAGAGAAAGAGAGGAAGAGAAAATGAGAATGAATGACAATACATGAACCCATGGGTCAACCTTTATTTCAAGGCAGCCCAAAAGGACGGCTCTCCCTTCTCTTTCACTCTCTTCTCTAGGTGTGAAGCTGATGCAGCACAGGCGAGCCCCAAAATTGAGGCTTAGCCCGGGGGGGTTCTTGGCTTCTCCTAGAAACTAATTCAAGAAGCCGGGCGCACTGGCTCACGCCTGTAATCCCAGCACTTTGGGAGGCTGAGGCGGATGGATCACTTGAGGTAAGGAGTTCGAGACCAGCCTGGCCAACATGGTGAAACCCCATCTCTACTAAATATACAAAAATTACCCGGGCATGGGGACGGGTGCCTGTAATCCCAGCTGTTCAGGAGGCTGAGGCAGGGGAATCGCTTGAACCCGGGAGGCGGAGGTTGCAGTGAACAGAGATCGTGTCACTGCACTCCAGCCTGGGTGATAGAGTGCGACTCCGTCTGAAAAAGAAAAAAAAAAAAAAAAGAATTCAAGGGCACGCCGGTGGTTTTAGACGGCAACCTTTACCGAAGCCTCAGTGCACAGCCACAGCAGAGGGACACACACCTGTATCTTTTCTAAGACTGGGAGAATTTTACAATTGCTTGACTAATTGAACAGTGCCTCGAGGATGTTACACTAGGTTATAAATAAATTCCTGCCGTGTTTAGCTGAGGCACGAACACAATGCCCACTGACAATTCCACTTTCCTCGAGGGCCATTCTTTATGAAAGGCTGTAGGAGTTCCACGACATTGTTGATTCCTGGATTCTCCAAGTCTCTAGAACTTGAGAACTACTTTTGTGTATTTTTTTAACCTTTAAGTTCAGAGTTTCTAATGTCCGTTTTATACTACTATAAAATGGTACTATGTATTCTTTATTTATGGTACTATTTACACTTTATTTTATACAGACTCTGGCTCCACAAAAATGTTAAAAATTAGCCAGGTGCAGTGGTGCACATCTGCGGCCCCAGCTACTCAGGAGGCTGAGGCAGAAGGATTGCTTGAGCTCGGATGGTCAGGGCTGCAATGAGCTATGATCACACATCACATCAATGCACTCCAGCCTGGGCAACACAGTGAGACCCTGTCTCTAAAAGAATAGAAGAGGCTGGGCGCGGTGGCTCACGCCTGTCATCCTACCACTTTGGGAGACCAAGGCGAGTGGATCATTTGAGGCCAGGTGTTCAAGACCAGCCTGGTCAACATGGCGAAACCCCATCTCTTGGCAGGCGACTGTAATCCCAGCTACTCAGGAGGCTTAGATAGGAGACTCCCTTGAACCGACGAGGCGGAGGTTGCAGTGAGCGAAGATCACACCACTGCACTCCAGCCTGGGCAACAGGGCAAGGCTCGGTCTCCCAAAAAAAAAAAAAAAAAAGACACATGGAAGTAATTTAAAAACACTTAGGAAGATGTCATTTCTTCCTATCAAGGCGTCCTCCCTTTATGTTTTGTCGTTATATTGGGAACGATAAAAAAAAGTCCTTTTTTCCGACCCATGTGGACCAGGCTGGCCTCGAACTCGTGCCCTGGAACCCCCGCCTCCGTGAGGGCCCGAGGGCAGGCGCAACCGGCCTGAGCCACAATGGCTCCGGGTGTCGGGGCTGTCCTTTAGTCCCTTTGATCTTACGCAGGGTGAGGGAGCCAATCACCAGAGGCTCCCCCCTGTCGTCACCCAGTCCCCAGGGCCAGTGAGGGCCCTGCGTTCCATGGCGCCCCCTGGAGGGAGGAAGGGGAACTGTATCTGAGAGTTCAGTATCTGACAATAAGGAAAAGGCATAGGAGATCAGATGGTGCCTAGTGTTCTGGAGAGAAGAAACAACGGGGTTGGGGAATGCGGAGTTGCAGTTTATAATACAGGCCTCATGTATAAGGCAGACCTCATGGGGAAGGTAACATCTGTGCAGAGAAATGGAGATGAGGGCTAGGAGCCATGCAAATACTGGAACATGCTTGCCAGCAGAAGTCGAGAAACATGGCTGGCGCAGTGGCCCACACCTGTAATCCCAGGACTTTGGGAGGCCGAGGCAGGTAGATCACGAGGTCAGCAGTTCGAGACCAGCCTGGCCAACATGGTGAAACCCTGTCTCTACTAAAAATACAAAAATTAGCTGGGTGTGGTGGCACACGCCTGTAATCCCAGCCACTTGGGAGGGTGAGGTAGGAGAATCGCTTGAACCTGGGAGGTAGAGGTTGCAGTGATGCAGTGAGCCGAGACCACGCCATTGTACTCTAGCCTGGGCGACAGAGCGAGCCTCCATCTCAAAAAAAAAAAAAAAAAAAAAAAGCAAAAACAAACAGGCGAGATTCATTTGGATAAAATAGCTGATTTAACCTAATATACCTAAAACATCATAATTTTAACATAATCAATAGAAACATTTTTGCAAGATTTTATGTTATTTTTTACCATACGACGTCTTGGAAATGTTGGTTTGGACCAGCCATGTTCAACTGCTCAGTAGCCATGTGTGGCCAGAGGCGGCCGTATTGGACAGTGCAGATGGTGCATGAGGGTGTTCGGGCAGTGGGAACAGCCAGTACAGAGGCCCAGTGGGGGCACATGCCTGCTGCTACGGGAACAGTGAGGAGCCCCGTGTGGCTGCAGTGGAGTGAGAGGGAGAAGGTGGGAGATGTAACCAACAGTCTCATCATTCATTCATTAAATCCTTTTTTTTCTTTTTTTGAGACTGAGTTTCGCTCTTGTTGCCCAGGCTGGAGTGCAATGGTGCCATCTCGGCTCACCACAACCTCCACCTCTTGAGTTCAAGCGATTCTCCTGCCTCAGCCTTCCGAGTAGCTGGGATTACAGGCATGCGCCACCATGCCCGGCTAATTTTGTATTTTTAGTAGAGCTGGGGTTTCTCCCTGTTGGTCAGGCTGGTCTCGAACTCCCGACCTCAGGTGATCTGCCCGCCTTGACCTCCCAAAGTGCTGTGATTACAGGCTTGAGCCACTGCTCCCAGTCCATTGAATGTGTGTATATATAGTTGAATAAAGAAGACACCGGAGTTTGTTCTGTATCTTCTCCTTTCAAATTCTGTGCCATTTGAATTTTTTCCTATTCCTTTTATATATTTTTAATTGACAAATTGTACATATTTATCATGTACATATTGTTTTGAAATATGTATATACCGTAGAATGGCTAAATCAAGATCATTAACATATGTATTACTTTACCTATTTTCCTTTTTTCGTTGTGTCTCTGCCAGGTTTCGGTATCAGAATGACTCTGACCTCATAGAATGAGTTAGAGAGCAGTTGCTCCTCCTCAATTGTGTGGAATAATTTCAGTAGGATTGGTGCCGGCTTTTCTTTACACATCTGGTAGGATTCGACTGTGAATCCGTCTAGTCTAAGGTTTTTTGTGCTGGTTGGTAGGTTTTGTATGACTAACTCAATTTTGGAACTCATCGTTGGTTTGTTCAGGGTTTCCATTTCTTCCTGGTTCAATCTTGAGAGGTTTTATGTTTCCAGGAATTTCTCTATTTCTTCTAGTTTTCTAGTTTGTGTGCATAGAGGCATGTGGAATAGTCTCAGGGTTTCTTGTATATCTGTGGGTCAGTGGTAATGTCACCTTTGTCATTTCTGATTGTGTTTATTTGGATCTTGTCTTTTTTTCTTTATTAATCTAGCTAGTGGTCTTCCCATGTTATTTATGCTTTCAAAAATATCAACCTTGTATGAATTAACAGCATTTGCCGTGACCTGGATGAGACCGGAGACTGTTATTCTAACTGAAGTAACTCAGGAATGGAAAACCAAACATCGTATGTTCTCACTGATATGTGGGAGCTAAGCTATGAGGACGCAAAGGCGTAAGAATGATACAATGGACTTTGGGGACTTAGGGGGACGAGTTGGCGGGGGCGAGGGATAAAATACAACAAGTAGGGTGTAGTGTATACTGCTCAGGTGATGGGTGCACCAAAATCACAAATCACCACTAAAGAGCTTATGTAACCACACACCACCTGTACCCCAATAATTTATGGAATAAATAATAAATAAATAATTTTTTTAAAAAATCAACTTTGGGTTTCATTGATCTTTTGTATGGTTTTTTACGTCTCCATTTCATTCAGGTCAGCTCCGATGTTGGTTTTCTTTTTTTCTTCTGCTAGCTTTGGGGTTGATTTGCTCTTGTTTTTCTAATTCCTCTAGGTGTGATGTTAGGCGGTTCATTTGAGATCTTTCTAGCTTCTTAGTGTAGCCATATAGCACTAGAAACTTCCTTTGAGCACTGTTCTAGCTGTGTCCCAGAGATTCTGGGATGTTGTATGTTTGTTTTCATTAGTTTCAAATAATTTTTTTATTTCTGCCTTAAATTCAGTCTTTACCCAAAAGTCATTTGGAAGCAGGTTGTTTAATTTCCATGATGACTCTAGGCCGGGCATGGTGGCTCATGCCTGTAATCCCAGCCACTTGGGAGGCTGAGGCAGGAGAATCGCTTGAATCCAGGAGGCAGAGGTTTCAGTGAGCCAAGATCACGCCACTGCACTCCAGCCTGGGCGACAGAGTGAGGCTGCGTCTCAAAAAAAAAAAAAAAAAAAAATTGCCCCTTCTTAAGTTTGCATTTAGATCTCTTCTCCTTTGACCACTTTTAATTTATCTTCACTTCTGATATGACATTTAATTTTTCATTCATTTTCTGTCTATTATTGTTCCTTTTTTAACTTAAAAAAAAATTCTGTGCTTTATGAATTTCTGTTTCAAGGTGTTTTTCCCATCTCCAAATGCTTATTTGAAAATGTTTCCTTTCCTCTTGGTTCATTTCTTCTGGTGTGTGTGTGCGCGCGCCCGCGTGCATGTGTGTACTCGGGTCTCATTTTCTGCTTTCTTCCTGCAGTACCTCGTTTATGGGAGATGCACTTCGCTTTTCTTATTTTTTTAGTAGAGAGGGGGTTTCACTGGTTTAGCCAGAACAGTCTCGATCTCCTGACCTCGTGATCCGCCCACCTCGGGCTCCCAAAGTGCTGGGATTCCAGGAGTGAGCCGCCGCGCCCGGCCGTCCACTTTGCTTCTTGCAGAGGCTGATGGTTTGAGTAATTTTCGAGATTCATAGCTCGAGCGCGCCCTCTTCTGTCTATGCAGTGAAGGGCAGCTTTTTGCATCCGCGGCTTTTTGTTGGCAAGGAGGAATGTGCAGTGGCCAGATTTGTTTCTTCCCCTTTTGTTGCTGTTGTTGTTGTTGCTGCTGCTGTTATTGTTGTTGTTGTTGTATTTTATTGTGTAGCATCCTAAAGTGTCCCCTCCTTCTATTTCTTATCCTTATCCAGGTAGGGTGTAGAAAAGCTAACTTAAGGGGCAGGGGAGAGAGAGAAAGAGAGGAAGAGAAAATGAGAATGAATGACAATACATGAACCCATGGGTCAACCTTTATTTCAAGGCAGCCCAAAAGGACGGCTCTCCCTTCTCTTTCACTCTCTTCTCTAGGTGTGAAGCTGATGCAGCACAGGCGAGCCCCAAAATTGAGGCTTAGCCCGGGGGGGTTCTTGGCTTCTCCTAGAAACTAATTCAAGAAGCCGGGCGCACTGGCTCACGCCTGTAATCCCAGCACTTTGGGAGGCTGAGGCGGATGGATCACTTGAGGTAAGGAGTTCGAGACCAGCCTGGCCAACATGGTGAAACCCCATCTCTACTAAATATACAAAAATTACCCGGGCATGGGGACGGGTGCCTGTAATCCCAGCTGTTCAGGAGGCTGAGGCAGGGGAATCGCTTGAACCCGGGAGGCGGAGGTTGCAGTGAACAGAGATCGTGTCACTGCACTCCAGCCTGGGTGATAGAGTGAGGCTGCGAATCAAAAAAACAAAACAAAACAAAACAAAACAAAACAATTCAAGGGCAGGCCGGTGGTTTTAGACGGCAACTTTTACTGAAGCGTCAGTGCACAGCCACAGCAGAGGGACACACACCTGTATCTTTTCTAAGACTGGGAGAATTTTACAATTGCTTGACTAATTGAACAGTGCCTCGAGGATGTTACACTAGGTTATAAATAAATTCCTGCCGTGTTTAGCTGAGGCACGAACACAATGCCCACTGACAATTCCACTTTCCTCGAGGGCCATTCTTTATGAAAGGCTGTAGGAGTTCCACGACATTGTTGATTCCTGGATTCTCCAAGTCTCTAGAACTTGAGAACTACTTTTGTGTATTTTTTTAAACTTTAAGTCCAGAGTTTCTAATGTCCGTTTTATACTACTATAAAATGGTACTATGTATTCTTTATTTATGGTACTATTTACACTTTATTTTATACAGACTCTGGCTCCACAAAAAATGTTAAAAATTAGCCAGGTGCAGTGGTGCACATCTGCGGCCCCAGCTACTCAGGAGGCTGAGGCAGAAGGATTGCTTGAGCTCGGATGGTCAGGGCTGCAATGAGCTATGATCACACATCACATCAATGCACTCCAGCCTGGGCAACAGAGTGAGACGCTGTCTCTAAAAGAATAGAAGAGGCTGGGCGCGGTGGCTCACGCCTGTCATCCTACCACTTTGGGAGACCAAGGCGAGTGGATCATTTGAGGCCAGGTGTTCAAGACCAGCCTGGTCAACATGGCGAAACCCCATCTCTTGGCAGGCGACTGTAATCCCAGCTACTCAGGAGGCTGAGATAGGAGACTCCCTTGAACCGACGAGGCAGAGGTTGCAGTGAGCCAAGATCACACCACTGCACTCCAGCCTGGGCAACAGAGCAAGCCTCGGTCTCCCAAAAAAAAAAAAAAAAAGAAAGATACATTGAAGTAATTTAAAAACACTTAGGAAGATGTCATTTCTTCCTATCAAGGCGTCCTCCCTTTATGTTTTGTCGTTATATTGGGAACGATAAAAAAAATTTTTTTTTCAACCCATGTGGACCAGGTTGGCCTCGAACTCGAGCCCTCGAACCCTCGCCTCTCTGAGGGTCCGAGGGCCCGCGCAACCGGCCGGAGCCACAATAGCTCCGGGTGTCGGGGCTGACCTTTAGGCCCTTTGATCTTACGCACGGTGAGGGAGCCAATCACCAGAGGCTCACCCCTGACGTCACCCAGTCCCCAGGGCCAGTGAGGGCCCTGCGTTCCATGGCGCCCCCTGGAGGGAGGAAGGGGAACTGTATCTGAGAGTTCAGTATCTGACAATAAGGAAAAGGCATAGGAGATCAGATGGTGCCTAGTGTTCTGGAGAGAAGAAACAACGGGGTTGGCGAATTGGCAGTTGCACTTTATAATACAGGCCTCATGTATAAGGCAGACCTCATGGGGAAGATAACATCTGTGCAGAGAAATGGAGATGAGGGCTAGGAGCCATGCAAATACTGGAACATGCTTGCCAGCAGAAGTCGAGAAACATGGCCGGCGCAGTGGCCCACACCTGTAATCCCAGGACTTTGGGAGGCCGAGGCAGGTAGATCACGAGGTCAGCAGTTCGAGACCAGCCTGGCCAACATGGTGAAACCCTGTCTCTACAAAAATACAAAAATTAGCTGGGTGTGGTGGCACACGCCTGTAATCCCAGCCACTTGGGAGGGTGAGGTAGGAGAATCGCTTGAACCTGGGAGGTAGAGGTTGCAGTGATGCAGTGAGCTGAGACCACGCCATTGTACTCTAGCCTGGGCGACAGAGCGAGACTCCATCTCAAAAAAAAAAAAAAAAAGCAAAAACAAACAGGCGAGATTCATTTTGATAAAATAGCTGATTTAACCTAATATACCTAAAACATCATAATTTTAACATAATCAATAGAAACATTTTTGCAAAATTTTATGTTGTTTTTTTTACCACACGACGTCTTGGAAATCTTGGTTTGGACCAGCCATGTTCAACTGCTCAGTAGCCATGTGTGGCCAGAGGCGGCCGTATTGGACAGTGCAGATGGTGCATGAGGGTGTTCGGGCAGTGGGAACAGCCAGTACAGAGGCCCTGTGGGGGCACATGCCTGCTTCTACGGGAACAGTGAGGAGCCCCGTGTGGCTGCAGTGGAGTGAGAGGGAGAAGGTGGGAGATGTCACCAACGGTCTCATCATTCATTCATTAAATCCTTTTTCTTTTTTTTTTTTTTTTTTTGAGACTGAGTTTCGCTCTTGTTGCCCAGGCTGGAGTGCAATGGTGCCATCTCGGCTCACCACAACCTCCACCTCTTGAGTTCAAGCGATTCTCCTGCCTCACCCTCCCGAGTAGCTGGGATTACAGGCATGCGTCACCATGCCCGGCTAATTTTGTATTTTTAGTAGAGCTGGGGTTTCTCTCTGTTGGTCAGGCTGGTCTCGAACTCCCGACCTCAGGTGATCTGCCCGCCTTGACCTCCCAAAGTGCTGTGATTACAGGCTTGAGCCACTGCTCCCGGTCCATTGAACGTGTGTATATATAGTTGAATAATAAGACACTGGAGTTTGTTCTGTATCTTCTCCTTTCAAATTCTACGCCATTTGAATTTTTTCCTCTTCCTTTTATATATTTTTAATTGACAAATTGTACATATTTATCATGTACATATTGTTTTGAAATATGTATATACCGTAGAATGGCTAAATCAAGATCATTAACATATGTATTACTTTACCTATTTTCCTTTTTTCGTTGTGTCTCTGCCAGGTTTCGGTATCAGAATGACTCTGACCTCATAGAATGAGTTAGAGAGCAGTTGCTCCTCCTCAATTGTGTGGAATAATTTCAGTAGGATTGGTGCCGGCTTTTCTTTACACATCTGGTAGAATTCGACTGTGAATCCGTCTAGTCTAAGGTTTTTTGCGCTGGTTGGTAGGTCTTGTATGACTAACTCAATTTTGGAACTCATCGTTGGTTTGTTCAGGGTTTCCATTTCTTCCTGGTTCAATCTTGAGAGGTTTTATGTTTCCAGGAATTTATCTATTTCTTCTAGTTTTCTAGTTTTTGTGCATAGAGGCATGTGGAATAGTCTCAGGGTTTCTTGTATGTCTGTGGGTCAGTGGTAATGTCACCTCTGTCATTTCTGATTGTGTTTATTTGGATCTTGTCTTTTTTTCTTTATTAATCTAGCTAGTGGTCTTTCCATGTTATTTATGCTTCCAAAAATATCAACTTTGTATGAATTAACAGCATTTGCAGTGACCTGGATGAGACCGGAGAGTATTATTCTAAGTGAAGTAACTCAGGAATGGAAAACCAAACATCGTATGTTCTCACTGATATGTGGGACCTAAGCTATGAGGACACAAAGGCATAAGAATGATACAATGGACTTTGGGGACTTAGGGGGACGAGTTGGCGAGGGCGAGGGATAAAAGACAACAAATAGGGGGTAGTGTATACTGCTCAGGTGATGGGTGCACCAAAATCACAAATCACCACTAAAGAGCTTATGTAACCACATACCACCTGTACCCCAATAATTTATGGAATAAATAATAAATAATTTTTTTAAAAAATCAACTTTGGGTTTCATTGTTTAATTTCCATGATGACTCTAGGCCGGGCATGGTGGCTCATGCCTGTAATCCCAGCCACTTGGGAGGCTGAGGCAGGAGAATCGCTTGAATCCAGGAGGCAGAGGTTTCAGTGAGCCAAGATCACGCCACTGCACTCCAGCCCGGGCGACAGAGTGAGGCTGCGTCTCAAAAAAAAAAAAAAAAAATTGCCCCTTCTTAAGTTTGCATTTAGATCTCTTCTCCTTTGACCACTTTTAATTTATCTTCACTTCTGATATGACATTTTATTTTTTATTCATTTTCTGCCTGTTTATTATTGTTCCTCTTTTAACTTAAAAAAAAAAACATGTGTGTACTTTATGAATTTCTGTTTCAAGGTGTTTTTCCCATCTCCAAATGCTTACTTGAAAATATTTCCTTTCCTCTTGGTTCATTTCTTCTGGTGTGTGTGTGCGCACGCCCGCGTGCATGTGTGTACTCGGGTCTCATTTTCTGCTTTCTTCCTGCAGTACCTCGTTTATGGGAGATGCACTTCGCTTTTGTTATTTTTTTAGTAGAGAGGGGGTTTCACTGGTTTAGCCAGAACAGTCTCGATCTCCTGACCTCGTGATCCGCCCACCTCGGGCTCCCAAAGTGCTGGGATTCCAGGAGTGAGCCGCCGCGCCCGGCCGTCCACTTTGCTTCTTGCAGAGGCTGATGGCTTGAGTAATTTCCGAGATTCATAGCTCGAGCGCGCCCTGTTCTGTCTATGCAGTGAAGGGCAGCTTTTTGCATCCACGGCTTTTTGTTGCCAAGGAGGAATGTGCAGTGGCCAGATTTGTTTCTTCCCCTTTTGTTGCTGTTGTTGTTGTTGCTGCTGCTGTTATTGTTGTTGTTGTTGTATTTTATTTTGTAGCATCCTAAAGTGTCCCCTCCTTCTATTTCTTATCCTTATCCAGGTAGGGTGTAGAAAAGCTAACTTAAGGGGCAGGGGAGAGAGAGAAAGAGAGGAAGAGAAAATGAGAATGAATGACAATACATGAACCCATGGGTCAACCTTTATTTCAAGGCAGCCCAAAAGGACGGCTCTCCCTTCTCTTTCACTCTCTTCTCTAGGTGTGAAGCTGATGCAGCACAGGCGAGCCCCAAAATTGAGGCTTAGCTCGGGGGGGTTCTTGGCTTCTCCTAGAAACTAATTCAAGAAGCCGGGCGCACTGGCTCACGCCTGTAATCCCAGCACTTTGGGAGGCTGAGGCGGATGGATCACTTGAGGTAAGGAGTTCGAGACCAGCCTGGCCAACATGGTGAAACCCCATCTCTACTAAATATACAAAAATTACCCGGGCATGGGGACGGGTGCCTGTAATCCCAGCTGTTCAGGAGGCTGAGGCAGGGGAATCGCTTGAACCCGGGAGGCGGAGGTTGCAGTGAACAGAGATCGTGTCACTGCACTCCAGCCTGGGTGATAGAGTGCGACTCCGTCTGAAAAAGAAAAAAAAAAAAAAAAAGAATTCAAGGGCACGCCGGTGGTTTTAGACGGCAACCTTTACCGAAGCCTCAGTGCACAGCCACAGCAGAGGGACACACACCTGTATCTTTTCTAAGACTGGGAGAATTTTACAATTGCTTGACTAATTGAACAGTGCCTCGAGGATGTTACACTAGGTTATAAATAAATTCCTGCCGTGTTTAGCTGAGGCACGAACACAATGCCCACTGACAATTCCACTTTCCTCGAGGGCCATTCTTTATGAAAGGCTGTAGGAGTTCCACGACATTGTTGATTCCTGGATTCTCCAAGTCTCTAGAACTTGAGAACTACTTTTGTGTATTTTTTTAACCTTTAAGTTCTGAGTTTCTAATGTCCGTTTTATACTACTATAAAATGGTACTATGTATTCTTTATTTATGGTACTATTTACACTTTATTTTATACAGACTCTGGCTCCACAAAAATGTTAAAAATTAGCCAGGTGCAGTGGTGCACATCTGCGGCCCCAGCTACTCAGGAGGCTGAGGCAGAAGGATTGCTTGAGCTCGGATGGTCAGGGCTGCAATGAGCTATGATCACACATCACATCAATGCACTCCAGCCTGGGCAACAGAGTGAGACGCTGTCTCTAAAAGAATAGAAGAGGCTGGGCGCGGTGGCTCACGCCTGTCATCCTACCACTTTGGGAGACCAAGGCGAGTGGATCATTTGAGGCCAGGTGTTCAAGACCAGCCTGGTCAACATGGCGAAACCCCATCTCTTGGCAGGCGACTGTAATCCCAGCTACTCAGGAGGCTTAGATAGGAGACTCCCTTGAACCGACGAGGCGGAGGTTGCAGTGAGCGAAGATCACACCACTGCACTCCAGCCTGGGCAACAGAGCAAGGCTCGGTCTCCCAAAAAAAAAAAAAAAAAAAGACACATGGAAGTAATTTAAAAACACTTAGGAAGATGTCATTTCTTCCTATCAAGGCGTCCTCCCTTTACGTTTTGTCGTTATATTGGGAACGATAAAAAAAATCCTTTTTTCCGACCCATGTGGACCAGGCTGGCCTCGAACTCGTGCCCTGGAACCCCCGCCTCCGTGAGGGCCCGAGGGCAGGCGCAACCGGCCTGAGCCACAATGGCTCCGGGTGTCGGGGCTGTCCTTTAGTCCCTTTGATCTTACGCAGGGTGAGGGAGCCAATCACCAGAGGCTCCCCCCTGTCGTCACCCAGTCCCCAGGGCCAGTGAGGGCCCTGCGTTCCATGGCGCCCCCTGGAGGGAGGAAGGGGAACTGTATCTGAGAGTTCAGTATCTGACAATAAGGAAAAGGCATAGGAGATCAGATGGTGCCTAGTGTTCTGGAGAGAAGAAACAACGGGGTTGGGGAATGCGGAGTTGCACTTTATAATACAGGCCTCATGTATAAGGCAGACCTCATGGGGAAGGTAACATCTGTGCAGAGAAATGGAGATGAGGGCTAGGAGCCATGCAAATACTGGAACATGCTTGCCAGCAGAAGTCGAGAAACATGGCCGGCGCAGTGGCCCACACCTGTAATCCCAGGACTTTGGGAGGCCGAGGCAGGTAGATCACGAGGTCAGCAGTTCGAGACCAGCCTGGCCAACATGGTGAAACCCTGTCTCTACTAAAAATACAAAAATTAGCTGGGTGTGGTGGCACACGCCTGTAATCCCAGCCACTTGGGAGGGTGAGGTAGGAGAATCGCTTGAACCTGGGAGATAGAGGTTGCAGTGATGCAGTGAGCCGAGACCACGCCATTGTACTCTAGCCTGGGCGACAGAGCGAGCCTCCATCTCAAAAAAAAAAAAAAAAAAAAAAAGCAAAAACAAACAGGCGAGATTCATTTGGATAAAATAGCTGATTTAACCTAATATACCTAAAACATCATAATTTTAACATAATCAATAGAAACATTTTTGCAAGATTTTATGTTATTTTTTACCATACGACGTCTTGGAAATGTTGGTTTGGACCAGCCATGTTCAACTGCTCAGTAGCCATGTGTGGCCAGAGGCGGCCGTATTGGACAGTGCAGATGGTGCATGAGGGTGTTCGGGCAGTGGGAACAGCCAGTACAGAGGCCCAGTGGGGGCACATGCCTGCTGCTACGGGAACAGTGAGGAGCCCCGTGTGGCTGCAGTGGAGTGAGAGGGAGAAGGTGGGAGATGTAACCAACAGTCTCATCATTCATTCATTAAATCCTTTTTTTTCTTTTTTTGAGACTGAGTTTCGCTCTTGTTGCCCAGGCTGGAGTGCAATGGTGCCATCTCGGCTCACCACAACCTCCACCTCTTGAGTTCAAGCGATTCTCCTGCCTCAGCCTTCCGAGTAGCTGGGATTACAGGCATGCGCCACCATGCCCGGCTAATTTTGTATTTTTAGTAGAGCTGGGGTTTCTCCCTGTTGGTCAGGCTGGTCTCGAACTCCCGACCTCAGGTGATCTGCCCGCCTTGACCTCCCAAAGTGCTGTGATTACAGGCTTGAGCCACTGCTCCCAGTCCATTGAATGTGTGTATATATAGTTGAATAAAGAAGACACCGGAGTTTGTTCTGTATCTTCTCCTTTCAAATTCTGTGCCATTTGAATTTTTTCCTATTCCTTTTATATATTTTTAATTGACAAATTGTACATATTTATCATGTACATATTGTTTTGAAATATGTATATACCGTAGAATGGCTAAATCAAGATCATTAACATATGTATTACTTTACCTATTTTCCTTTTTTCGTTGTGTCTCTGCCAGGTTTCGGTATCAGAATGACTCTGACCTCATAGAATGAGTTAGAGAGCAGTTGCTCCTCCTCAATTGTGTGGAATAATTTCAGTAGGATTGGTGCCGGCTTTTCTTTACACATCTGGTAGGATTCGACTGTGAATCCGTCTAGTCTAAGGTTTTTTGTGCTGGTTGGTAGGTTTTGTATGACTAACTCAATTTTGGAACTCATCGTTGGTTTGTTCAGGGTTTCCATTTCTTCCTGGTTCAATCTTGAGAGGTTTTATGTTTCCAGGAATTTCTCTATTTCTTCTAGTTTTCTAGTTTGTGTGCATAGAGGCATGTGGAATAGTCTCAGGGTTTCTTGTATATCTGTGGGTCAGTGGTAATGTCACCTTTGTCATTTCTGATTGTGTTTATTTGGATCTTGTCTTTTTTTCTTTATTAATCTAGCTAGTGGTCTTCCCATGTTATTTATGCTTTCAAAAATATCAACTTTGTATGAATTAACAGCATTTGCCGTGACCTGGATGAGACCGGAGACTGTTATTCTAAGTGAAGTAACTCAGGAATGGAAAACCAAACATCGTATGTTCTCACTGATATGTGGGAGCTAAGCTATGAGGACGCAAAGGCGTAAGAATGATACAATGGACTTTGGGGACTTAGGGGGACGAGTTGGCGGGGGCGAGGGATAAAATACAACAAGTAGGGTGTAGTGTATACTGCCCAGGTGATGGGTGCACCAAAATCACAAATCATCACTAAAGAGCTTATGTAACCACACACCACCTGTACCCCAATAATTTATGGAATAAATAATAAATAAATAATTTTTTTAAAAAATCAACTTTGGGTTTCATTGATCTTTTGTATGGTTTTTTACGTCTCCATTTCATTCAGGTCAGCTCCGATGTTGGTTTTTTTTTTTCTTCTGCTAGCTTTGGGGTTGATTTGCTCTTGTTTTTCTAATTCCTCTAGGTGTGATGTTAGGCGGTTCATTTGAGATCTTTCTAGCTTCTTAGTGTAGCCATATAGCACTAGAAACTTCCTTTGAGCACTGTTCTAGCTGTGTCCCAGAGATTCTGGGATGTTGTATGTTTGTTTTCATTAGTTTCAAATAATTTTTTTATTTCTGCCTTAAATTCAGTCTTTACCCAAAAGTCATTTGGAAGCAGGTTGTTTAATTTCCATGATGACTCTAGGCCGGGCATGGTGGCTCATGCCTGTAATCCCAGCCACTTGGGAGGCTGAGGCAGGAGAATCGCTTGAATCCAGGAGGCAGAGGTTTCAGTGAGCCAAGATCACGCCACTGCACTCCAGCCCGGGCGACAGAGTGAGGCTGCGTCTCAAAAAAAAAAAAAAAAAAAATTGCCCCTTCTTAAGTTTGCATTTAGATCTCTTCTCCTTTGACCACTTTTAATTTATCTTCACTTCTGATATGACATTTAATTTTTCGTTCATTTTCTGTCTATTATTGTTCCTTTTTTAACTTAAAAAAAAATTCTGTGCTTTATGAATTTCTGTTTCAAGGTGTTTTTCCCATCTCCAAATGCTTATTTGAAAATGTTTCCTTTCCTCTTGGTTCATTTCTTCTGGTGTGTGTGTGCGCGCGCCCGCGTGCATGTGTGTACTCGGGTCTCATTTTCTGCTTTCTTCCTGCAGTACCTCGTTTATGGGAGATGCACTTCGCTTTTGTTATTTTTTTAGTAGAGAGGGGGTTTCACTGGTTTAGCCAGAACAGTCTCGATCTCCTGACCTCGTGATCCGCCCACCTCGGGCTCCCAAAGTGCTGGGATTCCAGGAGTGAGCCACCGCGCCCGGCCGTCCACTTTGCTTCTTGCAGAGGCTGATGGTTTGAGTAATTTCCGAGATTCATAGCTCGAGCGCGCCCTCTTCTGTCTATGCAGTGAAGGGCAGCTTTTTGCATCCGCGGCTTTTTGTTGGCAAGGAGGAATGTGCAGTGGCCAGATTTGTTTCTTCCCCTTTTGTTGCTGTTGTTGTTGTTGCTGCTGCTGTTATTGTTGTTGTTGTTGTATTTTATTTTGTAGCATCCTAAAGTGTCCCCTCCTTCTATTTCTTATCCTTATCCAGGTAGGGTTTAGAAAAGCTAACTTAAGGGGCAGGGGAGAGAGAGAAAGAGAGGAAGAGAAAATGAGAATGAATGACAATACATGAACCCATGGGTCAACCTTTATTTCAAGGCAGCCCAAAAGGACGGCTCTCCCTTCTCTTTCACTCTCTTCTCTAGGTGTGAAGCTGATGCAGCACAGGCGAGCCCCAAAATTGAGGCTTAGCCCGGGGGGGTTCTTGGCTTCTCCTAGAAACTAATTCAAGAAGCCGGGCGCAGTGGCTCACGCCTGTAATCCCAGCACTTTGGGAGGCTGAGGCGGATGGATCACTTGAGGTAAGGAGTTCGAGACTAGCCTGGCCAACATGCTGAAAACCCCATCTCTACTAAATATACAAAAATTACCCGGGCATGGGGACGGGTGCCTGTAATCCCAGCTGTTCAGGAGGCTGAGGCAGGGGAATCGCTTGAACCCGGGAGGCGGAGGTTGCAGTGAACAGAGATCGTGTCACTGCACTCCAGCCTGGGTGATAGAGTGCGACTCCGTCTGAAAAAGAAAAAAAAAAAAAAAAGAATTCAAGGGCACGCCGGTGGTTTTAGACGGCAACCTTTACCGAAGCCTCAGTGCACAGCCACAGCAGAGGGACACACACCTGTATCTTTTCTAAGACTGGGAGAATTTTACAATTGCTTGACTAATTGAACAGTGCCTCGAGGATGTTACACTAGGTTATAAATAAATTCCTGCCGTGTTTAGCTGAGGCACGAACACAATGCCCACTGACAATTCCACTTTCCTCGAGGGCCATTCTTTATGAAAGGCTGTAGGAGTTCCACGACATTGTTGATTCCTGGATTCTCCAAGTCTCTAGAACTTGAGAACTACTTTTGTGTATTTTTTTAACCTTTAAGTTCAGAGTTTCTAATGTCCGTTTTATACTACTATAAAATGGTACTATGTATTCTTTATTTATGGTACTATTTACACTTTATTTTATACAGACTCTGGCTCCACAAAAATGTTAAAAATTAGCCAGGTGCAGTGGTGCACATCTGCGGCCCCAGCTACTCAGGAGGCTGAGGCAGAAGGATTGCTTGAGCTCGGATGGTCAGGGCTGCAATGAGCTATGATCACACATCACATCAATGCACTCCAGCCTGGGCAACACAGTGAGACCCTGTCTCTAAAAGAATAGAAGAGGCTGGGCGCGGTGGCTCACGCCTGTCATCCTACCACTTTGGGAGACCAAGGCGAGTGGATCATTTGAGGCCAGGTGTTCAAGACCAGCCTGGTCAACATGGCGAAACCCCATCTCTTGGCAGGCGACTGTAATCCCAGCTACTCAGGAGGCTTAGATAGGAGACTCCCTTGAACCGACGAGGCGGAGTTTGCAGTGAGCGAAGATCACACCACTGCACTCCAGCCTGGGCAACAGAGCAAGGCTCGGTCTCCCAAAAAAAAAAAAAAAAAAGACACATGGAAGTAATTTAAAAACACTTAGGAAGATGTCATTTCTTCCTATCAAGGCGTCCTCCCTTTATGTTTTGTCGTTATATTGGGAACGATAAAAAAAAGTCCTTTTTTCCGACCCATGTGGACCAGGCTGGCCTCGAACTCGTGCCCTGGAACCCCCGCCTCCGTGAGGGCCCGAGGGCAGGCGCAACCGGCCTGAGCCACAATGGCTCCGGGTGTCGGGGCTGTCCTTTAGTCCCTTTGATCTTACGCAGGGTGAGGGAGCCAATCACCAGAGGCTCCCCCCTGTCGTCACCCAGTCCCCAGGGCCAGTGAGGGCCCTGCGTTCCATGGCGCCCCCTGGAGGGAGGAAGGGGAACTGTATCTGAGAGTTCAGTATCTGACAATAAGGAAAAGGCATAGGAGATCAGATGGTGCCTAGTGTTCTGGAGAGAAGAAACAACGGGGTTGGGGAATGCGGAGTTGCAGTTTATAATACAGGCCTCATGTATAAGGCAGACCTCATGGGGAAGGTAACATCTGTGCAGAGAAATGGAGATGAGGGCTAGGAGCCATGCAAATACTGGAACATGCTTGCCAGCAGAAGTCGAGAAACATGGCTGGCGCAGTGGCCCACACCTGTAATCCCAGGACTTTGGGAGGCCGAGGCAGGTAGATCACGAGGTCAGCAGTTCGAGACCAGCCTGGCCAACATGGTGAAACCCTGTCTCTACTAAAAATACAAAAATTAGCTGGGTGTGGTGGCACACGCCTGTAATCCCAGCCACTTGGGAGGGTGAGGTAGGAGAATCGCTTGAACCTGGGAGGTAGAGGTTGCAGTGATGCAGTGAGCCGAGACCACGCCATTGTACTCTAGCCTGGGCGACAGAGCGAGCCTCCATCTCAAAAAAAAAAAAAAAAAAAAAAAAGCAAAAACAAACAGGCGAGATTCATTTGGATAAAATAGCTGATTTAACCTAATATACCTAAAACATCATAATTTTAACATAATCAATAGAAACATTTTTGCAAGATTTTATGTTATTTTTTACCATACGACGTCTTGGAAATCTTGGTTTGGACCAGCCATGTTCAACTGCTCAGTAGCCATGTGTGGCCAGAGGCGGCCGTATTGGACAGTGCAGATGGTGCATGAGGGTGTTCGGGCAGTGGGAACAGCCAGTACAGAGGCCCAGTGGGGGCACATGCCTGCTGCTACGGGAACAGTGAGGAGCCCCGTGTGGCTGCAGTGGAGTGAGAGGGAGAAGGTGGGAGATGTAACCAACAGTCTCATCATTCATTCATTAAATCCTTTTTTTTCTTTTTTTGAGACTGAGTTTCGCTCTTGTTGCCCAGGCTGGAGTGCAATGGTGCCATCTCGGCTCACCACAACCTCCACCTCTTGAGTTCAAGCGATTCTCCTGCCTCAGCCTCCGAGTAGCTGGGATTACAGGCATGCGCCACCATGCCCGGCTAATTTTGTATTTTTAGTAGAGCTGGGGTTTCTCCCTGTTGGTCAGGCTGGTCTCGAACTCCCGACCTCAGGTGATCTGCCCGCCTTGACCTCCCAAAGTGCTGTGATTACAGGCTTGAGCCACTGCTCCCAGTCCATTGAATGTGTGTATATATAGTTGAATAAAGAAGACACCGGAGTTTGTTCTGTATCTTCTCCTTTCAAATTCTGTGCCATTTGAATTTTTTCCTATTCCTTTTATATATTTTTAATTGACAAATTGTACATATTTATCATGTACATATTGTTTTGAAATATGTATATACCGTAGAATGGCTAAATCAAGATCATTAACATATGTATTACTTTACCTATTTTCCTTTTTTCGTTGTGTCTCTGCCAGGTTTCGGTATCAGAATGACTCTGACCTCATAGAATGAGTTAGAGAGCAGTTGCTCCTCCTCAATTGTGTGGAATAATTTCAGTAGGATTGGTGCCGGCTTTTCTTTACACATCTGGTAGGATTCGACTGTGAATCCGTCTAGTCTAAGGTTTTTTGTGCTGGTTGGTAGGTTTTGTATGACTAACTCAATTTTGGAACTCATCGTTGGTTTGTTCAGGGTTTCCATTTCTTCCTGGTTCAATCTTGAGAGGTTTTATGTTTCCAGGAATTTCTCTATTTCTTCTAGTTTTCTAGTTTGTGTGCATAGAGGCATGTGGAATAGTCTCAGGGTTTCTTGTATATCTGTGGGTCAGTGGTAATGTCACCTTTGTCATTTCTGATTGTGTTTATTTGGATCTTGTCTTTTTTTCTTTATTAATCTAGCTAGTGGTCTTCCCATGTTATTTATGCTTTCAAAAATATCAACCTTGTATGAATTAACAGCATTTGCCGTGACCTGGATGAGACCGGAGACTGTTATTCTAACTGAAGTAACTCAGGAATGGAAAACCAAACATCGTATGTTCTCACTGATATGTGGGAGCTAAGCTATGAGGACGCAAAGGCGTAAGAATGATACAATGGACTTTGGGGACTTAGGGGGACGAGTTGGCGGGGGCGAGGGATAAAATACAACAAGTAGGGTGTAGTGTATACTGCTCAGGTGATGGGTGCACCAAAATCACAAATCACCACTAAAGAGCTTATGTAACCACACACCACCTGTACCCCAATAATTTATGGAATAAATAATAAATAAATAATTTTTTTAAAAAATCAACTTTGGGTTTCATTGATCTTTTGTATGGTTTTTTACGTCTCCATTTCATTCAGGTCAGCTCCGATGTTGGTTTTCTTTTTTTCTTCTGCTAGCTTTGGGGTTGATTTGCTCTTGTTTTTCTAATTCCTCTAGGTGTGATGTTAGGCGGTTCATTTGAGATCTTTCTAGCTTCTTAGTGTAGCCATATAGCACTAGAAACTTCCTTTGAGCACTGTTCTAGCTGTGTCCCAGAGATTCTGGGATGTTGTATGTTTGTTTTCATTAGTTTCAAATAATTTTTTTATTTCTGCCTTAAATTCAGTCTTTACCCAAAAGTCATTTGGAAGCAGGTTGTTTAATTTCCATGATGACTCTAGGCCGGGCATGGTGGCTCATGCCTGTAATCCCAGCCACTTGGGAGGCTGAGGCAGGAGAATCGCTTGAATCCAGGAGGCAGAGGTTTCAGTGAGCCAAGATCACGCCACTGCACTCCAGCCTGGGCGACAGAGTGAGGCTGCGTCTCAAAAAAAAAAAAAAAAAAAAATTGCCCCTTCTTAAGTTTGCATTTAGATCTCTTCTCCTTTGACCACTTTTAATTTATCTTCACTTCTGATATGACATTTAATTTTTCATTCATTTTCTGTCTATTATTGTTCCTTTTTTAACTTAAAAAAAAATTCTGTGCTTTATGAATTTCTGTTTCAAGGTGTTTTTCCCATCTCCAAATGCTTATTTGAAAATGTTTCCTTTCCTCTTGGTTCATTTCTTCTGGTGTGTGTGTGCGCGCGCCCGCGTGCATGTGTGTACTCGGGTCTCATTTTCTGCTTTCTTCCTGCAGTACCTCGTTTATGGGAGATGCACTTCGCTTTTCTTATTTTTTTAGTAGAGAGGGGGTTTCACTGGTTTAGCCAGAACAGTCTCGATCTCCTGACCTCGTGATCCGCCCACCTCGGGCTCCCAAAGTGCTGGGATTCCAGGAGTGAGCCGCCGCGCCCGGCCGTCCACTTTGCTTCTTGCAGAGGCTGATGGTTTGAGTAATTTTCGAGATTCATAGCTCGAGCGCGCCCTCTTCTGTCTATGCAGTGAAGGGCAGCTTTTTGCATCCGCGGCTTTTTGTTGGCAAGGAGGAATGTGCAGTGGCCAGATTTGTTTCTTCCCCTTTTGTTGCTGTTGTTGTTGTTGCTGCTGCTGTTATTGTTGTTGTTGTTGTATTTTATTTTGTAGCATCCTAAAGTGTCCCCTCCTTCTATTTCTTATCCTTATCCAGGTAGGGTGTAGAAAAGCTAACTTAAGGGGCAGGGGAGAGAGAGAAAGAGAGGAAGAGAAAATGAGAATGAATGACAATACATGAACCCATGGGTCAACCTTTATTTCAAGGCAGCCCAAAAGGACGGCTCTCCCTTCTCTTTCACTCTCTTCTCTAGGTGTGAAGCTGATGCAGCACAGGCGAGCCCCAAAATTGAGGCTTAGCCCGGGGGGGTTCTTGGCTTCTCCTAGAAACTAATTCAAGAAGCCGGGCGCACTGGCTCACGCCTGTAATCCCAGCACTTTGGGAGGCTGAGGCGGATGGATCACTTGAGGTAAGGAGTTCGAGACCAGCCTGGCCAACATGGTGAAACCCCATCTCTACTAAATATACAAAAATTACCCGGGCATGGGGACGGGTGCCTGTAATCCCAGCTGTTCAGGAGGCTGAGGCAGGGGAATCGCTTGAACCCGGGAGGCGGAGGTTGCAGTGAACAGAGATCGTGTCACTGCACTCCAGCCTGGGTGATAGAGTGAGGCTGCGAATCAAAAAAACAAAACAAAACAAAACAAAACAAAACAAAACAAAACAAAACAATTCAAGGGCAGGCCGGTGGTTTTAGACGGCAACTTTTACTGAAGCGTCAGTGCACAGCCACAGCAGAGGGACACACACCTGTATCTTTTCTAAGACTGGGAGAATTTTACAATTGCTTGACTAATTGAACAGTGCCTCGAGGATGTTACACTAGGTTATAAATAAATTCCTGCCGTGTTTAGCTGAGGCACGAACACAATGCCCACTGACAATTCCACTTTCCTCGAGGGCCATTCTTTATGAAAGGCTGTAGGAGTTCCACGACATTGTTGATTCCTGGATTCTCCAAGTCTCTAGAACTTGAGAACTACTTTTGTGTATTTTTTTAAACTTTAAGTCCAGAGTTTCTAATGTCCGTTTTATACTACTATAAAATGGTACTATGTATTCTTTATTTATGGTACTATTTACACTTTATTTTATACAGACTCTGGCTCCACAAAAAATGTTAAAAATTAGCCAGGTGCAGTGGTGCACATCTGCGGCCCCAGCTACTCAGGAGGCTGAGGCAGAAGGATTGCTTGAGCTCGGATGGTCAGGGCTGCAATGAGCTATGATCACACATCACATCAATGCACTCCAGCCTGGGCAACAGAGTGAGACGCTGTCTCTAAAAGAATAGAAGAGGCTGGGCGCGGTGGCTCACGCCTGTCATCCTACCACTTTGGGAGACCAAGGCGAGTGGATCATTTGAGGCCAGGTGTTCAAGACCAGCCTGGTCAACATGGCGAAACCCCATCTCTTGGCAGGCGACTGTAATCCCAGCTACTCAGGAGGCTGAGATAGGAGACTCCCTTGAACCGACGAGGCAGAGGTTGCAGTGAGCCAAGATCACACCACTGCACTCCAGCCTGGGCAACAGAGCAAGCCTCGGTCTCCCAAAAAAAAAAAAAAAAAGAAAGATACATTGAAGTAATTTAAAAACACTTAGGAAGATGTCATTTCTTCCTATCAAGGCGTCCTCCCTTTATGTTTTGTCGTTATATTGGGAACGATAAAAAAAATTTTTTTTTCAACCCATGTGGACCAGGTTGGCCTCGAACTCGAGCCCTCGAACCCTCGCCTCTCTGAGGGTCCGAGGGCCCGCGCAACCGGCCGGAGCCACAATAGCTCCGGGTGTCGGGGCTGACCTTTAGGCCCTTTGATCTTACGCAGGGTGAGGGAGCCAATCACCAGAGGCTCACCCCTGACGTCACCCAGTCCCCAGGGCCAGTGAGGGCCCTGCGTTCCATGGCGCCCCCTGGAGGGAGGAAGGGGAACTGTATCTGAGAGTTCAGTATCTGACAATAAGGAAAAGGCATAGGAGATCAGATGGTGCCTAGTGTTCTGGAGAGAAGAAACAACGGGGTTGGCGAATTGGCAGTTGCACTTTATAATACAGGCCTCATGTATAAGGCAGACCTCATGGGGAAGATAACATCTGTGCAGAGAAATGGAGATGAGGGCTAGGAGCCATGCAAATACTGGAACATGCTTGCCAGCAGAAGTCGAGAAACATGGCCGGCGCAGTGGCCCACACCTGTAATCCCAGGACTTTGGGAGGCCGAGGCAGGTAGATCACGAGGTCAGCAGTTCGAGACCAGCCTGGCCAACATGGTGAAACCCTGTCTCTACAAAAATACAAAAATTAGCTGGGTGTGGTGGCACACGCCTGTAATCCCAGCCACTTGGGAGGGTGAGGTAGGAGAATCGCTTGAACCTGGGAGGTAGAGGTTGCAGTGATGCAGTGAGCTGAGACCACGCCATTGTACTCTAGCCTGGGCGACAGAGCGAGACTCCATCTCAAAAAAAAAAAAAAAAAAGCAAAAACAAACAGGCGAGATTCATTTTGATAAAATAGCTGATTTAACCTAATATACCTAAAACATCATAATTTTAACATAATCAATAGAAACATTTTTGCAAAATTTTATGTTGTTTTTTTTACCACACGACGTCTTGGAAATCTTGGTTTGGACCAGCCATGTTCAACTGCTCAGTAGCCATGTGTGGCCAGAGGCGGCCGTATTGGACAGTGCAGATGGTGCATGAGGGTGTTCGGGCAGTGGGAACAGCCAGTACAGAGGCCCTGTGGGGGCACATGCCTGCTGCTACGGGAACAGTGAGGAGCCCCGTGTGGCTGCAGTGGAGTGAGAGGGAGAAGGTGGGAGATGTCACCAACGGTCTCATCATTCATTCATTAAATCCTTTTTCTTTTTTTTTTTTTTTTTTTTGAGACTGAGTTTCGCTCTTGTTGCCCAGGCTGGAGTGCAATGGTGCCATCTCGGCTCACCACAACCTCCACCTCTTGAGTTCAAGCGATTCTCCTGCCTCACCCTCCCGAGTAGCTGGGATTACAGGCATGCGTCACCATGCCCGGCTAATTTTGTATTTTTAGTAGAGCTGGGGTTTCTCTCTGTTGGTCAGGCTGGTCTCGAACTCCCGACCTCAGGTGATCTGCCCGCCTTGACCTCCCAAAGTGCTGTGATTACAGGCTTGAGCCACTGCTCCCGGTCCATTGAACGTGTGTATATATAGTTGAATAATAAGACACTGGAGTTTGTTCTGTATCTTCTCCTTTCAAATTCTACGCCATTTGAATTTTTTCCTCTTCCTTTTATATATTTTTAATTGACAAATTGTACATATTTATCATGTACATATTGTTTTGAAATATGTATATACCGTAGAATGGCTAAATCAAGATCATTAACATATGTATTACTTTACCTATTTTCCTTTTTTCGTTGTGTCTCTGCCAGGTTTCGGTATCAGAATGACTCTGACCTCATAGAATGAGTTAGAGAGCAGTTGCTCCTCCTCAATTGTGTGGAATAATTTCAGTAGGATTGGTGCCGGCTTTTCTTTACACATCTGGTAGAATTCGACTGTGAATCCGTCTAGTCTAAGGTTTTTTGCGCTGGTTGGTAGGTCTTGTATGACTAACTCAATTTTGGAACTCATCGTTGGTTTGTTCAGGGTTTCCATTTCTTCCTGGTTCAATCTTGAGAGGTTTTATGTTTCCAGGAATTTCTCTATTTCTTCTAGTTTTCTAGTTTTTGTGCATAGAGGCATTTGGAATAGTCTCAGGGTTTCTTGTATGTCTGTGGGTCAGTGGTAATGTCACCTCTGTCATTTCTGATTGTGTTTATTTGGATCTTGTCTTTTTTTCTTTATTAATCTAGCTAGTGGTCTTTCCATGTTATTTATGCTTCCAAAAATATCAACTTTGTATGAATTAACAGCATTTGCAGTGACCTGGATGAGACCGGAGAGTATTATTCTAAGTGAAGTAACTCAGGAATGGAAAACCAAACATCGTATGTTCTCACTGATATGTGGGACCTAAGCTATGAGGACACAAAGGCATAAGAATGATACAATGGACTTTGGGGACTTAGGGGGACGAGTTGGCGAGGGCGAGGGATAAAAGACAACAAATAGGGGGTAGTGTATACTGCTCAGGTGATGGGTGCACCAAAATCACAAATCACCACTAAAGAGCTTATGTAACCACATACCACCTGTACCCCAATAATTTATGGAATAAATAATAAATAAATAATTTTTTTAAAAAATCAACTTTGGGTTTCATTGATCTTTTGTATGGTATTTTACATCTCAATTTCATTCAGCTCAGCTCTGATTTTGTTTTTTTTTTTTCTTCTGCTAGCTTTGGGGTTGATTTGCTCTTGTTTTTCTAATTCCTCTAGGTGTGATGTTAGGCGGTTCATTTGAGATCTTTCTAGCTTCTTAATGTAGCCATATAGCACTAGAAACTTCCTCTGAGCACTGTTGTAGCTGTGTCCCAGAGATTCTGGGATGTTGTATGTTTGTTTTCATTAGTTTCAAATAATTTTTTTATTTCTGCCTTAATTTCAGTCTTTACCCAAAAGTCATTTGGAAGCAGGTTGTTTAATTTCCATGATGACTCTAGGCCGGGCATGGTGGCTCATGCCTGTAATCCCAGCCACTTGGGAGGCTGAGGCAGGAGAATCGCTTGAATCCAGGAGGCAGAGGTTTCAGTGAGCCAAGATCACGCCACTGCACTCCAGCCCGGGCGACAGAGTGAGGCTGCGTCTCAAAAAAAAAAAAAAAAAAAATTGCCCCTTCTTAAGTTTGCATTTAGATCTCTTCTCCTTTGACCACTTTTAATTTATCTTCACTTCTGATATGACATTTTATTTTTTATTCATTTTCTGCCTGTTTATTATTGTTCCTCTTTTAACTTAAAAAAAAAAACATGTGTGTACTTTATGAATTTCTGTTTCAAGGTGTTTTTCCCATCTCCAAATGCTTACTTGAAAATATTTCCTTTCCTCTTGGTTCATTTCTTCTGGTGTGTGTGTGCGCACGCCCGCGTGCATGTGTGTACTCGGGTCTCATTTTCTGCTTTCTTCCTGCAGTACCTCGTTTATGGGAGATGCACTTCGCTTTTGTTATTTTTTTAGTAGAGAGGGGGTTTCACTGGTTTAGCCAGAACAGTCTCGATCTCCTGACCTCGTGATCCGCCCACCTCGGGCTCCCAAAGTGCTGGGATTCCAGGAGTGAGCCGCCGCGCCCGGCCGTCCACTTTGCTTCTTGCAGAGGCTGATGGCTTGAGTAATTTCCGAGATTCATAGCTCGAGCGCGCCCTCTTCTGTCTATGCAGTGAAGGGCAGCTTTTTGCATCCACGGCTTTTTGTTGCCAAGGAGGAATGTGCAGTGGCCAGATTTGTTTCTTCCCCTTTTGTTGCTGTTGTTGTTGTTGCTGCTGCTGTTATTGTTGTTGTTGTTGTATTTTATTTTGTAGCATCCTAAAGTGTCCCCTCCTTCTATTTCTTATCCTTATCCAGGTAGGGTGTAGAAAAGCTAACTTAAGGGGCAGGGGAGAGAGAGAAAGAGAGGAAGAGAAAATGAGAATGAATGACAATACATGAACCCATGGGTCAACCTTTATTTCAAGGCAGCCCAAAAGGACGGCTCTCCCTTCTCTTTCACTCTCTTCTCTAGGTGTGAAGCTGATGCAGCACAGGCGAGCCCCAAAATTGAGGCTTAGCCCGGGGGGGTTCTTGGCTTCTCCTAGAAACTAATTCAAGAAGCCGGGCGCACTGGCTCACGCCTGTAATCCCAGCACTTTGGGAGGCTGAGGCGGATGGATCACTTGAGGTAAGGAGTTCGAGACCAGCCTGGCCAAAATGGTGAAACCCCATCTCTACTAAATATACAAAAATTACCCGGGCATGGGGACGGGTGCCTGTAATCCCAGCTGTTCAGGAGGCTGAGGCAGGGGAATCGCTTGAACCCGGGAGGCGGAGGTTGCAGTGAACAGAGATCGTGTCACTGCACTCCAGCCTGGGTGATAGAGTGAGGCTGCGAATCAAAAAAACAAAACAAAACAAAACAAAACAAAACAATTCAAGGGCAGGCCGGTGGTTTTAGACGGCAACTTTTACTGAAGCGTCAGTGCACAGCCACAGCAGAGGGACACACACCTGTATCTTTTCTAAGACTGGGAGAATTTTACAATTGCTTGACTAATTGAACAGTGCCTCGAGGATGTTACACTAGGTTATAAATAAATTCCTGCCGTGTTTAGCTGAGGCACGAACACAATGCCCACTGACAATTCCACTTTCCTCGAGGGCCATTCTTTATGAAAGGCTGTAGGAGTTCCACGACATTGTTGATTCCTGGATTCTCCAAGTCTCTAGAACTTGAGAACTACTTTTGTGTATTTTTTTAACCTTTAAGTTCAGAGTTTCTAATGTCCGTTTTATACTACTATAAAATGGTACTATGTATTCTTTATTTATGGTACTATTTACACTTTATTTTATACAGACTCTGGCTCCACAAAAATGTTAAAAATTAGCCAGGTGCAGTGGTGCACATCTGCGGCCCCAGCTACTCAGGAGGCTGAGGCAGAAGGATTGCTTGAGCTCGGATGGTCAGGGCTGCAATGAGCTATGATCACACATCACATCAATGCACTCCAGCCTGGGCAACACAGTGAGAACCTGTCTCTAAAAGAATAGAAGAGGCTGGGCGCGGTGGCTCACGCCTGTCATCCTACCACTTTGGGAGACCAAGGCGAGTGGATCATTTGAGGCCAGGTGTTCAAGACCAGCCTGGTCAACATGGCGAAACCCCATCTCTTGGCAGGCGACTGTAATCCCAGCTACTCAGGAGGCTTAGATAGGAGACTCCCTTGAACCGACGAGGCGGAGGTTGCAGTGAGCGAAGATCACACCACTGCACTCCAGCCTGGGCAACAGAGCAAGGCTCGGTCTCCCAAAAAAAAAAAAAAAAAAGACACATGGAAGTAATTTAAAAACACTTAGGAAGATGTCATTTCTTCCTATCAAGGCGTCCTCCCTTTATGTTTTGTCGTTATATTGGGAACGATAAAAAAAAGTCCTTTTTTCCGACCCATGTGGACCAGGCTGGCCTCGAACTCGTGCCCTGGAACCCCCGCCTCCGTGAGGGCCCGAGGGCAGGCGCAACCTGCCTGAGCCACAATGGCTCCGGGTGTCGGGGCTGTCCTTTAGTCCCTTTGATCTTACGCAGGGTGAGGGAGCCAATCACCAGAGGCTCCCCCCTGTCGTCACCCAGTCCCCAGGGCCAGTGAGGGCCCTGCGTTCCATGGCGCCCCCTGGAGGGAGGAAGGGGAACTGTATCTGAGAGTTCAGTATCTGACAATAAGGAAAAGGCATAGGAGATCAGATGGTGCCTAGTGTTCTGGAGAGAAGAAACAACGGGGTTGGGGAATGCGGAGTTGCAGTTTATAATACAGGCCTCATGTATAAGGCAGACCTCATGGGGAAGGTAACATCTGTGCAGAGAAATGGAGATGAGGGCTAGGAGCCATGCAAATACTGGAACATGCTTGCCAGCAGAAGTCGAGAAACATGGCCGGCGCAGTGGCCCACACCTGTAATCCCAGGACTTTGGGAGGCCGAGGCAGGTAGATCACGAGGTCAGCAGTTCGAGACCAGCCTGGCCAACATGGTGAAACCCTGTCTCTACTAAAAATACAAAAATTAGCTGGGTGTGGTGGCACACGCCTGTAATCCCAGCCACTTGGGAGGGTGAGGTAGGAGAATCGCTTGAACCTGGGAGGTAGAGGTTGCAGTGATGCAGTGAGCCGAGACCACGCCATTGTACTCTAGCCTGGGCGACAGAGCGAGCCTCCATCTCAAAAAAAAAAAAAAAAAAAAAAGCAAAAACAAACAGGCGAGATTCATTTGGATAAAATAGCTGATTTAACCTAATATACCTAAAACATCATAATTTTAACATAATCAATAGAAACATTTTTGCAAGATTTTATGTTATTTTTTACCATACGACGTCTTGGAAATGTTGGTTTGGACCAGCCATGTTCAACTGCTCAGTAGCCATGTGTGGCCAGAGGCGGCCATATTGGACAGTGCAGATGGTGCATGAGGGTGTTCGGGCAGTGGGAACAGCCAGTACAGAGGCCCAGTGGGGGCACATGCCTGCTGCTACGGGAACAGTGAGGAGCCCCGTGTGGCTGCAGTGGAGTGAGAGGGAGAAGGTGGGAGATGTAACCAACAGTCTCATCATTCATTCATTAAATCCTTTTTTTTCTTTTTTTGAGACTGAGTTTCGCTCTTGTTGCCCAGGCTGGAGTGCAATGGTGCCATCTCGGCTCACCACAACCTCCACCTCTTGAGTTCAAGCGATTCTCCTGCCTCAGCCTTCCGAGTAGCTGGGATTACAGGCATGCGCCACCATGCCCGGCTAATTTTGTATTTTTAGTAGAGCTGGGGTTTCTCCCTGTTGGTCAGGCTGGTCTCGAACTCCCGACCTCAGGTGATCTGCCCGCCTTGACCTCCCAAAGTGCTGTGATTACAGGCTTGAGCCACTGCTCCCAGTCCATTGAATGTGTGTATATATAGTTGAATAAAGAAGACACCGGAGTTTGTTCTGTATCTTCTCCTTTCAAATTCTGTGCCATTTGAATTTTTTCCTATTCCTTTTATATATTTTTAATTGACAAATTGTACATATTTATCATGTACATATTGTTTTGAAATATGTATATACCGTAGAATGGCTAAATCAAGATCATTAACATATGTATTACTTTACCTATTTTCCTTTTTTCGTTGTGTCTCTGCCAGGTTTCAGTATCAGAATGACTCTGACCTCATAGAATGAGTTAGAGAGCAGTTGCTCCTCCTCAATTGTGTGGAATAATTTCAGTAGGATTGGTGCCGGCTTTTCTTTACACATCTGGTAGGATTCGACTGTGAATCCGTCTAGTCTAAGGTTTTTTGTGCTGGTTGGTAGGTTTTGTATGACTAACTCAATTTTGGAACTCATCGTTGGTTTGTTCAGGGTTTCCATTTCTTCCTGGTTCAATCTTGAGAGGTTTTATGTTTCCAGGAATTTCTCTATTTCTTCTAGTTTTCTAGTTTGTGTGCATAGAGGCATGTGGAATAGTCTCAGGGTTTCTTGTATATCTGTGGGTCAGTGGTAATGTCACCTTTGTCATTTCTGATTGTGTTTATTTGGATCTTGTCTTTTTTTCTTTATTAATCTAGCTAGTGGTCTTCCCATGTTATTTATGCTTTCAAAAATATCAACTTTGTATGAATTAACAGCATTTGCCGTGACCTGGATGAGACCGGAGACTGTTATTCTAAGTGAAGTAACTCAGGAATGGAAAACCAAACATCGTATGTTCTCACTGATATGTGGGAGCTAAGCTATGAGGACGCAAAGGCGTAAGAATGATACAATGGACTTTGGGGACTTAGGGGGACGAGTTGGCGGGGGCGAGGGATAAAATACAACAAGTAGGGTGTAGTGTATACTGCTCAGGTGATGGGTGCACCAAAATCACAAATCACCACTAAAGAGCTTATGTAACCACACACCACCTGTACCCCAATAATTTATGGAATAAATAATAAATAAATAATTTTTTTAAAAAATCAACTTTGGGTTTCATTGATCTTTTGTATGGTTTTTTACGTCTCCATTTCATTCAGGTCAGCTCCGATGTTGGTTTTTTTTTTTCTTCTGCTAGCTTTGGGGTTGATTTGCTCTTGTTTTTCTAATTCCTCTAGGTGTGATGTTAGGCGGTTCATTTGAGATCTTTCTAGCTTCTTAGTGTAGCCCTTTAGCACTAGAAACTTCCTTTGAGCACTGTTCTAGCTGTGTCCCAGAGATTCTGGGATGTTGTATGTTTGTTTTCATTAGTTTCAGATAATTTTTTTATTTCTGCCTTAATTTCAGTCTTTACCCAAAAGTCATTTGGAAGCAGGTTGTTTAATTTCCATGATGACTCTAGGCCGGGCATGGTGGCTCATGCCTGTAATCCCAGCCACTTGGGAGGCTGAGGCAGGAGAATCGCTTGAATCCAGGAGGCAGAGGTTTCAGTGAGCCAAGATCACGCCACTGCACTCCAGCCCGGGCGACAGAGTGAGGCTGCGTCTCAAAAAAAAAAAAAAAAAAAAAATTGCCCCTTCTTAAGTTTGCATTTAGATCTCTTCTCCCTTGACCACTTTTAATTTATCTTCACTTCTGATATGACATTTAATTTTTCATTCATTTTCTGTCTATTATTGTTCCTTTTTTAACTTAAAAAAAAATTCTGTGCTTTATGAATTTCTGTTTCAACGTGTTTTTCCCATCTCCAAATGCTTATTTGAAAATGTTTCCTTTCCTCTTGGTTCATTTCTTCTGGTGTGTGTGTGCGCGCGCCCGCGTGCATGTGTGTACTCGGGTCTCATTTTCTGCTTTCTTCCTGCAGTACCTCGTTTATGGGAGATGCACTTCGCTTTTCTTATTTTTTTAGTAGAGAGGGGGTTTCACTGGTTTAGCCAGAACAGTCTCGATCTCCTGACCTCGTGATCCGCCCACCTCGGGCTCCCAAAGTGCTGGGATTCCAGGAGTGAGCCACCGCGCCCGGCCGTCCACTTTGCTTCTTGCAGAGGCTGATGGTTTGAGTAATTTCCGAGATTCATAGCTCGAGCGCGCCCTGTTCTGTCTATGCAGTGAAGGGCAGCTTTTTGCATCCACGGCTTTTTGTTGCCAAGGAGGAATGTGCAGTGGCCAGATTTGTTTCTTCCCCTTTTGTTGCTGTTTTGTTGTTGCTGCTGCTGTTATTGTTGTTGTTGTTGTATTTTATTTTGTAGCATCCTAAAGTGTCCCCTCCTTCTATTTCTTATCCTTATCCAGGTAGGGTTTAGAAAAGCTAACTTAAGGGGCAGGGGAGAGAGAGAAAGAGAGGAAGAGAAAATGAGAATGAATGACAATACATGAACCCATGGGTCAACCTTTATTTCAAGGCAGCCCAAAAGGACGGCTCTCCCTTCTCTTTCACTCTCTTCTCTAGGTGTGAAGCTGATGCAGCACAGGCGAGCCCCAAAATTGAGGCTTAGCCCGGGGGGGTTCTTGGCTTCTCCTAGAAACTAATTCAAGAAGCCGGGCGCACTGGCTCACGCCTGTAATCCCAGCACTTTGGGAGGCTGAGGCGGATGGATCACTTGAGGTAAGGAGTTCGAGACCAGCCTGGCCAACATGGTGAAACCCCATCTCTACTAAATATACAAAAATTACCCGGGCATGGGGACGGGTGCCTGTAATCCCAGCTGTTCAGGAGGCTGAGGCAGGGGAATCGCTTGAACCCGGGAGGCGGAGGTTGCAGTGAACAGAGATCGTGTCACTGCACTCCAACCTGGGTGAGACTCTGTCCTAAAAAAAAAGAAAAAAAAAAAAAAAAAGGCCAGGCGCGGTGTCTCATGCCTGTAATCCCAGCACTTTGGGAGGGCAAGGTGGGCAGATCATGGGGTTAGGAGTTGTAGACCAGCCTGGCCAATGTGGTGAAACCCCGTCTCTACTAAAAATAGAAAAATTAGCCAGGCGTGGTGGCATGTGCCTATAGTCCCAGCTACTCAAGAGGCTGAGGCAGAAGAATCACTTGTACCCAGGAGGCGGAGGTTGCAGTGAGCCGAGATCGCACCACTGCACTCCAGCCTGGGTGAGACTCTGTCTCAAAAAAAAAAAAAGGTGCATTAAATGTTGCCTGGAAGGTGCAGGGATTGAGGGGAAAGGGACATGCTGTGTTTGTGGCATGCAGGAAGGGATTGTGGGAGAATCCCTGTGAGGAAGCAGAGGACCTTTACCCCTGGAAGATTCACATAGCCGCTACCTAATTCTAAAGACAAGTCCCCTAGAAATTTGGTAAGACAATAGTAAAATAACCTTTTGGATCTCAAAAATCTGTAGGACTCTGTGTATGGATGGGAACTGTCTGAAGGTCATTAAGGTTAATGACGTGAAGAACGGAGTTCAGCACTTTGTTCTATCTCTCGGGTGCCTGAACATTCTGTTCAAAGCAGAAACAGAACTTGATCTGCAAGTGCCACTTAATGGAGCATCACTGGTCCCCTGGAGCAAAAAATGTCCCCAGGACTGCTTTTCCTTCCTCCCATCCCCGGCTGAAATGTTCACACTCACTGCGGCTTCTCTAGTAAGAATATCTGCAGATTCTGCAGATCTTCTGGCAAGATTGATGAACCTGAGAGAAATATCAACGAAAATGATACAAAAGTATGCAGATTTCTTTCAGATGCAAACGTTTGTTTGTTGTTTTGTTTTTTGTTTTTTTTTGTGTGTGTAACAGAGTCTCACTCTGTCACCCAGGCTGGATTGCAGTGGCACAATCTCGGCTCACTTCAACCTCCGCCCTCCGAGTTCAAGCAATTCTCCTGCCTCAGCCTCTGGAGTAGCTGGGATTACAGGAGCCTGCCACCACGCCCAGCTAATTTCTGTATTTTCAGTAGAGACGGGGTTTCACCATCTTGGCCAGGCTGGTCTTGAACTCCTGGCCTCGTGATCCACCCGCCTCGGCCTCCCAAAGTGCTGGGATTACAGGCGTGAGCTACCATGCCCCACCACAAACGTTTGGCTTATTAATTTTTGTTTATATGGTTAGAGAAGAGTACAGAATGGGAGAGAAGTTCTGGGTTCTGTATTAAAAACTCACTGTTGGCTGGGCGCAGTGGTTCACGCCTGTAATCCCAGCACTTTGGGAGGCCGAGGCAGTTGGATCACCTGAGGTCAGGAGTTGGAGACCAGCCTGGCCAACATGGTGAAACCCCATCTCTACTAAAAATACAAAATTAGCCTGGAGTGGTGACACATGCCTGTAATTCCAGCTACTCGGGAGGCTGAGGCAGGAGAATTGCTTGAACCCGGAAGGCGGAGGTTGCAGTGAGCCGAGATCTTGCCATTGCACTCCAGCCAGGCAATAAGAGTGAAACTCCCTCTCAAAAAAAACAGAAAAAGAAAAGAAAAAAAAACGAACTCACTGTTTCTGGATTCTGTCCTCCCTAACAGGCACCTTACCTTAGAGAGCCTAGAACCCTCAAGGTCCCCAAGGATGTGTGGGATTTGAGTACCGTTGTTGGACATCTTCAGCTTTGTGCAATAGAACTGATGAACATCAACTAATAGGGAAGGCCCACGTAGCTCTGGAGGAAGCGGGGCCATGTAGAACTAAAGAGCACTGTATTAGCTTCCTGTGCCTGCCAGAGCAAACCACCACACTATCGTGGGTTATTCTCTCACAGTGCTGGAGGCCAGAAGTCCAAAATCAAGGTATCGGTCAGGCCACATTCCCTCTGGAGGCTCTGGGGAAGGATCCTTCCTGGTCTCTTCCAGCGCCTGGTGGCTGCAGACCTTCGGTGGCTTATGGCTGCAACACTCCAGTCTCTGCCTCCAACTTCATGTGGCCTTCTACTCTGTGTGCCTGTGTCTTCTCCTCTTTTTTATCTCATAAGGATACTTGTTATTGGATTTAAGGCCCACCAGGTAATTAATGATACTCTCATCTTGAGATTCTTCACTTGATGCCATCTGCAAAGACCCTTTTTCCAAATAAGGTCACATTGGTAGGTTCCAGAGGTTGGGACGTGAACGTATCTTTTGGGGACCATAAGTCACAGATTACAAACACAGACTTGGAATGAAAGTGCCTGGGATCAAATCCCAGCTCTGCCACTTAGGAGCTACATGACTTCGTAAAATGATTAACCACTCTGAACACCCCCTTTTTTAACTCTAAAATAGAGATAATAATAGTTCCCTGGTATGTATGAAAGCATTTATGAAACATCAAGTATTGGCATTTTGTCCTCACTCCTACCTGACTTTATATATTTGATTTCAACTCAACCTCAGATTCATTTCTCAGATGTGATCCATTGAAATTTCAGGTTGTTCTATGTTAGTGAAGATATTTCCCTCCCGACACATCAAGCGCTCAAGCCTTTCTGCCCTCACCTCACTGCAGCATTGAGAAAACCAGTTGTTTAAATTAAGTGAAATTTGGCCTAAAGCTGCCTCCTTATGTGGCAAACTGTAACCTAACAATATATAAACAAACTTCAACCAAACTTAAGAGTAGATGGCTGGGCACGGTGGCTCACGCCTGTAACCTCAGCACTTTGGGAGGCCGAGGCAGGCAGATCATTTGAGGTCAGGAGTTCAAGACCAACCTGGCCAACATGGTGAAACCCCCTCTCTTTTTACAAAAAAAAAAAAAAATTAGCCGGGCATGGTGGCGTATGCCCGTAGTCCCAGCTACTCGGGAGGTTGAGGCAGGAGAATCGCTTGAACCCGGGAGGCAGAGGTTGCAGTGAGCCGAGATCCTGCCACTGCACTCCAGCCTGGGTGACAGAGCAACACCCTGTCTCAAAAAAAAAAAAAAAAAAAAAAGAAAGAAATAATTGAGGGAGTGAGGCTACAGATAATGATATATGAAGCAATCCCACTGGTTAAGCACTTAATCTCCAAAGGTGTTCGTATTTTGTCACAAAAGGTATATATGTAGTCAGAAGAACAATCATATAGAATAAGAGAGAAATTCTGAATTCTGTGTTGAGAACTTACTGTGTTTGGTTTCTGTCCTCCCTTCCTAACATCTTCAATAGCCTGAAACCTTAGCTCCATTAAGGACATCTGGGCACTGGTGCATGTTTTAGGGATCTTAAATTGAGTCTGGGCTTATATGCAGAGGGGAAATTATTGGACAAGATGGGGCCCAGCCCATAGTTAGTGTTCGTATAATTCACCGAGTATCAAATAAATGAAAGGATCAGAAGAGTAAATCTGTGGCATAGGATAAGGGGACAGTTAGCACTCTCCAGGGAAACAGAATCAACAGGAAAGTGATTGATTTCAAGAAATTGGGCTGGGTACGGCGGCTCATGCCTGTAATCCCAACACTTTAGGAGGCAGAGGTGGGTGGATTGCATGAGGTCAAGAGTTCAAGACCAGCCTGGCCAGTATGGGGAAACCCCGTCTCTACTAAAAACACAAAAATTAGCTGGGCATGGTGGCGCACGCCTGTAATCCCAGCTACTTGGGAGGCTGAGGCACAAGAATCGCTTGAACCCAGAAGGCGGAGGTTGCAGTGAGCTGAGATCGTGCCACTGCACTCTAGCCTGGGCGACAGAGCGAGACTCTGTTTCAAAAAAAAAAAAAACACGGCAGGGAGGAGTAAAGAAATTGACGAAATTGACTCATGCAGTTGTAGAGGCTGGCAAGTCCAAAATCTGTAGGGCACGCTGGAAGTTTGGAAGCTTAGAGAGGATTTGATGCTGCAGTCTTCAGGCAGAATTTCTTCTACAGGAAACCTCTTTATGTTCTTAAGGCCTTCAACTGATTAGCTTGGGCCCACCCAGGTTATCGCCATTCATCTCCTTTATTTAAAATCAACTGATTGTAGATGTTAACTGTGTCTACGAAATACTGTCACAGCAACACCTAGGCTAGCATTTGATTAAACAAGTGGGTACTGGGCCGGGCACAGTGGCTCATGCCTGGGAGGCTGAGGCAGGTGGATCACCTGAGGTCAGGAGTTCAGGACCAGCCTGGCCAACATGGTGAAACCCCGTCTCTACTAAAAATACAAAAATTAGCCGGGTGTGGTGGCGGGCACCTGTAATCCCAGCTACTCAGGAGGCTGAGGCAGGAGAATTGCTTGAACCCGGGTGGCAGAGGTTGCAGTGAGCTGAGATTGTGCCACTGCACTCCAGCCTGGACGACAGGGCAAGATTCTGTTAAAAAAAAACAAAAAACTGCGTACTGCAGGCTAGCCAAGCTGACACAAAAGTCTAAACATCACAGACATCATCAGGGTCAACCGGTAGAAATTAAAGGACTTAAATTAGTGTTTCAGTAGGCATGCTTGAACCGGAATAGACACTGTGGGGGGAGGGGCGTGCAGAGTTCTGTGCATCGACTGCTGACTGCTCAGAGTCAGGAAACAAACCATACATATTCTGTTTGCCCCATCTGGGCTATGCCACTATAGTGTCTTGCAATACATCCTAACAATTAGGAACCCTATTAAGGTTGGTGCAAAAGTAATTGCAGATTTGCCATTGAAAGTAATGGCCAAAACCACAGTTACTTTTGCACCAATCTATAGATTGAAACGAGACTGATGATTCCCTCCCTGGAGTCTTATAAACAGGATGGGAGCCATCCAGGCAGTTAGAGGGATTATACTTCCTGGGGGTGGGGGACTAAAATAGAAGTCCACAATAAAACCATTTCCTGGCTGGGCGAGGTGGCTCATGCCTGTAATCCCAGCACTTTGGGAGGCCTGAGTCAGGTGGATCACCTGAGGTCGGGAGTTTGAGACCAGCCCGACCGACATGCAGAAACCCCGTCTCTACTAAAAATACCAAATTAGCCACGCATGGTCGCGCATGCCTGTAATCCCAGCTACGCAGGAGGCTGAGGCAGGAGAATCGCTTGAACCCGGGAAGCGGAGGTCGCAGTGAGTCGAGATCGCGTCATTGCACTCCAGCCTGGGCAGCAAGAGCAAAACTCTGTCTCAAAAAAAAAACAAAAACAAAAACAAAACAAAACAAAAAAACCCATTTCCTATCATCCAGCAGATACCAAATACAGAGCGCATTCAACCTCAGGCATTTGCTTCCTAACTCCTACAATTTGATCTATTTCCTTCTACAAAAAAATTACGTGCACAGCGTCAGAAGGGCAGTGAAAAATGAGGAATGTTCCACTTCTGTTGTTGCCAGGGCGTTCCTAAATATCCTGCAAATGCAGGAGTCCTCTGCCAACGGGTGCTAGCGCTCAAGGCTTTGGCCTGGAATCAGTGTGAAACTTCTGTTCTCTCTTCCTGCAAATCCAGATGGAGCCCCTGGATCATAAAATAAAAACGGGACCAATGTCCAGGAATGGCTCCTATTAGGTTGGTGCAAAAGTAACTGCGGTTTCTTGGCTGGGTGCAGTGCCTCACGTCTGTAATCCCACCACTTTGGGAGGCTGAGATGGGTGGATCACCTGAGGTCAGGAGTTCCAGACCAGCCTGGCCAAAATGGTGAAACCCTGTCTCTACTAAAAATATAAAAATTAGCTGGGCATGGCAGCGGGTGCCTGTAATCCCAGGTACTCGGGAGGCTGAGGCAGAGAATTGCTTGAACCTGGGAGGCAGAGGTTACAGTGAGCTGGGGTTGCATGGTGAAATCCCATCTCTACTAAAAATACAAAAATTAGCCAGGCATGGTGGCACATGCCTGTAATCCCAGCTACTCAGGAGGCTGAGGCAGAAGAATCGCTTGAACCTGGGAAGCGGAGGTTGCAGTGAGCTAAGATCGTGCCACTGCACTCCAGCCTGGATGACAAAGTGAGACCCCACCTAAAAAAAAAAAATCAATAAAAATAAAAAGGCCGGGCATGGTGGCTCACGCCTGTAATCCCAACACCTTGGGAAGCCGAGACGGGTGAATCACGAGGTCAGGAGTTCAAGACCAGCCTGGGCAACATGGTGAAAACCCCATCTCTACTAAATATACAAACATCAGCTGGGCATGGTGGCAGGTGCCTGTAATCCCAGCTACTCGGGAGGCTGAGGCAGAGAATTGCTTGAACCTGGGAGGCAGAGGTTGTAGTGAGCCGAGATCATGCCACTGCACTCCAGCCCGGTCAACAGAGTGAGACTCCGTCTCAAAAAAAAAAAAAAAAAAAAGTAATTGCAATGTCATAAATGTAATGGCAAAAACCGCAATTACTTTTCCACCAACCTGATGGAAGTAGATCCTGGTGCGTTGCCCAGGCATGCCGTTTATAGGTAAATGGAAAGGGCAAAGGTACACAGGGAGATAACTAGATAGCATGAAGCCCTGATCTCAGGTCTTTGTCAGCTTGTGGCAGGTGGAATTAAGCCTATTTAGCAGAAACTCAAAGGCACACTTCCCCTGCTGTACAGTGAACACACGCATTTGTAGAGCTTGGACCACAGATATCAGGGACCCCTGACTTGACATAGCGTGCAGATGGAAAGTGGGGTGAAAGTCCTTCTTCCAGAGTCTGAAGTTGACCCATGAGCTAGCTCTCTGAAGCTAGCAGGCCTGGCCAGGGCTTAACACATCTTCCCATAATGCACACACATTGTCCAGACTAAATGTTTATTTCTCAACCTACATATCAACTCTCCACTCTGTTTCAACGTGAGCATCCAAAAACCTATCAAATAACCACAATTCTTACAGTCAAAGTGAATTTTTATCAATAGCATTCTTTTCAGATTTCTCCAGTAAACTGTCTACCAAAGGGAGGGTATAAAACCTTCTGCTATGAACAGTTATCACATAAAGGTATGTATTTCCATCCTGGCCATGTTATTTGGGTTTGTGTGATCTTTACTGGGCCACAAGAATATTAGCATCTGGAAGTCAGCAAGTTCTCTGAAAAATCAAACTGGTGGCTTGTTCCCAAAGATGGTACCCAAAGAGCGATCTACCAGTATTTATTCCCTGTGTCATTCCTTCCCCTTGAATCAGGACTGGACCTATGACTAGGTTTTAACCAATAGAATAAAGCAGAAGTGATGCCTGTGACTCCTAAAGTCAGATCCTAAGAAACATTGAAAGTATCACCTTAAGTCTCTTGGAGCATCCTCACTGGGAGACGGCCATGCTGTAAGGAAGCCCAAGCTAGTCACACAGAGAGGCATCTTTTAATTTTTTTCTTTTATTTTTAGAAATCGGAATGGGGGGAATAAAAGAAATTGGAATAGGAGTATGAGAGGCATCTTTAAGATACAGATGTCCAACCAGCCCGAAGCTGTTCCAACCTTCAGAGCCCAGGTGCAAGCCATGTGAGTGAAGAAGTCTTCAAACAATCCCAGCCCTAGATATTATCTGGCTGCAGTATCATGACAGACTCCAAATTAGAACCACTCAGCTGAGCCCAGTAAAGCCCTAGAACCACAGAATTGTGTTTTAAGCCAGGAGTCAGCAAACTACCATATACAAACCAAATCGGGCCCACTACCTTGTTTGGTAAGCAAAGTTTTGTTGGCACACGGCCACACTCATTCATGGATGTATTGTCCATAATGTTTTCATGCTGTAATGGCAGAGTAGTAGAAACATGGCCTTCAAAGCTGAAAATATTCATTCTCTAGCCCTTCTCAAAAAAAAAAAAAAAAAAAAGTCTGCCCTATGGAGTCATAGAACAGAAAACAGTTCTGTGCCCTCCCTTTGCAGGTGGGATGGCGGTGAGGGAGGTTGGACCATGGAAGACCTTGGGTCAGGGAGCCACCTCACTCCCTCCCTCCACCAAAAACAAACAAACAAAAAAAAGTTTGCCAAATCTCTACTTTAAGCCACTAAGTTTGGGGGTGGTTTGTTAGGTACTAGTAAAGAAAACAGAACATTAATAATTTCACAATCTGTATTTTGCAACTGAAGGATACTGAAAAATTGATTTCTAAACTAAGTACTATAAAATGTTGCCAGGACCACTTGTTTCTTTCCTAACATTCCTTCCTGGAACAAATGTTCTAAGTTTTCCAATTCCATTAGCAGAATGATGACTCAGCACAAATTCAAAGGACTAAACCTGAGTTTGAATCACAACTAGGTCACTTTCTTTTTTTTGAGACAGAGTCTCACTCTGTGCCCAGGCTGGAGTGCAATGGCACGATCTCGGCTCACTGCAACCTCCGCCTCCCAGGTTCAAGCGATTCTCCTGCCTCAGCCTCCCGAATAGCTGAGACTACAGGTGTGCAGCACCACCATGCCCGGCTAATTTTTGTATTTTGAGCAGAGACAGGGTTTCACCATGTTGACCACGCTGGTCTCGAACTCAGGTGATCCGCCCGCCTCGGCCTCCCAAAGTGCTGGGATTACAAGCATGAGCCAACATGCCCAGCCACAGCTGGGTCACTAACTCTGTAACTAAGGATGAGTTAATTAATCATTTTTTTCCTGCGGGAGAAAAGGGAGCCTAACAGTGTTGTGATTAAGAGCACATGTTCTGGGTTTCAGTTTGAGGTGGGAACTTGTTTGCTGTGTGTTCTTGAGCCCACAACCTAACCTCTCTGTGGTTCAGATCCTGCATCTGTAAAATGAGGAAAATATTATTAACTGCTGCTGGGCACGGTGGCTCACACCTGTAATCCCAGCACTTTGGGAGGCCGAGGCGGGAGGATCACGAGGTCAGGAGTTTGAGACCATCCTGGCTAACACGGTGAAACCCCGTCTCTACTAAAAATACAAAAAAAAAAAAAAATTAGCCGGGCATAGGTGGTGCACGCCTGTAGTCTCAGCTACTTGGGAGGCTGAGGCAGGAGAATGGCGTAAAATCCAGGAGGTGAAGCTTGCAGTGAGCTGAGATCGCGCCACTGCACTCCAGCCTGAGAGACAGAGCGAGACTCTGTCTCAAAAAAAAAAATTAACTGCTTCATAGAGTTCTTAGAAACATTCAAATCATTTAATGTTTTGTAAAGTACTTAGAATGTCTGGCACGAAATAATCTTCATCTAAATGTTTATGGATGAAAAAATACTGACTTTATGGCCGGGCGCGGTGGCTCACGCCTGTAATACCAGCACTTTGGGAGGCCGAGGTGGGCGGATCACGAGGTCAGGAGTTCGAGACCATCCTGGCCAACATGGTGAAACCCCGTCTCTACTAAAAATACAAAAAAATTAGCCAGGCGTGGGTGGCGGGCGCCTGTAGTCCCAGCTACTCAGGAGGCTGAGGCAGGAGAATGGCGTGAACCCGGGAGGCAGAGCTTGCAGTGAGCCAGGTTCACGCCACTGCACTCCAGTCTGGGTGACAGAGCAAGACTCCATCTCAAAAAAAAAAAAAAAAAAAAGAAAAGAAAAGAAAAAATACTGACTTTAGACCGGGTGTGGTGGCTCACCCTTGTAGTCCCAGCACTTTGGATGGCCAAGGCAGGCAGATCACCTGAGGTAAGGAGTTCGAGACCAGCCTGGCCAACATGGTTGAAACCCCATGTCTACCAAAAATACAAAAATTAGCCAGGCATGATGGTGGGGGGCTGTAATCCCAGTTGCTTGGGAGGCTGAAGCACAAGAATGGTTTGAACCAGGAAGTGGAGGTTGCAGTGAGCCGAGATCGCATCGCTGTACCCCAGCCTCGGAGACAGAGTGAAACTCTGTCTCAAAAAAACAAAAAAAGAAAACAAAAGAAATACTGACTTTAAAAGTTCAAAAGTATCCTTTAAGATCTGTGTGTCTCAGTTTCATCATCTGTAAAATAAAGTAAAATAATTTCTTACCCTTCCCATGGTCACTGTGAAAACTAAATAACATAATCTTGTTGTTGGCAGTATTATTATAATTGTCTTTAAAATACATGATTGCTTATATGATTGCTTTTAGAATTTTATAATCTAGTTTTTTGTTTGTTTGTTTTGAGACGTAGTCTTGCTCTGTCACCCAGGCTGGAATGCAGTGGCGTGATCTCAGCTAACTGCAAGCCCCGCCTCCCGGGTTCATGCCATTCTCCCGCCTCAGCCCCCTGAGTAGCTGGGACTACAGGCACCCGCCACCACACCCGGCTAATTTTTTGTATTTTTAGTAGAGACAGGGTTTCACCATGTTAGCCAGGATGGTCTCGATCTCCTGACCTCATGATCTGCCTGCCTCGGCCTCCCAAAGTTCTGGGATTACAGGTGTGAGCCACCGCGCCTGGCCTATAATCTAGTTCTTTTAGAAAGAATGAATGTGAAATGGAAGTATGTGCCCATGTGAAAGATGGCATCTATTCTAAATGTGCCTCCAGGAGATGAACTCTACCCTTCTCTCTGCTGATGACACCAGCATTCACCCGTCCTCTTTGTCTGAATAACAGCTTTTACATCTAAGACAGTGGTTCTCAACTAGGGGCAATTTTTTTTTTTTTTTTTGAGACAGGGTATCACTCTGTCGCCCAGGCTGGAGTGCAGTGGCATGATCTCAGTTCACCGCAACCTCTGCCTCCCGGGTTCAAGTGTTTCTCCTGCCTCAGCCTCCCAAGTAGCTGAGATTACAGGCACCCGCCACCACGCCTAGCTAATTTTTTGTATTTTTAGTAGAGACGGAGTTTCACCATGTTGGCCAAACTGGTCTCAAACTCCTGACCCACCTTGGCCTCCCAAAGTGCTGGGATTACAGGCGTGAGCCACTACACCCAGCCCTGTTGCAGCTTTTTCACTACTGATGTTCAGTGAATGGGAGGGAGTGTTGTAGTTCTTTTACTCCCACCACCAGCAAGCTCCAGGTTCTTGTCCCACAACCAAGAAGAATAAGAAACGTTGACACTGGAGACTGAGTAGGACAGAGTGGGATTTATCAAGCGAAAGTGACAGAAAAGCTCTCAACAAAGAGAGGTGACCCGACAAAGAGTTGCTGGCTGCAGGGCTAAGTTCAGTGGTTTTATGGACTGGGAAGTGGGAGGAGTGTGCTTGACTGGTCTGTGGGCCACTCAGAAAGACACACAACAGTGAAAAGAGCCAATTAGAGGCTGAGGTGAAGGCTTGGCCTGCAACCAATTAGGGGCTGGAGTGATGTTACACTTTATGCAAATGAGGATTTTGCCCACGGCCAATCACAGAAAGATAAGTATATGTAAAATAGGTGAAAGGTAAGGATCAATCCAGAGGAAGCATGTGAAATGAGACAAACATGCATCAAAGGGAGGAAAATGTGTCCAAAAAAGGAGTGGAATTTGTTTATCTAGGTTCACAGAGCAGGCATTTCCATTCAAGGACGCGGGCTGTTTCTTATCTAGGGCCTGTAGCTTGATATTCAGGCTGTTCTTGATTTGAAGAAATTTTGCTGATGTGAGCTCTTTCTTATCTGGGGCCTGCAGCTGGATTTTCAGGCTGTTCTTCGTTTGAAGGAGTTTTACCAAGGACTCACCCTAACTGCCTGTCTGACCACTTTCTTCCTACCTCCTCTCTCACTATCCACAGCCCTGATCTCAGCCCTGGGGGGACATTGACATCTTCTCCCAGATCAGCTCCTCAGAGGCCTCACTCTGGGCCACAGCTGAAGTGATTCTTCCAGCTCCAGAGATTACTGCCAGACATGGAAAGAACCCAAACCAGATGCTGGAGATAAGATCTCAGGAGCTCATCCCAGCCAATCTGCCAGTGCCCACGTGGAGCCATGTTTAGGTTTTATCTATTCATTTTATAATGAAATGTCTCACACATATAGAAAAGCAGGTAAACAGGCTGGGCACGGTGGCTCAGGCCTGTAATCCCAGCACTTTGGGAGGCTGAGGCAAGCAGATCACTTGAGGTCAGGGGTTTGAGACCAGCTTGGCCAATATGGCAAAACCCCATCTCTACTAAAGATACAAAAATTAGCCAGGTATGGTGGTGCCTACCTGTAATCCCAGCTACTCAGGAGGCTGAGGCAGGAGAATCACTTGAACCCAGAAGGTGGAGGTTGCAGTGAGCCGAGATCACGCCATTGCACTCCAGCCTGAAAAACAGAGTAAGACTCTGTCTCAAAAAAAAAAAAGAAAAGAAAAGCATGTCAACAAAACTCTTTAAGGCTATCATTTTGCCCTATGGCTTCAGATAAAGACTCCAGTGAGAAAGTCAAAACACAATTGAGGCTTCTTCTAAAGTCTTTCCTGAGTCTGCTGCTCTGCTCCCCTTTCCAGAGGTGAAATTGTTCTGCAACTTCCTGCCCGTGGTGTTTACGATCATGGCACCTCTCCCCACTGCTCTGTGCCTGTGAACGTGGCCTGAGCACCATCTCTTCATAATTAGGAATCTGCCTGTTCCTCTAACATTCTGTGCTGAGTGTGTGCAGGCTGACAGATGTAAGTCCCATTCATTCATTCATTCATTCATTCATTCAACTATAGTGTCATCTTCCACATATTCTATAACTTATCCTGTGTTTTAAATTAATCATTCATCCCCAAATTCAACTGGTTTCCCATTTTTCACGGTTGCAATGTTGAAATACACATTTTTTTTTCGAGTTTCCTTGTCCATGTATGAAAATGTCTCCAAGGACATATATCTCTGCAAGTTTCAACTCCAGTTACTTTCTGAAACTCTCCTCCAATACCACCATGCAAATGAACAGATCCCCCAAATTCGAACGGCCTGACCAACAGGTAGTATCATCCCATTTTTTTCTTCTAACGTATAAGAAGTGACAACCTACATGCATTACTGTGATTTTGATTTGTATTTCCCTGATTACAGGTATGATTAATAATCAATTGTATGGTTTAATGGTCCTTTTATTTCCCTTTTCTGTCAAATAATAATATCCTTTGTCTTTTTAAAAAAGATATAAGTATGGCCAGGCGTGGCGGCTCATGCCTGTAATTCTTTGGGAGGTCAAGGCAGGTGGATCACCTGAGATCAGGAGTTCAAGACCTGCCTGGCCAACATGGTGAAACCCCATCTCTACTAAAAGTACAAAACTTAGCTGGGCATGGTGGCACACCTTTGTAATCCCAGCTGCTCAGGAGGCTGAGGCAAGAGGTTCACTTGAACTGGAGAGGCGGAAGTTGCAGTGAGCTGAGATTGCACCACTGCACTCCAGCCTGGGCAACAGAGTGAGACTCCATCTCAAAATAAAATAAAATAAATAATAGGCCAGGCGCAGTGGCGCATGCCTGTAATCCCAGTACTTCGGGAGGCCGAGGAGGGCGGATCACGAGGTCAGGAGATCGAGACCATCCTGGCTAACACGGTGAAACCCCGTCTCTACTAAAAAAATACACAAAATTAGCCGGGCATGGTGGCTGGCACCTGTAGTCTCAGGTACTCGGGAGGCTGAGGCAGGAGAATGGCGTGAACCCAGGAGGTATAGAGCTTGCAGCGAGCTGAGATCGTGCCACTGCACTCCAGCCTGGGCAACTGAGCACGAGACTCCGTTTCAAAAAAAAAAAATTTTTTCACAATTTAAAAAGTACAGGCCCGTCATTTTGCAGACTGTCCCTCATTTGGGGTTCATATAATGTTATCTCACTAATATATTCAGGCCTAGAGTTTATGTTTAAAATATGGCCACATAGAAAGGGAAGAGGGAGAAAAGTCAAGTGACCTCTGGTGACCAAGGTCAACATCATTAGTGCCAGGTCATGTTGCTAATAAGTCCCCTTGATATGGTGTGATGATCATGGTATTTTACCTCTGTGACCTTCCTCTCCAAAACCCATGAACTCATTTGTTGGATGAGAAAACCTGCAATAAATCCCAAAGGAGGAACATTGTACAAAATGCCTCACCAGTGTTCTTCAAAACCATCAAGGTCATCAAAAATGAGGAAAGTCGGCCAGGCGCAGTGGTTCGCACCTGTAATCCCAGTACTTTGGGAGGCCAAAGTGGGCGGATCACCTGAGGTCAGGAGTTCGAGACCAGCCTGGCCAATATGGTGAAACCCCGTTTCTACTAAAAATGCAAAAATTAGCCGGGTGTAGTGGCGCGTGCCTGTAATCCCAGCTACTCGTGAGGCTGAGGCAGGAGAATCACTTGAACTGGGGAGGCAGAGGCTGCAGTGAGCCAAGATTGTGCCACTGCACTCCAGCCTGGGCAGCAGAGCAAGACTCCATCTCAAAAAAAAAAAAAATGAGGAAAGTCTGAGCAACAACTGTCACAGCCAAGAGGAGCCCAAGGAGACAGGATGAGTGTATGTCATGTACTATACAGGATGGGATTTTGGGGCAAAAAAAGGGCATGAGACAGTGAGCCAGGATCATGCCACTGCACTTCAGCCTGGGCAACAAAGAGAGAACTCTGTCAAAAAAAAAAAAAAAAAACACGAGCATGAGATAAAAACTAAGGAAATCCAAATTAAGTATGGACTATGGGAACTCTCTGTACTCTCTTTGCAATTTTTCTGTAAGTCTAAAAGTGCCCTAAAAAATGAGGCGTATTAAAAATATTTTTTTCCTGTTTGGGAAGAGTTTAGAAACTGGAAATACTAGATTCAGGAGAAGGGCAGACTTGCTTGATAAGGGACCGATGTTTGTGCAGTAATTTGGAGTGTGGTTTGTTTTTGAATCTTTAATTAAATCCTGGGATTGGCCGGGCGCAGTAGCTCACACCTGTAATCCCAGCACTTTTGGAGGCCGAGGCGGGTGGATCACGAGGTCAGGAGTTTGAGACCAGCCTGGCCAACATGGTGAAACCCCATGTCTACTAAAAGTACAAAAATTAGCCAGGCGTGGTGGTGGGCGCCTGTAATCCCAGCTACTCAGGAGGCTGAGGCAAGAGAATCGCTTGGACCCAGCAGGCGGAGGTTGCAGTGAGCCCGAGATCATGCCATTGCACTCTAACCTGGGTGACAAGAGCAAGAGTCCATCTCAAAACAATAAATAAATAAATAAAATTAAAAAGTAAAACCTGGGATTATATATCGCTGATAGATATTCACGCTTGAACCACAGTTACTATAAAATGCAAAAATTCTTAATACTGTTATTCTTTGCACTTTTTCTTAATCATTTTATATATATGCATATATATATGCGCATATATATATGCATATATATATACATATATATCTTGTTTAGGTTGTTTTGTACAGATGTGGGCCACCATTGCAACAAAATAAATTCTTTTTGCTCTAAAATATTTATAAAGAAAATACTTAAATGTGATGTACAGGGTGGTAATAAGGGAAAAATCAAGTATTATAAACAAGAATGAAGGCTTTTTTTCTTTCCTTTTTTTTTTTTTTTTTTTTGAGACGGAGTCTCGCTCTGTCGCCCAGGCTGGAGTGCAGTGGCGAGATCTCGGCTCACTGCAAGCTCCGCCTCCCGGGTTCATGCCATTCTCCTGCCTCAGCCTCCTGAGTAGCTGGGACTACAGGCACCCGCCACCACGCCCGGCTAATTTTTTGTATTTTTAGTAGAGACGGGGTTTCACCGTGTTAGCCAGGATGGTCTCGATCTCCTGACCTCGTGATCCGCCCGCCTCGGCCTCCCAAAGTGCTGGGATTACAGGCGTGAGCCACCACACCGTGCCCAGACCAAGAATGAAGGTTTTTGTAAAGATTTCTGTTCAGTGTTTTGCAAGGTAAAATTCTAGGCACGTTTTCCCTGAAGTTATGTGTATGTGAGTATTCTCATTCTTCCCAACTTGCCTTTGAAGAGTGAAAAAACATTATTATCAAGTAGACTTCTATTCAGCTTTTGCTCCTGCCCTGCTGTTTATCCCTTAAGAATGAGTTTCTTGGACTTTCCCAATATGTGATTTTTTTTTCCCATTTAGAATGGTGATTTTAAATGTGTGAGTGCATGCATTATCTTATCTCAGATATTTGCACCCCCAATCCACCCCCATCTCCCTAAAGCTAGAACACTGCCAACTGATCTGTTGTATAGGTCCTTTAGAAACACATAATTAGGCTGGGCGTGGCGGATCACAAGGTCAGGAGATTGAAACCATCCTGGCTAACACGGTGAAACCCCGTCTCTACTAAAAATACAAAAAATTAGCTGGGCGTGGTGGCGGGCACCTGTAGTCCCAGCTACTCTGGAGGCTGAGGCAGGAGAATGGCATGAACCCAGTAGGCAGAGCTTGCAGCAAGCCGAGATCGCGCCACTACACTCCAGCCTGGACGACAGAGTGAGACTCCATCTCAAAAAAAAAAAAAAAACAAACAAACACATAATTAACACTTAAGGTTGGGTGCTGCCAATTCTTTGTGAAAATCCAAATATTATTAAGGAAACAGGGAGATGCCACTACCTCTTGATTTTCCATCTAAAAACATACATGTTTATGCAAACAAATCTTTCCATATTCATAGTGACTTTTCAAGTATTTGAGTCTAAAGATTTTCATCTCACATTTTTATACCGTTTAAATTGTTCACAATTATTACATACACGTCAGCCATCAACTAAAGTTGTACTTTAAAAATTTACTACAATATATACACTGCTAATATTTGTACTTACTCTTTTTTTCTCTAGAGTGGAGGTATAATTGTGTGATACTTCAGAAATACAGATAAATGATTCAAAAAGTCTCAGGGAGAATAATGTTTCTTTGATCGTGAATAACTGATTAGTAATTCTTGCCTATATTTTCCTGAGAGCATATGACAAATGTTTCTAAGGTAACAAGATGAGAACAGATAAAGACTGTGTGGTCTTTTGGATTTGGAGAGACATATTTTAATTTTTAAATGCAGTTACAAATTATAATGTATTCATATTTGTACTTTCTGTTAAAATGCACGATTGCAGGATTATTTAGATTTTGTGTTTATGCTTGATGAAAAGCTTTGTTCTTGTTTTTAAGTTTGCACTCAAACCTTAAGAAATAAATTCACCCATATTATCAAAAAAAATATTTGTCCTCGTGTTTGTTATTCGATCTTGCAGTTCACTCTCAGGAACGCAAGCTCAGATGACCCCTAAAATGGTCTCTAGATAAGTTCATGATTGCTCAACATCTTCAATCTTTTGAGTATGGGTCACATTATACCTCTCTTTATCAGCAAGTAAACTTTACAACAAACATGTGACATGCTGGGACAAGGTTAAAGATCGTTTTATCCTTGCTGTAAAAGCTGATCTGCCTGTAGCTGCCACAGCCTCCAGCGGTGGCTACAGTTGAAACCCTCACACCACGCAGGAAGAGGTCATCATCATGTCGGACGATTTCTTATGGTTTGAAGGCATAGCTTTCCCTACTATGGGTTTCAGATCCGAAACCTTAAGAAAAGTACGTGATGAGTTCGTGATAAGGGATGAAGATGTAATAATATTGACTTACCCCAAATCAGGTAAGGAGGCAGAATCGTGAACTGAGAAAGGCTGTGGTTGTGTTCCTGTCCATTCAGTGCATGATTGGAGTTCTTCCTTTATGTCAGACAGTGTACAATGCTTTAAGGGGAAGAGAGGAATGCCTAATACCATTGACAATCAGAGAAAAGGATTTAGTCAGGAAATTACACAGTAGGATGAGTGTTCAGAGGGGTAATCTAAGGTATTAGGAGAATCCACAGGAGTGAATCCCAAGGCAAATTCAGGTGTTTGTTTGGTGGCAGTGGGAGGGAGGATGGCTGAGGATGACCAATGATGTCCTGAAAGAAGAAATAGCATTTAAATGGAAATGCAAAGAATGAGTATGAAATTACTTGGGGGGAGGGCTATTTTCAGATAGGAGAATCATCAGGGCAATGGCCAGGAACCACAAAAGAGCCAGGCAATCTCAAGGGGCTGAAAGATGAGGATCATATGTCTCTGGGAGTGGGGCTGTGGGTGGAGGGCGGTAAGAGCACTGCGGATGCGGTGAGGATTGAGGCTGAAGACATTGGAAGTGGCATGGCCCTGAGAGGCCAAGAGCAATGGGAACATAATAAGAGGGATTTCAGCAAATAGCCAAAAGATGGAAGCAACCCAGATATCCACTGACAGGTGAGTGAATAAACAAAATGTGGTATATAGCTATAATGGAATGTTATTCATCCTTGAGAAGGAAGAAAATTCTGATGCATGATACAACAGAGATAAACATCAAGGACATTATGCTAAATGAAATAAGCCAGTCACAAAAATACAAATAGTGTGTGATTCCACTTACATAAGGTACCTGGAGTCATCAAGTCCATAGAAACAGAAAGTACACTGGCGGCTGCCAGGGGCTGAAGAGAAGGGTAAATGGGGAGTCGGTGCTGGCTCTGCATAGAGTTTCGGTTTTGCAACACAAAAATCCTCTGGAGATTGGTTGAGCAGCACTGGGAATATACTTAACACTTAACACTACGAAACCGTAGGCTTAAAAGTGGTTGACAGGCTGGGCATGGTGGCTCATACCTGTAATCCCAGCACTTTGGGAGGTCAAGGCAGGTGGATTGCCTGAGGTCAGGAGTTCGACACCAGCCTGGCCAACATGGCAAAACCCCGTCTCTACTAAAAATAAAAAATTAGCCAGGCGCTGTGGCGCACGTCTGTAGTTCCAGCTACTCGGGAGGCTGACCAAGAGAATCACTTGAACCCAGGAGATGGAGGTGGCAGTGAGCCAAGATCATGCCACTGCACTCCAGCCTGGGTGACAGAGCAAGACTCTGTCTCAAAAAAAAAAAAAAAAAAAAAAAAAAGTGGTTGAGAGCTGGCTGCAGTGGCTCACGCCTACAGTCCCAGTGCTTTGGGAGGGCAAGATAGGCAGATTGCTTGAGGTCAAGCGTTCAAGACCAGCCTGGGCAACATAGCAAGGCCTGATCTCTACAATAAAATTTTTTCAAAAAATTAGCCCAGCGCGATGGCACATGCCTGAGGTCTCAGATACTTGCGAGGCTGAAGCAGGAGGCCGAAGTACAAGGATCACTTGAGCCCGAGTTCAAGGCTGCAGTGGGCTATAATTGCACCACTGCACTCTAGCCTGGGCTACAGAGGGAGACCTCATCGCTAAAAAAAAAAAAAAAAAAAGCCAGGCGCAGTGGCTCACGCCTGTAATCCCAGCACTTGGGGAGGCCGAGGCAGGCAGATCATGAGGTCAGGAGATCGAGACCATCCTGGCTAACATGGTGAAACCCCATCTCTACTAAAAATATATTAAAAAAAAAATTAGCCAGACGTGGTGGTGGGCGCCTGTAGTCCCAGCTACTTGGGAGGCTGAGGCAGGAGAATGGCATGAACCCGGGATGCACAGCTTGCAGTGAACTGAGATCGTGCCATTGCACTCCAGCCTGGGTGACAGAGCAAGACTCTGTCTCAAAATAAATAAATAAATAAATAAATAATAAAAAAATTAAGGTTGAGATGGTACTTTTTTTTGTTTTTGTTTTTGTTTTTTTTTTTGAGACTGAGTCTCACTCTGTTGCCCAGGCTGGAGTGCCATGGCACGATCTCGGCTCACCGCAACCTCCGCCTCCCAGGTTCAAGCAATTCTCTGCCTCAGCCTCCCAAGTAGCTGGGATTTTAGGCGCCCGCCACCATACCTGGCTAATTTTTGTATTTTTAGTAGAGACGGGGTTTCACCATCTTGGCCAGGCTATTCTGGAACCCCTGACCTCATGATCACTTGCCTCAGCCTCCCAAAGTGCTGGGATTACAGGCGTGAGCCACCATGTCCGGCTGAGATGGTACATTTTATATATTTTTTTCCTTCTTTTTCCAGGAACAAACTGGTTGGCTGAGATTCTCTGCCTGATGCACTCCAAGGGGGATGCCAAGTGGATCCAATCTGTGCCCATCTGGGAGCGATCACCCTGGGTAGAGAGTGAGATTGGGTATACAGCACTCAGTGAAACGGAGAGTCCACGTTTATTCTCCTCCCACCTCCCCATCCAGTTATTCCCCAAGTCTTTCTTCAGTTCCAAGGCCAAGGTCAGTGCATAATGGTTAAGACGTGTTTGATCAGTGCCTTTCAAACACTGATATGCCTATAAGTCATCTGGAGATCTTGCTGAAATGCATTCTCCTTCAACAGGTCTGTGTTGTTGAGACCTGAGATTCCGTATTAGGTGACACCTATGTGGCTGCTCCCAGAACTGTCCTTGAGTTCAAGGATATAGACCATTCCACAGATTACCCCAGCCAGATTTAAACCAGGGATAGGGTGAAAACACTAACCCAGAATCTTAGAAAACTAGGTTCTAAGTGCAATCAGAATGTATAGCCATATTATATACTAGATAACCGCCTTTGGTTGCCCTAAAAAATAATTAGCCAATCTGAATTCAACAAATGCCTCCTGCCACAGAAAAGACACAGAGGTGTTCCTATGGGAAGCAGCATGTTCATCAATCAATGCCTGTATCCAGGTTGACTGCCCCGGGGCCAGGACTGGGCTCTGTACACACTTCGTCTTACTGTGTGTAAATATGTGTTGATATCAGCAGCCACATGCATCTCCCATGGGGCAGAGGGGTGATCACAAGAGGGACAAGGCATATCCAGGACCTTGCATGGCTCAGACTGCTTCTAGAATTGTACTTTCCTGGAAGGTGTTTATAGGTGTGTGAATTATTATTATTATTATTATTTTGAGACACAGTCTCATTCTGTCACCCAGGCTGGAGTGCATTGGTGCGATCTTGGCTCACTGCAACCTCCACCTCCCCAGGTTCAAGTGATTCTCCTGCTCCAGCCTCCTGAGTAGCTAGGACTAGAGGTGTGCGCCACCATGCCTGGCTAATTTTTGTATTTTTAGTAGACACAGGGTTTCACTATGTTGGCCAGGCTGGTCTCGAACTCCTGACCTCGAGTGATTCAGCCTCCCAAAGTGCTAGGATTACAGGCATGAGCCACCATGCCTGGCCCAAAGGACAAAGTAATGTCTCTGAAATGTGTCCATGATCTTGGGTGTTGTATATGGATAATATTGCTATATATCTATGAATGTAGCTTAATTTATGAATTCATTCTCCTGTTAATGATCTTTAAACCATAGTACACAAATATACATCACTCACCTTTGGAAACCTTCCATGTTCTTCCCATTGTGAGCAGACTGTAATATCCCAGAGGGAAGGAACGATGCTTCCTTCTTCCATTGATATATTCCTAGTGCAGTGACTACTTCATAGGCACATCAAATTTGATTAGTGAGTGCAGTAAGTAATTTGTTAAAAGAATCCATTGATATTATTAGGCATTATCCAGGAATTGGCTTTTTCTCCATTTTTGTGAAGATCAAAAAGAGTGAGGATTGACTGTATTGATTTTTCATTCTCCCGTTTTTCCATTTAAGGTGATTTATCTCATGAGAAATCCCAGAGATGTTTTGGTGTCTGGTTATTTTTTCTGGAAAAACATGAAGTTTATTAAGAAACCAAAGTCATGGGAAGAATATTTTGAATGGTTTTGTCAAGGAACTGGTGAGTGTTTCACAAAATATGGGGGTGCTTGGAGTCTTCTAGCCGACCTCTTTTGACACCCAGCCTCACATCTCTACATCTCACCAACCCATGGGTTGAAAGGCTCCACCACCCCTGGAGGCCAAACCTGCTAAGTTCGCTTACTCTCCCGCATAGCAGCAGAACTCTAGCCGGCCCCTCAGCTTGCCCCATGATAAACCATCCTAGCTATTTTCTAAGTCTCTAGAGCCTCCAATACTAGCACAGGAAACTTATATTCTCCTCTAGTCTCCTAATGCTAGATGTCTGGAAGTTAGCTTTTCACTGGCTTCCGGGACAACACAATCCTGACCTTCCGCCATTTTTTTCTGATGCCTCTTTCCAAAACCCTCTTAATATTCTGTTTCTATCTGTCTCAGAACTGATTGCATGACTCTAGGATCGCTATATATTTAGTTATGCAGAATTCCTGGGCTTTTTCAGTACTTTCCATTTTGCAATTGATCTCAAAACTCTATGAGCCTCTATCTCAGCTGTGATGTGTCTCTCTGCAATACACCAGCTACAGATACCTCCATTAGAGAGAGCCACCAATGCCTCTAATTCAGTACACTCAAATTTGAACACCTTTCTGGCTGGGCGCGGTGGCTCACACATGTAATCCCAACACTATGGGAGGCCGAGGCGGGTGGATCACCTGAGGTCAGGAGTTCGAGACCAACCTGGCCAACATAACGAAACCCCGTCTCTACTAAAAATACAAAAAATTAGCCGGCCATGGTGGCTCACACCTGTAATCCCAACACTTTGGGAGGCCAAGGCAGGTGGATCACCTGGGGTCAGGAGTTCGAGACCAGCCTGGCCAACATAATGAAACTGTCTCTACTAAAAATACAGAAAAATTAGCTGGCCGTGGTGGTGGGTGCCTGTAATCCCAGCTACTCAGGAGGCTGAGGCACGAGAATTGCTTGAACCCAGGAGGTAGAGGTGGCAGTGAGCCAAGATCACGCCACTGCACCCCAGCCTGGGCAACAAAATCAAAACTCCATCTCAAATAAAAACATTTGAACACCTTTCTTAACTGCGTGGGGTTTATCTTACTCCACCCCTCATGCAAAGACTAGCATGAGTCTAATATTTCATAAGCATTCTCTTTTCCCATCCCACTCCCCTAGGCCCCTCACCACTTTCCTATCTCTAATTATTAATTAAGTCCTACCATCTTGATTAATATCTTCATTCTGGTCTCAGCACTTTGGGAGGCCGAGGCAGGCGGATCACCTGAGGTCAGGAGTTCAAGACCAGCCTGGCCAACATGGCAAAGCCCTATCTCTATTAAAAATACAAAAAATTAGCCGAGTGTGGTGGCATGTGCCCGTAGTCTCAGCTACTTGGAAGGCTAAGGCAGGAGAATCGCTTGAATCTAGGAGGCAGAGGTTGCAGCGAGCCGAGATCACTCCATGGCACTACAGCCTGGGTGACAGAGTGAGACTCTGTGTCAATAATAATAATAATAATAATAATAATAATAATAATAATAATGTATTCCATACTTGACAATTGCTAAGAGAGACCATCTTAAATGTTCTCACCGCCCCGACAAAAAATGGTAAGTATATGAGGAAATGAATATGTTAATTAGCTTGATTCTGTCTGATATGGTTAGGCTTTGTGTCCCCACCCAAATCTCATCTCGAATTGTAATCCCCATAATCCCCACGTGTTGTAGGAGGGACCTGGTGGGAAGTGATTGGATCATAGTAGTGGTTTCCCCCATGCTGTTCTCATGACAGTGAGTGAGTTTTCACGAGATCTGATGGTTTTATTTATTTATTACAGCTTCAGGTTTTTTTTTTTTTTTTTTTTTTGAGACAGAGTCTTGCTCTGTCACCTAGTCTGGAGTGCAGTGGCGCGATCTCAGCTCACTGCAAGCTCCGCCTCCCAGGTTCACACCATTCTCCCGCCTCAGCCTCCCGAGTAGCTGGGACTACAGGCGCCCGCCATCACACCCGGCTAATTTTTTTGTGTTTTTAGTAGAGACAGGGTTTCACTGTGTTAGCCAGGATGGTCTCGATCTCCTGACCTCGTGATCCGCCCGCCTCGGCCTCCCAAAGTGCTGGGATTACAGGTGTGAGCCACCGTACCTGGCCTAGGTTTTTTTTTTAATTTTTTTTATTGTTATACTTTAAGTTCTAGGGTACATGTGCACAACGTACAGGTTTGTTACATATGTATACATGTGCTATGTTGGTGTGCTGCACCCATTAACTCGTCATTTACATTAGGTATATCTCCTAATGCTATCCCTCCCCCTCCCCCCGCCCCATGACAGGCCCCGGTGTGTGATGTTCCCCACCCTGTGTCCAAGTGTTCTCATTGTTCAATTCCCACCTATGAGTGAGAATATGTGGTGTTTGGTTTTCTGTCCTTGCGATAGTTTGCTCAGAATGATGGTTTCCCGCTTCATCCATGTCCCTACAAAGGATATGAACTCATCCTTTTTCATGGCTGCATTGTATTCCATGGTGTATACATGCCACATTTGAGATCTGATGGTATTATAAGTGGCTGGCATTTCCCCTGCTGGCACTCACTCCTCCCTCCTGCCGCCTTGTGAGGAAGTTGCCTTGCTTCCCCTTCCTCCATGATTGTGAGTTTCCTGAGGCTCCCCCAGCCACACTGAACTGTGAGTCAATTAGGCCACTTTCCTTTGTGAATTACCCAGTCTTGGGCAGTTCTTCACAGCAGTGTGAAAACTGACTAATACACTGTCATTCCATAGTGTATGCGTACATCAAAACATCTGTTATATACTGTAAATATATACCATTTGTTGGTCCCCTTCGACCAAGTTTCATTCAAGTTTTATTTGTCAATCATACGTTAACAAGCCGGTGGGGGGATGAACATAATAGACTGGATGCCTGCTCTCATAAAATTTGTAACCTATCACTTTTTCTGCCACCCCATGCAGTGCTATATGGGTCATGGTTTGACCACATTCATGGCTGGATGCCCATGAGAGAGGAGAAAAACTTCCTGTTACTGAGTTATGAGGAGCTGAAACAGGTAATCCCATCATTTTTAGAGTCAGTGCACACCCTCTCACCACCATCCTTACTTTCCTTAAATTCCCTCCATCCCGCTGTGTCTTCATTCCACCCTCTCAGTTAAAGTGGAGCCTGGTGAAGAGTCACAAAGAGCAGGATTAACTCCCTGGTCTTCATTGCCCTGTTTCTGGTTGACCCTTGCCCAAGCTTCACGCTCCTTATTTTATCTTAAAACATCTAAGCCAGGCACGTTGGCTGGCGCCTGTAATCCCAGCACTTTGGGAGGCCGAGGTGGGTGGATCACAAGGTCAGGAGTTCAAGGCCAGCCTGGACAAGATGATAAAACCCCATCTCTACTACAAATACAAAAATTAGCCGGGTGCAGTGGCGAGCGCCTGTAATCCCAGCTACTCGGGAGGCTGAGGCAGGAGAATCGCTTGAACCTGGGAGGTGGAGTTTGCAGTGAGCCGATATGCCAAGATCATGCCACTGCACTCTAGCCTGGGCGATAGAGCACGACTCTGTCTCAAAAAAAAAAAAAAAAAAAAATCTAGAGAGGTTTTTTGGCACCGGGTGCAGTGGCTCACACTTGTAATCCCAGCACTTTGGAAGGCCGAGGTGGGAGAATCACTTGAGGCTGGGAGTTTGAGACCAGCAAGACTCCAGTCTACGAAACAGCAAGACTCCAGTCTACAAAGGAAAAAAAAAATTAGCCAGATGTGGGGGGTGCACACCTCTAATTCCAGCTACTCGGGAAGCCGAGGCCAGGGGAATTACTTGAGCCCATGAATTCAAGGCTGCAGTGAGCTATGATCACACCACTGCACTCCAGCCTGGGGCAGCAGAGCAAGACGCCGGCTCTAAAAATAAAAATAAGGAGCATATTCCATGCATTGAGGCAGAGTGTGATGTCTCCTGCTAGCACTGGTGTATGTAAACATTTCTCTGGGTGAGACCTATGGTGCTGCTGATAACCAAGCGTTGAGAGGGCGCTGGAAGAGAGGATGGGACTGGGTAGAAGTGATTTAGTTCCTGAGATGGTTCCGAGTGTCTGACATCTCAGCTTGGCTGGTATGAACAGAAATGAAGGCATGTAATCAATTTATCTCACTATTCTGAGATCCAAGTACTGGAGTGAATAGTGACGGAGAGGAAAAGCTGTCCGATGATACTCAGAACCAGCAAGTATTGAAAGAACAACTTGAGGCCAAGCTCAGTGGCTCACGCCTGTAATCCCAGCACTGGGGAGGTGAAGGCAGGTGGATGGCTTGAGTCCAGGAGTTCGAGACCAGCCTGGCCAACATAGCAAGACCCCATCTCTACTAAAAATACAAAAAATTAGCCGGGCATGGTGGCAGGCACCTGTAGTCCCAGCTACTTGGGAGGCTGAGGTAGGAGAATCACTTGAACCCAGGAGGAAGAGGTTGCAGTGAGCCGAGATCACACCACTGCACTCTAGGCTGGGCAACAGAATGAGACCCTGTCTCAAAAAAAAAAAAAAAGAAAGAAAAAGAAGGCTGGGCACGGTGTCTCACACCTGTAATCCCAGCACTTTGGGAGGCCAAAGTAGGGGGATCACTTGAGGTCAGGAGTTCGATACCAGCCTGGGCAACATGGCGAAATCCCATCTCTACCAAAAATATAAAAAATTAGCCAGGCGTGGTGTTGTGCACCTGTAGTCCCAGCTACTCAGGACCCAGCTACTCAGGAGAATCGCTTGAACCCAGGAGGCGGAGGTTGCAGTGAGCCGAGATCATGCCATTGCACTCCAGCCTGGGCAACAGAGCAAGACTCCATCTCAAAAAAAAAAAAGAACTTGACCTATTAGTGATATCTCACATAAAAGAGAAAATAACACCAACATTGGATTTTGTACCACCTGGGAAACGTCACGTCCCAACACCTTCCTCTGGCTCATCCTCTCCAATCCTCTATGGCCTATGGTCTGGGCATGAATTTCTTTTTTTTTTTTTTTTATGAGGTGGAGTCTTGCTCTGTCGCCCAGGCTGGAGTGCAGTGGCACGATCTCGGCTCACTGCAACCTCCGCCTCTCGGGTTCAAGCGATTCTTCTGCCTCAGCCTCCTGAGTAGCTGGGACTACAGATGCACGCCGCCATGCCCAGCTAATTTTTTTTTGTATTTTTAGTAGAGACAGGGTTTCACCATGTTGCCCAGGCTGGTCTCGAACTCCTGAGCTCAGGCAATCCTCCCGTAGGCCTCCCAAAGTGCTAGGATTACAGGCATGAGCCACCGCGCCCGGCCATCTTTTTTTTTTTTTTTTTTTTTAGACAGAGTCTTGCTCTGTCACCCAGGCTGGAGTGCAGTGGCGCAATCTCAGTTCATTGCAATCTCCACCTCTCCGGTTCAAGTGATTCTCGTGCCTCAGCCTCCCAAGTAGCTAGGATTACAGGCATGCACTACAACACCTGGCTAATTTTTGTATCTTTGGTACAGATGGGGTTTCACCACGTTGACCAAGCTGGAATGAATTTCATTTCTGTTAAGAAGCCCTTTGTAACAAGTTTGGTTGGCTACCTCAGATACACGATCCCATACCTTCCTGGGATCTTCCTTTCGGATCACACAATGAACTTATTTTAGTTATTTCCATAGTTGTACATCTTCTTATTAGATAACCAAGGTTTATGAAATAGAGGAAAAAATTAAAGCATTATAGATCTAAGAGTAAGGCCTATGATTCAAAGCAAAGTCCTTCTGGTTACAATAATCCATTTTGTTGGCCAGGTGCGGTGGTTCACATCCATAATCCCAGCACTTTGGGAGGCTGAGGTGGGCAGATCACCTGAGCTCAGGAGTTGGAACCCAGCTTGGCCAACATGGTGATACTCCCTCTCTACTAAAAATACGTAAATTAGCCGGGAGTGGTGGCGCACGCCTGTAACCCCAGCTACTCGGGAGGTTGAGACAGGAGAATTGCTTGAGCCTGGGAGGCGGAGGTTGCAGTGAGCTGAGATCATGCCACTGCACTCCAGCCTGGGCGACAGAGTGAGATCTTGTCTCTAAATAAATACATAAATAAAATTTTAAAAATAAAAATCTATTAATCTCCCAGGATCATGTACCTAGTCCTAATTATTGAGATGAAATATAAGAAGATATTGTAAAACTCTGTGTGTTATTCAAAAGCTAGTTATGGGAAACAGTACTATCTGACAGTACAGCCAGGATTTGAAATCAAGCCTTCAATCTCCATCAGATTCTCCCTGAACCTCTCCTTGCTAACCCTAATTACTGTCTAGAAGCCTCTCTAAACGTCTCTTAGGAAACCCGAGGCTCTGTGTTTTACTGTTAAGTTGTCCTAAACTCTACCATACGGGAAAATCCACGATGATCCTTGCATCTTTTGTGGTTTTCTGGTTGGTTTTGTTTTGTTTTGTTTTGCTTTGTTTTGTTTTTGAGACAGGGTCTCACTCCAACGCCCAGGCTGGAGTACAGTGGTGCAATCACAGCTCACTGCAGCCTCAACTTCCTGGGTTCAGGTGATCCTCCCACCTCAGCCTCCCAAGTAGCTGGTACCACAGCTGTGCGCCACCATGCCTGGCTAATTTTTGTATTTTTTGTAGAGACAGGGTCTCACTATATCGCCCAGGCTGGTCTAAAACTCCCGGACTCAAGTGATCCGCCTGCCTCAGCCTCCCAAAGTGCTGGAATTACAGGCAGGAGCCACGGCGCCCAACCCATCCTTGCATCTTTTACATACTTCATGCCCTCTCTTCTTTACCTTTTTTCTTTCTTTCTCCTAATTGCATTCAACTCAATCCCTTCTCACATCTGCATGTTGTTCCTCTCTTCTTCCTCCTCCTCCTCATTCTGCGGTTCCCTCCTTCTCATCTTACTTTTTTCTATTGTCTTTTTTTTTTTTTTTTTTTTTTTTTGACAAGGTCTCACTCTGTCACCAGGCTGGAGTGCAGTGGCGTGATCTCAGCTCACTGCACCCTCCACCTCCTGGGTTCAAGCAACTCTCCTCCCCCAACCTCCCGAGTAGCTGGGATTACCGGCGCCCACCACCACACCCTGCCAATTTTTGTATTTTTAGTAGAGATGGGGTTTCACCACGTTGGCCAGGCTAGTCTCGAACTCCTGATCTCAAGTGATCCAACCGCCTCAGCCTCCCAGAGTGCTGGGATTACAGGCGTGAACCACCACGCCCAGCCTTGTCTTTCTCTTTCGTATCCTCTCTCTTGATTTTTCTTTTTTAGGACACAGGAAGAACCATAGAGAAGATCTGTCAATTCCTGGGAAAGACGTTAGAACCCGAAGAACTGAACTTAATTCTCAAGAACAGCTCCTTTCAGAGCATGAAAGAAAACAAGATGTCCAATTATTCCCTCCTGAGTGTTGATTATGTAGTGGACAAAGCACAACTTCTGAGAAAAGGTAAAAGAAAATCCTCTGGTTTCCAAATATACCAGAATACACGGCATGCATGCCTATGGTCACAACTGGGCGCTAACAGTTGAGATGAAAGAGTGCTTTTTTTTTTTTTTTTTTTCCGAGATGAAGTCTTGCTCTATCACCCAGGCTGGAGTGCAGTGGTGCGATCTCAGCTCACTGCAACGTCCGCCTCCAGGATTCAAGTGATTCTTCTGCCTCAGCCTCCCGAGTAGCTGGAAATTACAGGCACACGCCACCACACCCAGCTAATTTTTGTATCTTTAGTAAAGACATGGTTTCACCATCTTAGCTAGGCTGGTCTCGATCTCCTGACCTTGTGATCCGCCCACCTCGGCCTCCCAAAGTGCTGGGATTACAGGCATGAGCCACGGCGCCCGGCCAATTTATCAGCTTTAATTGCTCATCGCCCAGAACACTTCTCCCGTGGCCTCAGCAGGGAGCCTCTTCTTGTGGTACTGATGTGGGCTGTAGGTGGGTGGGGAAAATTGGTTCCGCCCGGGAAGGTTATCTGACTTACGTGAGGTCATTCAGATTCTCTTTCCTCAGAATGTGACATGAGCATTATCCATTCTACAGACAGTGAGCAGGTTAACTAGCAACCCTTGCTAGACCTACAAGCTGTGATTCACCTGAGAAATGAGGACAAGGACGGGGTTGGGGATGGCCACAGTGCAGCTGCCCCACTGGTGAGTTAGCATAGAGATCTGTCCTGGATGGGCCGGGTGCGGTGGCTCATGCCTGTAATCCCAGCACTTTGGGAAGCCGAGGCGGGCGGATCACAAGGTCAGGAGATCAAGACCATCCTGGCTAACATGGTGAAACCCCATCTCCACTAAAAATACAAAAAATTAGCCGGGCATGGTGGCGGGTGCCTGTGGTCCCAGCTACTCGGGAGGCTGAAGCAGGAGAATGGTGTGAACCCAGGAGGCGGAGCTTGCAGTGAGCCAAGATCGTGCCACTGCACTCCAGCCTGGGCGACAGAGCAAGACTCCGTCTCAAAAAAAAAAAAAAAAAAAAAAAAAAAGAGATCTGTCCTGGATGAAGAAATGTGTGAAGGAATGCCTCACCTGGAAAAGGGAGAGAAGAGAGACTTTGCTATCACACGCTGTAAGGTGCCAAGATGAATGGAAATGTCTATTGCATGGGGTGAAAGAATCCATTTTTCCAGGGCCAGGCGTGGTGGCTCATGCTTGTAATCCCAGCACTTTGGGAGGCCAAGGCGGGTGGATCACCTGAGGTCAGGAGTTCAAGACCAGCCTGGCTAACACGGAGAAAGCCCATCTCTACTAAAAATACAAAAAATTAGCCAAGTGTGGTGGTGGGCGCCTGTAATCCCAGCTACTCGGGAGGCTGAGGCAGGAGAATCACTTGAACCTGGGAGGAGGAGGCTGCAGTGAGCCGAGATCCTGCCATTTGCACTCCAGCCTGGGCAACAAGAGTGAAACTCCGGCTCAAAACAAAAATCCATTTTTCCAAAATCCTACAGTTCTAATACATCTGGGACAGTCCTCCGTGGAAGAAAAGAATTAAATCCTTCAAAAGACCCAGAGTCTTGGGCAATCGTAAAAGTAAACGTTGGCCGGGTACGGTGGCTCACGCCTGTAATCCCAGCACTTTGAGAGACCAAGGCAAGTGTATCACTTGAGCTCAGGAGTTCGAGACCAGCCTGGGCAACATGGTGAAACTCTGTTTCTACTAAAAATACAAAAATTAGCCATGTGTGGTGGCGCCCACCTGTAGTCCCAGCTACTTGGGGTGGGGCTGAGACATGAGAATCGCTTGAACCCAGGAGGCAGAGGTTGCAGTGAGCCGAGATTACAACACTGTACTCCTGCCTGGGAGACAGAGCAAGACTCCATCTCAAAAAAAAAAAAAAAGATAAATGCTGAGACTTTGTATAACTTATCTATATTAGGGATACATACCATACACATACACCACAGAAAGAAAATACACAGAACCTGTCCTACATGATATGTGTTATGAGGCGAAATACAGCAAGGATGGGGAGTGACCTCTAAATTGGGTGGTGAGAGAGAACCTCGCTGAGAAACTTGAATTGGAATAAAGACTTGAAAGAGGCAAATAGGCAAGTCATGGGCCAATCTGAGAGAGCAGCGTTCCAAGGAGAAGGAGCGTGGGACGCCAATAGTCTGAGGAGTGGGGATGCCTGCCACGTTTGAGGCAGAATCAGAAGTCCCCGTGTGAGTAGAGTGACGGAGAGGGTAGTTTTAGGGGATGAGCTCAGAGAAGCCACAGGGGCTGGATCACCTGGAGCCCTGTAAGCGCCTCCAGCACTTGTACTTGAGTGAAACCTAGAGTCCTCGGAAAATCTGAGCAGAGAAGTGGCATGATCTGGGATCATGAGGGCTGCCATGCTGAGACTAACTTATGAAAGAGAACTTATGAAAGCAGAGGCCAGGCCGGGTGTGGTGGCTCACGCCTGTAATCCCAGCACTTTGGGAGGCCAAGGCGGGCGGATCACCTGAGGTCAGAAGTTTGAGACCAGCCTGGCCAACATGGCAAAACCCCATCTCTACTAAAAATACAAAAATTAGCCAGGCGTGGTGGTAGGCACCTGTAATCCCAGCTATTCGGGAGGCTGAGGCACGAGAACTGCTTGAACTCGGGAGGCAGAGGTTGCAGTGAGCCAAGATCGCGCTACTGCACTCCAGCCTGAGGGATAGAGCAAGACTCCGTCTCTACAAAAAAAAAAAGAAAAAAAAGCAGAGACCAGTTACAAGTGTACTCTAATAATCCAGGTGAAAAATGATGTTGGCTTGAGTCAACGTGGTAGAAACAGAGGTGGTGAGACGTGACTTGATTCTGGACATATCAGATGATATACTGGCGTTATTGCTGAGGAATTGTACACAGGATGGATGGGAGAAAGGAGAAAATAGGAAATTGTTTCCAGCTAGGTGAATAACTATGTGACCAGGCAGGATAAAGGCCCACCACGAACCATCGGCCATTCTGCTATGTTAGCTACAATGTCCATGTCAGGTGCCTGGTGGAGACAGGTCAAGGAGATGTGTGGTCTGACCTGAGTTTCTGCTTCTTGTTTCCAGGTGTATCTGGGGACTGGAAAAATCACTTCACAGTGGCCCAAGCTGAAGACTTTGATAAATTGTTCCAAGAGAAGATGGCAGATCTTCCTCGAGAGCTGTTCCCATGGGAATAACGTCCAAAACACTCTGGATCTTATATGGAGAATGACATTGATTCTCCTGTCCTTGTACATGTACCTGACTGGGGTCATTGTGTAAGACTTATTATTTTATCCTGAAACCTTAAATATCAAACCTCTGCATCTCTGATCCCTTCCTTGTTAAAAGTTACCAGGGTTGGCCAGGCACGGTGGTTCATGCCTGTAATCCCAGCACTATGGGAGGCCGAGACGGGCGGATCACGAGGTCAGGAGACTGAGACCATCCTGGCTAACACGGTGAAACCCCATCTCTACTAAAAATACAAAAACCAAAAAAAATTAGCCAGGCGCATTGGCTCATGTCTGTAATCCCAGCACTTTGGGAGGTCGGGGGGGTGGGGGAGGATCACGGGGTCAGGAGATCGAGACCATCCTGGCCAACATGATGAAACCCTATCTCTACTAAAAATACAAAAATTAGCCGGGCATGGTGGTGCACGCCTATAGTCCCAGCTACTCGGGAGGCTGAGGTAGGAGAATCGTTTGAACTCAGGAGGCAGAGGTTGCAATGAGCCAAGATCGCGCCACTGCACTCCAGCCTGGGTGACAGAGCGAGACCGTCTCAAAAAGAAAGAAGTGACTAGGGTTCAGAGAACCAGGGTTCAAAGCCCAGGGATGCAAAGGTTGCAGTGAGTTGAGTCATGGGATCCCAGACTTTTTTAAATGTTTGCAATGTTTCCCGTTTACAGAATGCTACAAGAATAATGTACGTACTACCTAAAAGGATGTCTAAATGTTTGTTAATAAAAATAAGAAATAGCTACAGTGACAGATTTTAGAGCAAAAATTAGTAATAAAAATAAGAAATAAAATTACAGGAGCAATTAAGGTTCCATTTCTTTTCATCACATGTATCTCCACAATTTATTATTGCTCTGATCTTAAGGAGTGTAATTTGCAATCTAATTTTATCCTCTTACTCTGTGTTGTTAAACCATATACAATAAACGGTGTTTATGGAGGCTTCTAAAACTTTCATAAGGCCAGGTGCGGTGGCTCACACCTGTAATCCCAGCACTTTGGGAGGCCAAGGAGGGCGGATCACTTGAGGTCAGGAGTTTGAGACCAGCCTGGCCAACATAGTGAAACTCTGTCTCTACTAAAAATACAAAAATTAGCTGGGCATGATGGCACATGTCTGTAATCCCAGCTACTCGGGAGGCTGAGGCATGAGAATTGCTTGAACCTAGGAGATGGAGGTTGCAGTGAGCTGAGATCATACCATTGCACTCCAGCCTGGGCAACAGAGGGAGACTCCATCTCAAAAATAAAAAATAAAAAAACTAAAGTCTTGTTCCGCAAAAGAACCAAAGAACCTATAAAGAGAATGAAAAGATAGGCCAGGTGCGGTGGCTCATGCCTGTAATCCCAGCACTTTCGGAGGCCGAGGCAGGTGGATCACTTGAGCTCAGGAGTTCAAGACAAGTCTGGCCAACATGGTAAAACCCTGTCTCTACTAAAAATAGAAAAATTAGCCAGATGTGTTGGCGGAGGTTGCAGTGAGCCGAGATTGTGCCACTACATTCCAGCCTGGGCAACAAAGTGAGACTCCATCTCAAAACAAAATGAGAAAACAAGAAGACAAACCAGAGATGGAGAGGAAGTACTTGTAAATCTCATATCTGGCAATGGACTTGTTTCTAGAATACATAAAGAACTCCTAAAACCCAGCATTAAACAAATAATCTTTTAAAAGAAAAAAAAGAATAAAAGATTTGAACAAACATTTCACCAAAGAGGACACAGGGATGGCAAATCAGCACATGAAACGATGTTTTGCATCATTTGCCTCTAGAGAAATATAAATTAAAACCACAACAAGAAGGCCGGGTAAGGTGGCTCACGCCTATGATCCCAGCACTTTGAGAGGCCAAGGTAGGTGGATCACTTGAGCTCAGGAGTTTGAGACCAGCCTGGCCAACATGGTGAAACCCTGTCTCTACTAAAAATACAAAAATTAGCCAGGCGTGGTGGCGGGTGCCTGTAGTCCCAGCTACTTGGGAGGCTGAGGCAGGAGAATGGCTTGAACCCGGGAGGCGGAGCTTGCAGTGAGTTATGATCCTATCACTGCACTCCAGCCTGAGCAACAGAGCAAGACTGTCTCCAAAAAAAAAAAAAAAAAAAGTATATTTTCTAGCTGTTTGGCTTTAGCTTAAATTACACAAGTGGAAAGAAATATAATGTTGCCTCTGTGTCTTTTCCATGTTTTTCTCCCACTCGAATGTGGGGTGTCTCTCCCCCATCCCACCTGGAGGTCTTTTGTATGGAAGGAACCAGCCGGTCTAGGTGGCTCCTGGGACACCCCAGGTCCAAGCTCTGGTTGGCCGCTCCCTGGGCTGGAACAGTGACGTATTGTTGCCCCCTGGTGGCCACGGAGCACCATAACGGGTATGTGGAAGCCGAGGACTCTCCCAGTTCTGGGGGTGCCCCTGAATGAACCCCATCTCTGATCTGACCCCACTGTGTCTCTAGAGATACAACTGCATCTCGAAGTAGCAACAATAAAAACCCACAATATCCTTAAGTTATTTCCTGTCAGGCATTTTCTTTAGAAGAATTTCAGGGAAGCAGTCTGAGGTTTTTTGTTGTTTTTGGGGGATATTCTTGAGATGGAGTCTTGCTCTGTCGTACAAGCTGGAGTGCAGTGGCACGATCTCAGCTCATTGCAACCTCTGCCTCCCGGATTCAAGCGATCCTCCTGCCTCAGCCTCCTGAGTAACTGGGACTACAGGCGCCAGCCACCATGCCAGGCTAATTTTTGTATTTTTAGTAGAGACGGGTTTTCACCATGTTGGCCAGGCTGGTCTCAAACCCCTGACCTTAAGTGATCCACCCTCCTCGGCCTCCGAAAGTGTTGTGAATACAGGCGTGAGCCACTGCACCCGGCAGAAACAGTCTGTTAAAATGGGAGTCTGGAAAAAAATTTTTTTTGAGACGGGGTCTTGCTGTGTCATCCAGTCTGGAGTGCAGTGCTACCACCACAGCTCACTGCAGCTTCCACCTCCCAGGCTCAAGTGATCCTCCCTCCTGCCTCAGCCTTCCAAGTAGCTGAGACCACAGGTAGTGCCACCACACCTGGCCAAATTTTTAATTTTTTGTAGAGACGGGGTCTTACTATGTTGCCCAGGCCAGTCTCGAACTTCTGGGTTCAGTCCATCCTTCCACCTCGGCTTCCCGAGATTAGAAAGCGTGAGCCACCTCCTTACCTGGCCTTGAAAACCCTTTTTTTTTTTTAAGACAGAATTTCTGTCACCCAGGCTGGAGTGAAGTGGCACAATCTCGGCTCACTGCAACCTCCACCTCCCGGGTTCACGCCATTCTCCTCCTTCAGCCTCCCAAGTAGCTGGGACTACAGGCGCCCGCCACCATGCCTGGCTAATTTTTTGCATTTTTAGTAGAGACGGGGTTTCACCGTGTTAGCCAGGATGGTCTTGATCTCCCGACCTCGTAATCCACCCACCTAGGCCTCCCAAAGTGCTGGGATTGCAGGCGTGAACCACCATGCCCAGCTGAAAACCCTTTTTAACTAATGAATTTACTGGTGGCTACTATATTTATTTGGTATAAAAATAATGACCATTCGCAGGCTGGGCACAGTGGCTCATGCCTGTAATCCCAGCACTTTGGGAGCCGAGGCAGGCAGATAACCTGAGGTCGGGAGTTGGAGACCAGCCTGACCAACATGGAGAAACCCCGTCTCTACTGAAAATACAAAAATTAGCTGGGCATGGTGGCTCATGCCTGTAATCTCAGCTACTCGAGAGGCGGAGGCAGGAGAATCACTTGAACCGGGAGGTGGAGGTTGCGGTGAGCCAAGATCAAGCCACTGCACTCCAGCCTGGGCAACAACAGCAAAACTCCATCTCAAAAATAAATAAATAAATAATAAATAAAATAATGACCATTCACATCTTTCTCTTTATGGCATTTGATTTTATCTAGGTGGATTTCTGTGAAAGGGACAATCAGATAAGGCAATTTTGAGTTTTCTTTTACTAAAATAGTTTTGTTTGTTTGTTTGTTTGTTTTTGAGACAGTCTCGCTCTGTCACCCAGGCTGGAGCGCAGTGGCGCAATCTTGGCTCACTGCAGCCTCCACCTCCCCAGTTCAAGCGATTCTCATGCCTCAGCCTCCTGAGTAGCTGGGATTACAGGCACCCGCCATCATGCTCTGCTAATTTTTTTATTTTTAGTAGAGAGGGGGTTTCATCATGTTGGCCAGGCTGGTCTCAAACTCCTGAACTTAGGTGATCCACCCACCTCGGCCTCCCAAAGTGCTGGGATGCCAGGCATGAGCCACCACAGCTGGCTTTGGTGTCTTCTTAATAATGACAGTTAGGCATCAACTCCCAGGAGTCTGTCTACTCCATGGCAGGGATTTGACTGAGAACAGCAGTACTCAAGCTTTGCACACTGGAATTGCCTCAGAGCTTTAAAACATACTGGTGCCCCACCCCACCAACCTCACTATTTTTTTTTTTTTTTAAGAGATGGGGCAGGCCAGGTGCTGTGGCTCAAACCTGTAATCCCAATGCTTTAGGAAGCTAGATGGGAGGATAGCTTGAGCCCAGGAGTTCGAGACCAACCCAGGCAACATAGCAAGACCCCATCTCTACAGGAAAAAAATTAAAAATTAGCCTGGCTTGGTGGCACATGGCTGTAGGCACAGCCACTAGGGAGGCTGGGATGAGAAGACTGCTTGAGCCTAAGAGTTCAGGGTTGCAGTGAGCTATGATCACACCACTGTACACCAGCCTGGGTGACAGAGTGAGACCCCATCTCAAAAAAAGAAAAAAAGAAAAAAATCAGGCCAGGTGCGGTGGCTCACGCCTGTAATCCCACTACTTTGGGAGGCCGAGGCGGGCAAATCACCTGAGGTCAGGTGAGGTCAGGAGTTCGAGACCAGTCTGGCCAACATGGTGAAACCCTGCTCTACTAAAATTACAAAAAAAAAAAATGAGCTGGGCGTGGTGGCAGGCGCCTGTAATCCAAGCTACTCGGGAGGCTGAGGCAGGAGAATCACTTCAACCCAGGAGGTGGAGGCTGCAGTGAGCCTAGACCGTGCCATTGCACTCCAGCCTGGGCAAAAAGAGCAAAACTCCATCTCGAAAAAAAAAAAAGAAAATCAGAAACTAGATCCAGAGACCTAGGATGAAGCAGGGTGTTAAAGCAAGAGGTTCTGGCCTGGCACAGTGGCTCACACACTTTGTAATCCCAGCACTTTGAGAGGCTGAGGCAGGAGGATCACATGAGATCAGGAGTTCAAAACCAGCCTGGAAAACATGGTGAAACCCTGTCTCTACAAAATATACAAAAATGCCAGGCTTGGTGGCTTATGCCTGTAATCCCAGCACTTTGGGAGGCTGAGGCGGGTGGATCACAAGGTCAGGAGATCGTGACCATCCTGGCTAACACGGTGAAACCCCGTCTCTACTAAAAATACAAAAAATTAGCGGGCGTGGTGGCGGGCGCCTGTAGTCCCAGCTACTAGGGAGGCTGAGACAGGAGAATGGCGTGAACCCGGGAGGTGGAGGTTGCAGTGAGCCGAGATTAC